>NC_000001.11:151309587-151934587 GCF_000001405.40 Homo sapiens
CAGAGGGAACAAGAAAGGAGAGGGGATTAAGGAACATCCTGGGCAGTGAGCTGGGAAAAGGGAAGAACTCAGACCTGGAAAAAATGTGGTTGAAGTTAAAAAAGAAAACCAGTTGTGGAGAGGCAAAACTTTCCTTCAGGCCAAGTCCTATTTGTTTTTGGAGTCAGCTCACCAGCACAGGGCCTAGCATTTAGAAGATTATGAATAAATATTTGATAATCTGACGGCAGAAGCCATGGGGAAAGGGTTCTGGGTGGGAGAAACAGGATCCTGGGGGTTTCTGCCAGGCAGTTTTTGGCTCTAATCCAGGAGTGAATTCTACCTCTCTCCCAGCTGTTTGCTCCAGACACTCAGGAGCTGGGGGCTGAGCAGCACTGTACTCCAGCTGTCTCTGAGAGAAGGATCAGCTGAGCTCATCTCAGCCTGGGCTCAGGATTTCCACCGCAAAGGTCAGGGGAACTCCAGCAGATCTGGGAGGTCTGGGAGGGAGGAGCTGATCTCCCAGTAAGAAAAGGGGCATTTTAACTCCAGCCTTGGCCTGGGGGCTCAGAAGACCTGGGGACGGAGAGGAAATGCGGCCACTGGGGGAGCCTGCCACCCCGTCCCAGCCTGGCCCCACTTACGGAACTGAATGAATTATCAATACTCTCGGTGCTGGAGGAGAGCTCCTGGGAAAGGGCCAGAGGGCAAAGGGAGAAGGAGGGGGTGGGAAGGGAGGGGAGAGAGACAAAGGTAAAGAATTTAGCTCCAACTTGGATCGTAACTGCTTCTCTAGTGAAGTTCTACCTTTCTGCTTTAATAAAAGAAAGTCAACTCAGAAATGCTACTTGCCCAGATGCTTGACCACTTGTAGGAGATGCTGGAAGGGCAGCTCAGACTTTAAGGTCAGAAGGACTGAAGAGACAAAGCAGCCTCTGCTTTTCACTTTATTCACTTCTATTCTCAACTGAATGGATCTTCCTTCTAGGCCAAAGCTCTAAAGCTGGGTCCCTAGGGCAGTAACTGCACTGCCAAGCTTCCCTGCTCTTTTTTTTTACCCACTCACATGCTCTCAACCAAATCCTTCTCCATGGGGACCACCACAGGACTGAACTTAATAAGCTGCATGGCTCCCATACTGGAAACCCCATGTTCCTCCAGCTTTTTGGAAACCTCAGGGAGGAAGAAAAGCTAAACTTTCAGTGGCAGGTATACCTCTTCTCTAATTAGCCTCATTATCACCCTGGGAAGCTGAATCCCAACCTTGAACCTCTGTGACAAAGAGCATCCTAGACCAATAAGCCCAAAATCTCTGGGCTGGATGCTGATGGGAGTGAAGGATAAATCAATCTCCTATCTACCAAACCTCCTTAGGCTTCCTATCAGGCTATCCACATGACAATCAATATACTACAATTTTTGATATAAGTTGGGGAGTTAGCTATATCCATCTAGAAAGCTGACTAGCTGGATAGCAGCTGTCCTAGTCCCAGCCCAGAGGATTTATCTAAACATCACCCCATTGCTGTGTCATATGTGTCCGTGTGCAAAAACAGGGGAAAGAGATGGTGTCAAACTCTCACTCAGCAGCTCTGAGGCAACACTCATGCACAGGGCTCATCCTGGGTTCTGTCCAACATGGTCTACCAGGGCAGGGAACAGAGCAGCACGTGTGCACAAATCTAGGTTGTGGGGGACGTTGAGGTCGGGGTGGGGGAGGTTAGACTTAAAAGACAAAGTCCTAAGAGCTCCCAGGGCAGGAGGGCAGTGGTGAGTTTCTACTCTGAAATCTGCTGAGTAGATTCAAGCATCCACTTGAACTCAATTCCATGGTTTCAGTTCTATTCTAGCTGGAGGTCCTATAGTCAGGTCCTTCCTTGAAGAATCTGGGGACTGGAGCACTTTGAGGGAGAAGCCACATTTGGAAACATGCCCCTAAGGCAACAACTCTTCCATTTTGGGTAGAAGGTGGTGGGAGAATTAAGGCAGTGAGGATGTCAGAGTCTATTATGAATTAGTGGTTCTATTTCTACCTATGAGCTGGTTGGAGAAGGAACAGCAGGCAAGATATTGGCTCCCTGAGCAACGCTCCAGCTGATTCTGTCACAGACAGGTCCTGTCTGACTCATTGACAGCCCTGGGGGAAGGGAGGTATATCATGACCTGCTCCTCTCCTACTCCCTGGGCTTGAGTCACTCACACTGAGTCAGCTCCGGGGAGTAAAGATGAAGCAAGAAGCTGACATCACACCATATCAAGCTAGAAGGCCTACTGGGGCTTCCAGTGTGACATGCGGCAGATTTCTCTGTACAAAGGTTGCAGTCCTGAAAAGACAAAGCTAATCTACTAACAGTGTCATCATATCGGGGAGGGTGTGATACCTAAATCACTCTCTCCTTTTAGCTCCCCCATTCTATACCAAAATATTTGCCATTTGGTTACAAATGGGAGGACAAACTGCCTGGGCAGAGTTCCCCGACTAGGCTGATAAAATGGCTTTGAAGCGGCAGGCTTTGAGGAGCAGTGGTGGAAAATGTGAAAAATCAGCACAAAGCCTTCTGACTGTGGGAGAGAGTGTAAAGGATTCCTCATAGTAAGAAAGAGAACACTGTGAGAGCTGAGCAGAGAACAACTCTGCAGGGAGACCATGGGCAGGAAGAGAACTGTACATGCTGCCCCTGAGCCTCTTCTTTGAGGCCCGACCTCATCCTTGGGAGCCCCTCTACTGGTGGTAGGAGCATAGTATTAAACTCAGAACCTAAAAGAAAAGCAAGAGACTGGGAGCAGAGTGTTAGGGTCTACCTAGAGATTCTCCTAGAGTATCTCTGCTTAGGTCTTAGATAATTATGTGCCTCATTTTAGTAAGCTGTATACTTCCTGCTTATGGCAGAAAACAACTTTTTCAAGAGAGTCACAAACTAAACAGTTCCATAGATACTGGGGTTTTCATTATTACTTCACATGTTCCTAGAGGGAAGGATAACATTTTATCCCCCGTCCTCCACAGCACAGCTCACGGCTTTGGACATTGTACAAAGTCAATAACTACATGTTGAGTGAATGAATGTTACATGAAAGGGAAGAAGGATGAGTAAAAGGAAAACCAATTCCTTTGGTATTTAGGGGACAAAAGCCTTGACAGACGCATCCTCAAAATGCCAAAGGGGCTGGGTCTAGTCACTCATGCCTGTAATCCCAGTGACTTGGGAGGCTGAGGCGAGAGGATGACTTGAAGCCAGGAGTTTGAGACTAGCTTGGGCAATAGAGCACGACCTCATCTTTACAAAAAAATTTTTTAAAAATTAGCCAGGTGTGGTGGTACATAGCTGTAGCCCCAGGTACTTGGGAGGCTAAGATGGGAGGATTGCTTGAGCCCAGGAGTTAAAGGCTACAGTGAGCTATGACTGTGCCACTGCACGCCAGCCTGGGCAACAGAGCAAGACCCTGTTGCAAGAAAAAGGGCGGACGGACAGACAGACGGGTGGGCGGAAGGAAGGAAGGAAGGAAGGAAGGAAGGACGGATGGAAGGAAAAGGGCTGGGAGAGACCCCTGTGCTGACGACTCTAATGCTTAGAAACCTAGTGATATTCATGTTTCTGTCTCTTTCTTGCTCTCCCATTTTCTGTGGAGCCATAATGAATTCAGGTATTTCATTCTGTCAGTATCAGATAACGCAGGAGTGCCTGGGAACATAGTATCTCCTTCCTCTCCTGGATCTAGTGACCCAAGATAAGGAGTCAGGTTGGAAGAACGGCAGCTACAGAACCCACCCTAAATGATGTAAGTATTCACCTAATACCTGCCTCTCAGTGCCATCCATAATCTTATCCTGGAGTGGGAGTTAGATGTAAGGAAAGAGGGACCAAGGATCAGCAGAGTAAGAAAAGCCCTGAGGCCTCAGCTTTTCTGGTCCTAAGATGAGCACTACAAAATGGATAAAGAGAAAAGCCAAGCCTGACAAGAGGCACCAAGGAATTCACTTCCAGCTGCTCACCCTCTGCTACAGGTTTGACTCCAAGATGAGACAGCTATCCAACCCTTCATGTTCCACTAGAATCTGGATGACTCTTCTTGTTCTGCAGCAACTTCTCTTCATGACCCAGGGCTCTGCTGCCAAGCTCAACCAGATATGAAAACGGTTCATTCTAGTTCTGACAACAGTTTTGGCTTTGCCTGTGCATGGATGTGGAAGCTCAGATGGCCATAGCCTGGGCCGTTCTTCCCCACATGGCTTCTGACAGCTGGGGACCTTGGGAAGTAGATATTGAGAAATAACCAAGGTAGTTCAGCTGAATGATTATGAGCACCAGCTGGAGATTTGAGTCCTGGTCTGACATTCACTAGTTGAGGGACCTTGGGCAAAACATCTAATCTTTCTAAGCCTCAGTTTCCTTGCTGGCAAAATAATACCTGTCTCTCAGCATGGTTGTGAGGATTAAATGTAAAGTACTTGGCAAGATGCCTGGCACATAAGTGCTGAATAAATGTTAGCACTTTTAGCTTTACCATTATTAAACTATCCTAACAAAATTCCAAATTTCCAGAGAGCAGGCTCTATAGTCTCCCTCCCTCTTCCTTTTCTCTAGTCACTCTGACTTCCCTCTATTTGAAAGAAGTCCCATTGTATCAAAAACGTGGGTGGGTTATATGCCCCACAGAGGCAGATGCCAAGACCATAGCTATCCGCATTTTTCAAAAAGTGCAAATTCCTCCTTTTTTTCTCCCTCTTTTCTAGGCTGGGTTGGAAGCCAGGATGGGAGCCTGGCCAATGGTGAGTCAGAGGGGAGGACTGGAGCACCATTGTCTGGCTGGGACACCAGGTCACTGACACTTGGTAGTCCACTGGGCAGCTTTCCCTGCTATCTGTCCAGATGTGGAGTGAAGAGTGGGTATAACCTATTCATGTGGCCACCTCTTCCCTGCTCTATATCCTAAGTTATACCTCCAACTGCTGCTGTAGCTTCCTCTTCTTCCCAGCCTCCAGGTCCTTGACTAGGCACTATATTTACTCTATACTAAGAGTGCTTTCTCTTCCCTTTGTGCTTCTCCCAAATGGTATGGGAAAGATACCAGCAAGGCACTCTTCCCCCTAAGGAAAGGCAGGCAATGAAGGCATTCTCCAGATGCCTCAGTGATAAGAAATAAACCTTACACTTATGTCAACAAAAGGTAGGATCTTCAGAGGGTAGTGAAAAGGGATTAGATTATGAGGAGGAGTGGCCAGGAGAATGAAGCCGATGTTCTAACATCTCCCCTACCCCAGCACACAGAAAGACAATAGTACCTTTTCCTTTCCCACAGATGCTGCTCTGAGAGGCTCTGGTAGCTATCTCAAGTCTCAGGTCAGGGTGTGGAGGGCTTCTGCCACAGTTCTCATTAACATAGTAGATGTTAATGGAATGGCAGTTTATTTATTTATTTATTTATTTAGAGACGGAGTCTCACTCTGTCGCCCAAGCTGGAGTGCAGTGGCGCGATCTCTGGTCACTGCAACCTCTGCCTCCCAGGTTCAAGTGATTCTCCTGTCTCAGCCTCCCAAGTAGCTGGGATTACACGCGCCCACCACCACGCCTGGCTAATTTTTGTATTTTTAGTAGAGATGGGATTTTGCCATGTTGGCCAGGCTGGTCTCAAACTCCTGACCTCGTGATCTGCCTGCCTCAGCCTCCCAAAGTGCTGGGATTACAAGCGTGAGCCACCGCGCCTGGCCAGTGCAGTTTAATAAAAATGATTTGGGACACAGTCAGGAGCGTCAGCCTTGCCATGACCTATATGACCTGAGGCAACTCACTTTATCTCTCTGGGTCTGAGTTCTTCCTTTGTAAACTAAGGCAGGCAAAATACATGAATTCTAAGGCCTTTCCATTCTAACATTCCATGCTTTTATCAGTGAAATGAAACAGGGAGGACAGAAAGAACAGCGTAACCCTGTGTGTATATAGGAGGCATCCTGTCTCCATGCAGCCCTCTACCACCTTTTGTCTCTGGCCCTCCCCAGAATTTTACCTCATCCTCATTCTCCACTTTAGGGTTGCTGGCTGTTCGTTTCAGGTTGCTGCTGAGACTTATGCTGGCAGTGGCATCTGACTTAGAGCGCTGGTGAGTCCTTTTGGAGGGAGACAGCCCTGTGTCAGGGGCCGGGCTCAAGGAGGGCAGCTCCCTCTTCCTGTGAGCTGGCTTTAGCTCATCTGAGAGGATCAGCTTCCGTAGCTTGGTCCCACGGGAGTGTCGTTGAGTGGAAATGTGCATGTCTGAAGAATAGGCCCCAAGCAACAGGGCACACTGGAGGGAAAAGTTAATGCTCTGGCGGCAACGGTGGACTATGTAGGGCTTAATGGCATCACCCACGTCCTCATCCATGTGGATGTACATGTTAAGCAACTGGGGCAGATAGAAGTCCACGTCCTCGTTGCGAAAGCAGAAGAGCCGGTTGCCAATGTAGGCTTGTACTCCAGGCTCCTTGGAGTTATACAGGTATGAAATGGCCATGGAGATGTCAAACAGTTTTGACTCAAACAGCCTCAGCAGCCAAGACTGTTTAGCTGAGTTGTTCTGCCGCCGTCTTCTTGCTCCTTTGGCTGTGCCTGAGGCCACAGCGGCCCCCATCTCATCTTCCTCCTCCCTGATCTGGGCAGGTGGATCATCTAGGCAACGGATCTCACTGTCCACACCATCCCCATTGACCAACTCCAGTGGGGTGCCTCTGCTAGAGACTGCCACGCCTCCATGCAAAAGCTTGACTTTCTCCAACACCTCCTGGCAGGCCTTCTGGGCCACCTCAGGGTCAATCACTGATAGTTCCCCGACCCCCTCCGTGATGACACTTAGCAGGGACCCCCCATTATTCCCTGGTGGGCCAGAAGTGGGCTCAGAAGTTGGCTTCAAGGGGGCAGGCTCCACTACTGTATCTCCCATGGCCACAGCCAGACTTCGAGCTTCCAAGCTACAGGAAGAGGGAGGGAGAAAAGAACAGAAAGGGAGACACATACACACATTGGTTAGTGGTGCCATCCTCAGATCTTCCCTTTGCTATGACACCTTCCCAGGCACCTCCTCTTTTTGTCTTCCTGGACTCCTTCAAAATCAGATAAGAAGACATATCCTAGGAAGCTTTCCTGACTACCTCCACTTCTGATTACATTACTCGTCATTCCTCCTGTAGTTACTCAGCTTAGCCTCTGTTCTTAGCTTATATATGTGAAATGTTGTTTTGTATATGTTGTATTTATATAGATTTACAAATTCTTTTTGTTGTTGTTGTTGTTGTTGTTGTTGAGACGGAGTCTCGCTCTGTCACCCAGGCTGGAGTGCAGTGGCGCAATCTCAGCTCACTGTAAGTTCCGCCTCCCGGGTTCACACCATTCTCCTGCCTCAGCCTCCCAAGTAGCTGGGACTATAGGCGCCCACCACAACGTCCAGCTAATTTTGTTTTGTATTTTTAGTAGACACACGGTTTCACCATGTTAGCCAGGATGGTCTCCATCTCCCAACCTCATGATCCACCCACCTCGGCCTCCCAAAGTGCTGGGATTACAGGCGTGAGCCACTGCACCTGGCCTACATTTACAAATTCTTTTTTTTTTTTTTTTTTGAGACAAGGTCTTGCTCTGTTACCCAGGCTGAAGTGCAGTTGAACAATCTGGGCTCATTGCAACCTTGACCTCCTGGGCTCAAGCAAGCCTCCCACCTCAGCCTCCCAAGTAGCTGGGACCACAGGTGCACACCACCATGCCTGGCTTATTTTTAAATTTTTAATCTTATTATTTTTGAGACAGGGTCTTGCTCTGTTGCCCAGGCTGGAGTGCAGTGGCGCGATCAGAACTCACTGTAGCCTTGATTTTCTGGGCTCAAGCAATCCTCCTACCTCAGCTTCCCAAGTATCCAGGACTACACGCATGTGCCTCCATGCCTGGTTAATTTTTTAAATTTTTCTGTAGAGACAAGGTCTCACCATGTTGCCCAGCCTGGTCTTGAACTGAGCTCAAGCAATCCTCCCTCCTCAGCCTCGTAAAGTGTTGGAATTACAGGCATGAGCCACCATGCCTGGTGATTTACAGATTCTTCGGGTAGACTGAGAAGCAAGTCAGGTGTTACTCCCTTGTTCCCTAACTCTTCAAATACTTTTCTATCCACTTGCTCTTCCTGTCTCCCTTTAAATGCCTGCTATAACCTTTTTATTTTCCACTTTAGACTATATTTCCTTACTCATATAACATTCTACACACAGGTCCTGTGCATCTCACCTTTATTTTTATTTTTTAGAGACAAGTCTTGCTCTGTTGCCCAGGCTGGAGTGCAGTGGCATGATCATAGCTCACTGTAACCTTGAACTCCTAGGCTCAAGGCATCCTCCTGCCTCAGCCTCCCGAGTAGCTAGGACTTTAGGTGTGTGCCATCATGCTCAGCTAATTAAAAAAAAATTTTTTTGTGCAGATGGCGTCTTGCTGTGTTGCCCAGGCTAGCTTTGAACGCCTGGCCTCAAGCAATTCTCCTGCCTCAGCCTCCCAAAGCACTAGGATTACAGGTGTGAACCACCTTGCCCAGCCATCTTTATTTAATATTAAAGTCTTGGCTAGGCGCAGTGGCTCACGCCTGTAATCCCAGCACTTTGGGAGGCCGAGGTGGGCAGATCACGAGGTCAAGAGATCGAGACCATCCTGGCCAACATGGTGAAACCCCGTCTCTACTAAAAATACAAAAATTAGCCAGGCGTGGTGGCAGGCGCCTGTAATCCCAGCTACTCAGGAGGCTGAGGCCGGAGAATTGCTTGAACCTGGGAGGTGGAGGTTGCAGTGAGCCGAGATTACGCCATTGCACTCCAGCCTGGAGACAGAGTGAGACTCTGTCTCAAAAAAAAAAAAAAAGGCCGGGCGCGGTGGCTCACGCCTGTAATCCCAGCACTTTGGGAGGCTGAGGCAGGCGGATTACCTGAGGTCAGGAGTTCGAGACCAGCCTGACCAACATGGAGAAACCTCGTCTCTACTAAAAATACAAAATTAGCTGGGCGTGGTGGCGCATGCCTGTAATCCCAGCTACTTGGGAGGCTGAGGCAGGAGAATCGCTTGAACCCGGGAGGCAGAGGTTGTGGTGAGCCGAGATCGCACCGCTGCACTCCAGCCTGGGCAACAGAGCGAAACTCTGTCTCAAATAAATAAATAAATAAATAAATAAATAAAATTAAAGTCTTGATATATTTTTCTGGTTACAGGTATTTTTTTACCTTCCCTTTTAAACTCGAAGTTCCCAGAAAATAAAGGCCAGTAAATACCATGCCAGGCTTCACTTAGAAGAAGGCAGCTCTAAAACAACCATCATCAACCCTGCTGAAGCTGTGCCGTTTCTCTGGTTGTCTGACATCATGACATCACACCCTCTTTCTCCAGTGCCGTGGCTGCTAACATATAATGGAAAGAGCTCTGGACTTGAAGGCAAATAGGCTGGGGTTGAAAATCCTCATTCAGCCTTTCAGAAATGTGCAACTTATGCAAGCCATTTATCCTCAACTGCAAATTGGGAAAAAACACTTCCTTCTCATTGTTGCTATGTGGAACAAATACCATCACGTGTATGAAAGAATCTAGCACAGTCTTTGATACATAGTAGTACTCAATATATGCTAGTTGAGGCCGGGCACAGTGACTCATGCCTGTAATCCCAGTGCACTGGGTGGCTGAGGCAGGTGGATCACTTTGAGGTCAGCAGTTCAAGACCAGCGAGACTCTGTCTCAAAAAAAAAAAAAAGAAATGCTAGTTGAATCCTCATCACCTAAAAGGTTACTAACCAGTGTGTGTGTAACATAAAACTTATATTATTTTATAAGGGAAGCAAAGAGTTCCAATTGTTTGAGAATCTTCCAGAAATACTTATGACAGCCTTTTCTGCCCCAATACCACTCCCCCCACTGTCATACACACATTCTAACAACTGGAGGGACAATTGAAAAGGCAAAAAGAAATCAGACTAGGACTCATAGATCTAGGCCTTCCAAAGAACAGGGAGGAACAGGAGTCACAAAACAAAGAACACCTCCTCTGGAGGGACTGTTGGAAGGAAGTTCAATGAAAGAACACTGCTGACCAAAGCCACTGCTCTCCAAGAACAATCCTTCAGAGCCTCACCAAATCTGGAATCAGTGCAGAACTGGGGAAATTTCATCAGATCAACCTGGCTCCAGAATCTGACTATAGCTAACAAAGGACTCAGACTCAGAGGCCTCTTCACAAAAATGCTAATAGAGTGAGTCTAAGACACACTCAAGAGCATGAGCAAGAGGAAAGATTTTGTAGAGTTGGAATACAGGTAATTTCAAAATATTAGTGACATCACCTTCAACCCCGGTGACCCTGGATGCATATACTTTGGGTAGGTGGAATAAGGAGGCCTAGAGATTCTTTAGTCCCTCTGGGAGGCTGTTTTCCACCACCACCCTTCCAGTGTCTGTTCTTGTACGTCTGAAATGTTAAGGTTACTTTTTTTTTCTTTTTGAGACGGAGTCTCGCTCTGTCGCCCAGGCTGGAGTGCAGTGGTGCAATCTTGGCTCACTGCAAGCTCCGCTTCCCGGGTTCATGCCATTCTCCTGCCTCAGGCTCACAAGTAGTTGGGACTACAGATGCCCGCCACCACGCCCGGCTAATTTTTTGTATTTTTAGTAGAGGCAGGGTTTCACCATGTTAGCCAGGATGGTCTCGATTTCCTGACCTCGTGATCTGCCCACCTCGGCCTCCCAAAGTGCTGGGATTACAGGTGTGAGCTGCCGCGCCCGGCCCCAGGTTACTTTTAACTGCCCAATATCATATAGTCCAGCTCCCTGCCTCCCAGCAGTCACCACTAAAGTTTTGCAGAAAGACGGATGGGGAACTCTTCTGTTCTCAGAGATCACCAAAAAAGGCTATTTCTGTTTCTTTCTGCCAACTCTGCCAAGCAAGTTCATTCCTGAATTTAATATCCCTGATGCAGATTGAGCTTGGTATTGGTAAGAAGGTGGCAACTCTTTCACTATGCTCTCTCCCAAAATTAGGTAGTGCCCTCTGAGCAGTAGAACCAGCATGGCTGCCTATGTGGATCTGTCCCTACTCGCAACTGTGAGTTGCACAGGAATAATAAGAAGGAAGCTTTAATCATTCCCTGCCACACCTTCGTAGGGCACTCTCATCAGAGGGTCACCGATTCAACGGGGACCACTACCTTTTAGGTCTGCTTAGAAACTCATGTGATAGCCTCAATCATCTTAAACAATCAACTTCTTTTTCTCAGTCTCTATGTTTGGTACATCCTTTCCTCTCCCTCTAGTCCACAGACTTTTAAGTCACTGAAAGCTCCTAGAAGTACACTTTTCAAAACTTTCAAGGGAAATACAGTTCAGACATTCTCCCACATAATAGTGTCTCAGACCTCACTAGAAAATTTAGCAGATGCCTGCCCCAATTAACTACGATTGGGATTATTACTGGCACCAGGAAGGCAAATAAGGATACTATCACCTCTTTTATCTCACAGACAAAAGAAAAACTCCCAGGGCTCAGCTAAGAATCACATCACAGTATTCAGAGGATTTTGCTACTGAACAGACTCTCCCTCCCGGCAGCTTTTACTCCTCAGGGAGCTAGACAGTGTTGAGAGGTGCAGGAAAAAACAGACTCCTCTCCTATATAAGCAGCTCTACCACTAGAAACCACCAAACTGGAGCTGGGTCTCTTCCCTGGCCTCTCAGGAACCCAGGCACTGCCTGCATCTGAAGCAAGTCATATGGAGAAGAAGGTGTTGTAGGGAATAGGGTTAAATTGCTTTAGCTATTTATTATTACTATTATTTTTATTTTATTTATTTTTTTGAGACAGAGTCTTGCTCTGTTGCCCTGGCTGGAGTGGAGTGCAGTGGCGCAATGTTGGCTCACCGCAACCTCCGCCTCCCAGGTTCAAGCGATTCTCCTGCCTCAGCCTCCCAAGTAGCTGGGATTACAGACACCCGCCACCATGCCCAGCTTGCTTCATTTAGTTTTGAATGCCAAGAAAATATGCCTTTGTGGGCAGGGCATGGTGGCTCACGCCTGTAATCCCAGCACTTTGGGAGGCTGAGGAGGGCAGATCACGAGGTCAGGAGATGGAGACCATCCTGGCTAACACAGTGAAACCCCGTCTCTACTAAAAATACAAAAAATTAGCCGGGCATGGTGGTGGGCACCTGTAGTCCCAGCCACTTGGGAGGCTGAGGCAGGAGAATAGCATGAACCCAGGAGGCGGAGCTTGCAGTGAGCCGAGATCACACCACTGCACTCCAGCCTGGGCGACAGAGTGAGACTCTGTCTTAAAAAAAAAAAAAAAAAAAAGCCTTTGAGGGTAACTGTTCTAAAGAAAATGAAAGGACTGGAAAGCAAAAGAAAAGGTGAAGGAAAAAGTCCTGTATTCAACAGCCTTCCCCTTCTAAGTCAGAGGAATAAGAAAAAAGTGACGGAAGACAATCTAAATTTTTAATATTAAATGACTCCTATGGCCTTCAAGGGGGTTCAGACAACTGAGGCTCTACACTTCACACTGGGAACCTAAATTCTCCTTCCAGTCAGACTGGAAGGGAAATGGAAGAGGCCTCCCCTGTTCCACAGCCTAACAGCTGGCCCCTAGGAAAAGTTGACAACTGACTGAGTTCCACAGCTCCCAACTGGGCAAAGTAGGGAATTCTGGTCTGAGTGACAAGGAATTGTTACAGGTCACACAGAGCAGCAGCTGGAGAAGACACAGAAGATATACACATATGTTCTGTGTGACTGAGCAGTTAAAATACATGTCTGCAGAGGACTCTCTGGGGAGGAGATGCTATCGCTTAACCTAGCTCCCCATTTCTTATCACCTCAAAAGATTCCAGGCAAACAACTTTCTACTGGCCTCCATTAAAGGACTTATTGGATCAGTCTCTGCTAGGACAGAATGGTAAAGAGCCCCAAATCAATCCCCTCACCCAGTTAATCACCATTCTCTTTTTCAAAATTTTTTCCATGGACTAGATAAATATGGATTGGTTTGCACCAATTCTGATATTTTTATGTTCTTATATTTTCATAGAATGGCTTTAAGAGATCATCTGATCTAGTGCCCTGCTTCCAAGCAGGCAGGCTGGCTCAATTTTCCTCCTTTTAAAGGATCCTTTATTTCCCCACCCCTTGCCTTTTTATTTTTTTCCTTTTTCTTTCTTAAGAGACAGGCTCTTACTCTGTTGCCCAGGTTGGAGTGCAGTGGTGGAATCATGGCTCACTATACGATTTCTGGTTGGGGATGCTTCCAAGGAGGAAAGCTTCTTCCTGGCCTCAAGCTACCCTCCCGCCTAGGCCTCCCAAAGTGCTGAGATTACAAAGCATGAGCCACCACAACTAGTCTCCTCTATCCTTTTTTTATACATCTCACAGTCCTTTGAGATGGATCCACAAGAGATGGAAAAACGGGTAAGGAAACCAATATCTGACGTTCATTCTACAAGGTGAATTAAGAGAGACTGTCAAAAGTTAATGGAAAAGAAAGAAAGGTTCAAATATATTAAATATTATTTAAAGTTATACAGGTGTCCAGTAGAAGAAATAAAAATGACATAATTATATAAATGAGAGGTATATCCTCTAAAGCTAAATCCTTGTTTGTAACAATAAGTAAAGAAATAGAGGAACAAATGGCCAGGTGCAGTGGCTCATGCCTGTAATCCCAGCACTCTGGGAGGCTGAGGCGGGTGGATCACCTGAGGTCAGCACTTTGTGACCAGCCTGGCCAACATGGTGAAACCCCGTCTCTACTAAAAAATATAAAAAACTAGCCAGGCATGGTGGCGGGTGCCTGTAATCTCAGCTACTCGGGAGGCTGAGGCAGAACAATCGCTTAAACCTGGGAGGCGCAGGTTGCCGTGAGCTGAGATCGCTGTAATCCCAGCACTCTGGGAGGCCGGGGTGGGTGGATCACCTGAGGTCAGGAGTTCGTGACCAGCCTGGCCAACATGGTGAAACCCCATCTCTACCAAAAAATACAAAAACTTAGCCAGGCGTGGTGGCGGGCACCTGTAATCCCAGCTACTCGGGAGGCTGAGGCAGGAGAACTGCTTGAACCCTGAGGCAGAGGTTGCAGTGAGCCGAGATCGTGCCACTGCACTCTAGCCTGGGCGACAGAACGAGACTCCATCTCAAACAAACAAACAAAAACAACAACAAAAACAAACAAAAAAACAAAGAAATAGAGGAACAAGCATTTTATCTAAAGCTATGGTGATAACCTTCAGAACACTGAGATAATTAAGGAGGTTAACTCTGCGAGAACAGGAGTAGGGATGAACGGAAACAGGACTGCTGTTTTTCTTCATAAACTCTTTGAGTACCATTGGATTTGTTACCAAATGCATGCATTCCTTCAAAAAAAAATTTTTTTTTTTTTGAGATGGAGTCTCGCTCTGTTACCCAGGCTGGAGTGCAGTGGCGCCATCTCAGCTCACTGCAACTTCTGCCTCTCAGGTTCAAGTGATTCTCTGCCTCAGCCTCCCGAGTAGCTGGAATTACAGGCACACGCCACCACACCTGGCTAATTTTTGTATTTTTAGTAGAGATGGGGTTTCACCATGTTGTCTCGAACATGCCAGGCTGGTTTCCAACTCTTGACCTCAAGTGATCCGCCCACCTCAGCCTCCCGAAGTGCTGGGATTACGGGCATGAGCCACGGTGCCCAGCCCAAAAATAATTTTTAAAGAGAGGTTGCTCCTCAAAAGAGACTCCATATCATCTTTGACTGCCTGTTCTGCTGTTGAGGAGTTCCTCCTCATGTCTTAATGTCTAACTCAAACCTTTCTTTAAGGATGTCTCAACTCATCTCTCCCCTTTGACCTCAATGGTAAAGGTAGAGATTGAGTACTCCTTTTTCCTTATAGAAACTCAGGGCCAGGCAGTCAAGCCAGCTCCAGCCCTACCAGGATCCAGGTAACTGCTGACACAAGGGCCCAGAGAGTGTGGGCATTAGGGGAGAGGGCATTCTCAAGCTACTAGCACGAGGGTAGGGAGGGCAGTGGTCTCATGGTAGTTAAGTCAATATTGATTCAGGCTGAGAACTCTGTGCAGAGCCATGGAGCTGGTATAAGCAGATTCCAGCCAGACAGCCCAAGCCAGCTATGGGAGCCGCTACTGAAACAGATGGCAAAGAAAGCAGCCTGTGCACTCACCTCTCTCTGAATTGTTCCTCCCTACTGCGAGTCCCAAATACACTTGGACTGGGTCCCCTCTTGTCCCATGCCAATTATTGAAGGGTTCCTCCCAAACCTCTTCCCCAAATCAAGGAATCTCAATTTGCTGCTTTGGATGGTGTTCAGCATTCTCATGGAGCGTGGACTCAACTCTAAGAAGAAAGCAGGGAAATGAGAGGAAATATGATTTCTGGTTGGGGATGCTTCCAAGGAGGAAAGCTGCTTTTTTTTTTTTTTTTTTCCTGAGACAGAGTTTCACTCAGTCACCCAGGCTGGAGTGCAGTGGCGTGATCTCGGCTCACTGCAACCTTCGCCTCCTGGGTTCAAGTAATTCTCCTGCTTCAGCCTCCGGAGTAGCTGGGATTACAGAAGCTCGCCACCATGCCCGGCTAATTTTTTGTATTTTTAGTAGAGATGGGGTTTCACCATGTTGGCCGGACTGGTCTTGAACTCCTGACCTCGGGTGATCTGCCTGCCTCGGCCTCCCAAAATGCTGGGATTACAGGTGTGAGCCACCGCGCCTGGCAGGAAAGCTTCTAATAAGGGGAATTATGAGGAGACTGCACCATGACTAACGACAAGGAAGAGAAAGGAAGTGGGATAAGATGACATAACTACTCCCAAACAGACCTAGAATCAGAAAATGAATGGAATCTCACGTGCCCTTTCGCTATCACAGGCTGAGAGAGACATGGCAGCAACTAGTTGCCTAAGTCTCAGTTCACTCCAAGTTCTCTTTTCCAGCCAGCTTCCTCAAAGTGCTTTCCCACAAACATACTTTCTACCTATAGAATCTGGAGTTATGGATCAAGTACGTGAGGAACAGGACAGAAAATCAGCCACTTAATGCACTGGGGGAAAAAGCAAAGCAGATGAAGGAAGCAGGCCTGGAGCTTGTCTTTCAAAATGACTTACACCCCTGGTTGTGGACTAGAAACATCTGACAGAAAGACCAAGGTGAAGGAAAATTCTCAGGATGACTAAACCACTACTAATAAATACCTTTTGCCTGAGGAACCCAAAATGTTTTGTAAACAAATAAACCAAATCTGATTTTTTCCCCCAACCCACATCCTGCTACCAACTTATTACTGCACTGATGCCTACAGAGAGTGGGCATTTTCCAAAAGGATCACTCTAGAGGTCAAGTGAGGAAGTCACATGCTGAACCCAGGAGTCCCGATTCTGAATGTACAAGCTCTTTCCATTGTCTCATGTTCCTTTTTCCAGTTATACCCTTACCCCACTCCAGGCCTGAATTCTTATGGAACCAACCAAAACTATTCTAGTAAACCACAAGAATAAACTGATTCCTCATGGATCTGGACAGGGGTGAGAAGGCACTCTATTCTGTGATTCCTTTAACAAAAGCCTAAAATTAAATAATCTGAAACAAGTTTTCTCACAATCTCATTCAATTTCCACGCAGGCCTGTTCATCCCTCTTAGTGGCTGCTCCGGAGTAGTCAACCAAGTGTAATCTGATAGGGACTTCTTCAAAACTTGCTCCGGCCTTCAGAAACACCCTTCTGTCCTGAACGGCCTGAGGCAGCTGAGGCTCCCCCTGCTCACAACACATTTTTCTTCTTAGTTCAAGGTTTAGTTGATCCTGAAATAAGTGGTATGTGGAGATAAAGAGTGTAACAGAGAACACATGAAGCCCACGGGAAAAACAGAACAAATGTCACAAGGATCAGAGAAATCCCTGAAACTCGAGGGAGGTGTCAAAGTTGGAAATCCTGAATGGGAAGGGCACTGTCAAATCTCTCCCCTACAGACAGAAACCTCTAGAAAGTTGGGGGATTGAGGAGGGAGAAAGAGAAGCTAAAGAAAGTTATAGGGATCATAATGCATCCCAGAGAAGAGTGAGGACTAGGTTCAAAGTAAGAATGTAAATGGTACTTTTGGATTGATGACAAGGGCCCGAGATCCCTTAAGGAGAAGGGAACAGGCAATTCTTGGAAGCCAGGAGCTGGCTGGGTAGGTGGGTGACAGTGAGGTAATGGAATCAGAAGCAGCACAGGAAGACAGGGATGCAATCTTTAGCTCAGGGAAATGGGAACCCAGTGCTGGAGTTGCACAGGGACATAGGAGGAAAAGTGCAAACTAGGAAAAGAGATAAAGGTGGAGTCCATGGAAAAGGTTTGGGGCAGGGGCAGAGACGACGAGGAAGGACAAGGATGGGCATTATGGGAGTCGTCTGATATGGAAAGGGTTCATGACTTAAAAAAAAGAATTATTCGAGACGTAGGCAACAGGGATGAGTGAGGGAGGGGGGAATCCCCGAGGCAGAGGGAGGAGCTAATAGAAGAGGAAGCCAAAAAGCGGAGGAGGACCCCAGGCCTGAGAGGAAAGGGTGGAGAAGGAACCCGGGGTGCAGCTGACACCAAGAGGGCAGTTTCGTAGTCGAACTCAGGTGGGGAAGACTGTGCGGGACAGGGTGGGAGAGGGACCCCCCCCCCCACCCAACAGGGCAAAGGTGACTCATGAAGGAGGAGTAGCTTACCTCTGGGGGACCCCCGCGGAGGGGGTGCGGGCAGTCGCGGTTGGACTGCCGACACTGCCGCCTCAGCAGCAGCGACCGCTCCCGGGTTCCATTGGCCGCCTGCGCTTCCCTGACAGCGGCCGCGGAGGCTGCACCAGGCCCCGGCTGCGGGGCTGCCCGCGGCGCCGCCTGAGGGGGCCTTCAGGCTGCCACAAGTTCGACCGGGCCACACAACCTCTTCTTCCTCCCTCAGTACAACCAAGACCAAAAAAATAATAAAATAAAATAAAATTCCCCAGCAGGTCTCGATGTAGTATTCTTCTCCGGAGTCCAAGCCAAGCCTTTCTTCCCAGGATACGCTTTCCTGCTTCCCCAGCGGTCAGGACCCTACCGATTCCATAGTAATCTAAGGAGTCGGGTGAGCTGCCTGGAACATGCCTGTTCAGAAATAGAAAAGGGGGCGGGGAAAAGATGTTTGGAAGCTCTCGAGGGAGAGAGGGCGAAGGGAGGAGCTTACGGGTGGGAGGAGGGGCCAATATTTAAGAAGCGGACCTAAGCGATAGCGTTTGCGAGGCTAAAGAAGCCGAGAGAGAAGTAAAATTTGCTGCATAAGTAGGGTGAGCAGGCGGCCGTGGGTGCCCTGTTAAAGAAGTATGGACATATGCATACTTCCAGAAGTATATTAACATGCAAGTTATATGTAAACGACCGTTTGAGTAACTAACCAAATTACCGTAATTGCAATCAATGACTTTTCCCCCTCCCGTATGCTACAAGACTCCCTTAGTAAATCAGGCCGTGGGATGGACGCTGGGTTCCTAGAAGGGCGCGCAGGAAGACGGCGGACGGGGAAGACGTTCTTTCTGACTGCCCTTTTCCTACTTATCTTGGAGGACGATGCGGAGTTTAAGCTCCTTAACATTTCGGGAATGGCGCGGTCCAACCGCGTCAGTCTTTTCGCCGTTAGAGGCCCGACTCGAGGCCGTGGTTCTGCCTCCGAGGTCACCAACCTGCCTGGGCAGCCTGTGACCTCCAGCATCCATATGCCCAGCCCTCCAGGGAGGGGCTGGACAGGGCCAGGTTGGGAGAGGTGAGTGAAACGACAAAGGCTTGGAGGGCACAATCCCTTCTTCCAAACAAAACGAAACCATATTAGGCCAAACAAATAAACAAAAACACGCCATGCAAATGGGCCTCTGGTGTTGCTTTTGTGTATTTTTCGTTTGTTTGTTTGTTTTGTAAAGACAGGGTCTTGCTATGTTGCCCAAGCTTGTCTCGAACTGTTAGCCTCAAGCAATCTGCCGGCCTCAGGTACCAAAGTGCTGGGATTATAGGCCCGACCTCGCCCAGCAAGTTTTTTGTGTATTTTTCGGTTAAGATTGTTGATTTAGAGCCCTCTTTGTCCTCAGAACCTCTATCTCAATGCCTTTCCTAGGGCTTTACTTAATATGCAATGCCCCTCATTAGTGCCTTACTTAATACATTGAGGCTAGTTATTTGAGCCCGGGTCTTGAATGCCATCTTCCCTGCCACTTACAAGCCGTTTGATTTGGAATAACTAATGTAACCTCTTTAAACCTCAGTTTCTATGTCTACAAAGAAGACATATGGATGAAGTAATATTAGCCCATTACAGGGTTTTGTTAGGATCAAGAGAGTACAAGTTGCTACTATAGTACTTTATTATTAATTATTGGGACAATCATACAGGATAGATGATGAAAGAGTCACTGCTACAATGTTTAATTGGAAGGCAGAATAAAGTGTAATAGCTTGAAAATGCCTGTGTAAAACATGCAGTATATACAACAGTAGAACAAATGGGGTACCTAACCTAATTGCTGAAGGGACATAGTGGAGTTTAAGTTAATTTGGAAGGCCTATATGTGTATGGACACACACACATACACACACACACACACACACACACACACACACACACACCAGTATATGGTGAATGAATGAATGGAAGGCTTCTTAGAAATATTGTGAGTCAGGTCTTAGAATAGATATTGGATATAACCCAGCAAAATAAAAGACAAGCGAGCATTCTGAAAGCAAAAAAATTGTATGTTGAAGAATATAAATGGGAATTTGCTCATATCATGAGGAGAGGGCAAGCAGACAAGCTAGGTTAAAGCAGGAGTACAGTATGAAAGATGAACAAAGAATGGGGACAAGAGTGCCAAAGATAGTTTAAATTTGTCAGCTGGGCACAGTGGCTCACACCTGTAATCCCAGCACTTTGGGAGGCTGAGGTGGGCAGATTGCTTGAGCTCAGGGGTTTGAGACCAGCCTGGGCAACATGGTGAAACCACGTCTCTTCAAAAATACAAAAATTAGCCTAGCTGGCATGGTGGCATGCACCTGTAGTCCCAGCTACTTAGGAGGCTGAGGTAGGAGGATCACTTGAGCCTGGGAGACAGAGGCTGCAGTGAGCCAAGATCATGCCACTGCACTCCAGCCTGGACAACGGAGTGAGACCCTGTCTCAAAAAAAAAAATCGGCTTGGCGTGGTGGCTCACGCCTGTAATCCCAGCACTTTGGGAGTCCGAGGTGGGTGGATCAGTCGAGGTCAGGAGTTTGAGACCAGCCTGACCGACTTGGTGAAACCCTGTCTCTACTAAAAATACAAAAATTAGCTGGGCATGGTGGTGGGTGCCTATAATCCCAGCTACTAGGGAGGGTGAGGCAGGGAATCACTTGAACCTGAGAGGCAGAGGTTGCAGTGAGCCGAGATTGCGCCATTGCACTCCAGCCTGGGCAACAGAGCGAGACTCCATCTCAAAAAAAAAAAAAAAATTCTCACCACTGGTCTGGATTGGGGAGAATCACCAGTCCACATGTTAGGCCCACCAGCTCTTGGCCAGCTTCCAATCAGCTGTCCCGCAAATATCATGAGGCGATGACCCTGCTTTAGCCTAGAGTTTAAAATGTCATGTATCCCCTCAAGGGATAACCTTCCAAACAGCCACAAGACTAGCCTTTTGAAACATTGTAGAAAGACATGTGACAACCTTTTTTATAGTAGGAAGTTTTCTTATTTTCCAATGACAGAAAAAATTTCAGAAACATCTCTTCAAATTTGAAGCAGGAACTTTTTATAGCTAGTCAGTTATAGACCACCCTACTAAAAATACACACACACACAAACATAAGTAGAAGATTTTAAGTTTCCTATTTATAGCTCTAAGGGTTCATATGTATAAATTTCTTTCTTTCTTTTTTTTTTCTTTTTGAGACAGAGTCTCCCTCTGTCGCCCAGGCTGGAGTGCAATGGTGCAATCTTGGCTCAAGGGACCCTCCTCCACCTCCTGGATTCAAGCGATTCTTCTGCCTCAGCCTCCCGAGTAGCTGGGATTACAGGCATGCGTCACCATGCCCAGCTAATTTTTGTATTTTTAGTAGAGACGGGGTTTCACCATGTTGGCCAGGATGGTCTTGATCTCTTGAACTCGTGATCCGCCCGCCTCGGCCTCCTAAAGTGCTGGGATTACAGGCGTGAGCCACTGTGCCTGGCCCATATGTATAAATTTCTTTGCATCCCTTTATGACTGTCTTTCTGCCGTTTTCGGGAGGGTTTCTTTTTTTTTTTTTTATCATCTTCTGTTTTTTGTTTTTGTTTTTTTTGAGACAGGGTCTTGCTTTTTTGCCCAGGCTGGAGTGCAGTGGCGTGATCTCAGCTCACTGCAAACTCTGCCTCCCGAATTCAAGCGATTGTCGTGCTTCAGCCTCCCAAGTAGCTGGGATTACAGGTGCACGCCACCACGCCCAGCTAATTTTTGTATTTTTAGTAGAGATGGGGTTTCACCATGTTGCCCAGGCTGGTCTCGAACTCCCAACCTCAGGTGATCTGCCCACCTTGGCCTCCCAAAACGCTGGGATTATAGGTGTGAGCCACTGTGTCTCTACCAAAATCACAAAAATTAGCGAGACGTGGTAGTATGCACCTGTGGGAAGGCTTAGGCAGGAGAATTGCTTGAACCTGGGAGGTAGAGGTTGCAGTGAGCTGCAATCATGCCACTGCACTCCAGCCTGGGTGACAGAGTGAGACACACACACACACACACATACACACACACACACACAAAGATTGAATGCAGAAGCAGATATGAGAACCCAGTCTGACATTAAAGAAATTTCCCCCTTTAAAAACAATGCCAATTGTCTCATTGATTTTTTTTCTTGTTTCGGAAAATATAGTTATTTTTCAAAAATGATTTAGTTCATATATATATATATATATATTTTATATATATATTTTTTTCTTTTTCTTTTTTTTTTTTTTAATTGAGACAGAGTCTCACTCTGTTGTCCAGGCTGGAGTGCAGTGGTGCCATCTCAGCTCACTGCAACCTCCGCCTCCCGGGTTGGAGCCATTCTCCTGCCTTAGCTTCCTAAGTAGCTGGGATTACAGGCACCCACCACCACACCCAGCTAATTTTTGTTATTTTCGTAGAGACAGTGTTTCACCATGTTGGCCAGGCTGGTCTCAAACTCCTGACCTCAAGTGATCCACCCGTCTCGTCCTCCCAAAGTGCTGGGATTACAGGCATGAGCCACCACACCCGGCCAAAAATATTTTTTAAATAAATATTTTGACTAAGTTATGTTTTCCTCCCCCTGATTTGTCTTTTTTCTCCTCAGTCTCCTTAGTTGTCAAATTGTAAAACTGAATGCCATTCTCTCCCCCCACATTAAATGTAAAAGCATAACATTTGCGGCTGCGTACGGTGGCTCACGCCTGTAATCCCAGCACGTTGGGAGGCTGAAGTGGGTGGATCACCTGAGGTCAGGAGTTCAAGACCAGCTTGGCCAACATGGTGAAACCCTGTCTCTACTAAAAAAAAAAAAAAAAAAAAAATACAAAACAGCCAGGCCTGGTGGTGGGTGCCTGTAATCCCAGCTACTCAGGAGGCTGAGGCAGGGAGAATTATTTAAAACCAGGAGGCAGAGGTTGCAGTGAGCTGAGATTGCATCACTGCACTCCAGCCTGGGTGACGGAGTGAGACTCTGTCTCAAAAAAGAAAAAAAAAAAATAAAAAAGCTTAACATTTGTGATATGCTCTAAAATTTCTCACTTCACCGAATCTGTTTTTAAAAAATTCTTTTGATTAAAAAAAAAAAAATCACTCACCTCTATGTGAGATCCCAAGGAGCCACTATAGATGTAGATGGTTTTGCACTTGGATGATGGGTGACCCTATGGGAACCTATGCTATCCTGTGTACACACGAAGCCTCTAGCTTTGGTAGGAAAGTACGTATATGTTTTGCACATCGAGGTGTGGGGAGGGCAGGAAATTACCAACAGAGTAAGATAATGTCATTTGTTTGTCTTGTTTACAAACTGGGGAAAGAAGTTGGCTTATTCAAAAGTCAGTAAAATACAACTCCAGTTATATCTTTTTTCCTTTTTTTTTTTAAGACTGAGTCTCACTCTGTTGCCCAGGCTGGAGTGCAATGGTGCAATCTTGGCTCACTGCAACCTCTGCTTCCCAGGTTCAAGCAATTCTCCTGCCAAAGCCTCCCAAGTAGCTGCGATTACAGGCATGAGCCACCACTCCCAGCTAATTTTTGTATTTTTAGTAGAGACAGGGTTTCACCATGTTGGCCAGGCTGGTCTCAAACTCCTGGACTCAAGAGATCTGTCTGCCTCGGCCTCCCAAAGTGCTGGGATTACAGGTGTGAGCCACCACACCTAGCCTCCAGTTATATCTTAAACACCCTTGAGTTAAAGAAACTTTTATAAGAGAGTGAATTTTTTTCCTGAACAATATATAGATATTTAGATACATAGGCTTTTTTTCAGGGTAATGAAAAAGAAGCCAGCAGTTATTGCTTGAGCCCCCTACTGTGTATGAATACAAACATTAACTCATTTATTCCTCATTACAAGCAAATGAAACAGATTTTATTCCATTTTAGGGAAACTGAGCTTCAGAATAGTTAAGTCATTGTGGGTTTGTTGTTGAGACAGGGTCTCGCTCTACCCAGGCTGGAGTGTAGTGGTGCCATCTCGGCTCACTGCAGCCTCGATCTCCCAGGCTCAAGTGATCCTTCCACCTCAGCCTCCTGAGTAGCTGGAATTACAGGAGCACAGCACCACGCCCAGTTAATTTTTTGTATTTTTTTGTAGAGATGAGATCTCGCCATGTTGCTGAGGCTGGTCTTAAACTCCTAGGCTCAAGCAATCCTCTGCCTCACCTCCCAGAGTGCTGGGATTACAGGTGTGAGCCACAGAGTCTGGCCTGATTATTCCAGTAAACAAATGCCTCCCTCTGAACTTTTTTACTTTTAGAGATGAGGTCTTGCTCTGTCTCTTAAGGCTGGGGTGTAATGGCACAATCATCGTTCACTTCAGCCTCGAAATCCTGGGCTCAGGCAGTCCTCCCACCTCAGCCTCCCAAGTAGCTAGGACTACAGGTGCATGTCCCATTGCCTGGCTTTATGAACATTTCTTTTCTTTTTTTATTTTGAGACAGGGTCTTGCTCCTCTGTCACCCAGGCTGGAGTGCAGCGGTGCCATCTCAGCTCACTGCAGCCTCCACCTCCTGGGCTCAAGCAGTCCTCCTACTTCAGCCTCCCAAGTAGCTGGGTCCACAGGTGCGTGCCACTATGCCTGGCTAATTTTTTTGTAGAGATGGGGTTTTGCAATGTTGCCCAGGCTGTTCTCGAGCTCTTAGGCTCAAGCAATCCTCCCACCTCAGCCTCCCAAGTAGCTGGAATTACAGGCCTGGCTCCACTGTGCCCAGCCTGAGCATTTTTTTTTTGAGACAGATTCTCCCTCTGTTGCCCAGGCTGGAGTGCAGTGGTGCAATCTCGGCTGACTGTAACCTCCACCTCCCAGGTTGAAGCAATTCTCGTGCCTCAGCCTCCTGAGTAGCTGGGATTACAGGCACACGCCACCATGCCAGGCTAATTTTTTTTTTGTATTTTTAATAGAGGCGAGGTTTTACCACGTTGGCCAGGCTGGTCTTAAACTCCTCACCTCAGGTAATCCGCTTGCCTCAGCCTCCCAGAGTGCTGGGATTACAGGTGTGAGCCACCATGCCCGGCCAACCTGAGCATTTCTATATACTGTGAGATATATGTATCTGTGTTCAGCCAACTCTCTGTATAAAACGCTGAACAGATTTTTCACATAGGATGGAATCAGCAGGGTGTTTTTGGATGAAGAAGTAGTACTACTGAGAAACCACAACATGAAGTAAAACACTTAAGACAAATATACAGTGACATTAATTCCCCCATTTATTATGCTGTGTGAATGTGTAGCATTTGCTTTAATTTCTAAAGAAGGCTGATTATTAGCTACAAAAATAAACAATAGATTCATTTATTTGAGGCCATAGACTACACATATAGAGTTTGCCTTGGTTTAACAGCAAAAGGTTATTTTTTATTTTTATTATTTTTTTGAGATGGAGTTTTGCTCTTGTTGCCCAGGCTGGAGTGCAATGGCGCAATCTCAGCTCACTGCAACCTCCACCTCCCAGGTTCAAGCAATTCTCCTGCCTCAGCCTCCCGAGTAGCTGAGATTACAGGCATGCGCCACCACACCTGGCTAATTTTTTTTTTTGTATTTTTAGTAGAGATGGGGTTTCTCCACGTTGGTCAGGCTGGTCTTGAACTCCTAACCTCCAGTGATCCGCCCACTTTGGCCTCCCAAAGTGCTGGAATTACAGGTGGGAGCCACCGTGCCCGGCTATTATAGCAAAAGTTTATTTTAAATTTTAGTAAATTTATGATAAACTAAAATGAATAATAGAACTGGAAAAGGTAATGGGAGTGGAGAACGGGAAATTGTGGAGAAGGAGAAGAGTGAGGAATGGTAGGAAGGAAGTGGTACTCCCCCAAATCTTAGTTTAGGCCTTCATCTAAAAAACTGAAGATTGCTTAAACTACAGAGGAATAACTTGTTTCATGTTATATATTTTAAAATAGGGTGGAATAGGTTACTTTAAAACCCCGTAACACTCATTAAAATCTCAAAATCATTCAGTGCTGTGGTATTCTAAAGTGAATGGATTCATCCTCAATCTCAGTCATGGTGAGGGCAATATTTATTTGGATGAGTCTTATCTATTCTATCACCAGTGGTTTATTTTACCATATGCCTGTTACCTCTCATCTGTCTGCATCCTGGTCCAGTCCTTCATTTCCTTCCACATGGATAATGGCAACAACTGCCTGGCTCAGTCCTTTAACTCCAGTTTCTCCATCCTTTAATGCAAACTTCATGCCTTTCATTCATTCATTTATTCAACCAACAGATAACTATAATGGTTGTTTATTCTTAGTTTATTTTACTTAATTATTGAGACAGGGTCTTGCTGTGTCACCTAGGCTGTAGTGTAGTGGCACCATCTGGGCTCACTGCAGTCTTTTTGCCCAGGCTGGAGTGCAATGGTGCAATCTCAGCTTACTGCAACCTCCGCCTCCCCCATTCAAGTGATTCTCCTGCCTCAGCCTCCTGAGTAGCTGTGATTACAGGTGCCCCCCCACCAAGCCAGACTAATTTTTTGTGTGTTTTTAGTAGAGATGGGGTTTCACCATGTTGGTCAGGCTGGTCTTGAACTCCTGACCTCAGGTGATCTGCCTGCCTTGGCCTCCCAAAGTGCTGGGATTACAGGCGTGAAACCGTGCCCGGCATTTTTCTTTTTTTTTTAGACGGAGTCTCGCTCTGTAGCCCAGGCTGGAGTACAGTGGTGCCATCTGGGCTCAATGCAACCTCCGCCTCCTGGGTTCAAGCTATTCTCCTCCTTCAGCCTCCTAAGTAGCTGGGATTACAGGTGCCTGGCACCACACACGGCTAATTTTTATATTTTTAGGTTTCACCATGTTGGTCAGGCTGCTCTCGAACTCCTGACCTCAAGTGATCTGCCTGCCTCGGCCTCCCAAAGTGCTGGGATTAGAGGCATGAGCCACCACGCCCGGCCTCTCTGCAGTCTTGAACTCCCAGGCACAAGTGATCCTCCCACCTCAGCCCCCTGAGTACCTGGGACTATAGGCACGTACCACAACGCCTAATTTAAAAAAGCTTTTTTGTAGAGACAGGGTCTCACTATGCTGCTTTAACTCCTGGGTTCAAGTGATTCTCTTGCCTTGGCCTCCTAAAGTACTGGGATTACAGGGATGAACCACCACGCCCAGCCTTCTTCTAGTTTATTTCTCACTATTGTTCATACACATCACGTCTGCCTGACGGATCTCTGGGTTGTACTGCCATGCCACATCCCCACACCCGTTTTTCCTGTAATGTCCTCCTCTTTTTTGCCTATCCAAGCTCTTACTTATCTTAAAGGCCTAACTCAAACTTGCCTTTTCCATGAAGCTTTCACAAATTACTCAGCCCAAACTGATGTCTCTGAATTTACAGCTCTTATGCGGTAAAGTATCACGACTTAGGTCTTTTTGTTTTATGATATGTCTTATGTTGTTTTGTCCTTGCTTTATTAGTTTGACTTGTGCAGCTAACTCCTACTCACATCTACAGGGAAGTCATCTCTGATTCTTGCCTAACACACACGATCTCTCTCTGGGCTCCCACAGCACTCTGTGCTCACTACTTATATAACTCACACCATGCTGTGATCATTTATTTGTCTGTCTCCCCAGCTAGAATGTTTAAAGTTGGGGTCTGAGTAAACCAGCTTCTAACAAATGCCTGACATTTAAAAAACAAGAGGGAAAATATCAAAACCACAGTAAAGGATTCCTACTTCTGGCAGCATGGATAAGAGAAAGTGCTATCCCATTAAAATACAACTAGATCCTAGATAAATTACAGCAAACATACTTTTTAGCACATTGCTGAGTTCATTAGAAAGAGAAATCACTAAAAAAAAAAAAAAAGTACAGGCCGGGCACGGTGGCTCACGCCTGTAATTCCAGCACTTTGGGAGGCTGAGGCACGCGGATCACGAGGTCAGGAGATCGAGACCATCCTGGCTAACACGGTGAAACCCCGTCTCTACTAAAAATAAAAAAAATTAGCCGGGTGTGGTGGCGGGTGCCTGTAGTCCAAGCTACTCGGGAGGCTGAGGCAGGAGAATGGCATGAACCTGGGAAATGGAGGTTGCAGTGAGCCGGGATTGCGCCACTGCACTCCAGCCTGGGCAACAGAGCGAGACTCCATCTCAAAACAAAACAAAATACAAATTTAAAAAAGAAAGTTGAAACCTATATAAAGGAAGAGCAACATGGAGTAGTAGAAGCAGGTTTACCCTGAGGACAAATCCCAGTGTCAGCATTGTGATCATAGTCTAAGCCTTGGGCCTAGGCCAAGGGAAGAGAAGAAAAACCTGCAACTCCTGAATTAAACCTGGACTCTTGAAGGGGCTAACATAGTCCCAGGTTTATGCAAATGCAAATCCTCTCTGGAGGGAAGTATTCCTAATTTAGGTCCTCGGAATTCCCACAGATTAAATTTAACAAAAATGAGTTCAAAACCCCAAATATAAAATAGGCAAGGCACGCTGGCTCACACCTGTAATCCCAACACTTTGGGAGGCCATGGCGGGTGGATAGCTTGAGGCCAGAAGTTCGAGACCAGCCTGGCCAATATTGTGAAACTCCATCTCTACTAAAAAATACAAAATATTAGCCGGGTGTGGTGACATGCACCTGTAATCCCAGCTACTTGGGAGGCTGAGGCAAGAGAATCTCTCGAACCCAGGAGGCAGAGGTTGCAGTGGGCTGAGACTGCACCACTGCGCTCCAACATGGGTGACAGAGCAAGACGCCATCTCAAAACAAAAAACAAAAAAACCCAAAATATAAAGTATACAAGTAAACAAGCTACCATGGACAGGACTCAGCAGAAAACAACAAAATGGATTTAGACATCCAAGATGTTACAGAATATAAAATAACAATCCCAACACATTTCAAAGAATTGGTGTCATAGACACTACATTCTCTGAACACAAATGATTAAGCTAAAAATCAGTATCAAAAAGATACAATTTGGGCCAGGTGCGGTGGCTCATGCCTGTAATCCCAGCACTTTGGGAGGCTGAGGCGGGCGGATCACAAGGTCAGGAGATCGAGACTACCCTGGCTAACACGGTGAAACCCTGTCTCTACTAAAAAACACAAAAAATTAGCTGGGTGTGGTGGCGGGCACCTGTAGTCCCAGCTGCTCCGGAGGCTGAGGCAGGAGAATGGCCTGAACCCGGGAGGTAGGCTTGCAGTGAGCCAAGATCACGCCACTGCACTTCAGCCCAGGCGACAGAGTGAGACTCTGTCTCAAAAAAAAAATACAATTTTAAATCTCCAGATATTTGGAAGTTTATAAAATGTTTCTAAATAGTTCATGAGTCAAAAAGTCATAAAGGTAATTTAAATATTTTTAGAACTAAGTAATAAAAATACAGCACAGAAAAACTTGTGGGATGTAGAGAAACAGGTTATTAAAAACTTAAAATAGTGAAGAAGATAGCCTGAAAATTAATTGGCTAAGTGTCAAAATGAATATGTTGTAAAGGAACATAAAATTAAACCTAAAGAAAGCATAAAAAAGATAGCTATAGATAAGATCCATAATTAATGAAATGGAAAACAAATACATAAGGGAGAGGATCAACAAAGCTCAAAGTAGCATCTGAAGATATATAGGTAAAATAAATTGCTGGTGCAACTGATCAAGACCAAAAAAGGAGGCACAAGTAAACAACAGAAATGAAAAGGAAGATATGCCTATCCACAGAGCAGAGATAAAAAAGAAACAAGGCCAGGAGCAGTGGCTCACGCCTGTAATCCAAGCACTTTGAGAGGCAAAGGCAGGCTGATCACTTGAGATCAGGAGTTTGAGACCAGCCTGACCAACATGGTGAAACCACCTCTCTACTGAAAATACAAGAATTAGCTGGCCGTGGTAGCACACACCTGTAATCCCAGCTACTCCGGAGGCTGAGGCAGGAGAATCGCTTGAACCCGGAAGGCAGAGGTTACAGTGAGCCAAGACTGCGCCACTGCCCTCCAGCCTGGGCGACAGAGCGGGACTCTGTCTCAAAAAAAAAAAAAAAAAAAAAAGAAGAGCCGGGCACGGTGGCTCACGCCTGTAATCCCAGCACTTTGGAAGGCTGAGGCGGGCGGATCACAAGGTCAGGAGTTCGAGACCATCCTGGCTGACACGGTGAAACCCCATCTCTACTAAAAATACAAAAAAAAATTAGCCAGGTGTACGTGGTGCATGCCTGTAGTCCCAGCTACTCGGGAGGCTGAGGCAGGAGAATGGCGTAAAACCCAGGAGGCAGAGCTTGCAGTGAGCCGAGATCACGCCACTGCACTCCAGCCTGGGAGACAGAGCGAGACTCTGTCTCAAAGAAAAAAAAAAAAAAAGAAACTAGAAGAAATATATGCATTTTGTGTTAAAAAAAATACATGAAATGCACAAAACCCTAGAATAATACTTTACCTAAGCTGACTCAAGAAGAATAGAAAGCCCAGTCTATAATTATTAAAGAAATGGAATCAATAGTTAAAATTATTCCCACAAAGAAACATCAATCTCAGATAGCTTTACAGGTGAGTTTTACCAAACTTTCAAGGAACAGTTTGTTTCAATCTGATATAAACTCTTCCAGAGAATAAGACAAGAGGGAACAGTTCCCAACTTAGAGGTTATATAAACCAAAGGACCATGGTAGAAGCCTCTTTAGAAATCTTACTGAAAACAAAGGCACTAACATGTACAAGAATGTTCATAGCAGCAGTTTGAAATAGCAAAATACTGAAAATATCCAAAGATCCATTGATAGGTGAATGGATAAATAACTTGTGGTTTATGAACTTGATAAAATATTATGCAGATGAAAATGAATGAATCATAGCTATCTACAACAGCATGGATGAATCTTAGAAACAATGGTAAGTGAGAAAAAGCAAACTGCAGGGGACTATTAGAGTATAACATAGCTGGGCACAGGTGGCTCATGCCTGTAATCCCAGCGCTTTGGGAGCCCAAGGTGGGCAGATGGCTTGAGCCCAGGAGTTCAAGACCAGCCTGGGCAACATGGTGAAACCCCATCTCTACTAAAAATACAAAACTTCAGGCATGGTGGCAGGCACCTGTAGTCCCAGCTACTAGGGAGGGTGAGGTGGGAGGATTGCTTGAGCCCAGGAAGTGGAGGTTGCAGTGAGCTGAGATCACACCACTGCACTACAGCCTTCACAATAGAGTGAGACTGTGTCTCAAAAAAAAAAAAAAAAAGTATAACATTTTCTGTAAAGCTAAAAAACAAGCAAAATTAAACACATTTTTAAAATTATATATACATATATGGTTAAAAAATATCTATAGCAGATAATAGACACGAAAATTAAGGACAGTGGTTACCGCTAAGAAGAGGCGGGGGACAGGCTAGGGAGGAACACAAACACAATGGTATTTAAAATGTTTTAATGTATATGTGTTATGGGTCATAGGTACTCATTAGTATGCTTCATAATTTATTCACGTTAGATATACTCTTTATAGATATCAAATATTACATATTATAATTTCTTAAAATCTGCTGTGGTGGAAATAAATGAACACATGAAGTCTCCCTGAAAGAAAATCAGTGTTTCTTGGGAAGAACCAAGATTCCCTGACAGAAGCTACCCTATGTAGAGGACAAAGTAGGTCTTCAATAAATATTAGTTGGTTTACTGCTTTTCCCAAGGATACATCTGGAGGGTCTGCATTCCTTTCTCATTGGTGCCGCCTGACCACAGAACTAGCTTTTTCCGTGACATCTAACCTAAACCCCGCAGTCCTAAGTCCTGACACGTATGACAAGATGCTGCCACCTGGTGGATACAGAATAGATTTAATGAAATGGCTAGGAAGTCTTTCACTCTAGTTGGTGGAACTGGCAATAGGGTGAGAGGGAAGCAGGAATGAGAAGACAAAAATTAAGAAACAGGAAAAGGAAGGAGCTCCATCTCTAATATGGAGGTAGAAAAAAAGGGACTATCATCTAAATGAGACTGAAGAGTCCCTAGAGGAGAATGGCTTCCCTCTCCTTCCTTCTGAGACTAGAAACGAGGAAAGAGGCTACAGCTTGTATTGAGGGAAATGCAAGACTGAGGAGAAAAGAAAGCAGGTCTAGCTGATCTCAACTTAGCAAGCTAAAATAAGAGTAGCCTGGTGTTAGCGGCCACCCAAGCAACTCCCTGCTCCTAGTTTCCACTTGGGGAATCCATGTGATTTTGGGGAGGCTGACCCCCACCCTTTTCCCCAAAGGTGTTGTCCATGATATAGAATAAGCAAATTAGCATGTATCATCCTCCTGGCCACAGTGATTGGTCAGGGTGGACATGTGACCCAGGCCTAATCAGTGTGAATATTAGGGCTTTTGCTGAGATTTCTGGTACAAAGATGCCTTCTTTTTCTGATTGGACATAAATGGGGAAAAGTGTAATCTTAGGAATGCTGGCAGCCATTAAGTGGCCCAGACTTAAATGGTCCTACAGAAGATGCAACAGTGAGAAAAAAGTCAGTCCGGTATTTAGAGACATACTGAACTACTGGGTCAAGTCTTCACCTGGAGCCAGCACTACCTATGGACTTTCTAGTTACATGAACCAATAAATCCTTTTTATTTTAAGCCAGTTTGAATTAGGTTTTCTGTGATTTAAAACCAAAAGATCCCTAACCTATATATTCATCATACTTAGCCCATTCCTACCTTCCCACAGGATAGCACAGGGAATACAGGTAAGGTCACTACAGATTTATTGGTTACACTAAAGCCCAGGGTATCAAGCTGAAAAGGTCAGAGGCAGCAACCAGGTACTAAGTAGACTGGGTGACTCAGCTGTCTGTACAGAGGAGAATGGACTTCCTTAGGAAAAGAATAGCCAAATGAGAAGCAAGTGCAAAGAAGGGCCTCTACTAGGCAAAGTTAACGTAGGGATATAAACACTCTTCCCCACAGACCTGTATCATGGGGGTGTTGCTTTTGGGTCTTTATGCTCCTGGGATAAGGAACTTTGAAGCACATGCTCCTTTAAGTCTTTATTACCCTGTGGTGCAGTGTCTACCTCTCCCTTTGCCAAAGGAAAAGCCTCCTTTTGGCTTCTGCTGCCCTTGATGACACTCACTTTTGAGGGGACCAAGGGAATTTTATCTTCTGCTTCTTTGGTATGCTGGGAACCGGGGCCCCTTCCTCCTTTGGAAACAGTACCATCTCCCTGACCCTGGGCAAGTACTGCCCCCTTTTCAGCCTCTCCCATTGGCCCTGGCCTCTCTGCCCCTCCAGCTGAGTTGCCTTCCCCTCCTGAGCCCCATGTCTCCCATGGTAACCTTGAGGACTGGGCAGATTCCATGGCAGCTGCTGACTTGAGAGGGGTAGAATTCCTTTCCCCACTTCCACCTGACTTTTTTCGAGGGCGCCCCCGTTTCCTTTTGGCATCACTTGCTGTATCCTCTATATCCTGCTTTGCTGCTTTAGCTGGTGGAGCCTGCCCACTGGCCTCACTCACAGGTACTTCAGCTGTCCTCTTGACACCCTTGTCATGTGGTCCTTGGTCACCACCTATGCCTACCTCTCTGTTCTCTGTGCCCCGGGGCTGAGTGAGTCCCCCAGGTGGAGCTCGCCCAGGCCCAGGTCCAGGTCCAGGCAAAGCAGGAACAGTTGGTAAGATCATGTTAATGATGGGCACAGCTGCTGGGGGTGCCCCGGCCCTACTAGACAGAGGCAGTGTAGCCACTTTCAGGGCACCTGAAGAAAGCCTGGGGGCCAGAATAGGTGGAGAGACTGGGATTGGCGGAATTAGTGAGCGAGGGGCCCGGGGAAGGAGCAGAGGCAGCCGAGCCACTAGGGCATTAACCTGCAGGTTATTGGCTCCTGGGGCCGAGCTCTCAACTACACTCTTCTTCCGCTCTCCACGTGCGAGAGGACCGGCCCCAGTTCGGGCTTCCAGATCCTTAGGAGGCTAAAAAGTAAAGAGAGGAACACAGTAAGGTGTGAAGAATGAGTATTGGGGGAAACATAGACGCCAGAGGCACAGGAGGTGGAAAAGCAAGGGACCCAATTGGAGAAGGATATACTAAGCCCCCAGCCCAGGACAGCAAAGTCAGGGCCACTGACTTCCTTACCTGGGCCAGTCTCTCTGGCTTCTTGTGGGCTCCACCCTCTGGGTTCTCTAAACCATTCTTTGGTTTAGATGACCGTTCCCGAGGTGCATGTTCGTCCTCTTCTGCAGAGGTACCAAAAAGGTAATAGAGTGAAGGTGAGGAGGAAACTGAGGAATAGGGGAGTGAGGCAATTCTGATTGACTGACTGGTAGAGACAGGAAATGGGGTGCTAAAGCATGTCTTAGAAGGGTCTCCAGGAAGAGGGGGCAAATCCAAGGTGTCTCTATTCTAGTGTGTGGGAGGGCCACTGAAGCTGAAAGTGGCTCAGGGTTGCTGAGACATAAGAGAGGGTCAACACACCAGCGAGCCCCATGGCCTTAAGCACATGGGCATGTGCAGATCGGGCAGAGATGAGATGCTGCTGTAGCAGGAAGCGGGCGACCTCAACGATGGAACTGAAGGACCGTTTCAGGATCCGCTCTGCCCAGTCACAGGTCAGGGCACACGCTGCCTCCACCAGTTCATCTCGAGGTGCTGGGGTTACTTCTGGGCCCATTTCTGGCTGAAGTGGGGAAGGACATGCCCAATCACACTCCAAATTAAAGAACCCTTGCCTCCTCTCTTGTCAGAGATCAAAGACTATTGACCAAAGCTGAGACCAGACTGGGGATGGGAGTAGCCTCTACCTATCCCATTGCAGAAGCCCACAAGTTCTCTTCATCCTCTGCCTCAGCTACAGGGTTGGCAGAAGGGAACATCATACCTAGAAGCTATGTACATAATGACTGAGGCTGTTAGCCCTCAAAACATGCCCCAAAGACCTCTGACTTTTACCTGGGAGAGAAGAGTGGAATTGGAAGGTGATTTGGTACTTACACTCTCAGAACCCTTTAGGTCAAGTCCAGGCAGGGGTGGCATAGACACCAAGGTCTTCCTCCTTATGCCACTGTAGCAATATCTGATGCAAGTTAAAGAGCAGCCAACACATGGCGATCTCCAAGCCCCTCGAGCAAGTTAAGCTGTTCCACTCCTTGCTCTCCACATCCTAAGTCTTCCTCCCAGGTCCTCCACCCCCAACCTCTCTAGTCAAGGATACTTGGACTGGCCCCGGCCACCAAGCCTTCGAGCTTTGATGTCAGGGAAGATCTCTCTGATGATCTTGCCAAAGTTGGCTGTGCTGAGTGGGCGGCAACAGGCAAGACTCTCACAGTACTTCCTGAGTGAGAGGGGAGCAGAGTGGGAAGATACTCAGAGAAGGAGGCCATGGGTAGGCTCGAAGAGTCCCTAGGGATCAAGTGTGAGGAACCCTTTAAGAAGGCAGGCTTTATCAAGGCAGGAAGCTCTTCATGGGTGAGGGGGTCCTATGCCCACCAATCCACTCATCCCACCACCCACCCCTCCACCCACCGATAGGCATCATAAACACTTTGCTTTGGCAGACAGGTGTCAGTGTGCTCTTCCAGGTGGTTGCGGATCCACCTATAGGCATACATGTACTCCTCATTGCTCAGTGTACTTGGCTCTGAGCTACAGAAACAAAAGGAACAAGCATTACTAAGACCCTAACAGTTGTCCTGGTTCTTCCCAAACTACCACTTCAGTAGTGCTGGACCAAATTTAGTTCACCCAGAATCTAACTTTCCCTGGTAAACCAAGTCAGGGCGAGGACCTTTCCTCTTCATCAAGGACAGCATTTACGAGTATTCCTATTCACCTCACCCCTTCCCAGTGAACCTTTCTCTAAGAATCAGAACCTCTGCCATCTAAAACTACTATCAAACCTACCTTTTGTCTCCAGTGGTGGGTCCTGAGGGGAGCTGAAGGTAGAGATACAGCTTGTCATTGTCAGAAAATTTCTGTACATCTTGCTGAGGTAGGAGAGAACAGAGGCAGGAGAAATAATAAGGCCAAGAAGGACCCAATATAGGACCCTCTGATCCCCACACCAAAGTCTAGCTGACTTACAGGGTGTCAGACTGAAAAAGGACCTTAGAAATTATTTGACAAGGCCGGGCACGGTGGCTCACGCCTACAATCCCAGCACTTTGGAAGGCCAAGGCAGGCTGATCACAAGGTCAGGAGATCGAGACCATCCTGGCTAACATGGTGAAACCCCGTTTCTACTAAAAATACAAAAAAAAATTAGCTGGGTGTGGTGACGGGCGCCTGTAGTCCCAGCTACTTGGGAGGCTGAGGCAGGAGAATGGCGTGAACCTGGGAGGCGGAGCTTGCAGTGAGCCGAGATTGCGCCACTGCACTCCAGCCTAGGCGACAGAGTGAGACTCCATCTCAAAAAAAAAAAAAAAAAAGAAAGAAATTATTTGATGCTAGGTGCTCTGAGGAGCCCTATAGGCTACCATGGAGAGGAGGGAAGTAGAGGGGATCAGCTCTGACTTCATCTCTGCTGGGCTTCTATGCAAGTGCTCACAGAGATCAAGTGAGAGGCACAAAGTCAAACTGGCAGCAAGTTTGCAAAGCCAACTATCTTCTGACAAGGCAGAGGACCCTACCTCTCCCACATCAATGTTTTGTTGATGCCCATCATCCTCACATCCTCCTCCCTCAGCATTTCCATCCCTCTCTTGCCCTCTTCCCCAACACACTTACCAGGATCCCCTCTACTTTGTTCTGCACGGCCTTGCTGTGGGGAAGAGGAGAAAGCTGGAGGTCACACACAAGATTTTCCCTGTCTCTTTATCTGACTGCTAGGGAGGGAAAAGGACTGAAATGCCCAGCAGGTGCTCAAGAATTGCTACCATGGCCAAAAATCTCCCTCTGCTCCCATGCCCTTGCTGAGAGGCAGTTCATCTACAGCCAAAGTGAAGTGCTGCAGGGATCTATACTCAGGTCTTGGACAGGACTTGGAGATGTGATGAGTACTTACGAAATGGTACCTCGGAGCCTCTGAAGAAGGGTGGTAGGTTCCCCAGCCTCAGCACCACCTGGGGGGGCCCTTCCCCCAGTCTTGGGGCTCTTAGCATCAGGCTCATCTTCTGCCATCCCGGCATGAGGGCTAGAATTGAGAGGGACAGGCATAAAGATGTAACTCACACTGGCCTTCCCTTCCCCAGAAGGCCCCAGGGCACTCCTCATCTCTTTACCCAGAAAGGCAGAGAAACAGAAACAAAGCCTCCGAATTTCCCCGGTGGTCTTTTTCTCACCACTTGCCTTCTCCGAAAATTAGAAATTATTCCATTACTTCGCCAGGCCCATATATGCCCAAAGAGATCTTTGCCATCTCCATTCTATCTGCCCCACCTTTCTGAAGTCTCCTAAATCTGGAAAACTGTAAAGGAAGAGATAGGGGGATTGGGAATCCATGTTAGCAAGAAATTTTCATTTCTGCCTCTGACCCCATACTGCCCTCCTCCCCCTCAAAAACAACAATAACAGCCACAAAACAAAGTTCTCTAATTCTCAAAAATACTCCTCACCATTGCATATGCCTGGGAGGTCAGAAAGGATACGAACATATTCTGCCCTTCTAGGCTTGGAAAAAAAACTGGGCCCAAGTTCTCATTACTTAATCTCGCCACGACTTCCCCCGCTGCTCCCCCTCCCCACGTCGCCGGCCCCTACGTCATCTCCCACAACAGCCCATCCTGAGGCGCGCCCCCACCTCCTTCCCTTCCCCCTCCATTCAATCCCCGGTTTCTGCAAAGTGGAGCGGGGGTGGGGCGGGGTAGCGGAACTCATGCGCTGGGCGTCAGAAACCCGGCAGGGGAATGGGGTCCCAGATTCCGGGCACGTGCACATGGGTGAAGAAGCTGTTGAAAATACAGCTACAATCTTTTTCTGCTCTCCTCCCAACTCATCTTGCCCCTCCCTACCTCTGAACAGTCGCCTTCCAACACAAGCAACAATAAAGGTAAGGGAGAAAGAGAAACTACCTCGTAGCCACCTTCACTCCAGCCCAGCCCCAAGGTCCTGGCCCAGCCGGCTCGTGCGTTGCTTTATTTTCCTTTTTCTGAATGGTTGTAACAGCCGCGATCTGCCTAGATACACGGGCGGCCTGCTCTGTCATTGGTCACTGCTGCCACCCGGAGACAGAAGGCGCCGGGCTCGTACCGGCGGCCGCTGAAGTCTGCCTGGTAACAGAATCTGATTGGTCAATAGGGGAGGGAAAATCCAAAGTTGGTCTTATTTGAGTCAAGAGGGGGAAGTCCGGGTTGGGTTTCGGTTAAAACTGGGGTCGGTTGGGACTGCAGGTCCCAAGAGGTTCTTCTCTTAAAGGGACCGCAGGATGAAAGAACGGGCGCTCGGCTCCCTTTGGAACTGTCTTTTCTTTTGCCCTCCCCTTTTGTGTTTCAGTTTAGTCTACGGTCCTCAGAGCTGCCGGAAGAGAAGAATCAATGGATGATAAAATAACTAGACAATGATGGGTAGGAGTGATGGAAGTTCACTGTAAGCTCCTATAACCCCCCATCACCATCACCACATGCCTAATACAACCTGCAGACACACTTACTCGCAACAGACCTGCAATCTGGGCTCTCTTTTCCTTCTTGATGGAGGCCTCAAAACCTCAGCAGTTGTACCCATTAAACTAAAATGCTTTTTCCCTCTTAGTATTTCTTGGTTTCCCGTGTGTACTTTACTTCCAAAGAGTTGCAAATGCATTTGCATCCCCATAGTTCTGCAGTCGGTGAACCCTGGAATTTTGATGGACTCCCACGGGGGTGCTGGATGCCACAGGAACTTTTTACACTCAGGGAACATTGTACTGAATAGGTCATGGGTTCTTAACCCTCTTACTTAAGACATTTTAAGGTTATGAATCAGACAAAAGCAATGGACCCTCTACCATGAAAAATGCACACAGAGACCAAGTTTTGCATCTAATTTCAGAGAGGTCATGGACTCCAGGTTGAAAGCCTCTTACATGGATGTATTTTGTTTTGCGCAGCGGTCATGTTACAACCAAAACTGTATTTGCCATCCTGACATCTAATATGTTCTCCAGGCTCATCATTAATGTGCTTTTGTAAAGAAGACAGTAGTGCTGCCTGAGCTCATCACCATTGCCCTTTACAGCCTACCTTTCCCTATTATCAGCTTCTATGAGTGCTGGGGGAACCCAGGAGATTGTGGAGTTGGGGCAATAAGGATATATTGGCAAGAGGTTTTCTTTTTTCTTTCTTTCTTTCTTTTTTTTTTTTCTTTGAGACGGAGTCTCGCTCTGTTGCCCAGGCTGGAGTGCAATGGCACGATCTTGGCTCACTGCAACCTCCGCCTCCTGGGTTCAAGCGATTCTCCTGCCTCACCCTCCCGAGTAACTGGGTTTACAGACGTGCATCACCACGCCCAGATAATTTTTGTGTTTTTAGTAGAGACGGAGTTTCACCATGTTGGTCAGGCTGGTCTCAAACTCCTGACTTCAGGTGATCCACCTGCCTTGGCCTCCCAAAGTGCTGGGATTACAGGTGTGAGCCACTGCACCTGGCCAGGTTTTCTAATAACAGCTAAAATTTATTTGGTGTTTATTAGGCCAGGCGCGGTGGCTCACGCCTGTAATCCCAAAACTTTGGGAGGCTGAGGTGGGCGGATCACCTAAGGTTGGGAGTTCGAGACCAGCTTGACCAACATGAAGAAACCCCGTCTCTACTAAAAATACAAGATTAGCCGGGCGTGGTGGCGCATGCCTGTAATCCCAGCTACTCGGGAGGCTGAGGCAGGAGAATCACTTGAACTGGGGAGGCGGAGGATTGTGCCATTACACTACAGCCTGGCAACAAGAGCGAAACTCCGTCTCAAACAAAAACAAACAAAAATTTATTTGGTGTTTATTAGGTATCAGACACCATACCAAATGCTAAACACCTCGTGTAATGCTCACAGCAACTCTCTGAAGTAGGTACTGTTACTGTCTCCATTTTACAGATGAGGAAACCAATGTGGAGAGGTGAAGGGACTTGTCCTTAGTCATATATGTAGAAAGTGCTAGAATCAGGATCCAAAGGCAGGCAGTCTGCCTCAAAGCTGATTGTTTTGAGCACTGCCTTAGACTGCATGTATACATATTTGCAGATACTCATAAATAAATATGGGTATAACGGGCTGGACATGATGGCTCATGCCTATAATCTCAATACTTTGGGAGGCAAAGGCAAGAGGATTGCTTGGGGCCAGGAGTTTGAGACCAGCCTGGGCAACAAAGTGAGACTCTGTCTCTCTCTAAACACACACACACACACACACACACACACACACACACACACACACACACACCACACACAGCCAGGTGTGGTGGTACATGCCTGTGGTTCCAGCAACTTGGGAGGCTGAAGCAGGAGGATCACTATTACCCATGAGTTCGAGGCTGCAGTGAGCTATGATTGCACCACTCTGTCGTGCAGCCTGGGTGACAGAGTAAGACCCTGTCTCAAAACAAACAAACAAACAAAAAACAAAAAAAAAGCCGGCTGGTGTGGTGGCTCATGCCTATAATCCCAGCACTTTGGGAGGCTGAGGTGGGCAGATCACCTGAGGTCAGTTTGAGACCAGCCTGACCAACATGGAGAAACCCCGTCTCTACTAAAAACAAAAAACAAAAAACAAAACAAAAAACAAAACAAAATTAGCCAGTCGTGGTGGTGCATGCCTGTAATCCCAGCTACTTGGCAGGCTGAGGCAGGAGAATTGCTTGAACCTGGGAGGCGGAGGTTGGGTGAGCCGAGATCATGCCATTGCACTCCAGCCTGGGCAACAAGAGCGAAACTCCATCTCTAAATAAATAAATAAATAAATAGCAAGCCAAATATGGATATAGACTGATGGAAAGATAGCCCTAACACCACTGTTTGGTATGAAGGAGAACCTAGAGCACTTTGGTTGCAAACAGAGTTTTGGGTAAGTTATCTAGCTTAAAAATTTGCAGATAACAGGGAAAAACTGGAAGCTTTAGTAAGGGGGGAGAAAGTATCATAGTACATAGTACCTAGTAAAAGAGATGATTTTGACAGCACTATAGAAGGTAGAGTTGAGTGAAAGAAAAGGCTAGAGATAGGAAAGAGGAAACTATTAATTTATGCCAGGCATTGTGTTAAGAGCTAGGGATACAAAGCTGAATAAGGTATGGTCCTTGCCTTGGGCAGTAACAATAAAAATTGTCCGGATAAGCATCATATAACAGCAAGTATTTATACAGAGCCTAATATGTGTTGGGGCCCGTTCTTTTTTTTTTCGAGACGGATTCTTGCTCTGTCACCCAGGCTGGAGAGCAGTGGCGCAATCTCGGCTCACTGCAAGCTCTGCCTCCCAGGTTCAAGTGATTCTCCTGCCTCAGCCTCACAAGTAGCTGGGACTACAGGCGCCTGCCACCACACCGGGCTAATTTTTTTGTATTTTTAATAGAAACGGGGTTTCACCATGTTAGCCAGGATGGTCTCTATCTCCTGACCTCGTGATCCGCCCGCCTCAGCCTCCCAAAGTGCTGGGATTACAGGCGTGAGCTACCGCGTGCGGCCTCAGATAGATACTATGATTATCCCCATTTTACAGGTGAGGAGACAGGCATTGAAAGGTTAATAATTTGCCCAAGATTACATCATAATTTAGTAAGCTATGGAGCCAGGATCTGCACCTAGGCTCTTTGCGTTGCAGCTTTTTTTTTTTTTCCTTTTTAGACAGAGTCTCACTCTGTCATCCAGGCTGTAGTGCAGTGGCTCCACTGCACTTGGCTCACTGCAACCTCTGCCTCCCAGGTTCAAGTGATTTTCCTACCTCAGCCTCCTGAGTAGCTGGGATTACAGGCGTGTGCCACCACACCTGGCTAATTTTTGTATTTTTAGTAGAAATGGGGTCTCACCATTTTGGCCAAGCTAGTCTTGAGCTCCTGACCTCAAATGATCCACCCACCTTGGCTTCCAAAAGTGCTGGGATTATAGGCGTGAGCCACCATGCCTGGCCTGTTGCAGCTTTTTCACTCTTGCTGTTTGGAGAGTGGGAGGGAGTGTTCCAGCATTTTCACTTCAACTGCTGGTGGACTCTGTATTCTTGTCCCACGACCAAGAAGAATAAGGTGTGTAGACACTGGAGAGTGAGTAAGGCAGTCAGATTTATTTATTTATTTACTTATTTATTTTATTATTTTTTTTGAGATGGGGGAGTCTCACTCTGTCACCTGAACTGGAGTGCAGTGGCATGATCTTGGCTCACTGCAACCTCCGCCTCCCGGGTTCAAGCGATTCTCTTGCCTCAGCCTCCCAAGTAGCTAGAACTGTAGGTGCCTGCTACCACACCCAGCCAATATTTTGCTTTTTGTTTTTTTTTTGGCGGGGGGGCGATGGAGTTTCACTCTGTTACCAAGCTGGAGTGCAGTGGCACAATCTTGGCTCACTGCAACCTCCACCTCCTGGGTACAAACAATTCTCCTGCCTCAGCCTCCCAGGTAGCTGAGATTACAGGCGCCTGCCACCATGCCCAGCTAATTTTTGTATTTTTAGTAGAGATGGTGTTTCACCATGTTGTCCAGGACGGTCTCAATCTCTTGACCTCATGATCTGCCCGTCTTGGCCTCTCAAAGTGCTGGGATTACAGGTGTGAGCCACCGAACCTGGCTAATTTTTTGTATTTTTAGTACAGACGGGGTTTCACCATGTTGGCCAGGCTGGTCTCAAACTCCTGACCAGCCAGAGTCAGATTTATTAAGCAACAGAAAAGCTCTCAGCAAAGAGGGGGCCTGAAAGAGGATTGCCAGCTATGAGGCTGAGTGGGAGGGTGAGGAGGGTGGCTTATGGACTGGGAAAGGGAGGAGTGTGCTGATCGGGCCTGCAGGCTATCTTGCAGAAAGCACCACTCAGAAAGAGGTATGATAGTGTAAAGAACCAGTTGGAGGCAGAAGTGAAGGCTTGGCTCAACAACTTGGCCTGGAACCAAGTCAGGGGCTGAAGTGAAAGCTTGGGCCAGGACCTTGGCCTGGAACCAATCAGGGGCTGAAGTGATGATTCACCCTATGTAAATGAAGACTCCCGCTGTGGCCAATCACAGAAAGGTAAGCATATGTAAAATAGATGAAAACTAAGAGACTAAGGTGTGCCAAAGAGAGTGAAATATGTCCAAAAAGGGAGTGGTATTTGTTCATCTGGGTTCCTAGAGTAGGTATTTCCATTCCAGGATGCGGGCTGTCACTTATCTGGGGCCTGCAGTTTAATTTTCAGGCTGTTCTTTGTTTGAAGGAGTTTTACCAAGGACCCACCTTAACTGCCTGCCTGACTGGTTTCTTCTTTCTCCTCTCTCATTTCATTCAGAATTTGCTCTTGGACACTATTATACATTGCCTACTAAGATTGGGAGTGAATTTTTTTTTTATTTTTTAAGACAGTGTCTTGCTTTCTCACGCAGGCTGGAGTGCAGCAGCACAAGCTCGGCTCACTGCAACCTCCACCTCCCGAGTTCAAGCAATACTCCTGCCTCAGCCTTCCGAGTAGCTGGGATTACAGGCACGTGTCACCACACACGGCTAATTTTTTATATTTTTGGTAGAGATGGGATTTCACCATGTAGGCCAGGCTGGTCTTGAACTCCTGACCTCAAGTGATCTGCCCATCTTGGCCTCCCAAAATATTGGGATTACAGGCGTAAGCCACTGTATCTGGAGCTTTTTTTTTTTTTTTTTTTTTTTTTTACCACTGCACTCCAGCCTGGGTGTCAGTGAGACTCTGTCTCAAAAATAAATAAAGAAAGAAACAAATGAACAGCTGGGCACAGTGGCGCATGCCTGTAATCCCAGCACTTTGGGAGGCTGAGATGAGTGGATCACTTGAAGTCAGGAGTTCAAGACCAGCCTGGTCAATATGGTGAAACCCCATCTCTACTAAAATTATAAAAATTAGCTGGGCTGTGGTGGCGTGTGCCTGTAATGCCAGCTACTTGGGAGGCTGAGGCGGAAGAAACACTTGAACCTGGGAGGCGGAGGTTGCAGTAAACCTAGATGGCGCCACTGCACTCCAACCTGGGCAACAGAGTGAGACCCTGTCTCAAAAAAATAGGTAAAAATAAATAAATAAATAAATACAATACAATACAATAATAAAAAAGAATACAAAGACAAGCTGCAAATTGGGAGAATATATTTTCAAGACATATAACTGACAAAGGATTATTATCTGGAATTTTTGAAGACTTCCTACAAAAAAAGATAACCAGCTGGGCATGGTGGCTCACGTCTGTAATCCTAGCACTTTGGGTGGCTGAGATGGGCAGATCACTTGAGGCCAGGAGTTTGAGACCAGCCTGGCCAACATGGTGAAACTCTATCTCCACTTAAAATACAAAAATTAGCATTAGCTGCGCATAGTGGTGCACACCTGTGGTCCCAGCTACTTGGGAGGCTTAGGTAGGAGAATCGCTTGAACCTGGGAGGCAGAGGTTGCAGTGAGCTGAGATCGCACCACTGCACTCCAGCCTGGGCATCAGAGTGAGACTCTGCCTCAAAAAAAAAAAAAAAAAAGAAAAGAAAAAGAAAAAAAAGATAACAAACTAGAAAAATGGATGGGAATTTCACAAAAAAAGCAGAAATGGCTCATAAACATATGAAAAGTTATTCCCTATGTAATAATCAGGAAAATGCAAATTTTAGAAGATACCATTTCACACCCACTAAATTGGCTTTTTTTTTTATTTGAGACAGGTTCTTGCTCTGTCACCCAGGCTGGAGTGCAGTGGCGTGATCATGGCTCACTGCAGCCTTGACCTCCTGGGCTCAAGCAGTCCTCCCACCTCAGCCTCCCGAGTAGCTGGGATCACAGGCACGGTACCACACCCAGCTAATTTTTTTGTATTTTTTGTGTAGACAGAGTGTCACCTTGTTGCCCAGGCTGGTCTTGAACTCCTGAGCTCCAGCGATCTGCCCACTTTGGCCCCCCAAAGTGTTGGGATTACAGGTGTGAGCCACAGCAAAAGTTTTAAAGTCTGGCAATATTGAGGGTTGACATGGTTATGAATCAACAAGCGCTTTCATTCACTGTTGCGGGAGTGTAATTTGGTAAAACTGTTTTGGAAAATAGTTTGATATTACCTGGTGAAGTCGAATATGTGAGTATTTCAATTTACATTTAATATCTCAGTAATCCTGCTCTTAGACATATGCCCTAAAAACACAGGCAGTAAAGTTTATAGTCTCACTGCTTGCATTAGCAAAAACTGGAAATGACCCAATATCCGTCAACCCTAGAATGATAAGTTGTGATATATTCACTGGATGGAATGTCATAGAGCAGTGGAAATTAATGAGCTACAGCCACACACATCCACTGGATGAACTTCAGAAAGTGAAAAAACCAAAACCCAGAAGAAAACATACAGTGCAATGCAATTTATAAATATTTAATATCAGGCAAAACTGAACAATATATTGTTTATGGGTAAATACATAGGTGGTAAAAATAATTAATAAAAAGCAATAGAATCATGACCATAAAATTAAGGATAGAAGTTACCTATAGTGAGCAAGGGAAAAGAGTTTGGGAATGGTTGTTTGGCAGTTAGTAACACCTTACATAGCATCTAATTTAATATGCTTGTTTTCCAATGAATGGCCAGCCATTTCAATATATACTATCATTTTCTTCTTCTTTTAACTGTTTCCTTTTACAGTTTTATCATATGCTTTTATTGTATACTAAGTTTCCTTGTATAGTTAGGTGTATTTCTGGATCTTAGCCTCTCTTTTTAAAAAAATTTTAATTTAATTTTATTTTTTTAAGACAGAGTCTCACTCTGTTACCCAGGCTGGAGTGCGGTGGCAGGATCCTAGCTCACTGCAGCCTCAAACTCCTTGGCTCAAGTGATCCTCCCACCTTGGTGACCTGAGTAGCTGAGATTATAGGCGCATGTCTCTTTTGTTGATTCTTTTTGTCTATTTCTCCACCCATAACACACTGTTTTAGTTAATGTTTTGAAATACTATATTTCAAAGTATAGTATATTTTGAAATCTAATGCTGAGAGTCTTCTGTTATTGGTTTTATTAACTAAAAAAATTATTCCTATATATGGAAGATTGTATTTTCCAAATGTGGCCACAATGTTTCTGGTTCCACACACTGTTTCAGAACCTTACAACTTCCCTGTCAAGAGGTGGAGTCGGCCGGGCATGGTGGCTCACACCTGTAATCCCAGCACTTTGGGAGGCTGAGGCAGGTGTACCACCTGAGGTCAGGAGTTTGAGACCAGCCTGGCCAACCTGGTGAAACTCTGTCTCTACTAAAAATACAAAAAATTAGCTGGATGTGGTGGCGGGTGCCTGTAATCCCAGCTATGTGGGAGGCTGAGGCGGAAGAATTGCCTGAACCCAGGAGGCAGAGGTCGCAGTGAGCTGAGATCATGCCATTGCACTCCAGCCTGGGTGACAGAGTGAGACTCCGTCTCAAAAATAAATAAATAAATAAACAGATAGATACATAGATAAATAAATAAATGAAAGAAATGGAGTCTAGTCCCCTGTTTCCTTGAACCTGGGAAGGCCTTTGTGACAGGCTCAGTAATTGGAATGTGGTGGAAGTGATGCTGTGTGACTGTCAAGTGTCGGCTGGAGTAGGTGACACACCTTCACATTTGCTGCTCTCTCTTGGAACACTCGCTCTTGGAACCCAGCTACCATGTTGTGAGGGAGCCAAGCAGCCATATGGAAAGGTCATGTGTAGATGTTCTGGCCCCAGCTGAAGGTCCAAGTGACAGCAGCATGAGTCTCCAGACATGTGAGTAAGTGAGCTATCAGATGATTCTAGCCTCTAGCCTTTAAGCTGCCTCCACTGACACCAAGCAGAGACAAGCTGTTCCTGCTGAGCCCTGTCCAAACTACAGATCTGTGGGCAAAAGTAATGTTGTCATTGCTTTAAGCCACTAAGTTTTGGGGTAGTTTGTTACACAGCACTAGGTAACTGGAACAGTATACATTCGCATTTCCAGGCTAGTTTTAGAAAGAGCTTGTCAAGTTTCATAAAAAATCTCACCCCTCTGAGGTAACATGTTCTGATAAGTATCCTGCCGTATTCACTTCCATGTCATTGCAAACACAGGGCCACTTAAATAGAGGTTTTGTTTTGTTTTGTTTTCTGAGATAGAGTCTCGCTCTGTTGCTCAGGCTGGAGTGCAGTGATGCAATCTCGGCTCACTGCAACCTCTGCTTCCCAGGTTCAAACGATTCTCCTGCCTCAGCCTCCTGAGTAGCTGTAACTACAGGTGTGTGCCAGCATGCTCAACTAATTTTTGTATTTTTAGTAGAGATGGGGTTTCACCATGTTGGCCAGGTTGGTCTCAAACTCCGGGCCTCAAGTGATCTGCCCTCCTTGGCCTCCCAAAGTGCTGGGATTGCAGGCGTGAGCCACTGCGCCTGGCCTTAAATAGAAGTTTTTGTTGCTATTGTGGTTGAATTTGTTTTTAAAACTGGGGATTATACTATAGTTATAGAATTATTCACATAACTCTACGATTACTTTTTTTCATGAACAATGTATTGCACACATTCCTCTAGGTCAGATAGTATTGAGAGTAGAGAGTCTGCCACACATCAAAATAAGGAAGTCAGGGAAGGGACTCCTAAGAGCATGCCAGAGGAGGCACAGAGCAGATATCCAGAGCATGGAGCCAGCTGGTCAAACACTTGGAAGATGAAAGTGGGAGGACTGGATGCAGGAATGTGAGAAGGAGGACCTCACTAATCCCTGAGATGAGTGCAATTGCCTGATGCTGTCTTTTAGAGACTTACTGGAGTGCAGTGTGTGAGATAATGCTTGAAGGACCAACGATGGGATAGAAATCTCCCAATGCTCTCTTATATCCTTTGTCCTGGTGGACTGGCACTACAGCTTTTCTGAGGGTGTCCCTGAGCTCAACAAACTTTCTAGAACCTTCTACATGGCCTCATAAGCCATGGTGCTGGCAGGAGATCCTAGGTGATATAGTAGACTTTTCCCACAGCACACTCCTCAGCTTTGCTATTCTTGCTCATCTAGCCTGGTTCTGGGGTGTGGGGTAGAATCTTTGTGAGTGCAGCAGAGAGAGGTATCTGGGTGGGTACCCTCTGCATGTTGCTGGTGCCTGGGTTGTCTGTTACAGGAGGGCCTCTTGTTTTTGGAGTCTGTTTCAGTGATGTAGGGTTAGACATAGTGAGAGGATGCCAAGATCAGGATAAAAGTGAATAGAATTTTAAGCTTTTATTATGAAAAAGATTTCTTTCTTTACAAAATTAATTTTATTGTGTATATTTAAGATATATATAATATTACTATAGTGAAGCAAATTAATATATACGTCTTCTCACAGTTACTCAATTTTTTTTTGTTTTTTTTTTGGAAGAACAGCTAAAAACTATGAAAAATTTCAAATATATAAGAGGAGAAGGAAGAATGTAATAAACACTCACATACACATACCCATCATCCTGCTTGAATGATTGTCCACATCTGATCATCTATTTTTTTTTTTTTTTTGAGACAGAGTCTTGCTCTGTCGCCCAGGCTGGAGTGCAATGACATAATCTCTGCTCACTGCAACATCTGCCTCCTGGGTTCAAGGGATTCTCCTGTCTCAGACTCCCTGGTAGCTGGGATTACAGGCATGCGCCACCACACCTGGCTAATTTTTTGTATTTTTAGTGCAGACAGGGTTTCACCATGTTGGTCAGGCTGGTTTCAAACTCCTGACCTTGTGATCTGCTCACCTTGGCCTCTCAAAGTTCTGGGATTACAGGTGTGAGCCACAGCGCCCAGCCCCCCCAACCTTTTTTTTTGAGACGGAGTTTGGCTCTTGTCGCCCAGGTTGGAGTGCAGTGGCGTGATCTCGGCCTGCAACCTCTGCCTCCCAGGTTCCAGCGATTCTCCTGCTTCAGCCTCCTGGGTAGCTGGGATTACAGGCACAGACCACCATGCCTGGCTAATTTTTGTATTTTTAGTAGAGATGGGGCTTCACCATGTTGGCCAGACCGGTCTTGAACTCCTGACCTCAGGTGATCTGCCTGCCTTGGCCTCCCAAACTGCTAGGATTACAGGCATGACCCACCGCACCTGGCCCTGATCTTTTTTTTTTTTTTTGACAGAGTCTCGCTCTGTTGCCCAGGCTGGAGTGAAGTGGCGTGATCTTGGCTCACTGTAACGTCGGCCTCCCATGGTCAAGAGATTCTCCCGCCTCAACCTCCTGAGTAGCTGGGATTACAGGCATCTGCCATGATGCCCAGCTAATTTTTGTATTTTTAGTAGAGATGGGGTTTCACATGTTGACCAGGCTGGTCTTGAACTCCTGACCTCAGGTGATCCGCCCACTTCAGCCTCCCAAAGTGCTGGGATTAGAGGCGTGAACCACCGCGCCTGGCCGATCATCTTGTTTTATCCATGCCTCCCCACTCTAAGTTAATATAATGCAGACATTCATTATATTGTATCATCTTTAAATACTTAGGTATTTACAGTAAATAATTTAATGTGACTAAAAAATAAAGACTCTCTTTTAATAATGCCCAAAGCCATGATCACACCTAAAAATTAAAAATTATCTCTTAGTATCATTACACATCTAGTCAGTGTTCAAATTTCTCTAGTTTTCTCAAAAACTGTATTTTTCTCTTGATAGGTTCAAATCAGGATCAACAAAGGTCACGCATTGCGTTGTAATTGGTTCGGTTAATGTGTTTCCTAATTCTTTCTAATCCATAGTCTGTCTCTCTCAGTGGGTCTGTTGAGGAGACAGGTCATTTGCTCTATAAGATTTCTCACATTCTGGATTTTTATTATTGTATCTTTATGGTGGTGTTTGTTTGTTTGTTTGAGACAGGGTCTGGCTCTGTCACCCAGGCTGGAGTGCAGTGGCATGATCACAGCTTACTGCAATCTCCACCTCCTGGATTCAAGCAATTCAAGCAGGATGATGGGTATGTTTATGTGGGCATTTATTACATTCTTCCTTCTCCTCTTATATGTTTGAATTTTTTCATAGTTTTTAGCTGCTCTTGCCAAAAAAACAAAAAAACGAGTAACTATTTGAGATGTTGTGTGCCTATGGTCCCAGCCTCAGCCTCTGGAGTAGCTGGGACCACAGGCACATGCCACCATGCCCAGATAATTTTTGTATTTTTTTGTAGAGAGGGGGTTTTTGCCATGTTGGCCAGGCTGGTCTTGAACTCCTGAGTTTAAGTGATCCACCCGGCTTGGCCTCCCAAAGTGCTGGGATTACAGGAGTTAGTCACCGTGCCTGGCCTATAGTATTTTTAAACTTGTTCTTCTGTTCCTTGTATCTCCTATAAACTGATGAGAGACCTAGAGGCTTGATCAGACTTTTTTTTTTTTTTTTTTGAGATGGAGTTTCTCTCTTGTTGCCCAGGCTGGAGTGACTGCAGTGGCACGATCTTGGCTCACTGCAACCTTTGCCTCCCAGGTTCAAGTAATTCTCCTGCTTCAGCCTCCCAAGTAGCTGGGATTACAAGCATGTGCCACCAGTCCTGGTTAATTTTTTGTATTTTTAGTAGAGATGGGGTTTCACCATGTTGGCCAGGCTGGTCTCGAACTCCTGACCTCAAGCGATCTATCCGCCTTGGCCTCCCAAAGTGCTGGGATTACAGGCATGAGCCAACACATCCGACAGGTGGGCAGCTCTGTTGCCCAGGCTGGAGTGCAGTGACGTGATCTCAGCTCACCAAAACCTCCATCTCCCATGTTCAAGCTATTCTTCTGCCTCAGCCTCCTTAGTAGCTGGGACTACAAGTGCACACCACCACACCTGGCTAATATTTGTATTTTTGGTAGAGATGGGGTTCACCATATTGGTGAGGCTGGTCTCGAACTACTGGCCTCAAGTGATCCACCCGCCTCGTCCCCCCAAAGTGCTGAGATTACAGGTGTGAACTACCATGCCCATCCCTTTTGTTCATTTTCTAACTGGAGTGTTTGGTTTTTTACTGTTGAGTTTTTAGAGTTTTCCACTCATTCTAGATACAAATCTTTTGTCAGATATGGCATGAATCCTTTAGACATAGCCCCAGTTGTCTTTTTTTTTTTTTTTTTTTTTTGTGACAGAGTCTCGCTCTGTCGCCCAGGCTTGATCGAGTGCAATGGCGTGATCTTGGCTCGCTGCAAGCTCTGCCTCCCAGGTTGAAGTGATTCTCCTGCCTCAGCCTCCTGAGTAGCTGGGATTACAGGCGTGTGCTACCATGCCCGGCTAATTTTTGTATTTTTAGTAGAGATGGGGTTTCACCATTTTGGCCAGGCTGGTCTCGAACTCCTGACCTCAGATGATCCAGTCACCTCTGCCTCCCAAAGTGCTGGGATTACAGGCGTGAGCCACTGCGCCCGGCCGCCCCAGTTGTCTTCAGTAGTTTCCCTGCCTTCAGGTAGGGCAATTGCTCTTACCAGAATGAAGAAGATGAATGGGATGGAATATTGCTGAGTGGAATTTTAAGCTTTTAGGAAGAGATAGAAATGATGTAGAACTACATTATCCTTTCTCATTCTGAAGAAGTTTGGTTATTGAAGAGAACAGAGCAGAGACCAAGGAGAGAAACTTCTGGTAAAACCTTGTAAATCCCAAGGCTCCCTGTAACTTCCTACTCATTTTGAGCACTTCCTTTATATCCATTTATTCATTAAAGTGTACTAAGTGCCAACATCCAAGCTAGGTGCTGGGAGTTAACAGGGAGTTTAGATTCCAAGAGACATGAGTTTATGATGAGGTTAAGTGTGGCAGGCTTTGTGAGCGTTAAAATGGGCCCCTGGCCTGGAGGAGCCAGGGAAGGAGGCTTCCCAGAGGACAAGGAAATCTGGCCTGGATGGCAGGTGAGGCAGAAGGAGGGAATCAGGACTCCAGTTGAGGTGGACATTTCAGGGAGCATGTTTAAAGGCCTCAAAGGGAAAGTATGGTGTATTCCTGGGGTGGTGAGACCATCCTGGGGGTCCTAGGCTGCTCCAATGTTTAAAAGAAAGACACCTTTTCAGAAGACTGAAAAGAATGTAGGTCAATACCTGAATGTTGTTTAATATTGTCTAGGGAGAGAATAAAGGAGTCAGTAGAATTACCATTTGGGCTGGGCACAGTGGCTCATGCCTGCAATTCCAGCACTTTGGGAGGCCGAGGTGGGCAGATATCTTGAGTTCAGAGGTTCGAGACCTGCCTGGCCAACATGGTGAAACCCAGTCTCTACTAAAAATACAAAAATTATCCAGGTGTGGTGGTGCACGCCTGCAATCCCAGCTACTTGGGAGGCTGAGACAGAAGAATTGCTTGAACCCAGGAGGCAGATGTTGCAGTCAGCCAAGATCATGCCACTGCACTTCAGCCTGGGCGACAGAGCAAGACGCTATCCAAAATAAAATAAAATAAAATAATAATTACCATTTGGCTGCTATCTCTATCAAATTTCTATCAGATTCCTTCTATAAAGGAATTTCTATCAGATTCCTTCTATAAAGAATTGAGTCAGGTGTGATGATTATGCCTGTAACACTGAGGCTGCAGCGAGCTGTGATTGTGCCACTGTATTCCAGCCTGGGCACCAGAGTAAGACCCTGTCTCAAAAAAAAAAAAAAAAAAAAAAAAAAAAAGAATTGTAGGCAGGGCATGGTGGTTCACTTGTGTAATCCCAGCACTTTGCAAGGTTGAGGCAAGATGATCACTTGAGCCCAGGAGTTTGAGACCAGCCTGGGCAATATAGGGAAACCTTATTTTGAAAAAGAAGAAAAGAAGGAGGAGGAGGAAGGAAGGAGAAGAAGAGGAAGAAGGAGAAGAAAGAAAAAGAGGAGGAGGAAGAATAAGGAGAAGGAAAAGAGGAAGAAGGAGGAGGAGGAGAAGAGGAAGAGGAGGAAGAGGCAGAAAAGAAAGAAATGAAGAAGAGGAAGAAGAGAAGAAGGAGAAGAAGAAGAAGAACAACAACAGCAACAACAACAACAACAACAACACCTCCACCACCACCACCTAGCACAGGGAAAGGAGACATCTCTGAGTAAGGTTCTAAAATACCATCTGGGTGAGGAGACAAGAGTGCCATGGCCTGGCCTGTTGGATTGGTTCACCATGGTGTTCCTAGCCCTCCTGTGTGGTAATGTTCCTGTATTCCAGGTAGAGGTGACACATTTAACCTCCTGATATGGTTTGGATCTGTGTCTCCACCATATCTCATGTTCAGTGGTAATCCCTAGTGTTGGAGGTGGGGCCTGGTGGGAGGCCGTAAAGGCATTTCAGAGACCTTTGCAGCAGCTCCTCCCATCACAGGCCCAGAGGCCTAGGAGGACTGAATGGTTTTGTGGGCCATGTCCAGGCTCCCCCTGCTCTGTGCTGCTCCCTGCATTCCAGCTGCTCCAGCTCCAGGCATGGCTCAAAGGGGCCCAGGTATAGCTTGGGCCACTGCTCCAGAGAGTGCAAACCTAAGCCTTGGTGGCTTCCATGTGGTGTTAAGCCTGAAGCTGTGCAGAGTGCAAGAGTTGAGGCCTGGGAGCCTCTGCCTAGATTTCAGAGGATGTATGGAGAAGACTGGGCTCCAGGCAGAAGCCTGCTACAGAGGCAGAACACTTATGGAGAACCTCTACTAGGGTCGGGTGGAGGGGAAATGTGGGGTTGGAGCCCCCACACAGAGTCCCCAGTGGGGCACTGCCTAGTAGAGCTGTGAGAAGAGGGCCACTGTCTTCCAGACCCCACAATGGTAGATCCACTGCCAGCTGGCACCCTGCACCTGGAAAAGCCACAGGCACTCAACACCAGCCCATGAGAGCAGTCATGGGAGCTGAACCCTGCAAAACCACAGGGGCAGAGCCCAAGGCCTTGGAAGCCCATCCATAGCACCAGTGCGCCCTGGATTTGGGACATGGAGACAAAGGAGATTATTTTGGAGTATTAATATTTAACAACTGCCCTGCTGGGTTTTGGACTTGCATGGGGCCTGAAGCCCCTTTCATTTGGCTCATTTCTCCCTTTTGGCATAGGAGTATTTACCCAATGCCTATACCCCCATTGTATCTTGGGAGTAACTAACTTGTTTTTTATTTTACAGGCTCATAGGTGGAAGGGACTTGCTTTTTCTCAGATGAGACTTTGGACTTTGGACTTTTAAGTTAATGCTGGAATGAATTAAGACTTTGGGGATTATTGGAAAGGCATAATTGTATTTTGAAATGTGAGAAGGACATGAAATTTGTGGGGGGGCCAGCGGCAGAATGATATGGTTTGAAACTGTGTCCCCAACAAATCTCATGTCAAATTGTAATTCCCAGTGTTGGAGGTGGGGCCTGGTGGGAGATGACTGGATCATGGGGGGTGGGTTTCTCATGACTGGTTTGGCACCACCCCCCTTGGTACTATCCTTGAGACCGTGAGTGAGTTCTCCTGAGATCTGGTTGTTTAAAAGTGTGTGGCACCTCCCCCCTTGCTCTCTCTCTCTTGCTCCTACTCTGGCCGTGTGATGTTTGTGCTCCTCCTTCACCATCTGCCATGATTGTAAGTTTCCTGAGGCCTCCTGAGAAGCCGGGCAGATGCCAGTGTCATGCTTCCTGTAGAGCCTGCAGAACCATGAGCCAATTAAACCTCTTTTCTTTATAAATTACCCAGTCTCAGGCATTTATAGCAATGCAAGAGCAGCCTGATAAACCTCCCAACAGCTGCGTTCTCCCAGTCGTCTTGCCATCAGTGGAAATATATTACACTATACACAACAGGGATCCTGGGGTCTCCTGTGTGTGAGGGAGCATGTTACATTCTCTTGAGAGTGATGGGTGAGATTTTTAGGTTCATTAAAAGAAAGCATGGGTTAAAAAAAAACCAAAACTTTAGAAACACCGATTTACATTCTCTACCCCCAGGTCTCCTTGTGACGATCACCCCCAAAATTTTCAGATTTTGTCTGGCCATAAAATTGAGATTTGGGCATTATTAGCATCATGTTGGAATCACTGGTGTGAACTAGTTACCATAACCCCCACTGGAGGCCTCTTTAGCCCTTTCTTGTGCATGATACAAAGGGTAGGCAGAAGAAGAGACACAGGCCCTGGGCCCCCAAAGACAAGGCCATCTGAAGGACAGGGTTACGAGTTTATTTCTTGGTGCCTCCAAGAGCTCATGGAAAAGCAGCACAGTGAGCAACAAGCAACAGTGGTCAGTAAATGTATATGACTCAACACATTGCCACAGTCTCAGCTTGGCTGTGTGGTACATGCTGCCAAGGGTCGGGTGCCAAGAGAGAGCAGAATGAAGCCAGGTCCCCAAGGAAGTGAGGGCCCAAAATAGGGAGTGTGGGTGATGAGGGTGGAGTTCAAATCCAGATGTCAGAGCTACAATCGCCCCCAGGGTAGCGGAGCTCATGGGCAAGGGCTGGGCCAAGGGGCTCCTTCCCGAAGTCCACCAGGAAGTTGGGGTTCAACTTCAGCCCTCCTTTTACTGTGTCTACATCAACCTGCAGCATCACAGAGCCTTCCCTGGTGGAAAAGGGAATGGGGTAAGGGAGAGGTCAGAGGTGGCTGCCCCCTTCCCCTAAGATTTTAGGGGAAAGCTCCTGAGGAAGGAGGAATGACCAGGGTCTCAATGGGCCATCTGTGTGGTGGGGTACAGGGGTCTCCTTGAGGAGTCTTCAGAAAGCCAAATGACCCCTCTGGAAGAGGAGGGCTGGGGAGGAGAGCCCATGTGTCTGCTTCTCACCTGATGAGATCAGGGTAAAACTGCTTGTCCCAGGCACTGTACAGCGACGTGGTGATGTAGAGGCGCTTCCCATCCAGGCTGAGCTGGATCATCTGAGGGCCTCCAGCCACCCGTTTTCCCTTGGGAAAACCAGGGGTCAGAGCCCAGGGTAACACACAGATCCTAGGCACCACCCCAACCCCAAGAGTATGCTCAGCTGCTCCCCCACATATTCCTCAAGCATGGGTCTGAGGGGTCCAGCAAGTAGGGGGAGAGGCTCTTACCTTGACCACTAGGGGCTCTGGCTGGGACTTTAGTTCCTCGTCCTCCAGCACTTGCACAGGGCCTCCCTTAACAATGCTGCCTCCGAGGAAGAGCTAGATGGGGAGGTGCAGAGTATAAGGAGGACCATAGTGGGAGGCGCAAACATTGCAGGAAGAGCAGCTTGCCTGGCTGGAACCCCTCTCTCCTTTCAGACATGCTCTGCATGCCCATCCCTGGCCTGGACAGTCCTGGGCCTGTGCTGTCCCACAGCACACATGTCTGCTTTTCCTGCACCTCCCTCAACATCCTGCAGCTGCTTCAGATCATCCACCCCATCCCCAGCTTCTCTTCTCTTTCCTTCCTTCCCTTCTGCTCCTCCTGCCAGGGTCTCCACCTGTCCTGTGAGGCGGGGTCTCTGTGGGTCAGAGATGTCATACTGCCTCAGGTCCCCATGCAGCCAGTTGCTGAAGTAGAGGAAGCGGTCGTCCAGGGAGAGCAGGATGTCGGTGATCAGGCCTGTGGGCAGGGGGCGAGTAGAGCCTTTAAGGACTCTTGTTTCCCAGGCCAAGAATCAACTTTCCTATGCCCTAGGCACTCACCTGGCATTTCGGGCAGCAGCCAGCCCTTCACTTTCTTGGGGGGCACCTGGATCACCTTCTCCACTGACCATGTACCTCCCTACATTGAGGGGTGGAGGGTGAGGTTAGCTGGCAGAGAGGTCAGCCTATCAGAATTGGGGACTAGGGGTTAGATCTGGGTTGCCCAGACCTGGGAGGGAGAGAATAGATGCCCGGCCTTCTTGCCAGCAGGATCTAACTCCATGCAAGCCCCTTGAGGCAGGGGTTGTGTCTGCTTCACCACTGCATTCCCAGAACATAGCACAGTGCCTAGCACAGACATTCACTAAGTAGTTTTTGAATGAATGGATAAATACGGCCAGTTAGGGTTCAGGCAGAAGTTGCCCTAGCACTGAGAGAAGAGAGACAGGGCATGCAGCCTCATTTTTTTCGTTCCTGGAGACGCCTGGGAGCACCGTTACAGAAGCCTGCTTAGGTAGAGCTGCTGACAAGACTACTGGGAGGGGAGGGCCAGAGGGCGTATGTCACCTCGTTCTTGTAGAAGCGCTGGATGGTGGAGCTGAGTGCGCAGCCCACAAAGCCTTGGGCAGCGTCTGGGTTGTGCAGGAAGCGGATCTCCAAGGGAATAAGCCCATCTTTTAGAGACAGGGTCTGCACAATCTCATGGCGCTGCCAGTCCCATACATATAAGTGGCTCCCGTACAGTCCTGGGGTGGGAGTGGGGCCGGAGGATAGGCTCAGCATCAGAGGTTGGAAGGCATGGGCAAAGACTGGGCCACCAATCAGGGCAGAAGGTTAAGAAATGGATTGGAGGGATCAGGAAGACGCTTGAGCAATCTGAGCATGCGGTACATCCTATGCCATCTCTCTTAGATTCTGGGGCCACAGGAGGGAAGTGTGGGGGTGGGAGATTTGGAGCAGAAAGCAAGGGGATGTAGGCCCAAGGCTCCTGCTGGCACATGGGGGGATTCTCACCAGCCTCCACATCAGCGGGGTTGAAGCCATCTCGTAAGACATTGGGAGCTGCCCACTCAGTGCTGATCATGACATTGTGTCGAGGCTGGTACCAGAAGTCATAGCCCAACGGTGCAGCACCCCCAGGTCTCTCCCATGTCCCCTTCACCTCGAACGTCTCCCCATCCAGCAGCACAAAACCCCCTGAACAGGGAAGGAAGCAGGGTGGCAGGTAGAAGCAGTAGAGACACTAACCCCACCCTCCAGCCCTCTCCCCGAGGCATGTCTAAGAGGCTGTAAGCCCATTGCCTCTACCTCCACTGCTGGATTTGCCAGTTCCTTAAATTCAGGCATCCAGGGCTGGGGGAAGAGTGGCTCATGCCAGTAATCCCAGCCCTTTGAGAGGCTGAGGCGGGCGGATCACTTGAGGTCAGGAGTTCAGGATCAGCCTGGCCAACATGGTGAAACTCTGTCTCTATTAAAAATATAAAAAATTACCCAGGCATGGCGTCACATGCCTGTAATCCCAGCTACTCGGGAGGCTGAGGCAGGATAATCTCTTGAACCAGTGAGGCGGAGGTTGGAGTGAGCTGAGATTGCGCCACTGCACTCTAGCCTGGGCAACAGAACGAGACTCCCATCTCAAAAAAAAAAAAAAAAGAGAAAAGAAAAAGAAAAAAGAAAAGAAAAAGTAAATAAAAAATTCAGGCATCCAAAGGGTCTCATCCAGGTATTCAAATTTGGCCAGGTGGCAGGGGGGCCTTTACGCCAGTGCCCCTGTCTCCTGTCTACTTCATCTCTCTCTCAGACCACAGCAGAAACGTTTCTCCCACGAGATCTTCTGGGACTCAGCACCTGGTATTTCTCTTGTCCAGCCTCCCACTTTTGGAGTGGGATTCCTCCCAGAGTCTAAGCTCCATTCTGCTCACTACATTTTTTTGAGAGAGGGTCTCACTCTGACGCCCAAGCTGAAGTGCTGTGGTTCAATCACAGCTCATTGCAGCCTTGACCTCCCTGGGCTCGGGTGATCCTCCTACCTCAGCCTCTTGAGAAGTGGGGGTTATAGGCCTGTACCACCACACCCAGCTAATTTGTGTATTTTTAGTGCAGAGTTGCCAGTGCCAACTCTGTATTATCAGCAGACAACACAGAGATGGGGTTTCACCATGTTGGCCAGGCTGGTTTGGAACTCCTGAGCTCAAGCGATCCGCTGGCCTCGGCCTCTTGAAGTGCTGGGATTAGAGGAGTGAGGCACAACACCTGGCCTGTTTTGACTATAACTTTGAACTGAATTCATCAGTGAAGACTCATCTTAATAGAAATATTCAAAACTGAAGTTACTTGCTAACATTTAAAATACTGGCTGGGATCCAGCTCACTGGTTCTCCTTGGGAAGTCATTCCAACCCTCCCCTTCCATTCTGCTCCTCCCACAGAAAAATGCTTCCCACATTTCACAGCTGTGGAAGTTTTCATGAGCACACAGTGCTGGCAGGTACCTTTGCCATTGCCCTTGACGTCTCCCAGGGAGCTGATCATCACTTCCCCGCTGGCCAGGCAGTGGCTGGTGTGGAGAAAGGCCAGTTCGCACTTGGCATGGATGTCCTTGGGCTCAATGACCTGGAAGGGGTGGGGAATGGTGTCAGAATCATACAGGACTGGGAGTCCCTGCTCTTAACCTCCATACTTCCCCTACTTCTATCTGCTGACTCTGTCATCTTTTCCTTCAAAACATGGACACAACTCTCCCTGTGGGAATATGACAAAGATTCAGTCTGGTAACTTCTACAGAGCAGCAAGGGAAAGTCAGAGAGATTGCTAATAACTCCCCAGGCAGAAAGCGCTGACCTTTCCCCATGTGTCCTGAAGGCACACGCAGCCCTGTGAAACCATAAGCTCCTCCCAGGCTGGCCTACACCAGTGTCAACTCTGTATTACCAGTAGACAACACAGTAAATGCCTGGCACCAAAAGTGCACTAAACAAAGTGTTGGGAGAGACCGGAATTTTTAAGAGAACCCTGAGCTCCTAACTGCATGGGGGAATAAATGGCTCCCTCCCTCTCTCAGAGTAAAACAAGAAGCCTTGTCCCTCTTCTCCCATGCCCTGGTCACCGTGCTGGAGGGTGATGACCCAGAATGCCTGGGTAGACTCTGCTCTGAGGTCCAACCTCCCTCCCTGCTGCCGAGCCAGTTGCCGCGTAAGAGCTGGAGGCTGCTGGTTTAGGTCTGGCTTCCTGCCCGTAGACTACCTGGGGTGGCAGGTGTCTTATGGTCTACTGAGCTGGCAAGGGCAGAGGACATGCCTTGTGCAGCTTTGGGGCCCGGGGCTCAGAGCCCACGTCCACCACATAGATGCGAGAGGAGATGAGACTGGGCAGCACCAGCTTGGTGCGCGACTTGGTGCTATCACCGAAGCAGCTGCTGCAGGTGTTCCATCCTGAGTGATGCAGCTCGTCCTTCAGGTTGGGCATGGGCAGCCGGTGGATGACCTAGGATGCGGGGAGAGGTGGTGCTCCCCCAGGCCACGCCTCTGTCCACTTTTGGAAGAGGCGCCCTGTGGACTCATTTTGGTTTGGAAGCACGGCACAGGCTGGATTTCAGCACTCCCCTTGTCCCAGGTTGAGCGTGCACAAGCATCCCCAGGGAGGGCCAAGAAGGATGGAGCTGGGAAGGGGGGGCCCAGGGCCAGGGATGAGGGCAGCTATGGTCTCAAAGTAGCTGGCGCCCAAGCCCCGCCTAACCTGGCAATACTGGGGAGACTTGGGGTCAACATCCACAGTGGCCAGATAATCTGGGGCCTCAGTGCCTGTGTTTCGGTAAATGCAGGGCAGGTAGACGATCTCTTCCCTGGGTCCTGCACGGTAGAAAGCAGGCAGCAGGGACGGCAGGGTGGGAAGGAAAGGTAGGGGAAGTGCTGGGTGTGCCAGAGGGTGGGGGCTAGGTCTGAAGTCCCTCCACCCCCAGCTGTGGAATCAGTAGTAGGGCGCTGGCTCTCAGACCATGGGCAATTACCTTTCATGGCCTCCAGAGGGGTGGAGTAGCCGGGTCCACAATTCCCACATTTCGTAGCTGTGGAAGCAATGGGGCGCATTGGCTGGGCCACGCTCTGGAGGGTGAAGGCTCCCTCCGCACGTTCTGCAGCACACATCCCAGCGGGCCACGGCAGTGCGGCTGGCCTAGGTCCCCACTCCAGCCTCATCGCTCTGGCCTGTCCTCTCCGCCCCCTCAGAGCCCTGAGGAGGGTGAGGTTGTGCTGGGAAGAGCTGGAGACACATGACCTGAAGGTGGACAGACAGTCCAGCAGGGCCCCGGGAGGGTGGGAGGAGGGCTGATGCAGCCGGGGTCGTGTGGTGTAGTGAATATGACACGGACTCGGGGCCCAACCCCAGCCCACCACTGACTAGCCAGGGGAGCTTGGGCAAAGTACTGAAGCTCCTCGACCTCAATTTCTGCATCCTCTGTAAAATGGAGATGGTAAGAATTTCACAGTGGGCTTTTACGAGAAGTAAACACGAGGGTGCAGTAGGTGTGCAGCTCTGTGTTTGTCTGGTCGAAGCCCAGGCACCCTTGGCTGTTCTTGAGGAGCTGCTCTCAGGGAGTGGGGTGGCGCCTGCTCAGCTCCCTTCACCAAGATGCTTCTATATCAGGGGGAGGCCACTTCCTGCTTTTCTCTCCCCTGGGTCCTGATCCCAGGCTGCTAGCCAAGGGCTGGATTACATAACCGAGGGTCTGGGGCTAATACCAACTGGAAGTCCTCAGGCTGGTTTCTACCCCTGGGTGTGCCCCACTTCCTTTATCTGTAAAGTAAGGTGTTTGGCCCAACTCTGGAGAGCCCAGAGGCCTGCCCACCAGAGAGATAGGGAGCAACCCTCCCTATCTCTGAAGTCTGGCAAGAGGGGCCATGCTAATCTCCAGGATGTAAGTCAGCAGATGTGCAGTAGGGCTGGGACATCACAGCTACCAGCACCCCAGCATCAGAGTTTGGGGCCTGCTGGGGAGCAGGGGTTAAAGAATACCCAGAGGGGGTGGCAGGCTGAAAGAAACCCTGGAGTGGAGTCCACAGGCCTGGGCCCTGTCTCCTGCCTTGTCCTGTGGCCAGTCCAGCCTCTGCCTTCACAGCTGGGCCGCAAGTGGGGAGCCAGGAGTAGGCAGAGTGGGGCCTCCACTGGGGCCTGGGACTCCCACTCGCAGCAGCCAAGAGACTTAGGAAGCTGAGAGGCAGCAACAGCGTTCAGAGTCTGGAAACCTGGTTTCAAGTCCCAGTTTTGACGCCCCGTTTCTCCATTTTCTCCTCTTCATTTACGAAAAGTGGGCAATAATGATATTCTACCTACTTTGCTAGGTAGATATGGAGGACAAATAAGACAATGTATTCCAAAGGCCTTTCATAAAAATGAATTAGGCCGGGTGCGGTGGCTCATGCCTGTAATCCCAGCACTTTGGGAGGCTGAGGCGGAAAGATCACCTAAGGTCAGGAGTTTGAGACCAGCCTCACTAACATGGCAAAACCCTGTCTCTATTAAAAATACAAAAATTACCCTGTATTAAAAATTAGCCTGTATTAAAAAATACAGGCATACACCTGTAATCCCAGCTACTTGGGAGGCTGAGGCAGGAGAATCACTTGAACCTGGGAGGTGGAGGCTGCAGTAAGCCGAAATCACGCCACTGCAGTCACTCCAGCCTGGGCAACAAGAGTGAAATTCTGACTAAAAAAAAAAAAAAATAATGAATTACTGTGTAAATATGGGAAGGGCTGTGCCAGAGGAGAGGAGAATGCCAGGGAGTGCTCGATGCCCAGCGAGAGGGCTGGAGGTGGGGCAGGGAGAGAGAGAGAGGTCCAGTTCACAGGAGTTAAGGAGACTGGTTCTGTTACACAATCTTGCTAAGTCGGGGCTTGGCACCAGATGACAGGGGGTGGGGAAGGAGGTTGCTGGATACAGAAGGGAAAGGAGATTTTAAAACTCCAAGACCTCAAGACAGAGATACAAAAAATACAAAGCTAGGGAGAAGCTGAGAGGGAAGTAAAAGTGCAGAGATGGAGCTGCCCGCTCTGCAGCCTCGGCCCACCCCACACCCCAGCAACCCCAGCCCCAGCATTTCTTAGGGTCAGGCCTGGCATGCCACTGCAGCCCCAGGGAGCATCATTCCTCTTTCTGGGGAATACCCCCATCTGAAACATCTCAAGCAAGGTCTCGGAGCAGCTTTGGGTTTGGGATGGACTCATGGAAAGCTCAAGTGGGTTTTCCATGTCAGGCTGGCTGCTGGGCATTCTGCCAGCTCGGCATTCTGCCAGCTCAAGAGCCAGCCCCGAGCGGGGAAGGACCTCCCAACCAAACCTCAGTTCCTTCTTAGCCTGTCACCCAGAAGCCTACAGATGGAGGAATAGCAGGGCCAAGGGGGATTTAGGGGTGGGGGAGGCATTGAAACAGGTCCCCAGTGAAAGAGTGTGGGGGTCTCTGATTTCCCTCCCAGAGAGCTTTGCTGTGTGGAGTAGCTAGAGAGTGACCTGGGCACAGAAAGGCTTTGGACTCCCTACCTCGCTGGAGTACAAAGTTGGCCCATGGCTGAAATCAGGATCACCTCTCTACTATGTGAGGGCCAGGGACCTAGTGGTGTTTTCTAAGAGCGCCCATCTGATTTTCCCAGCTGCAGAAAGGCACCCTGGTCCCAGCCTCTGCTGGATGGAGCCAAGTCAGGGCCCAGGATCCCATCTCCCAGCAGTGCCTCTGCCCGTCTTCCTCAGAAAGTTTGGCTGAGCTGGGAAATGCAGTGGGGTGGTGGGGGAGGGGGTGTGCAGACTGGGGACAATGAAGCAGAGTCCACTACTCCCTCCCCAGCTCCCCACTCAGGTTTTCTAGCATTTTCTGGAGGAGGGCCTTCCAAATTAGGGGCAGACAGAGCAGGCAATGGGTGATTGGAAACCCCTCTCCTTACCCATGCTGCCGACTGGTACACTTTGATCCCGGCGGGTTTGCTGTGCTGGTGTCAGAGGCCGCTGTTCCGGGGAAGGAGCGAAGGGAGGGAATTTATACAACCAGCTGGGGGTGGGGCAGAGAAGGAGGAGGGCCCGGGCTGTAGCCCAGAGTAAACTACTCAGGGCAGCTGGCCAGGATACTCTCAAGTGGCCTAGGGCAACTGGTGTTTGAATTATGGGGTGTGCGTGTATGTGTTTAAGTGTGTATGTGTGGGAGCCTGTGCTTTATTTATTTATTTATTTATTTAGAGACAGGGTCTCACTCTTGCCCAGGCTGGAGTGCAGTGGTGCGATCTCGGCTCACTGCAACCTCTGCCTCCTGGGTTCAAGTGATTCTCCTGCCTCATCCTCCCGAGTAGCTGGGATTACAGGCACCCACCACCATGCCCAGCAATTTTGTATTTTTAGTAGAGAAGGGATTTCACCATGTTGGCCAGGCTGGTCTCAAACTCCTGACCTCAGGTGATCCACCCGTGTCGGCCTCCCAAAGTGCTGGGATCACAGGTGTGAGCCGCTGCCCCTGACCAGCTCGTGCTCTTTAGTGGGTGCCTGGGTGTGTGTGGATTTGTGTGTCTGGGCATGTGTGTGTTCCTGTATACCTGCGTGTTGCTCGTGCACGTGCCTGCATGAGTGTGTATCTGTGCCTGTGTGTGAATTTCCACGTGTGTGAATGTGCCTGTGAGTGTGCTTGTGTGTATTTGTGCGTGTGTGTGTGTGCGCGCCTCTGTATGTGCCTACCAGAGTATCTACGCCTGTGTGTGTGTGTGTGTGTGTGTGCGCGCCTCTGTGAGTATGTGCTTGCTAGAGTATCTACGCCTGTGTGGACATGTGCATAAGTGCTTGTGTATGTGTAGTGTGTGGCTATGTGGCTGTGCATGTGCTTGTGTAAGCCTGCGCACGTATGTGTTCCTGTGTCTCCAAATGCTCGTCTTTGTATTTGGACCTGTCTCTTAGCATTTAGGGGCACCCGGGACTGTGGGCCCATCAGCCAGGGTCACTTCTTCCCTAAGATTGCCCTCTTATTCCAGATATTCATACTCTTTGGATAAAAGCTCTGGGGTGAAGTTTTTATTGGCTAGGAAAAAGAATAAAGTCTGGGCTTGAGATTGCAAGTAGAATACAGGGTTTCCAAACCAGAGTGGGGGAAGGGGAGCAAAATTGGGCCTTGGTGCATTGGGTATCTGTCTTCCTGGCTCCCATCAGTGAGGGATCATGTGCCCATCAAGGAAGACTCCCTGTGGCTGCCCGGGGCAAGGGTCTTCTCTTATCCCCAGCGCCACTCAACCCCTCTTGGCTCCATCCTGCATCTATTATCCTCACCATTGTGCCATCAGCCTGCCAGGCATCAAAGAGAGTCTTGTGTGTGCAGCTGCCCCACGGGGAAGGCCCTGAAGGCTGCTTCCTTGTCTTTGCCAGCTTCCTCCTGTCCTGACTACCTCCACTCACCCTGCCTTCACCCTTCCCTCTGGCCCTCCCCTCTTCCTCCTCCTGAGGTCTCCATCTCCTGCCTCCTCTCTATTCTCCGGCTTCTTGGCTTGGGTTAGTCCACCACCCAAGATCTGAAAGAGAAAGAAACTTTATCCCCACCTTCTCATAAAAAATTATTGAGTCATTAACTTAAAAAAAAAAAGGCTGTTATTTTGTTTGTTGTGGTCTGTCATTGACTACCTCTTTCATGCTCCTGAGCTCTGACCTGGCTGGTCTCTGCAGCAACTCCATGGCACCCCTCACCTCTGCCTGTGGTTTTCTCCCTGAACTCTTGCTCTACAGCCAGCAGGTGGTTGGGGAAGTTATCCTAATCTGGGCTACAGAGGGAGGCAGTAAAGGTAGAGGGGCGATTCTCCTGCCTCAGCCTCCCGAGTAGCTGGGACTACAGGTGCCCACAACCATACCTGGCTCATTTTTGTATTTTTAGTAGAGACGGGGTTTCACCATGTTGGACAGGCTGGTCTCGAACTCCTGACCTCAAGTGATCCACCCACCTCCGCCTCCCAAAGTGCTGGGATTACAGGCCTGAGACACCGTGCCTGGCTGACCTGGATAATTTTTAAATTTTTTTTGTAGAGATGGGGGGTCTCACTATGTTGCCCAGACTGGTCTCAGACTCTTGGGCTCAAGTGATCTGCCTTGGTCTCCCAAAGTTAATTTTGGATTTTTAAAAAAATAATAAGTACTGCTTTTGTAACTAAAAGCTCAAATAAATATATTAAAAGAAAAACTATAAGGAAGATGAAAGGAAGGATGGAAGGTCACATGCAGTGCAGGTGAGGGCCACAGTGAGGGCCCATGCTGGGGAGAAGGACTGGCCCCGGTCCCTTTTGAGCTACAGCTCTCCCAACCAGCTGCCTATCCTTCCCTCTGGAGCACCTCTTTTGAGCCAGATATGGTAGACAAAGTGGTGAACAGGGCAAAGTTGCTACCTTCATGGAGATGACTTTTTAGGGGAGATGACTGATAATCATGCAAATACACAAATAAATAAAATCACTTCAGATAAGTGCTGTGAAGGAGTAGGGTAATGTAGGGGTGATGCAGCATTAGGTGGGGTTGCTTGGTATGTATGGGTACAGAATTATATGCAAACAAACAGTACAAAAGAACTAAAACAAACAAACCAAAAAGCACAAACGTGCACAAAATGCCTGTAAGGCATAAAGGTAGCAGCCCATGGAGGTCTGAGGCAGGACTGGCTGGAGAGGTTGGAGTTTTCACCAGCTAAGTAGAGTTTCAGAGCCCTGTTCTGCTCATTTCTCCTTATATTAACAGACCAACTCCATACCCTCAGGGATGTGTAGGAGATGTGAAGGGAGTAGCGTTTACTGAGAACCTGCTACTAGAGGTGACGGGCGCCATGCCGGGCCCTACACACTAACAATTAGCTCAGGTTCCGCCCATGGCACAGCTGGAGAGGTTAAATGCCTTTTTCTTTTTCTTTCTTTTCTTTTTTTTTTTTTGAGACAGAGTCTCCCTCTGTCGCCAGGCTGGAGTGCAGTGGCGTGATCTCTGTTCACTGCAACCTCCGCCTCCCAGGTTCCAGTGATTCTCCTGCCTCAGCCTCCTGAGTAGCTGGGACTACAGGCGCATGCTACCACGCCCAGCTAATTTTTGTACTTTTTAATAGAGATGGGGTTTCACCATATGGCCAGGCTGGTCTCAAACTCCTGACCTTGTGATCTACCCGCATTGGCCTCCCAAAGTGCTGGGATTACAGGTGTGAGCCACCGTGTCTGGCCTGTAAATGCCTTTTTCTTCATCTTACATTCAGGAAACAGAGTTTTCCCAATTCACTCCGTTGCCCACACTTAATGCACTGTTTCTGAATGACAGTGAGTTCAAAGCCTGCTGCTCAGGGTAATAACATGGCTCAGAGAAGAGAAATAATTTTTTTTTTTGAGACGGAACGTCACTCTGTCACCCAGGCTGGAGTGCAGTGGCAAGGTCTTGGCTCACTGCATGTTCCATGTCCTAGGTTCACGCCATCCTCATGCCTCAGCCTCTCGAGTAGCTGGGACTACAGGTGCCTGCCACCACGCCTGGCTAATTTTTCATATTTTTAGTAGAGACGGGGTTTCACCGTGTTAGCCAGGATGGTCTCTATCTCCTGACCTCGTGATCTGCCTGCCTCGGCCTCCCAAAGTGCTGGGATTACAGGCGTGAGCCACCGCGCCCGGCTGAAATAATTTTTTTTAATGCCCTCTGCCAGGGCTGTCTATAAAAAGCATGATTTGAGAACCACTTGGAGGACTTTCTCCTCACTGCCAATCCACTCAGAAATATCCTCCCTTTGGCCTGCCATTGATGCTTGAAACTTCACCAATAGCAGTTTATTTCTTTGTGTTACTACCAGATGGCCTCTTCTCACCTCCTGGCTACAGTGAATGTCTCTGGAGTGGTAACCCTTTAAGCTCCTAGTACTGCAGCGCCACTCAGTTTTATCAGAAGCCTGTGTCCCAGTGGGCAGCACTGAAGAGTGGCTGGGGGCCTATCATATCCAGGGAGATGCTAAGGTTGGGGACAGAAGGTGTTTAAAAAGCAAATGTTATCGTCTTGACTCCTTACCTCTATTGCTTAAAGAGAAGGAAGAATAAACAGTGAGGTGGCTCACACTTGTAATTCTAGCACTTTGGGAGGCTGAGGCAGGTGGATCCCTTGAGCTCAGGAGTTCAAGACCAGCCTGGGCAACATAGTGAAACACTTTCTCTACAAAAATTACAAAAATGAGCCAGGTGTGGTGGTGTGCACCTGCAGTCCCAGCTACTCGGGAGGCTAAGGAGGAGGATCACTTGAGCCTGGGAGGTGGAAGCTGCAGCAAGCTGTGATCATGCCACTGCACTCCAGCCTGGGCGACAGAGGAGGCTCCATCTAAAAAAAAAAAAAAAAAAATTATAAGCCATTTTGTTTCAGTTATGCCTCCTAGCCTGTAGCCTCCCTCCACCCTGAATTTTTTTGAAACATTGCTTTAATGTTTCAGAATATATCTCTTTAAAATAGGAATTCTGAATTGGGTATGGTGGCTCACTCCTGTAATCCCAGCACTTTGAAAGGCTGAGGCAAGAGGATTGCTTGAGCCAGGGAGTTCAAGACCAGCCTGAGCAACATAGGGAGACCCCGTCTCTATGAAAAAAAAATTACCTGTGGTCCCAGCTATTCAGGAGGCTGAGGTGGGAGGATCACTCAAGCCCAGGAGTTTGAGTCCAGACAGGACAACATAGCAAGACTCTCATCTCCTAAAAAAAAAAAAAGGAAAGGAAAGGAAAAAGAAGGGTCTGACTAGAACAGAAATTATGTATCTTGTTACACATTTAATGCACAAGAAGAAAAGATGAGGTGGGTTTGAAAACCAATTATGCAGACTGGAAGAGGTAGCAGCAACTTTGGTTACAAGGACACAGGTGACGCTTGCCATCACCAACACCCTCTCTCCAGCCTTTCTCCTGTGCCAAGCCTGGCTCCAGAAGAACTGAGACAAGAGCCATAAAATGGCTTTCATGCAATAATCTCCACCTTTACGAGGCCCACTTGGCTAGCACCCATTCATTTAAGAGTCCTGAGAAGAAAGAATTACATCAGTCTTGGTTAATGGCCCAAATTAAGCCATCAAACCCCTAATAAAGCTTCTATTTTGAACATGTTACAATACTTGAAATAAAATTTCCAAAGGAAAATAAAAGCCCTTCCATTTGGGGGCAGGAAGAATCTTTGGTCCCTGGGGTCATATCCCTGAGTCACAGTTTCTCTACTAAGGCTCAGGACGGGCAGAAACAAATCCCCTTCTTTGCGGAGCCCAGGCCTCCACTTTCTCACCTCAGCACCTGAATGCTGCCTGAGAAGAAGTTAGGGGATCCTTCTCCCAGTGTCCCAGAAGGACAGGAGGCCAGAGACTTTGGGAGACATGGCCTCAGGTCTACATGGAATTGGGAGGAGGCCCGGGCAGGGGCTTCACTGCCCATCCTGGATCTGCTGTCTCTTTTGCATCATATCCACCCGGCTGGTTTCCTTTACAATCTCCTCAGGGTCACGTCCATGTGCAGGAATGCTAAAAGTGCTATGTGGGATATGGGAGCCCCAGATTTCCTTTCTCACCTTTTCAAAAGGTGCTCAGAAACCAAAGTTTAAAAAGGCTTAAACTGAAAATAATAGCTGTTCCCAATATACAGTAATCTTTAACAAATCAATTGGAAAAAGATAAATTACACAAAGAAAAACATTCCAAGGATATGAAAATACAATATAAATGGCTAATAACCATAAGAAAACATACCTGGTCTCATTAGCCATTAGAGAAATGCTGGTTAAAGCAACAAAAAGATATGATTTTCAAAAATAAAAAGATTGATAATATTCAGGATCAGAAGGAGTGTGGGGAAAAGGACCACTCCTGTATTCTACTGGCAAGACTATAAAATGGTGGAACATTTTTAGAAGGAAATTTAGCAACATCTAGCAACATTTTAAATGGAAATCCACTTCTAGTGATCTACCTTATGGAAATCAATAAGTATATAAATATATAAATATAGGATGTTCATTGCAACAATGTTCTTAATAGTGAAAGGTTGGAAACAACCAATAGCAGAATGGTGAAATATATTATGGAACATCCATAGTATGAAACACCAAGCACCTTAATGTGTAGTTTTCTATATACCAACACAGAAGGATATCAATAAATACGGTGGAGGGGTGGGGGAAACCAGAAAGTATAATCTCATTTCATTTTATTTTTTATTTTTTGAGACAAGAGTCTCGCTCTGTCACCCAGGCTGGAGTGCAGTGGTGCCATCCTGGCTCACTACAACCTCCGCCTCCCGGGTTCAAACAATTCTTCTGCCTCAGCCTCCCAAGTAGCTGAGATTACAGGCATGTACCACCAAGCCAGGCTAATTTTTTTGTATTTTTAGTAGAGATGGGGTTTCGCCATGTTGGCCAGGCTGGTCTTGATCTGCCTGCCTCAGCCTCTCAAAGTACTGGGATTACAGGTGTGAGCCACTGTGCCCAGCCTCATTTTAATTAAAACTACATAAAAATTAAGCTATATAGTTTTAACTAGTTAAATTTATATTTATTTATTTATTCATCCATCTATACGTTCATAGAAAAGGATTTGGCTTATGATTGATGTCAGTATTTTGGGAGGCTGAGGCAGGCAGATTGCTTGAGCCCAGGGGTTTGTGACCAGCCTGGGCAACATAATGAGACACCGTCTCTACAAAAAATTAAAACAATTTAGGCCTGGCAGGCTCCTGTAGTCCTAGCTACTTCGGGGGTGGGGAAGGTGTGCTGAGGTGGGAAGATTGTTTAAGCCCTGGAGGTCGAGGCTGCAGTGAGCTGTGATTGCACCACTGCACTCTGGTCTGGGTGGCAGAGTGAGACGCTGTCTCAAAAAAAAAAAAAAGTAGGCCGGGCGTGGTGGCTCACTCCTGTAATTCCAGGACTTGGGGAGGCCGAGGCGGGCGGATCACGAGGTCAGGAGATCGAGACCATCCTGGCTAACACAGCGAAACCCCATCTCTACTAAAAATACAAAAAAAAAAAAAAAAAAAAAAATTAGCCGGGCATGGTGGCAGGCGCCTGTAGTCCCAGCTACTTGGGAATCTGAGGCAGGAGAATGGCATGAACCCGGGAGGTGGAGGTTGCAGTGAGCTGAGATCGTGCCACTGCACTCCACCCTGGGCGACAGAGCAAGACTCCGCTTAAAAAAAAAAAAAAAAACCTAAAGAAAAGGATTTGTAGAGATAAAGCTTCCCTTATCATGCCAAATGTAGCTAACAGTGGTTACCTCAAGAATTGGATTACAGGGAGCAATTTTTATTTTTCACATTATGTATCAATCATATTTTTAAAATTTTATATTAAGTTTGAAATACATGTGTAAACAATTGAAACAGTGAAAGAATACAGTAACATTTTTGCCTATAAGATGGGCAAAAAATTTAAAGGTTAAAATCTTGTATTGGTGAGACTATGCGGCAAAGGGACCACTCATTTAGGACTAATGAGAGTGTCAATTGGTGCCTTACTAACAAAAACAATTTGTCAATACCTCACAAAAGTTAAACTGTGCATACTGTTTTACCTAGGAATTTCACTTCAAGGATGCAATCCCATGGAAATACCTGCACAAGTAGGCAAGAAACAGGTACAGGTTGAGGCGGTGGCTCACGCCTGTAATCCCAGCACTTTGGGAGGCTGAGGCAGGTGGATCCCCTGAGGTCAAGAGTTCGAGACCAGCCTGGCCAACATGGCAAAACCCTGTCTCTACTAAAAGTATAAGAATTAGCCTGGCGTGGTGGCACACACCTGCAATCCCAGCTACTTGGGAGGCTGAGGCAGGAGAATCACTTGAACCTGGGAGGTGGAGGTTGCAGCGAGCCAAAATTGCACCACTGCATTGCAGCCTGGGGCGACAGAGGGAGACTCTGTCTAAAAAAAAAAAAAAAAAAGAAAAAAGATATAGGTACAGGTTGAGCATCCTTAATCTGAAAATCTGAAATCCAAAATGCTCCAAAATCTGAAATGTTTTGAGCACCAGTGTGACACCACAGGTAGCAAATTGCGTGCCTGACCTCACGTGTTGGGTCACAGTCAAGACTTTGTTTCATGTACAAATTATTTAAAATATTGTATAAAGTTACCTTCAGGCTATGTGTATAAGGTGTTTATGAAACACAAATAAATTTGCGTTTAGACTTGGGTCCCATCCCCAAGATATTTTAATATATATATATGTATTCCAAAATCTGAAAAAAATCTGAAATCTGGAACACTTCTGGTCCCAAGCAGTTTGGATAAGGGATACCCAAACTGTAATAATAAAATAACAACAGCTATCATTTATTAAATACATGGTACTGTTCGAAGTACTTAGGGATAAAGAAAGAGAAATGAACCACATCCACCTCATATAAAAGCTTTCCATGTGCCAAGTACTTCTCTGAGCTATTTGCATGTTCTGCCTTTACTTATACAGGGTTTACAACATCCCTATGAAGTGGGTATTTTCATTATGTCCAATTTACAGATAAAGAAGTTACAGCATAGAAAGAGGAAGCAACTCATACAAAGTTACACAGCTAGTGAGTAGCAGAGCCCAGGATCTGAAGCCAGGCAGTAGCTTCAGGCTCTGGCCTGGGACCTCTATGCACATAAGTTCGCAGCCCCTTCAGACAGAATGCTTTTGTGTTTTGTTGCTTGGATGGCTGGCCAGCACATTCAGCCCTTTCTATATTGGGTGGGAGGCAAAAGGCCAGATACTCACCGTCCCAGGCCTTAGGCCTCCTTGCTGCTAGGAGCAAGCATGTGACTTGGTCTTGGACGCAGCCAGGTGTGCCCACCGGAGACTCCAACACAAGGAAGTAGGGAGTGGGTTCTGGTTGCTGCAGGGAAGGCTGGTGTGCGGGTGGGTCACCATGCTGCAGAACCTCCCAGGGTCCAGCGCAGCTGGTGGTGCCATGGCAGCACATAGAACTTGAGGGGTAGAGGCAGTGTCCTTTGATTGGGATCTAGGACAAGAAAGGGCTCTCTGGCTGCAACCACTTCTGCCACTGGGGCCTTATGATCGAGCAGATCCAGTGATGCTTGGTGAGTTGGGGTGATCCATGGGATGAGGCAGGCAAGAGGCAGAAGGAGAGTCCCCAGGGTGACCCCAAATGATTGAGCCCAGCCCACTTCAGCAAAGAACAGTTCTCTTGAAAAACAGCCTCTTCTGAGCTTCTGGGTCCCAAGAGAAACCAAACATGAGAGGATGGGACACCAGGTGGCCTTTGACTCAAGCCTCCTTATGAACTGGGGATTATCTGATCCACCTAGCTAGCCCAGGAACCAAGCCCAGGAGCTCATCATCCTTAAGTAGAACTGGGTTGAGCCCGAAAGGAACCCTGAGAGTGAAGCTGCCAACAGCAGAGAGAAGCTGCGGAGTCGCCTGGCTAGCCCTGTCTTGCCAATACCCTCTCCCCTCAGTCCACCCTAAGAGCTTTAGAAGTTATACATGAAGACTACAGAGAAGAAAAACATTCTAGGCTGGGTTACAGGTGGCTGGCTCTCCACTATACACCATCATCAGCCAGAAGTGGTCTATTATTAAGAGATTAACAACAAGAATTTTAGAACCAGACTGTGTGTGTGAATTCCACTTCCACCAGTTACTAGCTTTATGAATCTGGGCAAGTAATTTAACCTCTCTGTACCTCGGTTTCCTCATCTCTAAAAGAGAGAAAATAAAATATCTATTCCCCTCATAGGGTGTTTTGAAAATTGCATGATGATATACATAAAGCTCTTCGAAAAGCACCCAGAACCTAACATACGCTGTGTTGTTGTTGTTGCAGCAATACAGCCCTTCTGAGAAAGTTCTAGAGAGCTGTTGAACAACAGTGTGAAATACTTAACACTACTGAGCTATACGTTTAAAAATGGTTAAGATGGTAAATTTAATGTTTTGTGTTTTTTTGTTTTGTTTTTTGAGTTTCGCTCTTGTTGCCCAGGCTGGGGTGCAGTGGCGTGATCTTGGCTCACTGCAACTTCCGCCTCCCAGGTTCAAGCGATTCTCCTGCATCAGCCTCCCAAGTAGCTGGGATTACAGGCTCGTGCCACAACACCTGGCTAATTTTTTGTATTTTTAGTAAAGGTGGGGTTTCACCATGTTGGCCAGGCTGGTCTTGGACTCCTGACCTCAGGTGATCCACCCGCCTCGGCCTCCTAAAGTGCTGGGATTATAGGCATGAGCCACTGTGCCCGGCTGAAAATGTAAGTTTTTAAACATAGAATTTTCTAATTGTGATTTTCACTTTCAGGCTGGGTGTGGTGGCTGACTCCTGTAATCCCAGTGCTTTGGGATGCCAAGGCAGGGGGTCAGTTGAGGTCAGGAGTTTGAGACCAGCCTAGGCAACATAGAGAGACTGCATCTCTAAAAAAAAAAAAAAAAAAAAATTAGCCAGCATGGTGGGGCACACCTGTAGTCCTAGCTATTTGGGAGGCTGGTGCATGGGATTCCTTGAGCTCAGGAGTTTGAGGTTACAGTGAGCTGATGGCGCCACTGCATGTCAGCCTGGGTGACAGAGCAAGACCCTGTCTCTGGAAGAAGAAAGGAAAGAAAATGAGTGGTCTTTTTATTAAATTGCAGATAATTAGAAATGCCTCTTTATTAAAAAAATAATAATAAAGCTGTTTTGAAAGACGGCCTTCGAAGTTACTGTCATTGCATTGGACACGTTGCCTTGGAGGAGACGCAGCCTGAGGGTCTGCCCTGACTCATGAGCAGGGCCCATGCTTTGCTGGGTGGACAGACTTGGATAGAACAAAATCAAAGGGCTGGTGAAAGGGGGTTTGGGAAGAAGGCCTGTGAATGGACCTCACAGAAAGAGCCCAGAATGCAAGAATATTTGTGTCTAGTGTAGCCATTCAACCAGCAGGCCCTCTCCCTGGAGGATGCTCGTGACGATGGAGGGTGAGGCGAACCTGTTCTGTGGATGTCATTGTTTTCTCACTGATATTCCATGAACAAAGAGGTTGTGGTGGCTAGAGCAGAGGCTGCACATGGCCTTGCCAGCATGGACCTCCTCTTTCTGAGTCAGGCCCAGTTGGAGCCACTGCTGAAGACACAGAAGCTACCACAACAGTCCACCACCTGGGGAAGGGTTGTTTCCACTACTGTCTGCCAACATGGAGGGAGCAGAAACGCATTCTCTTTAGAAGGCAGTTTCATATTTCTAGGTTTGGATTTGCGTTCTCTGACCCGATACTGCCACCACCACCATCTATAGACATCCTGGATGTCTCATACACTATCACAGTGCCCCACACTGAGTTACCACTTCTGACAAAGGGTCTCACTGTACAGTGAAAGACGGGTAATGATACCCAGCGTGTGACGAGTCCTGCAAGTGTTAACCCATCTTCACAGCAAACACATAGATCTAGGCACTATTATTAGCTCCATTTTACAGATAAGGAAACTAAGTCACAGAGAGGTTTCATAAATTGCCTGAAGTCAACTGTGAGTAGTGAGGTCCGTATTTGAACCCAGACACTATGGCTCAGAGTCCATGCTGTGAACCCATGGGAGTCATGGATCTTACCATGTACCTCATCCCTCAGAAGCAGCTGGCCTTAGGGAAGACTCAGTTATGGCAAAACCTTCTGAGGTTGGAGTGCTGGCCACAGAATGCAGTTTATGCCCTGAACCTGCAACCATTCTGCAGCAGCGTTTCTGTCTCAGCTGGAATTCATGATGGGCCCAGGATCAGAGAGGTAGAAGTGGAAGTAGGGCCTCTCGCTATTGCACCTGATGACCCATTCACAACATTTTCACGTGCAGTCCCATGATGCTGAGCTCTGCTAGGTGGGAGGTTTGATGCCCCACAGAGATTAGCTTCCACAAAAATAAGCATTGAACTGGAAGCTGAGACAGCTACCTTGCTCTTCTGGGCTCCTTATGCCATCGAGTGAACAGGCAGAAAAGGAGAAGATGTGAGCTGTGGTGATCAATCCTGACATCTTGATGATTTACAGGAAAAAGAGTTGCTGTTACACAGCAGGGCCAGGGAGGAGGATGGGAGGAACCCTCAGCAGCCCACAGGAATATCTTGTACCACCATGTCCAATAGTTAAGGTTAACAGAAGATGAAAGCATGAGATAACCAAGACTTCAGGTCCTCTAGCAGCAAAGGCTTAGGTCACTCTACGAGGAAAGAACCCCAACCATCTTCAGTCCTGGCTGTACTAACATAGTGGTTAAGAGGCTGAGCTCTGGTACCAGACTGGCTGGGGTTCGAATCTGTGTGCTAACACTGCTGGCTGTGTGCCTTTCCTTACGTTAGTTTGCACATCTATAAAATCGAGATGATAATAATTAATATCTCAAATGGTAATTTTGAGAATTAAATGAGTTAATACTTGTAAAGCACTTAGAACATGTTCTGGCATGTAATAAGCACTCTATAAATGTTACCTATTATTAAGTCAAAGGAATGAGAAGTAAAAGGGAACCAAGTCATAAATACTAGCTACAGCCTCAGGATCAGTTGGGAAAATGAGACTATGACACACAAAACCCTGTACAGAAATGTTTATGCCAGTTTTATTTGTAATAGCTAAAAACTGGAAAGAAAAACCCCAGATACCCTTCAATGTGTGAATGATTAAATGAACTAGTAAGTCCAGGCCATGGTGTATTACTCTCCAATAAGAGCGAATGAATGATTGATACATGCAGTGACCTGGCTGAATCTTCAGAGAATCATGCTGAGTGAAGAAAGCTAATCAAGAGGTTTCATACTGTATGATTCCTTCTAAAGAACTTTTTTTTTTTTTTGAGACAGTCTTCCTCTGTTGTCCAGGCTGGAGTGCAGTGGCGTGATCATGGCTCACTGCAGCTTCAACCTCCAGGGCTCAAGGGATCTTCCTGCCTCAGCCTTCCAAGTAGCTGGGACCACAGGTGAGTGCCGCCACACCCAGCTAATGTTTTTAAATTTTTTTTTGTAGAGATGGTGGCTGGACACAGTGGCTCACGCGTGTAATCCCAGCACTTTGGGAGCCTGGGGTGGCAAATAACATAAGGTCAGGAGTTCGAGACCAGCCTGGCCAACATGGCGAAACCCCATCTCTACTAAAAATACAAAAATTATCCAGGCATGGTGGTGCATGCCTGTAATCCCAGCTACTCAGGAGGCTGAGGCAGGAGAATAGCTTGAACCCAGGATTTGGAGGTTGCAGTGAGCAGAGATCACTCCACTGCACTCCAGCCTGAGTGACAGAGTGAGACTTCGTCTCAAAAAAAAAATTTTTTTTTGTAGAGTTGGGGTTTCGCCATGTTGCCCAAGCTGGTCTCAAACTCCTGGGCTCAAGTGATCCTCCTACTTCAGCCTCCCAAAGTGCTGGGATGACTTACATGAGCCACCACGCCCAGCCTATAGAACAGGGGTCCCTAACCCTTGGGATGCAGACTACTACTGGCTGTGGCCTATTAGGAACCAGACTGCACAGCAGGAGGTGAGCCCCAGGCAAGCTTTACAGCCTGAGCTCTGCCTCCTGTCAGATCAGCAGCCACATGAGATTCTCATAGGAGCTCAAACCCTATTGTGAACTGTGCATGAGAGGGATCTTTGTTGTACACTCCTTATGAGAATCTAATGCCTGATGATCTGAGGTGGAACAATTTCATCCCAAAACCACACCCCATCCCCCGCATCTGTGAAAAAATTGTCTTCCATGAAACCCATCACTGGTGCCAAAAAGATTGGGGACCATTGCTATAGGACATTTTTGAAATGATAACATTATAAAGATGGAGAACAGACAGTGGTTGACAGGAGTTAAGGGGGTGTGGGGTTGGGAAGGAAGTGCATGTGGCTGTAAAAGAGATCCTTGCAGTGATGGAAATGTTCTATATCTTGACTGTGTCAATGTCAATATCCTGGTTGTGATAATGTACTATAGTTTTGCAAGATGTTATCAATTGAGAGAAACTGTGTAAAGGGCAATCTTTCTGTTATTTCTTACAACTTCATGGGAACCTACAATTATCTCAAAATACAAAGTTTAATTTAAAACATGAGAACAGTAATTTATTTATTTATTTATTTTTTCCTCTCGAGACAGAGTCTCGCTCTGTCACCCAGGCTGATCTCAGCCTGGGTGTGATCTGGGCTCACTGCAACCTCCACCCCGGGGTTCAAGCAATTCTCCTGGCTCAACCTCCCAAGTAGCTGGGATTACAAGTGCCTGCCACCACACCCATTTAATTTTTTTGTATTTTTGGTAGAGACGGGGTTTCACCATGTTGGCCAGGCTGGTCTCAAACTCCTGAGCTCAGGTGATCCACCCGCGTTGGCCTCCCAAAGTGGTGGGATTACAGGCATGGCCCACCGCACCCAGCCGAGAACAGGAATTTCTACCTATATTTCCTTCCTTACTGTGTTGTGTGTGTTTGTATGTGTGTGTGTTTAATTTGTAGCATTTGCCAGTTTCTGTGGTGTAAATACTCCCACTACAGCTGTTTTCAAGCTAACATTGTGATACCACAAAAAATGGAATTGGGAAGGCACAATCAAGATTAACAAGCCAGTTTAGACCAAGACAATTTTTCTGCCCTATTAGTTGGGCACAAGTTAGAAAGGCTGATAGTATCTCATGTTGGAAAGGTGAGAGAGAAGGGCCCTCATGCATTATTAATGGCATATGCATTGAAGTGCCCTTGTTTGAGGGCAATGCTGTTAGTAACTTTTAAAATATGAGATGTCATACTTTTTGACTGAAAATACAACTCTTGTAGGATTCTATTTTATAGAACTACTTAGGTGCATAAATATACAAAAATAACTGTCATTGCAGCATTATTTGTAATAGTGGAAACAGAAGACTTTTCATTAATAAGAGAATGGTTAGGCCAGATCCAGTGGCTCACACCTGTAATCCCAACATTTTGGGAATCCAAGGCAGGAGGATCGCTTTAGCCTAGGAGTTGGAGACCAGCATGGGCAACATAACAAGACCTTGTCTCTACTAAAAAAAAATAATAATAATTAGTCTGGCATGGTGGCACACCTGTACTCCCAGCTACTTGGGAGGCTGGGGCAAGGAGGATTGCTTGAGCCCAGGAGATTGAGGCTGCAGTGAACTGTGATCACACCACTGCACACCAGCCTGGGTGACACAGCAAAACTCTGTCTCAAAAAAAAAAAAAAAAAAAGCACTTCGGAGGTCGAGGGAGGCGGATTGCCTGAGCTCAGGAATTTGAGACCAGCCTGAGAAAAATGGTGAGACTCCATGTCTGCAAAAGATATAAAAATTAGCTGGCTGGTGGGCGCCTGTAGTCCCAGGAACTGGGGAGGCTGAAGTGGGAGGATGGCTTGAACCTCTGGGAGGCGGAGACTGCAGTGAGCCGTGACCCACCACTGCACTGCAGCATGGCCAACAGAGCCAGACCCTGTCTCAAAAATAAAATAAAATAGGCCAGGTGCAGTGGCTCACACCTGTAATCCCAGCACTTTGGGAGGCCGAGGTGGGCGGATCACCTGAATCAGGAGTTTGAGACCAGCCTGACCAACATGGAGAAACCCCGTCTCTACTAAAAAATACAAAATTAGCTGGGCGTGGTGGCGCATGCCTGTAATCCCAGCTACTCAGGAGGCTGAGGCAGGAGAATTGCTTGAACCTGGGAGGCGAAGGTTGCAATGAGCTGAGATCGCGCTATTGCATTCCGGCCTGAGCAACAAGAGCGAAACTCCATCTCAAAAATAAATAAATAAATAAATAAAATAAAATAAATAAAAATTAGCCAGGCATGGTGATGCGAGCCTGTGGTCCCAGCTACTCAGTAGGCTGAGGCAGGAGGATCACTTCAGCCCGGGAGGTTGAGGCTGCAGTGAGCCATGGATTGCACCACTACACTCCAGCCTGGGTGACAGAGTGAGACCCTGTCTCAAAAAGAAAAAAAATGGTTAAATAGTTCATAATATATCTGTGCTGTGGAATATTGTGAAGCAATTACAACAAGTTAAGTAGACTATACAGGGGAGGAGGGCCAAGACATTTGAGAGCAAAAAGCAGGCTGCCAAACTGTATATAACACGATTCCATTCCAAAAAATAATTCTGTTTGCATGTGGATAAAAACAGTCTAGAAAGACACAAGATAAAAATGAAGGTTACTTGGGAAAAGAGTGAAGTTGGGTAATTTTTACTTTGTATATTTATTTATTTGGGAGAGTTTTGCTCTTGTTGCCCAGGCTGGAGTGCAATGGCGCTATCTCGGCTCACTGCAACTTCTGCCTCCCAGGTTCAAGCGATTCTCCTGCCTCAGCCTACCAAGTAGCTGGGATTACAAGCACCTGCCACCACGCCCGGCTAATTTTTGTATTTTTAGTAGAGACGGAGTTTCACCATGTTGGCCAGGCTGGTCTCAAACTCCTGACCTCAGGTGATCTGCCCACCTCGGCCTACCAAAATACTGGAATTACAGGCATGAGCCACCACGCCCAGCCTTATTATTATTATTATTATTATTATTATTATTATTATTATTTTATTTTATTTTATTTTTTGAGACAAAGTCTCGCTGGGTAGCCCAGGCTGGAGTGCAGTGGTGCAATCTCGGCTCACTGCAACCTCCACCTTCTGGGTTCAAACGATTCTCCTGCCTCAGGCTCCCAAGTAGCTGGGACTACAGGCGCCCGCCACCACGCCTGGCTAATTTTTTTATTTTTTTATTTTTAGTAGAGACGGGGTTTCACTATGTTGGCCAGGGTGGTCTTGAACTCCTGACATCGTGATCTGTCCGCCTCAGCCTCCCAAAGTGCTGGGATTACAGGCGTGAGCCACCGCGCTCGGCCGTACCTGTCCTTCTTGGGAAGGCTTTCCAGGTATTTGAAGGGACTTAGGTGTTGTCATCTAAGCTGTCTCTGCATTAGGCGGCACCCCAAGCTCAGTAATGCTGTGGTCCCTGCAGCCTCATAGAGTACCACCTTGGTGGTCCTGAATAAGAGCCAAAATAATTCTCTGGATTACCAGGTAGAAATTCCTATTCTCTTCTTGTATTTTCTTCCAAACAAACAGAGTCTCTCTCAAAGTCTCAAAGCCATTTGTAGTGGCATAAGGATCTTGCCTGTGAATAGCCACTGCTCTCCAGCTTGGGCAACATAGTGAGAACTCATCTGTCAAAAAAAAATTTTATAGTAATGCTGAAATCTAAAATCGTATTATAACCTCTCTCAACCCACCATTTCCCTTTCCAGGGACCAAGTTACTCCCTTCCTCCCCTTTCCCCAGGAAAGCCTACTTCCTGCTTTAATTCCATTATAATTGGCAGATTTCATTTATTTTTATTTATTTATTTTGAGACGGAGTCTCGCTCTGTCGCCCAGGCTGGAGTGCAGTGGCGTGATCTCGGCTCACTGCAAGCTCCGCCTCCCGTGTTCTCGCCATTCTCCTGCCCCAGCCTCCCGAGTAGCTGGGATTACAGGCGCCCGCCACCACGCCGACTAATTTTTTGTATTTTTAGTAGAGACGGGGTTTCACCGTGTTAGCCAGGATGGTCTCGATCTCCTGACCTCGTGATCCGCCCGCCTTGGCCTCCCAAAGTGCCGGGATTACAAGCATGAGCCACCACGCCCGGCCGCTTTCATTTATTTTTTATTGCTGGAAAATGTTTCAGAAGTTCCTTACTTTTTTCCCAGAGTGTCATTATAAGTAAGACTATATAAAACTCATTTTCAACTGCCACTATGACTCAATTTTACACACATGCGCGCGCATCCCCCACCCTCGCCTGCCCACATTCTTAGTGTTGTTTTGTGTGTTTAAATTAGCGCAGATGGTACCATATCATATATGTCATTCTGTGGTTTATCTGGTTCACTCAACAATGTGTTTGATATGTTAGGTTCTTTCCTTTAAGCTACCTTGTAGTATTCTTTTGTAATAATATACTGCATTTTATCTACTCCCCCTTGATGAGCATTTAGACTGTTTCTATTTTTTTGCTATTACGAACAATGCTCTGATGAACATTCTTGAATGTTTCCTAACGTGTACATGTGAGTGTCTCTATGTTATAGGTTTATTGGGTAATTTAGCATGTGTAATTTTCAGTTTTATTAGGTGCTATCAAGTTTTTTTTTTTTTTTTTTTTTGAGACAGAGTTTCACTCTTGTTCCCCAGGCCGGAGTGCAATGGCACAATCTTGGCTCACCGCAACCTCCACCTCCCGGGTTCAAGTGATTCTCCTGCCTCAGCCTCCTAAGTAGCTGGGATTACAGGCACCCGCCATCATACCCGGCTAATTTTTGTATTTTTAGTACAGACGAGATTTCATCATGTTGGCCAGGCTGGTTTCGAACTCATGACCTCAGGTGATCCACCCGCCTTGGCCTCCCAAAGTGCTGAGATTATAGGCATGAGCCACTGCACAAAGCCTTAAACATTGCCTCAAACCTCAGTGACCTTTGCCTAGAGGTGTAAACCTTGACTCTAATCTACCCCGACTAAAGGACTATGACTCTGGAGCATAATCTTGGCAGGAAGCATGTTAGAACTGCCCTTCTCATTGCCAGTCTCTGATTTTATTTGTTTGATTTAGCACAGATTAGGGGAAAATCTGAATATCCATAATCAGACAGGTTCACTGGTCTGAGAAGGGTGTGGAGGTTGAGCACAAAATTTCCTCTCCCTATTCCAGAACTTGGGAGTTACACAGTTCAGTGAACCCTTGAAGGTAGAACATCAGAGGAACAGAGGGTACAGAACTGAATGTGTAAACTGTTGATCTTCTGGGCATTCCTGGTTGTGAGCTTTCCCAGTATGAGAGGTGCTCAGAACGGGGTGGGCCAGGCCTAGTGGTTCAGGGGAATAACGTGTTCTGAATGTGTGTTTATTCTTTTCAACTTTATTATTTTTATTTATTTATTTATTTGTTTATTTGTTTTGAGATGGAGTCTCACTCTGTTGCCAGGCTGGAGTGCAGTGGCGTGATCTCTGCCCACTGCAACCTCCACCTCCCTGGTTCCAGCGATTCTCCTGCCTCAGCCTCCCGAGTTGCTGGGATTACAAGCGCCCACCACCATGCCCAGCTAATTTTTCTATTTTTAATAGAGATGGGTTTTCACCATATTGGCCAGGATGGTCTCGATCTCTTGACCTCATGATCTGCCCGCCTCGGCCTCCCAAAGTGCTGGAATTACAGGTGTTAGTCACCGTGCCTGGCCTTATTTTTATTCCTTATTTTTGAGACAGAGTCTCTCTCTGCCACCCAGGCTGGAGTGCAATGGCACCATCATGGCTCACTGCAGCCTCGGCATCCTGAGTGCACGCCAGTCTCCCACCTCAGTCTCCTGAGTAGCTGGGACTGCAGGTGCACACCACCAGGTCTGGCTAATTAAAAAAAATTTTTTTTTGTAGAGATAAGGTCCCATTATGTTGGCCTTGAACTTGAACTGCTGGGATCAAGTGATCTGCCAGCCTTGGTCTCCCAAAGTGCTGGGATTATAGGCGTGAGCTACTGTGCCTGGCCTTATTTTAAGCAATGCCACCAAAGGGCTGAGGAAGGAATGAAGACTAGATGAACTAAAATTTCAGAGAGGGGAGAACTTTTCTGAGGTGAGTTGAGTATATACTTAGGATTGGGTTTAACCTAGACAGAATGCCTCTCCTTGGGAAGACCATCAAAAGTTTCTGGTGGCCATGCAAAGCAAGTTGGAAACTTAAGGGGCCTCTAACTATGGCCAGTTTTACCTATGGAATATTTGCTGAACACTGGGAATGTGCAGGAGCCTGGAGAGTCAGGCTAAAAGCTCCTAAAAGGCAGACTGAATCTCCTATGGTCTGGAATTATTGATTAAAAAATGAAGATCTGCTGAGGCAGAGCAGGGAGAAGAGCCTCAATTACTCAACTGGTCTTCTCCTCCTCAAGATATTTGCCAGATTTTGAGTCTGCATGAAGTAGAAGCCTGGAGAGCTAGCTCAATATCATTCCGTATTTCAGGGCAGAGAGGATGAATACCTGTCCAGTTTTCAATCAAAGGTTGTGAGAGGCCGGGCACAGTAGCTCACATCTGTAATCCCAGCACTTTGGGAGGCTGAGGTGGATGGATGGCTTGAGTCTAGGAGTTCAAAACCAGCCTGGGCAACATAGTAAGACCCCCATCTCTTAAAAAAAAAAAGAAAAAGAAAAGAAAAGAAAAATTAGCCAGGCATGGTGGCACGCACCTGTGGTCCCAGCTACTAGGGAAGCTGAGGTGGGATGATCACCTGAGCCCAGGAGATGGAGGTTTCAGTGAGCCATGATTGCACCACTGCACTCTAGTCTGGGTAACAGAGCAAGGCCATCTCAAAACAACAACAAAAGGTTGTGAGAAGGGGGATGAACCAGGCTGAAACAGCAACCCAGTCCTGTCACAGTCTAATCCCAGATTGAATTGAAGTGATCAGATCCTTACTCTATCTGCCTGATAGAAAAAAGGGAAAACTCTCTTTGGTAGAAGATGATATGATATGGCTCCTCTATATTTACTCATAATTTCTGGCAAACAATACAAAATTGTAAAACTTGCAAAGTCAAAAGTAAACGTGACCAAAATTAAAGAAAAAAAAAAGATAATGGAAGCAGACCCACAGATGATCCAGATATTAGAGTTAGCATTCAAGAATGTAAAATAACTACAATTAACATGTAAAGGAAAATAGAGAAAATGATGAATATATAGATGAAAATACGGATCATTTAAACAGAGAAATAGAATCTATAAAAAAAGTCAAATGAACATATTAAAACTGAAAAAAAATCTGAAATTAAGAACTCAGTGTACAGGTTTAATAGCAGATTGGGTACAGCAGAACATAAGATTAGTGAACTTGAAGACAGGTCAGTAGAAAATACTCAAACTGAAGGACAGAGATTTAAAAAAGAATAAAAAAGAAAAAGAAAGGAGGAAGATTAGGGGTAAGCTAAAATATCTACCATACATACATCTGGAGTCTCAAAAGGAGAGAAGAAAGATTATTGGGCAAAAGCAATATTGGAAGAGATAAAAACAGTAGTGCAGCCATGGATAAACTGGACATGTTTTCTTTCTTATCTTCCTTTTATAGCCCCTGAGGCCAGATAATTTTCCAAACTGATGAAAGATATCAACTCACAGAGTCAAGAAGCTCAGCAAACCCAAGCAGGGCAGATACAAACAAAACAATTCCTAAGAATATACTAGTAATGCTATTAAACACTGGCCAGGCATGGTGGCTTATGCCTGTAATCCCAGCACTTTGGGAGGCTGAGGTAGATGGATTACCTGAGGTCAGGAGTTCAACACCAGCCTGGCCAACATGAACCCCATCTCTACTAAAAATACAAAAATTAGTCGGTCATAGTGGTGTGTGCCTGTAATCCCAGCTACCTGGGCAGGCAGAGGCAGGAGAATCGCTTGAACCCGGGAGGCAGAGGTTGCATTGAGCCAAGATCATGTCATTGCACTCCAGCCTGGGCAACAGAGCAAAACTCCATCTCAAAAAAAAAAAAAAAAAAAAAAAAAAAAAAAAAACACAAAAAACAAACAAACAAAAAAAACTATTAAACATCTTAAAGAAGTCAGAGGAAAAAAAGCCACATTACCTTCAAAGAAACAATATGACTAACAGGTAACTTTTCAACAAAAACAACAGAAGTTTGCTGGGTGCAGTGGCTCACACCTGTAGTCCTAGTACTTTGGGAGGTTGAGGCAGGCAGATCACCTGAGGTCAGGAGTTTGAGACCAGTCTGGCCAATATTATGAAAACCCTTCTCTACTAAAAATTGAAAAATCAGCTGGGCGTGGTGGCACATACCTGTAAACCCAGCTACTTGGGAGGCTGAGGCAGGAGAATCGCTTGAACCCAGGAGGTAGAGGTTGCAGTAAGCTGAGATTGCACCACTGCACTCCAGCCTGGGCAATAGAGTAAGACTTTGTCTCAAAAAAGAAAACAAAACAAAACAAAAACCGAAAAACAAACAAACAAAAAACCAATGGAAGCCAGGAGACAATGAAATAACACATTTAAAGCTCCAAAAGAAAATAACTATCAACCTGTGCCAAAGGATAAATGCTACAAAAATAAAAGTTTAAGAAAGACACTTTTACCAAAACAATCTTGAAGAAGAACAAAGTTATAGGTCTCACATTTCCTGATTTCAAAACTTATGACAAAGCTACAGTAATCAAAACAGTGTGGTACTGTCATAAAGACAGACACACTGGCCAGGCGCGGTGGCTCACGCCTATAATCCCAGCACTTTGGGAAGCCAAACTGGGAGGATCATGAGGTCAGGAGATCAAGACCATCCTGGCTAACATGGTGAAACCCTGTCTCTACTAAAAAATACAAAAAATCAGCCAGGCGTGGTGGTGGGCGCCTGTAGTCCTAGCTACTCGGGAGGCTGAGGCAGGAGAATGGCGTGAACCCCGGGAGGCAGAGCTTGCAGTGAGCCGAGATCGCACCACTGCACTCCAGCCTGGGCAAAAGAGCGAGACTCCGTCTCAAAAAAAAAAAAAAAAAAAAGACAGACATACAGACCAATGGAATAGAATAGAGAGCCCAGAAATAAACATTCACATACATGATCAAATGAGTTTTGGGCTTTTTTTTTTTTTTTTTTTTGAGACAGGGTCTCACTCTGTTGCTCAGGCTGGAATGCAGTGGTGCAATCATAGCTTATTGCAGCCTTGAACTCTTGAGCTCAAGCAATCCTCCTGTCTCAGCCTCCCAAGTAGCTGGGACTACAGGCACATGCCACCACACCCGGCTAATTTTTAATGTTTTTGTAGATATAGGGTCTCATTAGATTGCCCAGGCTGGTCTTGAATTCTTGAGCCCAAGCAATCCTCCTACCTTGGCCCCCCAATGTGCTGGAATTACAGATGTGAACCATTACACCCAGCCTCAAATGAGTTTTGGCAAGGGAGCCAAGACCATTCAATGGGGAAAGTAGAGTCTTTTCAACAAACAGTAGTGGGAAAACTGGATATCCACATGCACAAGAATGAAGTTACAGCAATACAAAAATTAATTGGAAATGAATCAAAGATTTAAACTAACAGCTAAAACTGAACTGTTAGAACACGGGAAAAGCTTCATGACATTGCATTTGGCAACGATTTCTGGAAATGACACCAAAGTCAGGACAAGAAAAGAAAATAAATAGGACTACATCAAAATTAAAAGCTTTTGTGCATCAAAGGACACTTTGCAAGACAAACTCAGTTCCTGCCTTTATGGAACTTTTAGCTTAGTAAGGCAGTCTTTCAAGTTATGACGAATGCTATGAGAGGTGTTATAGAATTGAATTACAGAGGATATAAAACTTCAAAAATCCTCAGGGGATCCTCAAGGGGGACTCACATACTAGTGCAGCCATGGATACATTGGATATGTTTTCTTTCTCATCTTTCTGTTCTAGTCCCTTGGGACAGACCTTGCGTAGGTCAAGAAAGAATCCTTAACTGTATTGGAGTTGAAGGTTCAAATCCCATTCTCTTAAAAAGTGGAGTAGTGGCCCGGGCACGTTGGCTGACGCCTGTAATCCCAGCACTTTGGGAGGCCAAGGCGGGCAGATCACCTGAAGTCAGGAGTTCGAGACCAGCTTGGCCAACATGGTGAAACTCCATCTCTACCAAAAATACAAAAATTAGCCAGGCATGGTGGTGGGCACCTATAATCCCAGCTACTCAGGAGGCTGAGGCAGGAGAATTGCTTGAACCCGGGAGGTGGAGGTTGCAGTGGGCCAAGATGTCTTATGTCTTGTTCTCACGGTTCTCACGTTCTTTTGAATATTGCATCATCAGTAGTTAGCAGTTTGCTTTCTCTGACATCCTACTCTCAGGAGGGATGACTCTGGATCCTCTCATTTAAAAAATTATTTTATATATAGATAAAATATATAGCTATATTACCCCACCGGTAACATAGCTTCTAAAAGCTCAGGGTCACATCCCTGAGGTGACCCTCTCCTGCCTTAAAGTGTCTGCCTGAGAAAACTCAAGGCTGCCAAAATAATTTACTTTGTTCCAGCCAATACCTGAGAATAGGCCAGGGGCAGTGGCTCACGCCTGTAATCCCAGCACTTTGGGTGGGCAGCTTTCTTTCTCTCTCTTTCGTTCTTCCTTTCCTTCCTTTCCTTTCCCTCCCTCCCTCTCTCTCTTCTCTTCCTTCCTTCCTTTCCTTTTCCTTCCTTTCCTTTCCCTTCCTTTCTTTCTTCCTTTCTTTTTCTTTCTGTCTGTCTCTCTTTCCTTTCTTTCTTTCCTTCCTTCCTTTCCTTTCCTTCTTTCCTTTCTTTTCTTTCCTTTTTTTGAGACAGCGTTTCGTTAGTTCTGTCACTCAGGCTGGAGTGCAGTGGTGCAATCTTGGCTCACTGCAACCTCTGTCTCCTGGGTTCAAACAAATCTCCTGCCTCAACCTCCCAAGTACCTGGGATTACAGGCGTGTGCCACCACACCCGGCTAATTTTTGTATTTTTTGTAGAGATGGGGTTTCATCACGTTGGCCATGCTGGTCTTGAATTCCTGACCTCAGGTGATCCGCCCATCTAAGTCTCCCAAAGTCCTGGGATTACAGGCATGAGCCACCGCGCCCGGCCTGAGGTGGGCAGATTTCTTGAGCTCAGGAGTTTGAAACTAGCCTGGGCAACATGGTGAGATCTCTCCTGGTCTCTACAAAAAAATACAAAAATTAGGCCGGTCGTGGTGTCTCACGCCTGTAATTCCATCACTTTGGGAGGCTGGGGTGAGAGGATTACCTGAGGTCAGGAGTTTGAGACCAACCTGGCCAGTGTGATGAAACCCCATCTCTACTAAAAATACAACAACAACAACAAAAAAAAAATTAGCTGGGCATGGTTGTGCACCCCTGTAATCCCAGCTACTGAGGAGGCTGAGGCTGGAGAATCGCTTGAACCAGGGAGGCGGAGGCTGCTTTGAGTTGAGATCGTGCCACTGCACTCCAGCCTGTGCAACAGAGCAAGACTCCCTCTCAAAATAAGAAAAAAAGAAAAAAAACAAAAACAAAAATTAGCCGGGTGTGGCATCTGTAGTCCCCAGCTACTCGAGAGGTTGCAGCTGGAGGATCGCTGGAGCCGGGGAGGCAAGGGTCGCAGTGAGCCGAGATCATGCCACTGCACTCCAGCCTGGGTGACAGAGCCAGACCTTGTCTCAAAAAACAAACAAACAAAAGACACCTAAGGACAGTGTTGAGGATGGTATCCTCACCAGTCTCTGTGGGAGGATGGAATCCTAACTTCCATAAATGCCAGCTAGCAGACATCATTGACCTAAGCACATTTACATTGACTAATTCTGTAAATGTTCACTTCCCTGACTCTACTGACCCTCTGTCTCACTGTCCCCTAACCTCATTTTCCCTATAAAATACCCATTACTTGCATACAAATTGCAGTTGAGTTCAGTTCATGCTGAACTGTTTTTCCTTATTGTAGTAGTTATTACTGATTGAAATCTGTCCTTTCCACTTTAGTGTCCGGCTTTGTTTATCTTTGACAAAATTCACCAGTTTGATTCAAGACAGTTTCCAGCCCCTGCTATGGAGTTACACTGAGAAGGAAACCCCTGGAATTTAGTTTCACCCCTACACTTCCAATGGAATTTTTCTGTTTCTTTAGAGGTGGGCAAGGGCCCTTGACAATAAGGAAACTTTCAGACTTGTCTAAGGTCCCACAGAGAGTGCTTGATCCACCTGAGCTATCACACCCCACAGGGTATACACAAGTGTATTCTTTTTTTTTTTTTTTTTTTTTTTTTTTTTGTGACAGGGTCTCGCTCTGTTGCCCAGGCTGGAGTGCAGTGGCGCCACCTTGGCTCACTGCAACCTCCCTCGGGTTCAGGCGATTCTCCCACCTCACCCTCCCAAGTAGCTGGAATTACAGGCCTGGCTAATTTTTTGTTTTGTTTTGTTTTGTAGAGGTGAGGTCTCACCATGTTGCCAAGGCTGGTCTTGAATTCCTGGGTTCAAGTGATCCTCCCGTCTTGGCCTCCCAAAGTTCTGGGATTACAGGCATGAGCCACCGCACCCGGCCCTGATTCCTTTTTTTATTCTAGCTTCAAGATTCAGTTCTACCGTTATCGGCTGTGTGACTGGGTAAATCACTACACCGCAAGCCTCGGTTTCCTATTTACCAAATGGGTCGAATAATGCCTGCCACATGGGGCTGCTCTGAGGAGTACAGATGTAAGAGATCCTGTGTTCACTGATATTTTCATGTGGGCTTTTTGATAATGATACAAAAGGAACATGAGAACTGTGACTTCTAGGCCGGGCGAGGCGGCTTACTCCTGTAATCCCAGCACTTTGGGAGTCCGAGGCAGGCGGATCACCTGAGATCCGGAGTTCGAGACCAGCCTGGCCAACATGGTGAAACCCCATCTCTAGCAAAAATACAAAAAATTAGCCAGGCGTGGTGGCAGGCGCCTGTAATCCCAGCTACTCGGGAGGCTAAGGCACGAGAATCGCTTGAATCTGGGAGGCGGAGGTTGCAGTGAGCCGAGATCGCGCCACTGCATTCCAGCCTGGGGGCCAGAGCGAGACTCCGTCTCAAAAAAATAAAAAATAAAATAAAAAATTGTGACGTCTCACTCAGGATCAGCGTCTTTAAGTGGCCACCTCCCCACCCCACCTTCATGCCTCCCTCCTCCTTGAATCGTGTGTTAGAACGCTGTGATCTGGTCCAAACTCCACGGAGATGCGATGCGATGCGAAGCGATGTTGGGCAATTTCAACTCCCTGTCTCGGTCGCCACCTAGGATTACTGCATGTTCAGCTACGACCTCATCAACATGGCTGCTGGAAGTCGTCTACAGGAAAAAGAAAGAAATGACACTGAAGGATCACTTCCGCTTCCGTTGGCGCAAGCGCTTTCATTTTTTCTGCTACCGTGACTAAGATGGAAGCGTTTTTGGGGTCGCGGTCCGGACTTTGGGCGGGGGGTCCGGCCCCAGGACAGTTTTACCGCATTCCGTCCACTCCCGATTCCTTCATGGATCCGGCGTCTGCACTTTACAGAGGTCCAATCACGCGGACCCAGTAAGTTCTCGGCGCTTTCGTTTGCGTAGCGGGAGGGACCGTGGGGCCTGGTGCTGCCGGCTGGTTTTGAGAGCCCGGGAAGGTGAGGCGGGGACCCCGGGGGCGCGCGAACGGCAGGGGAGCTCAGGGCGCGGAGTCCTGGAGAATGCAGAATAATTGGAAGGAATTATAGAAAATCAGAAGCGCAGCTCAGTGCGCGGAAAGAGGGCGCAGTCCATCCCCCCTCTCAGCTCCCACCGTTCTCACTCTTTAGGAACCCCATGGTGACCGGGACCTCAGTCCTCGGCGTTAAGTTCGAGGGCGGAGTGGTGATTGCCGCAGACATGCTGGGATCCTACGGCTCCTTGGCTCGTTTCCGCAACATCTCTCGCATTATGCGAGTCAACAACAGTACCATGCTGGGTGCCTCTGGCGACTACGCTGATTTCCAGTATTTGAAGCAAGTTCTCGGCCAGATGGTGTAAGTCATCCAGAGAACAGGAGAGTGGTTCCCAAGTAGAGAGGGGAGTCCCCTGTTTTTTATTCCCTTCGATGGGATGGGGGGACTTGTTGCAGCGGGGGACTGGAAGAGTTGTTGGAGGTGGGCGATCTGTGTTTGCAATAAAGTTTTTGGCATTAGGTGTAAAATGGGGGAAGGTGTGGTAACTTCTTTTGGGGATGGGTGGAGACCCCGACTTAATTCTCTCCCTTTTCTCACAACCAATTCCTTTTAAGGATTGATGAGGAGCTTCTGGGAGATGGACACAGCTATAGTCCTAGAGCTATTCATTCATGGCTGACCAGGGCCATGTACAGCCGGCGCTCGAAGATGAACCCTTTGTGGAACACCATGGTCATCGGAGGCTATGCTGATGGAGAGAGGTTCATATGAATACAAATAACTTATTTCCTTTACCACCCAACCTAGTACCTGTGTAGTATCTCTTCTGTCTCTTCTCCCCAAGTGAATCCCACTTTAACTCAGACCCCATGGTCCCCTTCTTCAGCTAAGATGAATCTAAGGTGAAATGAGTTTTGACCCATTGTGTCCTGTTAGCTTCCTCGGTTATGTGGACATGCTTGGTGTAGCCTATGAAGCCCCTTCGCTGGCCACTGGTTATGGTGCATACTTGGCTCAGGTAAGTAGTAAGTCTAGAGGTGGGGGAAAGGGAAGACAAAAGGAAATGGATTAGTGGTTGTCTGCTTTTCTCCTGAAATTCTGATATGAGGGATGGGCTGGGATCGCTATTACTGGGCAGATGGTTTTCTTTGTAGTCTGGGGGCTGTAGGTGTTGACACTGATTCCAGTGACAAGATGACATGACTGGGAGTCAGTAGACATGCAAAGAGAGGACACCCTAGAACTTCTTCCTGAAGTGGCTCTTAGCTTATTTTCTAAGCAGAGTTCATTCTGGTGAGGCAAGAAGTAGAATGTCATCTTTCACTCTAATGCTTTTTATACCATAGATTTGAGACAACTAGCCTGTTATTCAGCCCAATATCCCCCCATGGTTTTCCCCCAATCTCCCTAGCCTCTGCTGCGAGAAGTTCTGGAGAAGCAGCCAGTGCTAAGCCAGACCGAGGCCCGCGACTTAGTAGAACGCTGCATGCGAGTGCTGTACTACCGAGATGCCCGTTCTTACAACCGGGTGAGGGATGTGCTGGGAACCTAATTGGCGGGCTCTGGCTACTTGCAATCCCTGGGTCTCTATGCTTTGAAGAACAGATTGCCTTACTTGTGTGACTCCTATTTTCACATTGGGGAAGACCTCCACCTGACCTTTCATTTAAGGACTTAAGGCGTGGGCATTATTGAATGCTCTGCTTTCTTCCAGTTTCAAATCGCCACTGTCACCGAAAAAGGTGTTGAAATAGAGGGACCATTGTCTACAGAGACCAACTGGGATATTGCCCACATGATCAGGTGAGTAATAGGGAAAAAATTGGTGACAGACTTGGGAGGTCTTTGGCTTACACTAAGCTGGGCTTTTCTGGGAGGCTCACCCAGGAAAATTTTCTGGGTGGAAAGTTTTGGTTGGACAGTACAGCTATTTTTAGGAATTGATCCCTTTATGCTTCACAATTTTATTATTCTGTCTTCCTTTTTTAGTGGCTTTGAATGAAATACAGATGCATTATCCAGAACTGAAGTTGCCCTACTTTTAACTTTGAACTTGGCTAGTTCAAAGATAGACTCTTCTTTTGTAAAGTAAATAAATTCTTCAAAATGCTTGCTGAGTGGTTTTTGTCTGACTGGGTCACACCAAGTGCAAAACTGCTGAGTACTGCCATGTGCCATCTCCCTCCCTGGTCGGAGAACCCTTGTGGTCTTGCAGCACACACAGAAATTCTCTCTGCACAACACAGAAAGACACACTAGCGTCATTTGGAGCTGTATTAGAAGCAGAGCTTCCTGTAGAAGCCAGACTTAATTTTTGTGTGCTAACTGGCTTTTGTGTTCAAATTCCCCTCCCAAATCTTCCTCCACTGCACTGGATTATCAAATACAGATTTCTTAATGTTGGCTGTGATTTTCATTAAAATACCACTTTAAAAATAATCTAGTAGAACTATTCTGCATCAGGTTGCCCTCAAGTCAGCTGGGGCATCAGCCATCCCTGGAATGGTTCTAAACCTGAATATTTTAGAGACAAAAGTCTCATTCTGTTGCCCAGGCTGGCGTGCAGTGGCATGATCATAGCCTACTACAGCCTTGAATTTCTGAGCTCAAGCAACCTCCTGCCTCAGCCTCCCAAGTGCTGGGATTACTGGCATGAGCCATCATGCCCAGCTTGAATTTTTAAAATGAACACTGTAGGCGATTCTGACACAAATCCTCTCCAAACTTCTTGAGAAAGAAAATATAGGCAGCAAATTCAAAGTACAGAAATTCAGTGAGAACTGAAGGAAAAAATAAAACCATCCCTCCATTTGCATTGTCCGTTAACAACAAACTTGTAAAGCCAAACAATGAGCTTTCAATCTGAAACCTCCACACATTCAGTCTCAACACAGGAAACAGTCAATAAATACATGTTTATTGATTAAACTGAATTATAAAAAACAAAACCAAAAAAAAATTTCCTTCTACTACTAAGCCATGCAGGCAGAGTCCACAAAGACAACTTCCTGGCCAAAACCCAGCTGATCCACTGTTGGTATAATCTTAAAAAAAATTACCCATCAAGAAAGTCAATCGTGTGCAGAAGACAGGAACCCCAGCTCTGCTAAGGCTGTGGCTGCTGCAGAGACTACCAAAGAGTAGGATTAGGTTGTAGATAGACGTGACCAACCATAGTTCTTGAACTTTCTCAAAGGCAAAGGCTGACTTCAAAGTCCATTGTCTGTCAATAAAATGGCATCAGGCAAAAAGCTGGGGAAGAGAAGCCCAGATGGATCCTTGGTTGTTTTCAGATGTCAAAGGTTCACAAAGCTGGCCAAGCTGTTTCTGGAAGGGACTTTTCCAGTTCACTATATTATAGTGTGCTGGGGGATGAAAAAACAAACAAACAAAAAAGCAGGGTGGGGTGGGAGAAATGGGTGGTAACAAATGTCACACCTGTACCACCAGGCCCATCACATCTTGAGCATTCCCCAGTCTGTGAAAGCCTATTAAACAGGGTCACCTAGAAAAAAAACAAGTTTATAAATCCATTTCCCCTCATTTTATTAAATGTTCCACTTATGTACATTTTAAAGACGAACCATTTACAAGCTTGTGCAGTTTGCCTCCTTGGCTCACAGGAGGGGAACATTGTGGAAAGCCTCAGGATAAACAGAAGACTTGGTTTTTTGCTCCTTTTCTCTGTACGGTACAGTACGTTTTGGTTTACAACCATGAGTACATACAATTAAAAAAATCCCTCATGCAAATTGTAGAAAAAATTTTCTTTCCTTGAAGCTGGCAGTGAAAAATAAAGATTCATGTCATTTTCTTTGTGCACACCCCTGTGCGCTTCTTCCTGTCAGATTCTTCCCTAAGTATTAAGAGAAATAGGGGAAAGCCACAGAGCACGCTGGATTTCAACAAGTGGTCTTGTCTTTTTAAAGTTCAACACTTCTTGAACAATTAGCTCCTGGCTGTAGGACCAGTAATCCCTTAAACAGGCATGCTCTCCATCTAACAGGATGAAGTTCAGTAAAGCAGGGACTGCCCCTGGGGGCTTACAGGATGAAGACTCAAACTGGGAATGGCTTCCACCCTAAAACTGTTTGATCGCTTCAGTATCTCTTGCTTGCTAATAACACCTGTATGATCCTTTGTCCAGAGGGATGGATGGTGTTGAGAATGGGGAAAGGGGCCAAGGATCACAAGTGCAAAAAATATTGTTTATGTCATGTTTTGGAGGGAAGGTGGTGAGGAAAAGACAAATCTATTCATTCTGGATAATTAAAGGTGGTTTCATGCATTTTTAAAGCCACAATTTTATATCTAGGGTTGCTGTAGAAACCAACATCTCTGGAGAGGGAAGGAAAGAAAAGGAGAAGGAAGAGAGAGTTCAGTGGGACTTTTTTTCCATTTTCATTTTTATATAAAAGTGTTAAGACCACAATGAAAAAAGTTTTTTATCCATATATATAATAAACCAGTTTGTGAGCTACATAATTTGTCTTTCCCATCTTCAGAAATGTTCTCACATTAACAATGATTAGATAGCATCATGCCCAAAGACATTGGCCACACAATAAAACAAACAAAAAAACCCAGTACTATGATACAATTGAGGTAAAAGGGGAAACAAAAAAATTTAACATTTGCCCACAAATAATTTTTTTTCTTTTTCTTAATTTTGTCAGAAAAATACCAAACACAGTGATTTAAATTTAAAAAAAAAAAAAGTCACAAAAACCTGTTTTTAGCAGAAGTGAATGACCAATGGGCCAGCTCCTTGGCTCAGACGTGATTACTATTGGTTTTCCTAATTAATCCACAAATCCACAGGGAAGTGTAAGTCAACTTCAGGGGGGAGTGGTGGTATAAAATTAAAAAATAGAAACCAAATACCCCACCTGGTATGCCCCCTTTTCCCTAAGCCCCTTTACCCTCCCTCACATGTTCCCACCCTCACTCCACACCCCCTCATGACCCCAACACTCAAATCTCCATCAGATCTAGGTCAGCTTCTTCAAAGCCATAGAAAGACTCGGTCTCACTTTCACCCTCAAAGAGCTGGTGAAGACTTTCAGGCTCAATTGTCTCTTCAGGAGATGATCTGGGTCGTGGAGTGGAAGACTCAGAATGTTCCCCACTCAGCTTCAGTTGCTCCTCTAGGGAGGCAATTAGCTCCTCCTGCATGTCAGCATTTCTTGTAGGTGAGTTAATGTTGCCATCGGGGCCAGGCAGAACACTAGCCACCAGGAAGGAGCGCTGAACTAGCTCTGGACAGTCCCCAATGACACCTAGCACTTCACCCAGCCAGACAAGCACCAGCTGAAGCAGGACATCAGAATCACATGCAGTATCTGCCATTTCCCGAGCCTGTTCCTTCCATTTTTTATGCAGGAAGTTCTTGACAGTTCTTTTGATGCATACATCTAATGGCTGAATTTTGGAGCTACAGCCTGCTGGGACCACTGCAGGCAAAGTGCTAGAGGCACTAAGCATAGCCAGTACCTCTTCTGACAAGTGAGTGCGATGACAGTCCATCACAAGCATGCCTTTGCTGCGCTGGCAAGCTGTGTGCTTCTGCCACACTCGAGTTGACCACAGCTCCATGATCTCGTCATCACTGTAGCCACTCTCCTTTGCCTCTAGCAATATGGAGTCTGGCATGTTAGCAGGCTGATCCATCTGCCCTCTGTAGAAAACCAGGGTGGGAAGGACAGTGCCATCTGCCAGAATGGCTAGGACTACATCACACCAAGGTTCCCCTGTGCCCACTGTCTGCAGGGCATTCTCCTTTCGATCATCACTGCTCAGCACCTCTGTATCCAGGAACAAAGAGATCTCATCAATAGCCACAATCATAGACAAGGGTAAGTCCTGGTTGTGAATCTGCCGTTGTACAAAATCAATGAAGAGTCCTGCATTCTCTGCTACATCCTTAGGTAGGGTGTGGGCCACAGCTCGCCGGGCATGGGGAGTCAGGTGGTGCCGCAGCATGAAACGCACAGCCCACTCATAGGAGATCTTAAACCCCCCTTCCAAAGAACGTCCTATTTTGGTGGCCTTCTGGAACAAGGTCTCCTCATTTACAGGTAGCTGTTGTTCGCGCTGGGTTAGCACCCACTCAGCCAGTTTCTCTTCTGCCTCAAAGCTCAGATATTTGCCCTCTAGATTCTCCCCCTGGGAGGCCTGGAAACGTCGAAGCCAACGGCGAATACGTCGCTGGGGATTTCGGAAGTGTTCAGCTGCCTGTTCTGTATTGCAGCATAGAGCAAACAGTACTACTCGAAGCTTCTTCACAGACAGCTGCTCCTTTTTGCCAACTCCACCACTACCACCACCACCTGATGCTAGCTCAGGTTCTTGGGTGACTGGGCTCCCTTCATCCTGATCATCAACATTCAGACATTCGGCTCCCTCTGTAGCCAGCGGTGGAAGGGCTAAAGCCTGCGGGTGAGTGGGGGTTGGTGGTGGGGTTGCAGTTGAGGCTGGTGATGGGAGTGCTGGGGCTAAGGGAGTTAGTAGCTCTTCAGGCTCAGCTGGGGTGGCCCCCGCAGATTTCACAGTGGCAGCTTTGTTAGTGGGGAAGGAAGGAGGAGGGTACATATTCTTCACGTTCCGGTCATGCACTCGGTCACGAGTCTGGCCATGCCTAAAGGGGTGAGGAGCAAAGAGAAGAGGAGAAATCTCAGTTCAACTAGGAAATTGAAACAATAATATGATAATAATAATAATAATAACAGAGTAAACACACTGCAAACCAGAAATTAAATTGTGAGGTGAGTTTTTGTTACCTTGAGTGAGCTATCCAAGTGAGTCCTATGGAAAATGAAACAACAAAAATAGTTAGCTCAGTGAAAAAATAAGCCCTCCAAAGACAGTGCCCTGGGATTCAACTTACTACATACAAATACGCTGTTCGCAGTGACCAGCTTTCCCAGTTTTATATAAACTTCAGGTCGGAAGGTTTCTAATTAGGTCCAGCACATCTCAACAGTGAATGAGTGAGGCCAAGTAGGTATGCTCCTGATGCATACAGTACGAACCTGTATCTTTTTTCCTCCCCTTGCTCAACTAATCCCCTTCTCTCCTACTTACCCCGTGGCAGGATGCTGCTGGATCTGTGAGAGGGGTTGAATACCAAATGCTTGGCCATAGCATCGCCCACAGAGGTAACAAAGGTACATGAAGTGCAGGCCAGCTTGATTCCACTAAAAAAGAGAATTGAGACTATGTAAGACAAACACAGCAGTGACACTTGAGACCATTAAGCTTTGAGGCTTAAGAAAGAAAAGGAATGCCCTCCCACTTTCTCCTTTTTCTGAAATTAATTCACATAACCACCTCTCCAAATAATGAAAAACCTGAAAATTAATGTAAAAACCTGAAAAATTAAGATGCTGCCAATAAGTTTTTTCTTACCTCACAGAATTTTTAAACAAAGCCAAATACTTGGGGCTCTTCCGTGGAACATGATTGCTGAGAAAGACAAAGAAGTGGTATGAGTTACGGAGTTCTGCTGGCTAAGCTAGAGATCACCAGCCAGTGACAATGCCCCCAACAAAAGAGACACTTCTTCAGTGCACCCTAATCTCAACCTAAGCCAGTTTTCCTGTCACCATGCTTCTTAAACTTTAATATGCATACAAGTCACTGAGGATCTATTAAAATTCACATTCTGGTTCAGTAGGCCTAGGGCGGGGCTGAGAGTCAGCATTTCTAACAAGCTCCCACCTAATACTACTGGTACTTGAATAGCAAGGCCCTATGAAATTAGAGCACAGACCATCAAAACCGAAAAAACAGAGCCTCTCACTCTGCTAGGAGAGAAGAACAAATAGCTCTAAGAGTTGAAGGAGGAAACATATTAGAAGCAGGGGAGAAAATGAAATGAGTGCTCAAGAATCTGGCTGGGGCCGGGCGCAGTGGCTCATGTCTGTAATCCCAGCACTTTAGGGAGGCCGAGGCAGGTGGATCACCTGAGCTCAGGAGTTTGAGACCAGCCTGGCCAACAAGGTGAAACCCCGTCTCTACTAAAAATACAAAAAAATCAGCCAGGCATGGTGGTGCACACCTATAATCCCAGCTACTTGGGAGGCTGAGACAGGAGAATCACTTGAACCCAGGAGGCAGAGGTTGCAGTGAGCCAAGATCATGCTATTGCACTCCAGCCTAGGGGACAGAGTGAGACCCTGTCTTCAAAAAAAAAAAAAAAAAAAGAAGAAGAAGAAGAAGAAAAAAAGAATCTGAACTCTCAAGCTAAAACACTGGTTAAAAACCAACTTACTTGATCATGTGGTTGGCATAAGCTCGAGAACAGCAGGTGCTATAGCGACACAGAGAGCAGTGTACGTAAGTAGGGAAATGATTAGGGAAGTCTGGGATCTCGAAGCTGCACTCCAGGCATGTCTGCCGGCCCATGACACTCCTGTGGGGGAAAAAAAAAAAGAATTCTCATTACTGCCTCATGGGTCCCCAAAATGTAGGATTTTCAGACAACAAACCCTGCTAAAAAGCTACCAGATTGCACTGTGTATCAGGAATAATCCTGGCCACCCAGTCCCCACCCGCCCAGCACTTAGAAGAAGGCGCTGACATTTTCCTAACAGCTCTCTTCTGGATGCTGCGCTGGACAGGGGGATAAAGGAAGACAGGCAGAGGGTCCATTGAGGAGGTCAGCGGTGCTGCCTCCTGCAAGGCGCTGGGAGGTGTATCATTAGAGGATACAGGAACAGTTCGTGGCTGCCCTCGGGAAGCCCGGATTGTCACCTGAGAACCAAGGGAAGTAACAATGAGACATCACCCACACTAAATTTCAGAATACTGAAAATCTCTATTCCTCCCTCCCTGGGCCTATAAAAGACACTGGCAAACTCTTTACCTTGGTGCCTGGTTTCAAGCCCTCCAGCTGCTTGGGTTTACGGAAGGTTTTATGGTGTTGAAGCTTGTGTTCAATTTTGTCCTTGGCAAAGAGAAACTGCAGCCGGCATTTGTTGCAGTGATAAACATTTCTCTTCTGAAGTGGGGGAGGGAAAAAAAGAGACAAAATCCCTTAAAGGTTCCTAATAAATTTTCTTTTTTGAGGAGAAAGCAGATCAATGTCAACCATATCATTCTTCCCACCTTTCTGTTGATAATTTAAGAGAGTAAGAAAGAAATATGCAACATGACCACAAAACCTACCATTGAGAATCATCACCTCCCATGATATCAAAGAAAGATGGATTCTAGTCCAGGATGACTAAGTTCTCAAATCATCCTTTCCTGACTTGTTTTAACAATTTGAATGAGTGATGTAACCTTTATTTGTATTATATCTTTACACTGCTGACAACTGGACATTCTTCTGGACATTCTTCATTCTTCTTTTTTTAAAAAAGGACAATGTACATAGTAAACTAAAGTCATACTTTTTTTTCTATACTCTTCCAACTTTGCTTTCAACTCCAACACTCAGTCCCCTTCCATACAAACAACTTATTACCAGTTTCCTGAGTATGCTTTCGTGGGCAGTCTACACATATAACTGTATCACAAATACATTCATATCCAATCATTACCTGCCTCGCCCCCTTTTTTTGAGACAGGGTCTCTCTCTGTAGCCCAGGCTGGAGTGCAGTGGCATGTTCATAGCTCACTGCACGTCCCAAGTAGCTGGGACTACAGGCACGTGCCACCACGCCCGGCTACTTTTTGTATTTTTTTGTAGAGACGGGGTGTCACCATGTTGCCCAGGCTGGTCTTCAACTCCTGGGTTCAAGTGATCTACCTGCCTTGGCCTCCCAAAGTGTTGGGATTACAGGCGTGCATCACTGTGCCTGGCCCTTACTTTTTTCCCTTTCCTTTTTGTAGAGATGTTGTCTCACCATGTTGCCCAGGCTGGACTCCACCTCCTGGGCTCAAGTGATCCTCCCACCTCAGCCCTCTTCTTTTTCTCCTTTTAACACAAATGATAGCACTTGTCTATACCTTGCTGTTTTCTCACTTAACACATCAGTATATACAGATATGTCTCCTGGTGAGACCACTTTGAGGATTCAGTCTGCCTAGTATTGAAGTCCTTCAAAAATAGAACCCATGTCTATGATTTTCTTTAGTAGGATAACAAAGCTCTGTAAGCTTAGGCTAAGAGACAATTTCCATGCCCCTATTTGGAAATACAGTTGTGGTAGACAATCAGCAGTCACTACTGTGCAAAGGAGACTATGAGTGTAATAGGGTACATATGTTTGTGTGCATATGTATGTGACTATTAAGCACACATGCACTCATCTTATTCTCCATTTTGAATCCTCTCTTATATACTATATACCTTTCACTCTCCTCTAGTGGCTCTCTTCTTGTAGTATTTTAAAACGAAGTCATAGCTTTTCATCTTATAAGGAAAATAAAAGCAATAAAAAACTCTTCTTTGCCACTTCTTCCTCTGGATTTACCTACCCTGGGTCCTCCCTTTTTATAAATAAACTTCTTTAAATACATCGTCTTCATTTCCTTACCTCTCATTCATTTGTTCTGCTGAAATGTGACTTCCACCCTACCAACCAACAAAATGGCTCTCATCAATGTTGCTAAATTAAAGGCCTGTTTCTAAGTCTCTATGTTGCTTGACACCTTCCTGTAACATATGACATTTTGATCACACCCTTTTCTTTAAAACACTTTCTTCTCCCCAGTTTCCTTAAGGTTAAGACTCTTCTGGTTTTCCTCCTAGTACTATGGTGGTTGCTTTATAGATAAGGGACTTCAAATATCCTAAGCCTTCTCTTATTCTCAACAGGGTTGGGGGGCCCATGGTATTTAAGTTTAAAATCTATAGGATTTATATAACGCTGATTCCTAAATCTTTTCTACAACCCAGAGTTCTCTCACAGGCTTGAGATCTATTATCCAACAGCTACACTTGACATCCACAGATACTGCTAACTTACAATATCCAAGCTCATGATCTCCCCCCTCACAAATATACTTTCTCTATTGTTTCTATTTCAGCAAATAGTTCCCTCATTCACCCAACTGCCCAAGACAGAATCTTAGGCACTATTCTTAACTACTGCATTGCTACCTTCACCTAATCCATCTCTACATCATAAATATCACAAATCTTCTGAATATCTCTCAACTCTACCCTCTTTTTATTTCAAAAGCCAATAGCCACTATCATCTCTCACCTAAACTACTGAAAAAGGCCTTCTAGCTAGTTTCCCTAACTGTAGTCTCAATCTCCTTTAATCCATTCTCTGCAGTGCAGGCAGTATAAAGCCTTAACTAAAGCTGAACACATCACTCCAGGGCTTAAAACCCCTTTAGTGGCTTCCCAGTGAATTCTTTTCATGGCTTAAAAGATCCTCCATGATCTGTCCCTGCCTAACTTCCAACCCCTCTGTCTCTTACACCCTACACTGAATCTCTCTCAATTTCTTGAACCTCCACAATTTTGCTTTGTGCCTTGGGCACACTGTTCTTCGTCTTATTTCATCTGGCTCATTCTTATTCATCCCTCAGGTATTGAACAACACTTCTTTCTGGAAGCCTTACTAGGCACCCAGAATAGCTATGTGATTTTCTATATCCTATAATTTCCCCAACACAGTACTCTTCATGTTTTATTGTATTGTTTGCCTTGTTTACTACTAAATCTCTAGCATCTAGACTAGTACATGGCACATTAAGTGAATTCAATAAATTTCTGCAAACATATGCATATTATAATCTCTGCCCAAATTATTTGCCTAGCTCAGCCCTGGCCCCAGCATCCATGTTTAAAAAAAAAAAAAACAAGAGAATATGGGAATTGCTTGGTGCCTAGTACCTGGTGCCTCATGTAATGCTGTTGGAATGCATTGCCATTTTTGAAGACCTTCAGGCAATAAGGGCAGAGCAGATGCCGGGTATCCTCATGGATCATCCGAAAATGGACATCTACCTCAGAGTAGAGTGAGGAGCGATATTGACACACCTGAGTCACATAGGAGGGAAAATAAGGCTAAGAATGAAGTGAACAACTGAGAGGCCTTAAAAAAAAAGGTAGCAACAAAAATTTTTAAATTAAAAAAAAAAAGTTTTCTCAAATGCATAGAAATCAAATTATTTTCCTGACTTTGTAATGCTGGGCTATGTTTGTGATAGGTTTAGCTATTACTTTAAAAATAGGAAGGGACAGAAAGTCTAAGAATAATCCATGTTCTCTAACTAAGAAAAATAAAGCCTTTTCTGTCAATTTCCAAAGGGCACGTTCAGGAGACAGACACTCCCTTAGAATATGCACATGTTCCCGGCTAGTCTACTTGTGGACATGTTCTTTTATGTTTTTCTCCTGCATGGAAACCCTGAAGATAAACTGTGTTTACTATTTCTTCTGTACCTACTCAGAGTTCCTAAACTGAGTGTATGCAGTAGGTGGTCAACAATATTCATTAGTAAATTCTTTGTATTCTTCCTGAGGGCAAAACTGCTAAAACTCCCTGGAGAAAAAGGCAATACCTGGCAAACATAAGGCATCTCTCCAGGCTTATGAGTATCCTTCATATGCTGGAGAAATAGTGGCTCACTTTCAAACGCCCATTCACAGATCTTGCACTTGGCTGTAAGAAGAAAAGTAATCAATAAATCCACTTGAAAATAAGACAAAAGTCCTGCTGACTCACAATCTTTATTTTCTCTGCCTCCTTTATTTTGATTTTCAACAATCAGTAAATCATAGGTCCCTTCTGTTCTTTCTTTAAATGGCTCCACCTTAACATATATGTTGCTGATAATCTTATGTACGTAGCTCAGACTTCTTACCAAAGCTTCATTCTAGATTTTATCTATAAGACATTTTAAATTGGTTATTCTATCGTCAACTCTAACCTAATTCAGCATCCTCCTGTCTTACCACTGTTTCCCTTTTTCCTTTCCCCATTTCTTCCTGAGCTCAAAATTTAGGCACTATCTCGGATTCCAAACCCTGCATTCTGTCACCATTATTTCAAACTGCATGTAGGAACTGTCACTTCTCTATACTTATAATAAGGCAAAAACTTGGTACTAGCCCATATGATTTCCCACTGCTAATCAGCTGGCCTCCAATACCTCCTACTCTCTTTGAAATTGTCCATTTTGTCAAGCTTATGAGAAAAAATTTTGACAAAATTTTATGACACAAATGAACAATTTTGTCAAACTTCTGAGACAATTTTTGGTAATTTCATGTTGGCCAGGTTGGTCTCGAACTCCTGACCTCAGGTGATCTACCTGTCCCAGCCTCCCAAAGTGCTGGGATTATAGGTGTGAGCCACCGTGCCTGGGCTTTTTTTTTTTTTTTTTTTTTTAAGAGACAGAATCTCACTGTTGCTCAGGCTGGAGCATGATCATAGCTCACCGCAGCCTCCTGAGTAGCTAGGACTATCCTTTGAGCTCAAGCGAGCCTCCTGTTTCAGCCTCCCAAGTAGCTAGGACTACAGTGGTGCACCACCATGCCCAAGTAATTAAAAAAAATTTTTTTTTGTAGGGACAGGGTCTCGCCATGTTGCCCAGGCTGGTCGGAAACTCCTGGCCTCAAGCAATCCTTTTGTCAATCCACTTCAGTCTCCCAAAGTGCTAGAATTACAGGTGTGAGCCAGTGCACCGGCCAATTTTGGTAAGACTTTTAACTGCTACATATTTTTAATTATACAGTATGGCAAAAAGAGAGAGATTATTTACATTTTTGTCACTTTAATGGAATTAGTTTCAAGTTTTTGCAAATATGAAAACTGGAAGCTTAAAGCCTTGGGCATTTACTGGACAATGTCTAACCTCCCCCCGCCCCCAGCCCCCTACACCCCAGCCAAAGAAATATGAATAAAGTTGAAATAATTCTTTTTTCTTTTTTTAACTACCGAGAACCCTGGATTTTTGTTTTGAGACAGAGTCTCGTTCTGTCTCGCACGCTAGAGCGCAGTGGCTCAATCATGGCTCACTGCAACCCTGACCTCCCAAGCTCAAGCAATCCTCCCATCTCAGCCTCCCAAAGTACCAGAATTACAGGTATGAGCCACTGTGCCTAGCCAAGTAATTTTTTAAAGTAAAACAAACAAACAAAAGCCAGGGGTTCTTAATCTGGGGTCTATGGAACAGGCCTCTAGGAATCCAGGCTTTCTCTGAAATTATTTGCAAAAGAGTAAAATGTAGATTTTTCTAGGAAGAGGATTCAAACATTTCATATTTATTCTCAAAGAGGTCTGCAACTCCATTTAGAAACACTGTCTACAGGTACATTAGGTGCTATGAGGACATGGATAAATAAGAAATTCTGCATAAAGGAATGAGGAAAAGCTATAACAACATATAAAAGCTGAATTGTCAAAGAATGGGGCTCAGCCAGCCAGAGAGAGGACCAAGAGAAAAGCAGGAGGAAAGGCAAGTAGGTATGAAAGTTAACCACATGTTTGGGAAACAGTTAACTAGCAACATAACGATATTATCTCTTTTCCACTCACCCCCCGATTTGTTTACCTCTCTCATTTTTCTCTTCTAGAACACCTTTAAGCAATATTTTGTCCAGGCCTTTCTTAGTCTATGTTTTCCCTGGGCAATCTCATTCACTCTTTCTCCTATAACCTATTTATCAGCTCTATTTTCACAGCTGTCATGCAACATCAATAATAAAAACACTTATTAAGCAATTTCTAATGTACAAGCATCAGGTTAAGATTTACATGTGTTGGCTGGGCACGGTGGCTCATGCCTGTAATCCCAACACTTTGGGAGGCCAAGGCAGGCGGATCACCTGAGGTTGGGAGTTCAAGACAAGCCTGACCAACATGGAGAAACCCTGTCTCTACTAAAAATACAAAATCAGCCGGGCACAGTAATGCATGTCTGTAGTCCCAGCTACTTGGGAGGCTGAGGCAAGAGAATCGCTTGAAGCTGGGAGGCAGAGGCTGCGGTGAGCCAAGATGGCGCCACTACACTCCAGCCTGGGCAACAAGAGCGAAACTCCCTCAAAAAAAAGAAAAAAAAGATTTACATTGTGTTATCTCAAGAAAACTAGTGAGGTAGGAACTCAAATATAAGGGGATTTAAGAGATCTCTGGTAACCTTTGACACATCAGTTCTACAGGGGAAGGAGCTAATACAGAAAAAGATTCAAGAGGGAAAATGAATTGATTCTCCATGGTGGCTGTCCTAACTGTCCCTCTGAGCACCATCACCCTCCTTAACACCTAACACAATCTCCTACTTTGAGGAAATAGGCATGAACAACTGTAACTTCTGCTGCTTGTTTTCCAAATTATGGAAGGATAGATCTCTTGTACCTTCCTAAGGCTCATCCAACCTCATCATGCCATGTATTCCAAGATTTTGTCAATTTGTTTTCCCTGTCTTCAATCTTCCCCAACCCCGACAGGCTCCGACTCCTAAACATGGTTAAGCTCCTTAAAGCATCCTTCTCTCAATCCTATTTCTTCCTCAAACTTTCTCCTTTCCACTAACACAAGATTTTTTGAAAGATTAGAATAACCTACATCTGTTACCTTTAATGAGATGCTCAGGAAGTGGAGGTAACAATGCCAGGAAGAAAAATGTTATAATATTTGAAGAAATGGGCCGGGTGTGGTGGCTCACGCCTGTAATCCCAGCACTTTGGGAGGCCGAGGCCGGTGGATCACGAGTTCAGGAGATCGAGACCATTCTATCCTGGCTAACACGATGAAACCCCGTCTCTACTAAAAATGCAAAAAAATTAGCCGGGCGTGGTGGTGGGTGCCTGTAGTCCCAGCTACTCGGGAGGCTGAGGCAGAAGAATGGCGTGAACCCAGGAGACAGAGCTTGCAGTGAGCCGAGATCGCACCACTGCACTCCAGCCTGGGCAAAAGAGCGAGACTCCGTCTCAAAAAAAAAAAAAAAAAAAAGAATATTTGAAGAAATGTACCTTAAGATAGCCACTATGGAAAACAGGAATAATAACTAACAGTCTTAACCATTTTTTAGTCCCAAATCTCACACTAACAAAAGCTATGCAACCTCTCCCTTGAAAAATGCACACACACAGGCAAAGTTTATATGTAATTTCAAGGGGCTCACAGGACACCTCACCACCAAGCAGGTTAAGATTTCTGTATTAGACATAAATATTAAAAGACTATGAATCAGGGCCGGGTGCACTGGCTCACGCCTGTAATCTCAGAGCTTTGGGAGGCAGAGGCAGGCGGATCATCTGAAGTCAGGAGTTCAAGACCAGCCTGGCCAACATGGCGAAACCCCGCCTCTAATACAAAAATTAGCCGGGTGTGGTGGTGCACGCCTGTAATCCCAGCTACTCGGGAGGCTGAGGCAGAAGAATTGCTTGAACCTGTGACGCGGAGGTTGCAGTGAGCTGAGACTGTGCCACTGCACACACCAGCCTGGGTGACAAGAGTGAAACTCCATCTCAAAAAAAAAAAAAAAAAAAAAAAAAGAAAAAGAAAGAAAAGAAAAAAAAAAAGACTATGAATCAGACAGAGTGCGGTGGCTCACGCCTGTAATCCCAGCACTCTGGGAGGCCAAAGCGGGTGGCTCACTTGAGGCTAGGAGTTAGAGACCAGCCTGGCCAACATGCCTGTAGTCCCAGCTACTTGGAAGGATGAGGCAGGAGAACTGCCTGAACCCAGGAGGCTTAAGTTGCACTGAGCTGTGATTGCGTCACTGCATTCCAGCCTGTGTGACAGGGTGAGATTCTGTCTCAAAAAAGACTAAGAATCAGCATTAGACAAACTTATGAAAAGAACCCTAGGGCCATACAAGCTCCTTCAAGTCACTGCACTGCTCTTAAACAAGTGTGAATAAAAATGTAATACTACTTTTTGGGTTTTTTTTTTTTTTTTGAGATAGGGCCTTACTCTGTCACCCAGGCTGGAGAGCAGTGGTGTGATCATATCTCACTGCTGGCTCGACTTGCTGGGCTCAAACAATCCTCCCACCTCAGCCTCTTGAGCAGCTGGGGCTACAGGCACAAGCCACCACACCTGGCTAATTAAAAAAAAATACAAAAACAGAGAGAGATAAGGTCTCACTATATTCGCCAGGCTGTTCTCAAACTCCTGGGCTCAAGCAATCCTCACGCCTTGGCCTCCCAAAGTGCTAGGATTAGAGGCATGAGTCACCATGCCTTGGCCTGTAATGTTATTAAGATGATACTGTTATCACAATTAAATATAATGATCCACTGATATTCTGGGGACAACTCAGAAAATTTTTAAATAAAGTAGGTATTGAATGTTATTAAGGATTTCTGATTAATTCTGTTAGATCTTTTTTTTTTTTTTGAGACGGAGTCTTGCTCTGTCGCCAGGGTGGAGTGCAATGGTGCGATCTCAGCTCACTGCAACCTTCGCCTCCCGGGTTCAAGTAATTCTCCTGCCTAAGCCTCCCGAATAGCTGGGATTAGAGGCGCGTGCCACCACACACGGCTAACTTTTTGTATTTTAGTAGAGATGGAGTTTCACCATGTTGTCTGGGATGGTCTCGATATCCTGACCTCGTGATCCACCCGCCTCGGCCTCCCAAAGTGCTGGGATTACATGCATGAGGCTCCGCGCCCGGCCCTCTTTTTTTTTTTTTGAGACAGCGTTTCACTCTTGCTGCCCAAGCTGTAGTGCAATGGTGTGATCTCAGCTTACTGCAACCTCCGCCTCCCGGGTTCAAGCAATTCTCCTGCCTCAGCTTCCCAAGCAGCTGGGATTACAAGTGTGCACCACCATGCCCAACTAATTTTTTGTATTTTTAGTACAGACAGGGTTTCACCACGTTGGCCAGGCTGGTCTTGAACTTCTGACCTTAGGTGATCCGTCCGCCTCAGCCTCCCAAAGTGCTGGGAGTACAGGCGTGAGCCACTGCGCCGGCCTATTAGATCTTAACAAAGGTACTGTGGCCACACACACACACACACACACACACACACACACACACACACAAAAGGCCTTATTTTTTAGAGCTACATATTAAAATATTTAGGAGAAAAATATCATGATGTCTACAATTAACAAACAATTCAGAAAATAAAAGGAAAAAAATCCCCCAAAATATTAGCATGTAAAAATAAGCTACTTTTTGAAAAGGTATCTGCACTCCCATGTTTATTGCTGCACAGTTCACAATAGGCAAAATATAGAATCAACCTAAGTGCCCACCAACAGATGAATGAATAAAGAAGATGTGGTGGCTGGGCACAGTGGCTCATGAGGTCAGGAGTTTGAGACCAGCCTGACCAACATGGTAAAACCCCGTCTCCACTAAAAAATACAAAAAAATTAGCCGGGCGTGGTGGCGTGTGCCTGTAATCCCAGCTACTCAGGAGGCTAAGGCAGGAGAATCACTTTAACCCAGGAGGTGGAGGTTGTGGTGAGCCAAGATTGCACTACCGCACCTCAGCCTGAGCGACATAGCAAGACTCCTTCTCAAAAAAAAAAAAGATGTGGTATATATACCCAGTGGAATATTATAGCCACAAAAAAGAATGAAATTCTGTCATGCAGCACATGGTTAGAACTGGAAGTCCCTAAGTGAAGTAAGCCAAGCACAAAAAGACAAATATCACATGTTCCCACTCATATGTGGGAGCTAAAAAAAAAAGTAGATCTCATGGAGAGAGAGTAGAATGGTGGTTACCAGAGGCTGGGAAGAGTAGGGGAGTAGAGAGTTGAAGAGAAGCTGATCAACAGGTACAAATATATGGTTTGAAAGAAGAAATAAGACCTAGTAGATCAGTAGGGTGACTATAGTTTACAATAACCTGTTGTAAATTTTAAAATAGCTAGAAGAGAATAATTTGAATGTTTCTAGCATAAACACATAGAGTGATGAATATTCCAAGTACACTGATTTAATATTTACAGATTATATAAATGTATATTAGATTATCACATGCATCCCTAAACCATGTACACCTATTATGCATCAATTCTTTTTTTTGAAAAAGCTACTTTTGGGCTGGGCACGGTGGCTCATGCCTGTAATCCTAGCACTTTGGGAAGCTAAGGTGGGTGGATCACGAGGTCAGGAGTTTGAGACCAGCCTGGCTAACATGCTGAAACCCCGTCTCTACTAAAAATACAAAAAATTAGCCGGGCATGGTGGTGGGCGCCTGTAATCCCAGCTACTTGGGAAGCTGAGGCAGGAGAATCGCTTGAAACCAGAAGGTGGAGGTTGTAGTGAGCTGAGATTGTGCCACCGTACTCCAGCATGGGTGAAAGAATGAAGCTCTGTCTCAAAAAAAAAAAAAAAAAAAAAAGAAAAAAAGAAAAAAAGTTACTTTCGACCGGGCATGCTGGCTCATGCCTATAATCCCAGCACTTTGGGAGGCCGATGCAGGTATATCATTTAAGGCCAGGAGTTTGAGACCAGCCTGAACGACACGGCGAAACCCCATCTCTACTAAAAATAAACAAACAAAAAAATTAACTGGGCATGGTGGCACATGCATGTAATCCCAGGAACTTGGGAGACTGAGGCACAATAATTGCTTGAACCTAGGAGGTAGAGGTTGCAGAGAGCCAAGACTGCGCCACTGCACTCCAGCCTAGGTGACAGAGCGATTGTCTCCCAAAAAAAAAGCTGAGCACGGTGGCTCACACCAGTAATCACAGCACTTTGAGGCTGAGGTGGGTGGATTGCTCGAGCTCAATAATTTGAGACCAGCCTGGGCAGCATGGCAAAACCCTATCTCTACAAAAAACACCCCCCAAAACAAAAAACCCCCCAAAATTAGCTGGGCATAGTGGCATGTGTCTGTAGTACCAGCTATTCAGGAGGCTGAGTTGGGAGGATCATCTTAGCCTGGGAAGTGGAGATTGCAGTAAGCCAAGATTGTGCCACTGCACTCCAGCTTGGCTAACAGAGTGAGACCCTGTCTCAAAAAAAAAAAAAAAAAAAAAAAAAAACTACTTTCATGCCAGATCTGTCAAGGGTGCAAAAAAGGAAATTACGAAAGACTGCAAGAATAAAATTGATATATGCTAAGGAAAGGTGATTTTGGTAAGCATAAAATCTTGTCATAAGAGACTCAAAAATTAAGTCAGGGAAACCAAGAGAAAAAAGATCAATGAGGGTCTACATTGTTTCTTTTCCATAAGGAAAAACTTATCTTCCCTCTGTGTAATTTTATTATTTGTGGAACTTCGGAATAACAAAACCCACCCCCCATATTACGCGTAAAAATGAGTTAGGTGCCCAGACTGGGCAACACAGCAAGACCCTGTCTCTACCCCCAAGAAAAGGAATAAATTAGCTGGGTGTGGTGGCATATGCCTACAGTCCCAGCTACTCAGGAGGCTGAGGTGGGAGGACTGCTTGAGCCCAGGGGTTCGAGGCTGCAGTGAGCTAAGATTGCGTCACTGCACCCCAGCCTGGGTGGCAGAGCAAGACCCTGTTGTCTCAAAAAACTGGTGTTTTCACTAAGAGGTATGGATGAGTTACTCTGGCTTCACATTACTGACAGTGAAGAATCGTGAGTCCTATTCTAGACCAAGCTGGCTACCCTGGCACTACACTGCAGTGTTACCATTGATTCTTTGTTTTTTGAGACAGAGTCTTGCTCTGTTATCCAAGCTGGAGTGCAGTGGCGTGATCATGGTTCACTCTAGCCTTGACCTACTGGGCTCAAGCAATCCTCCCACCTCTACCTCCTGAGTAGCTACGACTATAGGCGTGCGCCACCACACCCAATTTTTGTATTTTTTTTGTAGAGACGGGGTTTCTCCATGCTGCCCAGGCTGGTCTTGAACTCCTAAGCTCAATCTGCCTGCCTCGGCCTCTCAAAGTGCTGAGATTACAGGTGTGAACCACTGCACCTGGCCCGGTTGATTCTAATATACATTCTACTCCCAAATGATTAGTCCAAAGTTTCACTGTCTAATATGGTGGCACCAGCAACATGTATCTAGTGAACACTTAAAATGTGGTAAGCTCAAACCCAATTTAGATTTGTATTTCAAAAGATCTGTTTTTTAATGGAGGAAAAAAGAATGACGAATATCTCATTAATTTTAAATTTTGAGTTCATGTTGAAATATTTTTAATATACTGAATAAAATATGCTGTTAAAATTAATTTTGCCTGTTTTTTTAAACTTTACAGTAGACGCCCTTTGCCAATGGGAAATATACGTTCCAAGACCCCCAGTGCATACATGAAACCTCAGATAGTATTGAACCCTATACATACCGTGTTTTTTCATATATATATATATATATACCTATGATAAAGTTTAATTTATAAATTAGGCAAAGAGATTAACAATTAAAAATATATAATATATAAAAGGATAATTATAACAATATACTGTAATAAAAGTTATGTGAATGTGGTGTCTCTCTCAATAATCTTATTGTACTGCACTCACCTAGTTTTGGACTGTGATTGAGACTAAAATTGAGGATAAGGGAGCGCTACTGTATTTAAAGTGAAAAAAATTAAAATTACTCATGAAGCTTGCATATTTCTACTGCCTAGTGTTACTGTAAGCCATTAATGTCAATCCCACTTCCCTTGCCAATAAATGGTCAGAGATATAAAAGGAAAGCAATTCTCACTCATAAGAAAACAGATTCAAGAAAGAAAAATTGAGGATAAGGGAGCGCTACTGTATTTAAAGTGAAAAAAATTAAAATTACTCATGAAGCTTGCGTATTTCTACTGCCTAGTGTTACTGTAAGCCATTAATGTCAATCCCACTTCCCTTGCCAATAAATGGTCAAAGAGATATAAAAGGAAAGCAATTCTCACTCATAAGAAAACAGATTCAAGAAAGAAAGATGGGAAGATAAGATCTCTTCTTTGTCTAACAATTTTTTATCTGGACATAGTGCCTGACACTTATACAGCCACCCTGCTATGAGCCAGAGACAAGAGAATTGTTGAAAACCAGCAGGGCAGTCAAATTCTAGGCTGAAGCATCCATTTCTGTATCTCTCAGTTAAATGATATAACAGATATTCTTATTGTTTTCTTTTGTTTTGAGACAGAGACTCGCTCTGTCATCCAGGCTGGAGTGCAGTGGTGCGATCTCAGCTCACTGCAACCTCTACCTCCTGGGATCAAGTGATTCTCATGCCTTGGCTTCCTGAGTAGTTGGGATTACCTGCGCACACCACCACAGCCAGCGAATTTTTGTATTTTTAGTAGAGATGTGGTTTTGCCATGTTGGCCAGACTGGTCTCCCCTGGCCTCAACTGATCCACCCACCTAAGCCTCCCAAAGTGCTGGGATTACAGGTGTGAGCCACCACACCCAGTCCTTATTGTTTAATTCATTTTTAGTTAAGGATTTTTACTTGTAGCAAATGCATCCAGATAATATGCATATGTCTTCTATGCTTTTGATCATGCTGTTTTCAATCACCTAAAAGCTTTTCTTACTACTCTCCATCCATCTAAACCTTTCTTAAATTTAAGCACGACTTTCTTGGAAACCTAGCCACAAGGATTTTTTCCCTTCTCTGAAGTATTTCACCTATCAATGATATCTTAAAATGTCTATGTTTATAATATACTATCTTGTTCTCACATTTTCCTATATTTACATAATTTTTGTCTTTACAACAAAACTGGAAATCCCGTAAAGGACATGAGAAGTATTCTCAATACTGGGCTTAAATCCTCACTATGTATCCCCAGTAGAGGTGTATTTAGAGGTGTACGCTCATAAGCAAATGACTCAATTTCTTTGAGCTTATGTTCAGCCTACATCTATCTATAAAATGTACAGTGTAGAAAAACATTCCAGCTTACCTTATATTTCACTGAAAGCACTGTCTTAATGATAAAGTACTTCATAATATTATCTTTTTTTTTTTGGAGATGGAGTTTTGCTCTTGTTGCCCAGACTGGAGTGCAATGGCATGATCTCAGCTCACTGCAACCTCCGCCTCCCGGGTTCAAGCGATTCTCCTGTCTCAGCCTCCCGAGTAGCTGGGATTACAGGTGCCCGCCACCACACCCAGCTAATTTTTGCATTTTTAGTAGAGATGGGGCTTCGCCATGTTGGCCGGGCTGGTCTCGAATTCCTGACTTCAGGTGATCTGCCTGCTTCGGCCTCCCAAAGTGTTGGGATTACAGGCGTGAGCCACCGTGCCCGGCCATATTATCTTTTATCCTACTTAATTTCTTTGAGCTTATGTCCAGCCTACATGTATAAAATATACAGTGTAGAAAACACTCCAGCTCATCTTATATTTCATTGAAAGCAATGTCTTAATGATAAAGTACTTCACAATATTATCTTTTAGCCTACATAAAACCTATCAGGGTTTAACTAAAGTGGAAGAGCAAATAGATGACTGTTCCTTCTATAAAGAGACCTAAGAAATAAATTAATTACATTTGTTTTTCTACAGTGGTTCTGAATCAACGCCCCTAACAATTCAGGATCTAACACTGAACTCAATCCATGCTTGAACAAAATAAAAGTCAGGCTTGTAAAAAAAAACAAGGTGAATGAAGTAAAGAACTGGCTACAAATATGAAAAGTACTTCCTCTACACTGTTACCCACATGTAAATAAATATAATGGGCTCCCCCCAGCGCCATTCAATGAGTGAACAGCAAGGTATATTCCCCTTGAGTTTAAGAGTTTCCAAACTTACTAGTAGATTCATAGGGACTATGAACATTTTCCAAGTGGCACTGAAGCTGGAAGGGAGTGGAAAACTGGCGGTAACAGTGCTGGCAGATAGTGTGACCATCTACCTCACCGTTCTGCTGATCGAGTTCTACGTGGTGTTTCATATGGTTCATGAATCTGTAATAAAGCACAAAGAGAAAGTACAGAAAACATAAAAAATTGGTAGCCTTTTAGAAATATAATGGTAAAATCACAGAACAAACATTATCTGCTCCCCTCCATTCCCCAGACTTCCTGTTTGGGATATCCTTTTCTGAGCCCAGAAAGATAATGAGTTCTTGAAACTAAGAGAGTTCTGGGAAAGGAGACATACTGCTTTCCCTTACTCGATCCAGTTACCTTTTGTTTATTACCACAATATCTCCTTCTATAGTCCTAGTTATTGATTTAATGATAACCCCAGCAAGACTGCATAGTAGTTAGGTCCATTCTCCAAAGAGAAAGACTTAAAATATATAAGAAAATGTAAGTCTTCTCTTGTTCAAGGTAACTTCCAAGGCTCTTAAACACTTACCGAATATTGTTTTTTAGCCTTTTGGTACAATGTGGGCATCGGAAAGATGTGGCGACCTTAGGGAAATTTGTGAGCTGGGCTACTTTGCCACCATCCCGTCCATAGTAGAAGTCATCTACAAGCATAATGAGTTTGGTCTGGACGGCATCGCCCACGTTCTCATTTGGTTCTGGTACTTTGGTAGGCGGTGACAGAGCAGGAATAGGTGTAGAAGAGGGTGTGGAAGCAACAGGAGCTGTTTTCTCAGGGGATGGGGGCTTTGCTGCTGATGGGACACTGGGTTCTGAATCCAGGGACTTTCCTTTCTTCTGGTATTCAACCATTTCTGGGCAACAGTACTATAAAGAAAGACATCTGATCATTCTGGTTATCCTGGGGGCTAGAATGTGCTAACTCCTTAACTTCACTACCATTCCTTGTTAACGGTTTGGTTTCAGGTATTCTCATTCAGCTTTCACCCTTCAGTTTTTTTTAGCGTTTCCAAGTTTTACTCCTTTTCTAGAGTATATCCACATATGCCACCCAAGCGCTATACTTTGTATTTCTCCCTCCTGCCTGTCTTAGGTCCCTTAATCATTAGTATAACTTGGCTCTGAGCTCCCTGGCAAAGAAGAAGTTCCAACCTTTTTATCTGGACTAATACCAAAAAATGAAAAGCTAAAAAATGGAAGTAAGAGCTCCCGATTCATCCAATGACACAATTAACAAAAATGAACTGAGGCCAATATGGTTTGAGTCCTTATTATCTATAAACCTGTTCTCCTGTGTGGTTTCAAAATCTACCACACTAAGAAAGTAAGATCACATATGTTCTGATCTATTTGAGGGTCTTTAAATGTATCCCATCACATTCCAAAGTACACAGCTCTTCTAAAAACAGACCAAGAGAAACAGTAACCCTTTAAAAAGCTTCAGTCATTTTAGAGCCCCTGCTTACAAGCTTCCAATATTAATGAAGGTAAATGGCAGAAGCCACTTAAGCTGGATCACAGGTGATATCACTTACACACATGTGACCTCTCAAAGCTTCAGTAACACGAAATTGAGCATTACATCGTGGACATATTTTCCGTCCACCATCCTGGAGGTCAAATACTGGGATGGAAGAGGTCACTGAAAGAAGTGAGAAGAATTGATAAGATTAATACAATGACACTGGAAAAAGATTACTGACCTTTTGGGAAAAAGTCAAACACTCCCTGAGAAGTATATAAAAGGGTAAGCAAGCATGAGAGATCACTATGGTTTTTGTTTGTTTTTGTTTTTTTTGAGACACGGTCTCTCAGTCTGTTGCCCAGGCTGGAGTGCAGTGGCACGACCACAGCTCACTGCAGCCTTGACCTCCCTGGGCTCAAGATCACTATGTTTGAGGCTTCCTTTTACTGTTCTAACTCTAGGCCAGGGGTCAGCAAACCACAGCACACAGATCAAATCCAGCCCAGCTACCAGTTTCTGTTTGGCCCATAAGCTAAGAATAATTTGTATGTGATTTTTTTGTTAAGGTTTTTGTTTTTTTTAATCTTGCAGAACTGAAGCTATATCCAATAAAAACCTCCTCACCATTCTCCCCTCGCCTCCACCCCGGCAACCACAATTCAACTTTGTCTCTATGAATTTGACTACTCTAGGTACCTCAAGTAAGTGGAATCATATGGTACTTGTCCTTTTGTGACTAGCCTATTTCACTTTAACATAATGTCCTCAAGGTTCAACCATGTTGCAGCACATGTTGTAGCAGAATTTCCTTTCTTAAGCCTGAACAATATACCATTGTATGTGAATACCACATTTTATTTATCCCTTTATCAGTTGATGGACCTCTGTGTTGCTTTCACCTTTCAGCTATTGTGAATAATGTTGCAATGAACATAGGTGTACAAATACCTGTTCTAGTCCCTGCTTTCAATTCTTTTGGGTATAGAATGGAATTCCTGGAGCATACAACAATTCTATCATTTTTAACTTTTTGAGGAACCACCATACTGTTTCCAAAGTGGCTGCATAATTTTACATTTCCACCAACAGTGCGTAAGGGTTCTGCTTTCTCCACATCCTCAACAATATTTGTTATTTTATGGTTCTTTGATAGTAGCCATCCTAATGGGAGTGAGACGGTACCTCATTGTGGTTTTGATTTGCATTTCCATAATGATTAATAACACTGAGCACCTTTTCATGAGCTTATTGGCAATAACTTTCTTTGGAGAAAGGTCTATTCAGTCCTTTGCCTACTTTCCTACTTTTTTTTTTTTTTTTGAGATGGGGTCTTTCTCTGTTGCCCAGACTGGAGTGCAGTGGCACAATCTCGACTCACCACAACCTCTGCCTTCCAGGTTCAAGCAATTCTTGTGTCTCAGCCTCCCGAGCAGCTGGGAATACAGGCACACACCACCACGCCTGGCTAATTTTTGTATTTTTAGTATAGACGGGGTTTCACCATTATTGGTCAGGCTGGTCTTGGACTCCTGACCTCGTGATCCACCTGCCTTGGCCTCTCAAAGTGCTGGGATTACAGGCATGAACCACCACGACCAGCGAGTCCTTTGTCTATTTTTTAAAAAGGTTGTTTGGGAGTTTTTTTGTTGTTGAACTGCACAAATTCTTTATATATTCTGGATATTAACCCCTTATTAGATACATAATTTGCAAATATTTTCTCCCATTCTGTGGCTTCCCTTTTCACTGTGTTGACAACGTCCTGCACAAAAGTTTTAAATTTTGATATAATTTAATTTACTCATTTTTTCTTTTCTTGCGTATGCTTTTGGTGTCATATCCAAGAAATAGTAATCACTGTCAAATCCAGTATCATGAAGCTTTTTGTCCTATAATTTTTCTAAGAGTCTTATAGTTTTAGTTCATTTAGGTCTTTGATCCATTTTGAGTTAATTTTTGTATTTATTGTAAGGTAAGATCCAACTTCTTTTGGACATGGATATCTAGTTTTCCCAACACCATGTTTTAAAGGTTTTTACTTTTTTTGAGACAGGGTGTCGTTCTGTTGCAGTGGCATGCTCATGGCTCACTGCAGGCTCAACCTTCTGGGTTCAAGCCCAAGCCATCCTCTCACCTCAGACTTCTGAGTAGCGAGGACTGCAGACATACACCACCACGCCTGGCTAATCTTTTTTTTTTTTTTTTTTGTAGAGATGGGATCTCACCATGTTGCCCAGGCTGGTCTCAAACTCCTAGGCTCAAGTGATCCTCCCGTCTTGGCCTCCCATAATGCTGGGATGAGGTGTGAGCCACTATACCTTGCGGTTTTTATTTTTAAATGGTTGAAATAAAAGAATAAAACTTTTCGACACATGAAAATTTTATGAAACTTAAATTTCAGAGTCCATAAATAGTTTTTAGTGGAGCACAGCCATGCTCATTCGTTTATGTATCTGTGGCTGCTTCCCCACCACAACAGCACAGTTAATAGCTGCAACAGAGGCTATATATTGTGCACAAAGCCTACAACTTTACTACTAGGCCCTTTACAGAAAACATTTGCCGACCCCTGCTCTAGACCACTGAAAACCCTCATGCTCATCATTCTCAACCTGAAGATCTCTCTACCAAATCCTAACTTTAAAACCTTGCTCAGAAATCCATCTCTTCCATGAAGTTATCTTTCATTATCTCACCCATCTTTAATCAATCAATTTCACTAATCTCCAAAGCACAATTACACACATAATTTCTTGGAGCTGATTCAGTTACACTTTTTGTAAGTGGCTTTCTCCTTACTAAAGTTTCTGTAAGAACAAACTACAGCAGCTGTATTTTATTTTATTTTTCTATTTCTGAGTATAAAGCTCTGATACAACAAACACTTTATTAATGTTTTTGAATGACTGGCTGCTCAGAGTCTTTCAGGTTATTGTACCTTTCATTGAAGACTCAGGTCCGCTGGTTCTTTGAGAGCCATGAGCAGAGCTGTTGTTGGACACCACCACTGGCCCAGGACTCTGGCCCAGGGAAGGGATGGTGTTAAGGGTATTCACCAATTTGGCCACTTCATTGCTATTTTCGCCTGTAACACCAGGTCGCTTCACAGTGACAAAGCTGGCAATGCTCACTGCAGGTGGAGAGGGGAAGGAGGGAGCTACGGTGACCAAGTGATAATCATCTGTTCTCCACCCACCATCCCAACCTGGCTCTGCCATCTCCTCTTCCGAAGCCTTACCTAGCTTGGGATTCGTGGTCTGGTTTGACTGGCCTGGAGACTGAACAGCTAGTTGCCCCAGTGAGGTTGGCTGTGTGGCAGTGGGAGTGGTAGAAGTGCTGGGAGTGGACTTGGTCTGCTGGGACTGGGACTGTGGGACGGTGCTTCGAATGGTAAGAGTGGCCGGGATGACGGTGGTGAAGGTGTTGGTGGTGGGCCTCACAGGCATTGTGGAGCCTGGCCTCACAGGGGTCATCTGGGAGAACACTTGTGGAACTCCAACTGTCGGCTTAACAAACTGGGTACCTGGGGCTTTAAAAGAGAGACAAAGTACCAGATCTTGGTCAGTGAGCTCACCTATAACACATTCTCCCTGCCTTTACTGGAAAGATTATTTCCCCAAACTGATGGATGATCATCAGAGGTTTCCAAGAGGAGTATAGATTCTAAAGACTAAGAAAGCACAAGGTGTCCATGTTGACAAAATAACCTGGGCAGCCTAAAAACATTAAGTTAAATAAGACTCCCATCAACTCCTCCTAAAACACCTTATCACACTGCCTTTTTAATTCTAAGAATACAATCAGTGGCTTGACCTCGGTACTGGAAGAAAAGAGTGGGAAGCAATATGGGTGTATATAGGCCAAATGGCAAACCTGGTCCTGAAAAAAGAAATCAGTCTTTCTCAGAGTACTAAAGGAGTCTTCCATCCTCTTCTATCAACTCAGAAGACAGACTATGCCATTCTACTAGGATGTCCCAAAGAGGAATGTCTCCTGGCTCAACTGTAGACAATTCCACTGAGAAAAATAAAGAAATGCCAGGGTAAGCTGGTCAGACTTAAACCCCTATGGGCTACGAGAACAAAAAACAAAACCTTAGGAAGACAAGCTACAGAGGTACCCTTACAAATAGCTAAATTAAGATACTCTTTTTTGGTCTGAATTGTAGTAAACTTATACATGCTAAATAGAGCAATGGAAAATTCTAAGATTTTAAAAAAATTATCCTTCTCAGAATCTTAAAAAAAAAAAAAACTATCTAGCAGAATCTTAAAAAAAAAAACTATCTAGTCATTGACAGTATTTATCCATAAAAGGAATGTCATTTGTTTATATCTAAAATCTATGCTATAAAATTAAAACAAAGTTTATAATCCCACCGTGCAAATGAGGAGATGTGTAAGGAGTGTAGAATTTATGAGTTTGCATTAATAACATAGTCTTAATAGCTGACTAAATACCAGTTACAGAAAAATGACTGTAAACTCTGTTTTACTACTTGATGAAGGGTGGTGAAAAGCTAAACAGAAATAAATAAAACCACCACCCTGGCCAAAGGTTAGAAGCAGATTTTTTAAAATTGGGCTTAAATCATTAATATTTTTATATTTTTAGATTTTCTTTAAATGTACTTACTAAATGACTTAGGATATTTAGAACAATAAAAACAAATCTTCTGGATGCCAGTTTATTCCAAATGGATAGACATTTTTCCTTACCTGGAACTAGTGTAATTGGTCTAACCGTTTGGCCTTGCTGTACGTTCAGCACAATCCCAACCTGATTCATTGCATTTTGTACAGGCCGGACATTCCTTACAGGAAATCCCTGTATTAAAAAGCAAAATGATCTTTAACATGGAGACCAATTAACACTGACAAAGATTGCAGTATGACCTACATCCAAAAAAAAATTCCCATACTCTTACTTAATGGTTCTTTCTCTAGAATTAGAGGTTTCAAATGACTGAGAGGGAAAAATTTAGGAAATTCTGGCAAACTTTTGAGAGACAAAATATCAAAATTAGAGAACAAGCTTTGGTACACATGAGCAAAAATGAAAACCTATTTCCTGACTTAAGAGAGCATCGGCTTAAAAAAACCTCATCAACAGACTGGCTCCCTAAAGTGCTAAATGAACAGAAGTGGGGGTGGGGGGCAGGGGGAAGAGCAATGTTCACTGGAGTGATTCAACATACAAACAATCCTAAAAAATTGTTCCCAAAGTCTACTTCAAAGGCCATAAACCTTTGGCAAATTCATAAGAATTTACAACTCAGGAAGCCACAGGCAAAGAGAAGCATTTGCCTTTAGAATCCATATTCAGAATTAGGCTTTCAACTTCAATTCAACACATTATATATCAAATAAGTCATCTTCCTTGTCTCCCAAAGGTCTCCATGAACTCCACCAATTACATACATACATCTCCAAAAGTTAACTAATTCATCCCATGTGAAGAGGAGCAGTCCACGCAAAGGGTGAAAAGCCTCAAGAGCCAAGCGTTAAGGCTTCCTAATTCAAGTTTTCCCACTATTTCTGCCTAGACTTTAATCAAATCACTTAATAAACTTCTAAGGGGTTTAAAGAAGATATTACCCAGCCATACTATGCTGGGCTTTCCACAGTTGGCATCAAATTACAGAACAGTAAAAGAGAAAGCCAGGTCAAAAGACAAGACTTAGAACCACTTCTAATGACGCCAAAGACCCTAAGTCAGAGTTTTCAGAGGTTTATAGTCTTTCTCTCCTCTAGCAACCTTGGAATTCAGAGTCCTACTCACCTGCGTAGTGATAAATATTGGTTGTGAGGCCACAGGGGAACTAGTCACATGATTGGCATTCTGCATGACCTGAACAGGCCTCAATACTGGTTGAGTAACCATTGTGCCCAGACCTGGGGCTGGATTCTGGGTCAGGATGAGTGGCTGTCCACCTTGCTGGACCAAAGGATTGCCAGCTAAAGGGTAAAGGAAGAAAAAAAAAAAGGAATGTTAGAAACAATGTTAAACCCACATTTTACTTTATTTTATTTTATTTTATTTTATTTTATTTTATTTTATTTTATTTGATACAGGGTCTCACACTCTGTCACCCAGGCTGGAGCACAGTGGCACAGTCACGGCTCACTGCAGCCTCAAGTTCCTGGGCTCAGGTGATTCTTCCACCTCAGCCTCCCAAGTACAAATCCACATTTTATTAGAAACAGAAATGGTGTCCTATATGCCAAAATATCCAAGACTGCCACTCATCTCAGGTTTAATGTGACCAAACTCACCAAAAATTTAAGTTTCACCCAAATCTACAACTAACAGAAAAACAGATGGGTAGGGGAGGTTCACTAACACTTCACCCATATGTCTTCACTGGGGATGAAAGACACATTAGAATTCTATGTGGCTAGCACCCTGACTCTCATGATTTAAGTGACCACACATAATCTCCCCCACCAAATCAGCAGAACAAAATATGTTAAGTCTTTTTCCATATTTTAACTAGGTAAAACCTATTTTATTAGAAGATAATTTGTTAGCTAATCCCCCTTAATTTTTTAAAAAGAATATTCATCAACAAACATTAATTCAGCAAGCACACAGAATCTAAGGAATGGTTTCTCTTCCTAGTGAGTTAAATCTGAGAAATGCAAGATTCTTTAAGCAACCACTGGGAACCCAGAGACTGACAGGCTACCTACCGTAGCCCTCTCTTTATGTCATCAGGGGTGATAATCAGAAGACCTGGACAAAAACTAACCCACACCAAGTAAAAATGACATGATTTCAGAAGATAATGATTCATTCATGAATAAATATTAATAAACTGGGCTATTATTGAAATATCTTAAATTCTTTTCATTTGTGAAAAATTTTATAAATATTTTTAAGTCCCCTATTTCATGACATTTGGTGAAAAAACCAATACTAAGTTTCCTGATTTACAAAGTATACTCAAAACCAGATAGAAAATTTCAGAGAGCCAATATACCTAAGCCAAAGAGTCAAGCAGGCCAGGCATGGTGGCTCACACCTCTAATCCCAGTACTTTGGGAGGCCAAGGCAGGCACATCACTTGAGGCCAGGAGCTCAAGACCAGCCTGGCCAACACAGCAAAACGCTGTCTCCACTAAAAATACAACAATTAGCCAGGCATGGTGGCGCATCCCTGTAATTCCAGCTACTTGGGAAGCTGAGGCAGGAGAATTGCTTGAACCAGGGAGGCGGAGGTTGCAGTGAGCCAACATTGTGCCACTGCACTCCAGCCTGGGCGACAGAGCAAGGCTCTGTCTCAAAACAACAACAACAGCAACAACAACAAGAAACAAAAAACCAAAGAGTCAAGCAAAATATGGCCTCAACTTTTTACCCAAAATCACCAGAATGGGATGGGCCCCTCTGAAATGTATGTTCCACTTGGCAGGTTATATCACCACAGTTAACTACAAAGCTAGACCACCAAAGGAATAGGTATGTAGGTGGCTACTAATGGGCCAGCAGTGGCTTATCTTATACTCTCTCAGAAACTGAGAGCTCATCAGTAGACTAGACCCTCAGTTACTGAGCCAGAAGACCAGTGATTGTAGAGGCAGATAGATAAATAAAACAGAAAATTCCAGCAAGTTCTATCCATGTTAAACTATACTGGCAATTTATCTATGGTGGGTTTTTTAAATTTTTAAATGTTTTATTATGGAGAAGTTAAAACATACATAAAAAGGGAACGCTATAGTGAACCCCTATGCAACCACCACCCTGCTTCAATAATTATCAATGTATGGCAAGTCTTATTTCATCTATACCTTCTACATACTTACTAGTTCCCATATCACTTTAAAGCAAGTTCTAGATCATATCATCTATAAGTATTTCAAAATATACCTTCTACATAAGAACTTCAAAAAAAGATAAAAGAATCATACCAACATAACTCCTGAACATTATAATAATTATTCAATATCAAATACCCAGTCAAAATTCAAATTTACTTGTATTTTTTAAGTAATTTGTCTGAATCCAGTTACAAAATGTTTGCAAAGTGCAACTGATGAACTAACTCTTTTAATCTATAGGTTCCCCAACCATCTCTTTCTATCCTTTTGAAATTTATGGTTGAAAAATATTGACTAAGCAAAAGTCTATATTTTTTAGTCATTATTTTAACTGCTAGGACAAAAGAAAATAAATTATCTCTTATTTATCCTAATTCTAAAAATTCTTAAGATAATTACTAGCTCAACATCCCAATTAAATACAAGAAGGGAAAGATGGAGGCTTTTTGCATTTATGGGAAATCAGTCAGCATTAGCAAGTCTCTTAAAGACAGACCAGGTTTCCATGAAACCCGTAAATACCATTATAAAGAATTTTAACAGCATTTTCTGCAAATATTTTCTCTTATATCAGGGTCAAGTTTAAATTTTGGTGGATTGTTAGAATTTTTCCAAAAAGGCTGGGCAAGGTGGCTCATGCCTGTAATCCCAGCATTTTGGGAGGCTGAGGTGGGTGGATCACCTGAAGTCAGGAGTTTGAGACCAGCCTGACCAACACGGAGAAATCCCGTCTCTACTAAAAATAACAAAACTAGCCAGGCGTAGTGGCGCATGCCTGTAATCCCAGCTACTCGGGAGGCTGAGGCAAGAGTATTGCTTGAACCCAGGAGGCAGAGGTTGCATTGAGCCGAGATCGCGCCACTGCACTCCAGTCTGAGCAATAAGCGAAATTCCGTCTCAAAAAAAAAAAAAAAAAAAAAAGAATTTTCCCAAAAATATGGTACAATCAAAAAGTGGTTTTCTAAGACCAGATTAGATTCACAATGCAATGGAAAGCAAAAGCCAGACTATGGAAAGTCATACTAGGTAAATTATACTTACTTATTTAGAAGCATTTTAATGATTTCTGCAATCTTTGCTCAAAGGAATTCTGACAATTCAAGTGTCTTACAAGGTTCTATTTCCAGAGGATGAAACAGGCAATCACAATTCTGGTGCTTTAAAAAAAAAGCCTTTAAAAGGATTATCCAAACTAGGGCAGTGGTATGCACCCGTAGTCCCAGCTATTTGAGAGGCTGAAGCAGGTGGATCACTTGAGCCTAGGAGTTCGAGTCCAGCCTGGACAACACAGTGAGACCCCCATCTCAAAAACAAAACAAGGCCAGGCGTGGTGGCTTACGCCTATAATGTCAGCACTTTGGGAGGCCGAGGCAGGCAGATCACTTGAGGTCAAGAGTTTGAGACCAGCCTGGCCATCATGGTGAAACCCCCATCTCTACTAAAAATACAAAAGTTAGCTGGGCATGGTGGCATATACCTGTAATCCCAGCTACCTGAGTGACTGAGGCATGACAATTGCTTGAACCCAGGTGGGGTCTTCAGTGAGCCAAGATTGTGCCACTGCACTCCAGTCTGGGCAACAGTGTGAGTCTCAGTCTCAAAAATAAAAAATGAAAAATAGCTAGGCATGGTGGTGTGTGCCTGTAGTCCCAGCTACTTGGGGGGCCGAGGTGGGAGGATCGTTTGAGCCTGGGAGGTGGAGGGTGCAGTGAGCCAGCTGTGTTCGTGCCACTACTGCACTCCAGCCTGGGTGACAAAGTGAGACCCCATCTTGAACAAAACAAAGAAAACCTAAGAAACAAATGAAATAAAACAATCCACCTCAGTGACAATTAATTCCATGAGTTTTCTTCTATACTTCAGACATCACATGGTATCAAGCACATTATTTTTTGAGACAGAGTCTTGCTCTGTCACCAGGGTGGAGTGCAATGGTGCAATCTTGGCTCACTGCAACCTCTGCCTCCTGGGTTCAAGTGATTCCCCTGCCTCAGCCTCCCAAGTAGCTGGGACTACAGGCACATGCCACCATGCCCAGCTCATTTTTTTGTATTTTAGTAGAGACGGGGTTTTACCATGTTGGCCAGGATGGTCTTGATCTCCTGACCTTGTGATCTGCCCACCTTGCACATAAATCAAAGAATTATGCAACTAACTTTCTCCCTCTAAGTTTGCTCTCTCTTGATTTTTTTCCTTCATTCTTTCTTTTTTTTTTTCACAAGGAGTTTTGCTCTGTCACCCAGGCTGGAATGGCATGACCTCAGCTCACTGCAACCTCTGCCTCCTAGGTTCAAGTGGTTCTTCTGCTCAGCCTCCCAAGTAGCTAGGAATACAGATGCCCACCACCATGCCCAGCTAATTTTTGTAGTTTTTAACAGAGACAGGGTTTCACTATTTGGCCATGCTAGTCTCAAACTTCTGACCTCAGGCGATCTGCCCGCCTCAAGCCTCCCAAAGTGCTAGGATTATAGGCGTGAGCCACTGCGCCCAGCCTTCCTTCATTCTTTTAAGTTTACTTCCATACCCTTAAAGCCCAGAAATAGAGGGCTAAATACAATAGGAACTGAAAACCATAATTAGTTATACTGTAAGAAATTTATAACATTAAATTCACATCATTCACAGCTCAGAATTAAGCAATAGTTTATTTCACCTCATAATGTTTCTTTCCTGTGCAAACATAAGATGAGTCAGAACTACAGGAATAATTTTAAAATACTGAGTAGTAAATTCTAAAGAACATCAAACAGAATAGTAAAAATATTCCAAAATTTTATTCCTGATACTTTCCTTTTTTTTTTTTGAGATGGAGTCTTGCTCTGTAGCCCAAGTTGGAGTGCAGTAACGTGATCTCAGCTCACTGCAACCTCCACCTCTCAGGTTCAAGCGATTCTCCTGCCTCAGCCTCCCAAGTAGCTGGGACTACAGGTAAATGCCACCACACTCGCCTAATTTTTTTGTATTTTTAGTAGAGATGGGGTTTCACCATGTTGGTCAGGCTGGTCTTGAACTCCTGACCTCAAATGTTCTGCTCACCTCGGCCTCCCAAAGTGCTGGGATTACAGGTGTAAGCCACACACCTGGCCTTGATACTTTCTTAAAAACAAAACACACACAAAAAACCAAACCCAGCTTTGAGATATAATCCACATACTGCCCATTTAAAATACACAATTCAGTGATTTTTTTTTATATTCCCAAGGCTGTGCAACCATCATCATCATTATTTAGTTCCAGAACATTTTCTTTTCTTTTTTTTTTTTTTTGAGATGGAGTTTCGCTCTTGTTGCCCAGGCTGGAGTGCAGTGGCGTGATCTCGGCTCACTGTAACCTCCGCCTCCCAGGTTCAAGCAATTCTCCTGCTTCAGCCTCCCGAGTAGCTGGGATTACAGGCACATGCCACCATGCCCGGCTAGTTTTTTATATTTTTAGTAGAAACAGGGTTTCACTATGTTAGCCAGGCTGGTCTCGAACTCCTGACCTCAGGTGATCCGCCTGCCTTGGCTTCCCAAAGTGCTAGGATTACGGGCGTGAGCCACCGCGCCTGGCCTAGATCCAGAACATATTCATCGCCCTCAAAAGAAACCTCATTTCCCCTAGCAATTATTCCCCATTCTTTTCTCTTCCCAGCCCCTGGCAACCACGAATCTAATTTCTCTCTCTGTGGACTTGCCTATTCAAGACATTTCATATAGATGGAATCATATAATATGTGACCTTTTGTGTCTGGCTTCTTTTTTCTTTCTTTTTTTTGAGACAGAGTTTTCCTCTTGTTGCCCAGGCTGGAGTGCAGTGGTGCGATCTCAGCTCACAGCAACCTCCGCCTCCCGAGTGCAAACGATTCTCCTGCCTCAGCCTCCCTAATAGCTGGGATTGCAGGCATGCACCACCACACCTGGCTAATTTTGTATGTCTGGCTTCTTTCTCAGCATTATGTTTTCAAGGTTCATCTATGTTATAGAATGTATCAGTATTTCATTCCTTTTTATGGGCAAATAATATTCCATTGTGTACATATATTACATTTTGTTTATCCATCAATTTATGGACACAGGTTGTTTTTACTTTTAGCTATAACAAATGATACTGCTATGAACATTAGTGCACAAGTTTTTATGTGAACATACGTTTTCCATTCTCTTGGGTATACAGCTAGGAGTAGAACTGCTGGGTTATATGGTAACTCTATGTTTAACTTTTCGAGGGCCAGGTGAGGCGGCTCATGTCTGTAATCTCAGCACTTTGGTAGGCCAAGACAGGCAGATTACTTGAGGTCAGGAGTTTGAGACCAGCCTAGCCAACATGGTGACACACTGTCTCTGCTAAAAATACAAAAGTTAGCCGGGTGTGGTGGCAGGCACCTGCAGTCCCAGCTACTTGGGAGACTGAGGTACGAGAATCATTTGAACTTGGGAGGCAGAGGCTGCAGTGAGCCGAGATTGCGCCACTGTACTCCAGCCTGGGCAACAAAGCAGGCTGGAGTGCAGACTCCGTCTCAAAAAAAAAAAAAAGTAATACATGCCACAAACACCTTCCAGTTTGTGGTTTGTCTTCTCCGTGTGTGTTTTTTTTTAATCACATCTTTAATGTAGTTCTATTTATCAATTTTACCCTTTATGGTTAGCTCTGTTTTTGTATTTGGTTTAAGAAATCTTTCCCTCTTCTGAGACCACAAATTTTTTTTTAATTTTAAATTTCTAAACTTTTTAAAGTACACTAAGTGAAACAATACTGAATTGTTTAAAAATTATTCTCATTTGCTGGTGGGGAGCAGTGGCTCATGCCTGTAATCCCAGAACGTTGAGAAGCCGTGGTGGGTGGATCACTTGAGGTCAGGAAATTGAGACCAGCCTGGCCAACATGGTGAAACCCCATCTCTACTAAAAATACAGAAATTAGCCGAGCATGGCAGCGCATGCCTGTAATCCCAGCTACTGGGGTGGGTGAGGCATGAGAATCGCTTGAACCAGGGAGACAGAGGTTGCAGTGAGCCGAGACTGCGCCACTGCACTCCAGCCTGGGTGATGGAGTAAGACTCTGTCTCAAAAAAACAAACGTTATTCTCATTTGCTATGTTACTAATGTAGTAAGCAGATAATATATCAATACAATTAAACTGAAGGCTTAAAGGGAAACTGGGTTGTATGAGGCAGTATTTCTCATTCACTTTATTCTGAAGCCATATCCTTAAAGTTGGACTAGCATTTCAAGAGTTCCTAGGCTGGGCGCAGTAGCTCACGCCTGTAATCCCAGCACTTTGGGAGGCCGAGGTGGGCAAATCACCTGAGGTCAGGAGTTCGAGACCAGCCTGGTCAACACTGTGAAACTCCATCTCTACTAAAATCACAAAAAACACAGCCAGGCATGGTGGTGCATGCCTGTAATCCCAGCTACTCAGGAGGCTGAGGCAAGAGAATTACTTGAACCCGGGAAGTGGAGGTTGCAGTGGGCCAAGATCACATCACTGCACTCCAGCCTGAGTGACAGAGGGAGACTCCATCTCAAAAAAAAACAAAAAAGAAAAAACAAGAGTATCTGATGAAAAAAGTTACAGAACTGTATGTATTTTTTATATAGATATATAAAGTAAAATAAATTAGACAACTGCAATTAATTTATGCTTATCTATGGATGAATTTTTTTTTGGAATACACAAGACTGTGGTTACTTACCAGTCTATACCCACTGTCTTCTTTTTTTTCATGAACATGGGTTATGGGTTAACATTTTAATTTAAATATTAGAGGCTTTTGAAGTAAATAAAGTCAATTTATATTTTTTAGAAAAAATTAGTACACTGGCCATAGGCAGGCTCAAGAATCAAGGGTACATTCAAGGAGTCAAGGAGACTAGGTCATCTCAGCATGTCACAAGATGCTCAGCTGGCCTGGCATGGTGGCTCACTCACGCCTGTAATCCCAGCACTTTGGGAGGCCAAGGAGGGAGGATCGCTTGAGCTTGGGAGTTTGAGACCAGCCTGGGCAACATGGTGAAACCCTGTCTCTACAAACATTATAAAAGTTAGCCAGGCATGGTGGCATGTGCCTGTAGTCCTAGCTACTTGCGGGGCTGAGATGGCAGGATTGCTGAGCCACAGAGGTTGAGGCTGCAGTGAGCTGTGTTCACGCCACTGCACTCCAGCGTGGGTGACAAAGTGAGATCCCGTCTCAGGGAGAAAAAAAAAAAAGAAGATGCACAGCCATCTCAGTATGGGCCTTGGAACCCTGGGATCAAAGAAAAGGTTAGGTAAGCTGGTTGCTAACAGAACTTTAACAGTTTGAGAGACACATAGGACTAGTCCTGTGGTAGTGGGTTATCAGAACTTATAAACATTAGTGTCACTAAAGTTGGTATACAACTCCCCCACTGCTAAATTTGACTGGCTTAAAAAAAAAAGAAATACACAGGAAAGCAATATAATACAGTGGAAATCCCGAAAGCTTTGAAGTCCAGAAAATGCAAATACAGTTTAGTCACTTAGCAACTATTATTACTTATAACAAAAGCAAATTATTTAGACTCTCTAGGCCTCAGTTTCCACATCTGTAAAATAATAGAAATCTTTACATAAATGGTTCCCCATCTTTATACATACAAGGGATCCCATTTATAAGTTTTTTAGAAGTCTAAAGATTCCCCATAAAATCATCATATTTTCAGTACCCAAATACTGAAAACCTTTGGAAATCATGGAGGTTTTAAAGTTTGATAATACCTAAAGTTGGCAACAATGCGGGGAAAGAGCTACTGGCGGGCACTTATTTAGAGCAACCTATTAGGACAACTTGACAACGTCTATCAAATTATAAACACCTGATCCAGCAAATCTCACCTCTAAGACTTTATATTGCAAATACGTTTTACACAGTAGGCAAGGACACATGCCTGAAAACATTCACCACAGCATCATTTGTAATCACAAAGGATGGGGACCCTAATAAATGTTCAACAATGGGGAATGCACATATAAATGGTTATATTCCCAAACTAAAAACCATACTCTCTTCTATCAGCAATATAAACTGACACAACATTTCTAGATGGCCAATCCAGGAACAATACTGATCACAATTCTTAAAAACTGTGATGACCTTTGAGCCAACAATTTGTTTCAGAAATATATTTGCAGAACTAATTAACAATGCGAGAAAAGATACAGAGATAGGAATGTTCACTGAAGCTCTTAAAAATAGCAATATACCCTCTTACAACCCATTGTTAATAAGTTAATCAAATAATGGGAAATACAGTCAGTCATCAAAAATGTTATAGATGACTATTAAAATAAGATATTCACTATTAAGGGGAAAAGGCAGGCAGAGTAATGTACAACTTGTATAATCTTTTTTTGTCAAATGAAAATCACCACATATAACATATAGATGTATATAAAAATAAAAAATAAATATATGTACAGAATAAAAGTAACCATCAGTTATCTTCAGGTGGTGGGATTATGGTTAAACATTTTTTTGTTCCTTTTTTTTTTCACTTTATAGTTTTTCTACAATGCATATATTATTTTTGTAGTACTAAAGCTGTTTTAGTTTTAAAGGAAATAAAATAATTAAAAAATAAAGTCCCTCGCAGCGATGCAATGACTCTATGAAAGTGCCTACTTCAGTTATGAATCTTGAGACATAACTGGTCAACAACTCATCTTAGGAGTGTAGAAATAGACATTAGAAATTAAATAGAAACCAATACTATATAGCCTTTCTATTAAAAAAAATAAAATAAAATACACTAAAAACACTAGTCTTTCACCATTTCTTTCATGTAGACAACAACCCTATCCTATCTTCCATACTCAGGAACCAATAAACAAATGAATCTGCCAGAGAAAATACAGAACTGCCCTGGGAAAATTCTTACCAAACTAATGGAATTTTTCTCATTAAAGAAACAAAAACAACCAACCAACCAAACAAAAAAATCTTAACAGGAATTTTGGGTTGACATTTTCTCTCCAAGAAATTATCAATAGCAAGAATCTACTGCTCTCTCACTTGAAACACCAGTACCGAGTCAGCACTAACTTAGAAGGAATAGCACCATCTACAGAAATCACTTCCGTATCAGAGAATCATTACTAAATTCATTTTCCAACTAGTAGAACCACATCTGTACCTAACTAAACAGGTAGGGCTGTCCCTGAGACCTTTTTTATTCTTTCACCCCTCTAGCCCAGGATTATTATTTCCCAATAATCCCACTTACCATTGTTGTTGGCAATTAGTGTGACAAGAGTCTTCTTTGTACTGTCGCTGTTCTGTGCCCCGCTGCTACTAACGGTGGTGGATGTAGAGAGGTGCCCAGCAACAGAAGCATGGGCAGCGATGGGCACTGGAGCCGAGACTGGCTGCTGGCTCACAGAAACTGTGGGGAAGGGGAGGCATAGTCACTTGGAGACAGGGACAGATGACACTAAAGGATACTGCTCTAATCTTCCCTTTCCATCTTATTGTGGGTCTCTATAGCCAAAAAGTTTCCTGTTTCATAAATCCAACTGTTCATGTGATTTCTCCTCCTACTTAACCCTTAGTCCACCATTTAAACACAATCCCTTCTTCGTCTCACATCTCCTGGTTAATTAAGTTACATCACGGAGCCCACTGAACTGGGATTTTAATCTTTGCTTACATAGCACTAGCAAACCTCTAGGACTCAAAGGTTTATTATTACCACTAGTGGTATTCATAATCATGCATATTAAGCCATCCAAAAGACCCTGAACTGTGCCCTATTTCAGCCCAAACCAATGCCATCTTCAGGTCTCAAGACAGGAAAGATAAAAATATAGAGCAACTGGTACAATTTAGGGGAGCAAAAGAACTACCACCCATTTTCTGAATTCAGGGCAATCTAGAATTTGACCCAGCAGTATCACCTTTATGAAAGAAAAGCTAACAAGCCTAAATTTGTAAACTGTCCATGAAGGCAGACACAAGGCAATTTCTACTCCACTCACAAAGGAAACCAAGTTCAAGTAAAACAAAATAAAACAAAAAAAACAAGACTATGGGAACCTATTTTTGACTGGGTACATAAATGAGCACTGACACACACACACCACCACTTTGAATTCTTGTTCATACATCTTTTAGTAAGAAGACTGCTAGATATTTGATAAACACTGGTTAATCCAACCTTCCAATGTTTTCGATGAATTAAATATATAGTTTCTAGCTATATGGATGAGGAAACTGAGGTTTTCACAGACTAGAGCATGGGAAAAAAGGCAGCACCAGTGAGTGCCACAACGAGGTCTCCCTGGATTCTTCAAGTCCTTTTCCATCTCACACTTTGTTAACCAAAATACCATTCAATTTAATTAATTTAAACCATCTAAGATCAGAAGAGCTTTTGTTACCTGTGGTAGTTTTATCCACTGAATTATAATCTTCAACTACAGAGTCCTCAATGACATCACTGATTTTCTGCCATGGCTCCAACTCCTCCTCCTCACATTCCATGAACAGGTCGGTGTCCGCCATGCTATAAGAAAAACATTCAAATAAGATATGGGCCTAAGAATAGGAGATATTGCTTTATACCAAATATGAAATCAGAACTTTGACTCCATTGGTAACCTACCTCCTTGGACTCCTTTATCATATCCTCTAGCCTTCCTCCATTTCCAAGGGTTCAGAATTACAACTTCTATTATTGAATATTAGAATCCATTCCACAGCAAATTATTTAATAATTAGGGTTACAGGCCGGGCATGGTGGCTCCCACCTGTAATCCCAACATTTTGGGAAGCCGAGGGAGGTGGATCACCTGAGGTTGGGAGTTAGAGAACCAGACTGGCCAACATGGCAAAACCCTGTCTTTACTCAAAATACAAAAATTAGCCAGGCGTGGCGGTGCACCCCTGTAATTCCAGCTACTTGGGAGGCTGAGGCACGAGAATCGTTTGAATCCAGGAGGCAGAGGTTGCAGGGGGTCAAGATCACAACACTGCACTCCAGCCTGGGGGACAGAGTGAGACTCTGTCTCAAAAAAAAAAAAAAAAAAATTAGGATTATAAAAGTTTAGGCCAGGCACAGTGGCTTATGCTTGTAATCCCGGCATTTTGGTAGGCTGAAGTGGGTGGATCACGAGGTCACGAGTTCAAGACCAGCCTGGCCAACATGGTGAAACCCCATCTCTACTAAAAACACAACAATTAGCCGGGCACGCTGGCAGGCGCCTGTAATCCCAGCTACTTGGGAGGCTGAGGCAGGAGAATTGCTTGAACCCCGGGCAGCAGAGGTTGCAGTGAGCCAAGATCGCACCACTGCACTCCAGCCTGGGCAATAGAGACTCCGTCTCAAAAACAACAACAACAACAAAAAGTTTAATGTGTAATACCCAGGGCCAGGGTTAGGATGAGGACAGTGAGGTGAGTCAAGCAAGTGCAGGATCGGATTCAGTCTTTATTTAAAATAGATATTCTGTTCATTATGGATTGTTCTGCATTAATATTGATCTTTTAAAATGATGCATTAAAATGCATTTATTATGATTACTGAACCTCTCTGTACTCCTTTAAATTTTGCATCTAAGATGAGAACCTTACTTGTCATACTCTAGTCCCAGTCCTACTACTACCTTGTACGTCTAGTCTAGGAAATCCTGGAGGCCATTCCACTGTGATTTCGGAGTCAACCCTTAATTTGAAAACACTGCCTAAATTACATGTCCCTTTAAAAAATTAAAGTCTGAGCCGGGTGCAGTGGCTCACGCCTGTAATCCCAGCACTTTGGGAGGCCGAGGTGGGCGGATCACCTGAGGTCGGATCACCTGAGATCGGGAGTTTGAGATCAGCCTGACCAACATGGAGAAAACCCATCTCTACTAAAAACATAAAATTAGCCGGGCGTGGTGGTGCATGCCTGTAATCCCGGCTACTCGGGAGGCTGAGGCTGGAGAATCGCTTGAACATGGGAGTGGAGGTTGCAATGAGCCACAATTCACGCCACTGCACTCCAGCCTGGGCAACAACAGCGAAAGTCCATCTCAAAAAAAATAAAAATAAATAAAAACAAATAAATAAAGTCTGTATCTCTGCATTGCAAACAAAGAGTTAATGCTATTCTGCCCTCCAATAACAGTTTACTAAGGGTCAGTTTCTCTGTGTTGGAACGGGAGTACTATTACTGCTCAATGTTCAAACAAAGCCTTTACTGTAAGGCTCTAAGTGTCCTTAGTGTCTTAGTAATTCTGCTGCTACATCCATAAGCGAAAACCAAAACCAAACAACCAACCTAACCATTCTGTTTATTGAGTATTTAGTTAGGGCTATACATCCTGACAGTAGCAGTTTGCAAGAAGCCCAACAGATGGCATTGTTTCGCTTGAAAATTGAAAACAATCTTGCAGTGCCCCAGTGAGTCAGCTATAGCCAGGGGCACTCTGGGTTTTAATGGGTAAAGTGCTTAACTGGATTCTAACTGGTCTTTAATCTTCTATTTTAATTATTTCTGTCTTTCTAAACCAAAGCCACAAAGGGGGTGAGGAAAGAAAAAGATCTAAGGGATCAACTTACTTAAATTCTCTTATTTTCAGGCTTAATTATATGAAGACAATACTAGCCAGAAACTGAATTAAAAAGAAATCAAATCCATATCACAGGTATTCTTTGAGACAAAGACAACACATGCCTTTGTTTTCCAGTCTAATTCCACTACAAAATATATTTTCAAAAACTTTTTCCTTAAATACTTAATTTTATTCCATTGTTCTTTGCTGTATAACTTTCTGAGAGCTTAGTCAACAGATAATTAATGCGCAAATATCCAACACCCAGCAGAATGAATATAAACTGTGGACAATAACCTCTGCCGATGGTTTTCAAGGACCTACTTTTGTCCTGACCACTTACAAGCAAACTCTCCACACATATGAAAACTTTGATTTGGAATATGAAGAGCTATCAGAATACAAATTGTGGTTTTCAATGTCATGCCTGTGGTTATTTTAATAGCATACCCAAAAGGGTGTTCTTTTATCTTAAGTATTTACAATACCTTAAGAGTTTCAGTTCTTTATTTTATAAAGCAATGAATTTTAATAAGAATATTGAAATTTCTTCCATTTGACCTTCTGAGAGAAATGGAAAGAACTCCAGCTTGGGTAGCACAGCAAGACTCCATCTCTACAAATTTTTTTTTAAAAATTAGCCAGGCGTGCAGCACACACCAGTGGTCCCAGCTACCAGGGAGGATGAGGTAGGAGGATTGAGGATCGCCTGAGCCCAGGAGTTCGAGGTTACAGTGAGCTCGAGGTTACAGTAACTGCAGTGGTGCCACTGCACTCCAGCCTGAGCTGGAGAGCTGGAGAGCAATACTCCATCCCTACAAAATAAAATAAAAAACAAATGGAAATAACCAAAAAGGGTAGATCTGAAAAGATGGCAAAGAAAGATGTTTATGTCCTAACTACTTTTTAATCAAGTGAGAAAAATATCTCTTCTCCTTAGGTATGAGTACTGCCAAGATATCCAATGTAAATTAAAAGACTCAAAATGAAAAGAAAATCCAACTTGGCTGGACACAGTGGCTCACATCTGTAATCTCAACACTTTGGGATGCTGAGAAGGGTGGATCATTTGAGGTCAGGAGTTCCAGACCAGCCTGGCCAACATGGTGAAACCCCACCTCTACTAAAAATACAAAAATTAGCCGGACATGGTGGCACACGCCTGTAATCCCAGTTACTCAGGAAGCTGAGGCAGGAGAATCGCTTGAACCCAGGAGGCAGAGGTTGCAGTGAGCCAAGATCACGCCACTGCACTCCAGCCTGGGCAACAGAAGCCAGACTCTGTCTCAAAAAAAAAAAAAAAAGAAAAAAAGAAAGAGACAAAAAAGAAAGAAAAAAAAGAAAATCCAACTTATGGGGAAATATTTTTCATTTTTTTTTAAACAACATAGAAGATGGAGTTAGCTAATAAGGTTTGTCAACTCAGAAAATATTAGGTCTGCTGACTGAACATATTTCACAGACTTATACACAAAGCATCTCTGAAAGACACTGAAGCCAAATTTTTCAAAACTGTCCTTGATTTTGACCTACACTCTGCTATCTCAGGATGTGATCAATTCCTTTCACTTTCAGCATCTATAACTCAGGGTCTAAAAGATACAACAGAGATATATCAACCTAATATAAATATTCAGCAAACCAAAAATAGAAAATTCATATTTAGATCCTTCTTGTAGTTTTCTAGTTATCAAAAGGAAATCTTATACTAACATAATAAAATGCAGTATTTAATATTTCTACCAAGATTCTCAAGAAACACCACCATTCTCTGTGGTCTTTCAAGTGATCCATGGCATACCGTCTTTCAACTTTTTTTTTTTTTTTTTTTTAGCCCCGATCATGGGCAAGGGCAGCCTTTCAACTGTTTTTGAACAAAGAAGACAGTAATTACTAAATATGCAGTGTTAACATGTATATCCAGATTCTGAAAATGTGCCCTCAAAAAAAAAAAAAAGATCTTCCCAAACTATCATTCCACACATTTAACCTCCTTCCATACCAAATCTTTCTCATAAGGAAAAAAAAAAAAAAAAAAAACGAATTTTATTCCCTCTTCCCTAATTTCTTGCTATGAAGGATTGGATACTTATCACACTAAAAAAATTATGCTGAAATGTAATCCTTAAGGGGCATTTTAATTTCTCATTTTTTATTTCAAAACTGCCAAACAGAAATGCGAATTTCAGATATTTAAAGCCAGCCCATAGTGAATACAGTGCTACATCAAGAGGAAAACGGCCGGGCGCGGTTGCTCACGCCTGTAATCCCAACACTTTGGGAGGCCGAGGCGGGGGGATCACCTGAGGTTGAGAGTTCGAGACTAGCCTGGCTAACATAGTGAAACCCCATCTCTACTAAAAATACAAAAATTAGCCAGGTGTGGTGGCACACGCCTGTAATCCCAGCTACTCAGGAAGCTGAGGCAGGAGAATCGCTTGAACCTGAGAGGTGGAGGTCGCAGTGAGCTGAGATCGTGCCACTGCACTCTAGCCTGGGCGATAGAGCAAGACTCCATCTCAAAAAAAAAAAAAAAAAAAAAAAAGGAAAACTTGGATGGGCAGTAAATTTGGGAATCATACTGCAACAAGTGAACAGGCAAATTTTCATACGAGTCTCTGAATCAAAATTGTAGTGGTTCCTTTTCTGCTAATTTTAATGATACAAATTTTAATTGAATAAAAAAGTTAGACATGTATTCGTCACTCAGTTTCAAAAATTATCAACTCAAAATGGATTCCTTCATTTATGCCCCCACTTCCCTGTATTATATTGAAACAAATCTCTAAAACATCATATTCATAAATATTTTGGTATGTAGGTCTAAAAGATAAGGACTTTAAAAGACTATAGTTTAAAAAAATTGTATGGCTGGGCGCGGTGGCTCAAGCCTGTAATCCTAGCACTTCGGGAGGCTAAGGCGGGCGGATCACATGAGGTGAGGAGTTTGAGACCAGCCTGGCCAACACGGTGAAACCCTGTCTCTACTAAAAATACAAAAATTAGCCAGGTGTGTAATTCCAGCTACTCAGGAGGCTGAAACAGGAGAATTGCTTGAACCCAGGAGGCGGAGGTTGCAGTGAACCGAGATTGTGCCACTGCACTCCAGCTTGGACAACAGAGCAAGACTCCATCTTAAAAACAAAAAAATTGTATTACCATTACATGCCTAAAAAACTGATAATCCCTTAATATCAAATATCTAGTCATTATCCCAATTTCTTTTTTCTCTTCTTTTTTTGTGAGATGTGGTCTCATCCAGGCTGGAGTACAGTGGCACAATCTCAGCTCACTGCAACCTCCACCTCCCAGGCTCAAGAAATCCTCCCACCTCAACCTCTTGAGTAACTCTTGGGACAAAGAGCTAACTAACTCTTGGGATAACCAAGAGCCACCATGTCTGGCTAATTTTTTTTTTTTTTTTTTTTTTTTTTTGGTAGAGAGGGGGTCTTACCATGTTTCCCAGGCTGGTCTCAAACTCCTGGACTCAAGCAACACACCTGCCTCAGATTCCCAAAGTGCTGGGATTATAGGTATGAGCCACTGTGCCCAGCTTTTGATGTGTTTTGATCCATGCAGTTATCTTTACAGATACTCAATGTGCCCTATTTTGGCCAGTGGGAACGTCTTCAGTTGGCTGCTGAGTCCTTCTGACACAACCCTAGCATCGTTTGATAAAATCTTTGCTGATAGTCAAGATGTTTCAGCTTATCTCATATATTTCCTGCCCCAGACCTAGAACCAACCATTTCTTCAAGGAATGATACTGGTGGGGAATGAGTTTCCAAGACCACAATAAAAGGCTAGGGTCCTTCTTGCTCATTTTAAATAAAAAATTACCTCCATATGAATCCCCAAGTATTAGCTATCTTCAACTTTGCTCTTACGTCATCTGACAGAAAAATTCCACATCCACAAATATATTTCTTAGAAACCTAAAAAAAAATTTTCTCCTGAAATTTTTACTTGAAATGTTTGTCTTATATATTTAGTAAACCACTCATTACTTCCCCTCTTATCCTATCCTGACTGTATGTATTCCCCTAACAAAATACCTAGATCATTAAGATAATTTATATGTAGTTAAGAAATTTTGGCTGGGTGTGGTGGCTCACATCTGCAATCCTAGCACTTCGGGAGGCTGAGGTGAGAGGATTACCTGAGTTCAGGAGTTCGAGACCAGCTTGTGCAACAGAGAGAGACCTCATATCTATTAAAATTTTTAAAAAATTATTTTAAAAAGATAAATTTTAAGAAAAATATAATCAAACAATCAAAGGTTAACAAAGAGGACACATTTAGTTTAATCAAGCCTTTTAGCAAGTAACTTTTCCAGACTATCTTTTCTTTGCCTGTAATCCCACCACTTCAGGAGGCTGAGGTGGGAGAACTGCTTGAGCCCTAATTCTTTGAGCCCAGAGGTTCGAGACCAGCCTGGGCAACTTGGTGAAATCTCATCTCTATAAAAAGTAGAAAAATTAGCAGAGTGTTGGTGGCATGCACATCTGTAGTCCCAGCTACTCAACAGGCTGAGGTGGGAGAATCTCTTAAGTCCAGGAGGTGGAGGCTGAAGTGAGCTGTGATCGAGCCACTGCACTCCAACCTGGGCAACAGAGCAAGACCCTGTTCTCAAAAACAAACAAACAAACAAACACGCAAACAAACAAAACTATCTTTCCTTGAACACAAGATATAGACAGATCATGTCAAACATTTCAAACGAAATTCTCAACTATTCCTAAGCTAGTAAGGATCTTTTTCAAGCAAATGCATGAGGGGGTGGTGGCAGAGGTGGAAAACAGAGATTTAGATACAGCAGAAAGCCTACACCTTTACTTTCAAAACAAGAGCTCATTTCGAACCTTCAATTAAATTCCCAATAGTGCTAAAATATTTCATCATATTCCAGTGTTCTCCAACATATATCAGGCACCGCCCAAGCTATACACTACATCTGCAGAAGGGATTCATTCAACACCTGTACCTAGCTTACATCAAGGGAACCCTAGTTCATAAAAGGCATAAATAAATAATTAAGGAATCTTCATAAGTGACAGTGAATTTTATCAGAGGTCACGTTTGCCCCCCAGAGGGCATTTGGCAATGTCTAGAGACATTTTTGGTAGTCACAATCAGGGTGGGGGTGAGGAGAGGTGTTACTGACCTATCTAGTGGGTAGTGGCCAGGAGTGCTACAGAACATCCTACAATGCATAGGATAGCCTGGAGATTATCCGACCCTAAATGTCAATAGTGCCAAGACTGAAAATCACTGATCAAACTGAATACATGTTCTGAAAACGAGGGCAATTAAAAAAAAATCATCCCACATTCTATACATAAAGAACTATCATTTCTTTTTAAAAATATTTGTCCTCTCAGGCCAGGCACAGTGGCTCACGCCTGTAATCCCAGCACTTTGGGAGGCCGAGGTGGGCGGATCACGAGGTCAGGAGATCAAGACCATCCTGGCTAACACGGTGAAACCCCGTCTCTATTAAAAATACAAAAAATTAGCCAGGCGTGGTGGCGGCCGCCTGTAATCCCAGCTACTCGGGAGGCTGGGGCAGGAGAATGGCATGAACCTGGGAGATGCAGCTTGCAGACTGCACCACTGCACTCCAGCCTGGGAGACAGTGCGAGACTCCGTCTCAAAAACTCTGCAAGAGAGCAGAACAAGGTTCTTATGAATTATTCAAATGGTTATATCTTGTATGTTAAAAATTTTTTTATAAAATCCATATATATCTAGTCTGTTTCATCCTATAATCACCTACCTGTGAAACTTGATTTTTTTTTTTTTTTTTTTTTTTTTTGAGACGGAGTCTTGCTCTGTCACCCAGGCTGCAGCGCAGAGGCACGATCTCGGCTCACTGCAACCTCCGCCTACCGGGTACAAGTAATTCTCCTGTTTCAGTCTCCCAAGTAGCTGGGACTACAGGTGCCCACCACCACGGCTGGCTAGTTTTTGTATTTTTAGTAGAGATGGGTTTTCACCATATTGGCCAGGCTGGTCTTGAACTCCTGACCTCAGGTGATCCACCTGCCTTGGCCTCCCCAAAGTGCTGGGATTACAAGTATGAGCCACAGCACCCAGCCAGGAACTTGATTTTATCTTCATATTCATCTGACAACTTTTAGGTCACAGGGTCTTTGTCGCCTGGGCTGTAGTGCAGTGGCGCGATCTCAACTCACTGCAGCCTCGACCTCTTGGGCTCAAGCAATCCTCCCGTCTCAGCCTCCCAAGTAGCTGGGACTACAGGCATGTGCTACCACGCCTGGTTAATTTTTGTATTTTCTATAAAGCTAGAGTTTTGCCATATTGCCCAGGCTGGTCTTGAACTTCAGGACTCAAGTGATCTGCTTGCCTTGGTCTCCCAAAGTGCTGGGTTTTACAGGCATGAGCAGTCGTGCCCAGCCTCCCCAGTTCTAAATTTTTTCTTGTTGTGGCCCCTTTACAATTCCTCTACAGGTTACTTTTGCTACATATAAACTCTTCTAGCTTCTTCAACTTTCAAATCATTTTTGCAGAGGGCAATGCCTCAAAGTGACAAAATGGAAACCTATTTCTATGTTCTTCCTCAAAAATCTTATTTATGGTTGAACTTAAAAGTTACAGTAGCTCTGTATCTCAAAAGCCAAAGGTTATGATTGTAATATGTTTAAATAGAAAAACCTTAGCCAGGACCGGTGCAGTGGCTCACGCCTGTAATCCCAGCACTTTGGGAGGCCGAGGTGGGTGGATCACTTGAGGTCAGGAGTTCAAAACCAGCCTGGCCATGACCATGACCAGAGATGTGGTGAAACCCCGTCTCTACTAAAAAAAAAAAATACAAAAATTAGCCAGGTGTGGTGGCACACGCCTGTAATCCCAGCTATTCAGGAGGCTGAGACAGGAGACTGCCTCAAAGGGAAAGAAAAAAGAAAAACATTAACCAATAAACTACTGACTAATAATTCACATTAGTTATCAGCTGTTTTGTCTATGGCATTTTTTTGCAAACAAATACACAAGAAAAGCCAAAAACAATGTATGAAGTATTACTGACAATAATATTTAACCTGAATCAAATCAATTATTTATTTATTTTATTTTTTTTTAAATTTTTTGAGATGGAGTTTCACTCTTGTTGCCCAGGCTGGAGCCCAATGGCGCGATCTCAGCTCACTGCAACCTTCACCTCCTGGGTGCAAGCGATTCTCTTGCTTCAGCCTCTCAAGGAGCTGTAATTACAGGCATGCGTTACCATGCCTGGCTCATTTTGTACTTTTAGTAGAGATGGGGTTTCATCATGTTGGTCAGGCTGGTCTTCAACTCCTGACCTCAGGTGATCCACCCGCCTCAGTCTCCCAAAGTGCTGGGATTACAGGTGTGAGGCACCGCGCCTGGCCCAAATCCATTATTTAAATGTAACTTTGCGTTTACAAGAAATACAGCAATAAAAGAACAAATTAAGTATCACCACAAAGAAATAATGAGATAAATCCAGAAGGTGGGACATTCTAGAAGGAAATAATCAAATGCAGAATATGGAACATTCTATAAAACTAATAGAAGTCTCTTTAAAAATGTCAATGTTCGGCTGGACGCGGTGGCTCACGCCTGTAATCCCAGCACTTTGGGAGGCCAAGGCAGGTGGATCACCTCAGATCAGGAGTTCGAGACCAGCCTGACCAATATGATGAAACCCAGTCTCTACTAAAAATACAAAAATTAGCCGGGCGTGGTGGTGGGCACCTGTAATCCCAGCTACTCAGGAGGCTGAGACAGGAGAATTGCTTGAACCCGGGAGGTGGAGGTTGCAGTGAGCCGAGATGGTGCAATTGCACTCCAGCCTGGGCAACAAGAGCAAGACTCCGTCTCAAAAAAAAAAAAAAAAAAAAAAAAAGTCAATGTTGGCCGGGCATGGTGGCAGGCCAAGGTGGTAGGATTGCTTAAGGTCAGGAGTTCAAGACCAATCTGGGAAACAGAACCGATCCCTCTAAAAAATTTTTAAACAGAAAGGATAATCATATTATATTCATGTAGGAGAATGTATTTATTCCTAGGAAATGCACAAAATATTTAATAGAAATATCTTGAAAGTGACTTTCAAGGGGTTAAGCAAATACATAGATATTTGGCTTTTTTTTTTGAGACAGGGTGTCATTCTATCCCCCAGGCTGGAGTGCAGTGGCACAATCACGGCTTATTGCAGCCTCAACCTCCTGGGCTCAGGTGATCCTCCTGCCTCAGCCTCCCAAGTAGTTGTCACTACAGGTGGGCTATTTTGATATTTTCTTATAGATACTAGTATGCCAACTTTCAAAAAATATTTGGCATGGGCCAAAACATTAAAAATCATCCTGTCACCAGGCGCAGTGGCTCACGCCTGTAATCCCAGCACTTTGGGAGGCCAATGCAGGCGGATCACAAGGACAGGAGTTCGAGACCAGCCTGGCCAACACAGTGAAACCCCGTCTCTACTAAAAATACAAAAATTAGCCATGCGTGGTGGCTGGTGCCTGCAGTCCCAGCTACTCGGAAGGCTGAGGCAGGATAATCGCTTGAATTCGGGAGGCAGAGGTTGCAGTGAGCCAAGATTGTGCCACTGCACTCTAGTCTAGGCAACAGAGCGAGACTCTGTCTTAAAAAAAAAAAGTCACTCTGTCTAGGTGGTGGATAGTTTAAGTGTTCCTTGTAGAATTCTTTCACCCTTTTCTTTTTTCTTCTTTTTGTGATGGAGTCTCGCTCAGTTGCCCAGGCTGGAGTGATCTTGGCTCACTGCAACCTCCACCTCCCAGGTTCAAGTGATTTTCCTGCCTCAGCCTCCTGAGTAGCTGGGATTACATGCATGCGCCACAACGCCCAGCTAATTTTTGTATTTTTAGTAGAGACAGGTTTCACCATGTTGGTCAGGCTGGTCTTGAACTCCTGACCTTGTGATCCGCCCATCTTGGCCTCCCAAAGTGCTTCGGTTACAGGTGTGAGCCACTGCGCCCAGCCTCTTTCTCCCTTTTCGCATGCGTGAAATTTTCTTAATAAAAACTGAGGTGGGGTAGGAGGGAGTGGAACTACCTACTCATATCTTAGCTGTGATATTCTGTACTGCTACATTCCACCTATCTCTTTGGTATTTACTAAATAACTGGTAGCCTTGTTGGTTGAATTTCTTGATTTATTCCCAGGACCAATTTTCATGTAGCTTGTATATATACATTTCTCTTTTTTTATTTTTATGCATCCATTTTCACTTAATATACATTTCTTAAGACATAGCAAAATAGTTAAATAAGAAATAACAAATTAAGGTGGATTATGTAGGCTACCAAGGAGGTACATTACTTTCTTCCATTAATCCATTATTTGACATCTTGGTAACCTAGGTGGTTTCTCTATTTTGTAGTAATTGTAACATGATTTTTTTGTGCACTCAATAGGTTTTACTTAACACTGCAGGCTCACACAGAACTATTAGCAATACTCAGTCTCTTGTCTCATCCTTCAATCCATAATATGGGAGTACCAGATAAATACTCTCCTGGAGGGAAGGGGACTATTTCTTAAATGCTGGCGAATATGGTAGTCTATACTAAGGCCCTATATGATCAGCTAGTCAATAAAAGTCTATATAATTGTAAAGGCAAGATAAAAACAGACCTTTTAAAACAATATACTATTTAAAAGCAGCAAAAAGAATCCTGCAGATACACCTGTATACTTTTAAGGTATTTAATGGGCAGCAAATGTTGCCTATCTTCATCTCAAAGAAAATGAGAAAAAGATCTGTTTTCCACAACTATCCTGACATACTTGGTTCTTGAAAGCTCTGAATTCCTTTGTCTTGTTCTTTCATAGCTGTAAAGTCCAGAAATGAAGAATGAAGAATTCAGAAATGAAGAATTTGGTATCTAACGTTTTCAACTTACTGCCAGTACATACCTGCCCAAAAATCAACATAAAAAGAACATTTGGAACAGGAAAAATATTTTACAGAAAACAAACATTTTAAGAATACCACTTTCTTGTTCCAGGGTGAAAAATAAACAATGATAATCCTCAACATAACTGGTAATTATGTTTTCAAGTTACCTCAATTTTTGGCTCTAAAAAGGACTAATACCAGAAAACCTATAGGGCTGAATACTTAATCTGTGTATAAAACTATAGTTAAACATGTAATAAGCTTTTATTTATCCAGTCTTTTGCACAGCCCATTTTGTCCCTCACAACATCTGTTATAGTACCTCATATGTAAGAATCATAAGGGTTTTAAGTAGTCTTAATAACCTAAAATTTCCAAACTCAAAATACTTTCCTCTTGTCTGGTAGCCAATCCTGTATCAAGAAACACCCAAATATTTAGTTCTGTGCTCTTTACTAAAACAAGTAAGCAACAAGTTCTCTTCTTTAAAGGGGTTCAATATTCAGGAGTCCCTTTCCCAAGAAAAATATCTATACTATGATGGAAAACTTTTCTTCAATGACAGCTGTGTGTTGCCTAAATTCCATTTCTATGCTTTCAATTTCTTTTAACTCTGCTAACACCTAGCAATAGGTTAGTGTCTCTTTTCTGCTCTCCTCCCCTTGGTTACATATAAAAATACGTTTTTCAGTTGGGCGTGGTGGCTCACGCCTGTAATCCCAGCACTTTGGGAGGCCAAGGCGGGTCGATCAAGAGGTCAGGAGTTTGAGACCAGCCTGATCAATATGGTGAAACCCCATCTCTAGAAAAATACAAAAATTACCCAGGTGTGGTGGCGCGTGCCTGTAATCCCAGCTACTGAGGAAGCTGAAGGAGGAGAATCGCTTGAACCCAGGAGGCGGAGGGTGCAGTGAGCCGAGATTGCGCCATTACGCTCCAGCCTGGGCAATAGAGCGAGACTCCATCTCAAAAAAAAAAAAAAGACAAGTTTTTGTGAATATGGCTTAATATCACAAACAAGAATACCAAAGAATCTATCAAAATGTTACCATATTGATATTATGGCAAAGGCATTAACCAGCTCTAGGATTTGTAATCAACCAGCTCTAAAGTTTTTATTTTACAGATAAGGTCAAAACAGTGGTTTAGAGAGACGAAGTAACTTCCTCAAGGTTACAGTTAGTAAATATCCCAGTTAGGATTCAAAGCAAGCTTTTTTTGCTTTAGAATTCTTCCCCAGGTCACTGCCTCTTCCATCAACTTCAACTATTTATAAATTCTCCCAAGTTCCCCAAGGGAGTTAGATTTGAATGATGTAAAGAGCAGAAACATAGGACTGACTGAATGATTCTCATTTTTTTGACTCTTAAAATTATTGAAGACGCCAAAGATCTTTTGTTTATGTGAATTTTATCTTTCCACATTTACCACAAATTTTTAAAATGTAGTATTTATCAATGTATTTTAAGACAAGCCCATTATAAGTTAACATAAATAACATTTCAACAAAAAATACTTTCCCTCCAAAAAGTGAGAAAAGTAACGTTGTTTTGCATTTTGCAAATCTCTTTTATGTCTAACTTGATAAAAGATGGTTGGATTCTCACAGTTACTTCTGCATTCAGTCTGTTGCTATATGTAGCTTTGGTTAAGTATATAATGAAAATCTAGTCGGAAAAGGGAGAAGTATTTTAATAACCTTTTCAGATAACTGTGTTTGGTAAATACTAAAACTCAACAAACGGTAGTTTCTTTCTTTTTTTTTTTTTTTTTTTTTTTTAATAAATAGAGACAGGGTCTCACTATGCTGACCAGGCTCAACTCCAACTCCTGGGCTCACACAATCCTTCCACCTTGGCCTCCCAAAGTGCTGGGATTACAGGAGTGAGCCACCACGCTAGGCCAAATAGTAGTTTCTTAAAGGACAGTTAACATTTTGGAATCTGAAACCACATCAATCCACTTTTTTACTGTTAAAATCCATTGCTATGTCTGGAATTTTCAAAGGATCTTTTGCCTTTGCTTGATTTTGCAACATCATGCATTGGTCATTTGCAAAGCCTAGATTTACTGAGTTATGCCCATCTTCCAAATAACATATTTCATTAAACAACATTTTAAAATATTGCAGTCCTTAACCACTGATATCATAAGGAAAGTCTTTTAAGTACTAGGAAGCTGTCAAACTCCAGCTGTCAACTTTTTAAAAATTCTAATTTTCACCCAAATTTTATCACTGGTAATAAATACTGTCAGTTGTTTTCCTAAAAGTGACAAGCTCACTTCATTTTCAAGAAATATCTGCCAAATACTAAGTGTGAAAAACCATAGTCTGCTAGTCGTTCTTTCAAGTAAAAATGCTACTCCATGAAATAAGCCATTCATTCACAACCCAATCTCACAAATGCTTTTCCTTCATGACAACAATCACACCTCCCTAGGCAGCATAAATGCTTTATCCATGTTTATTTAATCACAAATTCTTAAAAATTAAAAAGACATGTAGTCAAAAGCTAAGACTTAATAATAATAGGCCGGGCACGGTGGCTCATGCCTGTAATCCCAGCACTTTGGGACGCCGAGGCAGGTGGATCGCCTGAGGTCCGGAGTTCGAGACCAGCCTGGCCAACATGGCGAAACACTGTCTCTACTAAAAATACAACCAGGGAGGAAGAGATTGCAGTGAGCCGAGATAGTGCCACTGCACTCCACCCTGGGCGACAGAGCAAAACTCCGCCTCAAAAAAATAAAAATAGAATAATAAATTTTACTGCTTCAAGGGCATTCTCAAGTAGTTTGGTGCCCCTGACTTGCTTTGTGCTAAGGTACCGCCAGTAGTTTTACCCAGCCTTGCTTTTGAACCATCAGTGTATCAGTGAAAACAATAAATAGCATCTTACTATTATTTTGAAAATAGTTATGACCTTGAGGCTACCCTGAAAGGGTAAGAGGAGATCCCCATGGGTCATCTGTCCACACTTTGAGAACTGCTTTCCTACATTATACCACTAGTTCAAGATGGGAGTGGAAACTCTAACTAAATCAGGTTCGTCCCAAGAGTCCATTCTGTTACCTCCTTTAGTTTGAGATACACCACCAACACAGCTCTGGAAAAGGGAAGGAAATCAACGGCACAAGGTGTCACTTGTTTCAACATCTTGAACACTTTTATGTTAGACCAGTAATTCTCAATGTAGTGGTTACATTAATCAGTCTCAGCCCCAGGACTGCTCATTTGAAAATGTAAAGATGACAACCCCCCTCTGCTCCATTCAAATAAATTTGGGGGATGAGGCCCCCCAAATTGTACGTTTAACCACCTTCAAGTTACTTTTTATGCACCCCGAAGTTGAGAACGATTGTGCTAACAGTTCGAATTCAGAGTTCAAGCTCTCAGACCCTGAGCAATAGTGTCTCAAAATTAATCGTTTGCCAACGAGCAGCCCTCCCTGCCCCCTCCGTTTCCCTTTCCTCTAGTTGGGTAAATGCCTACAGAAGTAAAACCCGGCCGGGCGCGGTGGCTGACGCCTGTAATCCCAGCACTTTGGGAGGCCAAGGCGGGCGGATCACCTGAGGTCAGGCGTTCAAGACCAGCCTGGCCAACATGGTGAAACCTCGTCCCTACTAAAAATACAAAAATTAGCCGGGCGTGGTAGCACATGCCTGTAATCCCAGCTACTAGGAAGGCTGAGGCAGGAGAATCACTGGAACCCGGCAGGCGGAGGTTGCAGTGAGCAGAGATCGTGCCACTGCACACCAGCCTGGGCGACAAGAGTGAAACTTCGTCTCAAAAAAAAAAAAAAAAGTAAAACCCCATTTCTGTGGAGTTTTGAGCGGCGGTAAGAGGTGTCTACGGGCTTGGAAGGACGGGCTACACCGCTTGCATCAAGACGGCGGCTGCTGTGAGATAGTCCAACTGCATCTTAGTTTCCATTTCGAAAATGAGACTGGCCACTAAATGACTCTAAGGACTCATCAGCACTACCTTTTTCTGAACTAAGAATGTCTAAGACAAGTGCTACTAGCAGTTTGAGAGAATCCCACATCTGGAGAGGAAGGAAATAAGAACAACACGCAGAAAGACGGAAAACAAATAGATCAATGACAGTACTCCTTTGCAAAAGGTGCCAAGAATCTAAATAAAATAGTCCCCGGGATAAACATGGCGCCCACCGCGGCAGGACATAATCACCAGAAAATAAAGATTCCCCGCCTCATTCCATTTTATAAATCACGGCGCCATCCCAAAAGAAATTTGGGGACCGAGGGAGGAGACTTCGTAAACTAGCTGCAGTGCACTAAGGCTTAGGATGTACTATTAGACCAAGCAGAGATTACATAACACAAGGGATCGGCTCAGCAATCACTCATTTTCCTCCTCCCGCTCAAAACGAGCGCCCCACTCCTTCTCGGAGCGGGAATGGGGCGGGGAGGGCCGCGCACCCCCACCCCCAGGGGCCGCTCCGCCGCCGCCCGCCCCTCCGCCGCACGGCCTCGCCCCCTCGCCGGCCCCTCCCGCCGCGCCCCGCCGTCTCGCCACCGCCCGCGCCCCCGCCCCCGCCCCTTCCCCAGCGGGCCACCGCCCGCGCCCGCGCCGCCCACTCCTCCGAGACGCCTCGCGCCGAGCGTGCGTGTGGACGTCGGGCTGTGTGCGGGGCCGTGGGGCGCGAGTGCGCGCGCGCGCGCCGCGGCGGGCGCCGGGGGGCGGGGGCGGCCGGCCAGCCGGCAGGCAGGGACCTCCGCCGCCGGCCCTTCGCGCGGCTCCCGCGGCCCGGGGCGCACGCACACACACTCGCGCTCGCGCGCCGCACCCCGCGGCCGCCCCTGCCGCGGGCCGCGCCGCCACTCGCGGTGGGCGGGGGCGCGCACCGCCGGCCCCCCGCCCCCACCCCCGCGCGTACCGGCCCCATCCCCCTCTCATTGTCTCGCCTCTGAACGCCTCGCCGAGCGAAAAGATAACGGAACCCCCGGGAGCAGGGGGTGGGGAGAGAGAAGGCTCGCTCGCTCACTCACCTCCTGTGGTCGTCGCCGCCGGTAGTCTGACCCGAGGAAGGCGCCGTCGCCTTAAAGGGACCTTACACCCGGCGCCAGAAGGGGGTGGGAGCAGGGGGAGGGGACGGGGGCTTGGGGGGAGACGAAGAAGAGGTAACCGTTGAAAGCTCGTCTCCCCAAGGGTGAAAGGAAGCCTCCCTCGGGTTCGAGTGATTCGGGGTGGATTTTTTTCCCGAGGGGGGCGGGGGGGCCCCGAGGGAGGGGGGTGGGGGGGCCAAGGAATGCGGCTCCGTGTACGGGAGCTGGCGCGGGGGAGAGAGACGCCGACTCCCCCCACCGACCCTCTCGCCCCGCGGAGGGATACGGCTCGTCACTTCCGCCCTCCCCTTTTTCACGGCCTCCCAATTGGTCGGAGCGCGCTGCACGTCATGGGCTCATCCAAACCCCTGCCCGGGCTTCTTTTCTAGTCAAGTTTGGCTGGGCCTGCAAATAAATAAATAAAGGAAAACATTTTTTGTAATGAAAAAAGAATAATTAGCTTCAGAAGCTATATCTAAATTTTGGTGAGAAAAATGAGACTTCCAAAGAAAATATTCCCCAATTTACTTGCCAAGAGTTTCCAAGGAAGTGTTGGGAGGCTCCCCCACTTTCCACTCAAGGCTTAGACCCAGTCAAGAGGGAGACTTCATGACACAGGCCAGGTGGTGAGGCCCAGTGGCACCAACAACTGTCATTGGAACAAAGAACAAAATGGCACTCACTCTTTCTCAAGAGACACTCGGCCAAGTAACCTTGTGGCTGCGGCCTTGTTTAAGTGAAGAACTTTTAAAAGCCATTTTGATCCTCAAGCCCTTCTGGATCCTGGAAAGAAGTGGCACACGATTGTTAAAGCGATTATTGTGATGGAAACTGCTTTGCTCCCATTGTGAGTAGATTCAGCAGAGATCCCCAGTTCCAAGAAACCACACACACTCCACATCCTTATGCTTTTTGCTCCAATCAAGGCTGAGATGGGTTGGCTCAAAGAAATTGGTTAGTCCACTCAAACGACCATCCACCTGTTTATTCTTCCCCAGACAAAAACTACCTCTTTTCAGGTAGCTAAGAAATTTTGTCCTTTATTGCCTTCTGAGATTATAAAAATGTAATATTTTCCTTGAATATTTGAAAATGTTTGCTATTTAAGCAATACACAAATATTTGCTTCAAACCAAATGTGAAATCAAGGTACTTGGTGCAGAAAGGGGAAATCCAGAACTATGTTTATTTGTGCTCTTTATATACACACTCCATTCAAACCACCAGACTGAAAATAGGCAGTGGAAGTAGGCATTCCAAATTGTATGCACCTGCCCGTGTGAGTGTGCACATGTGCATACACATACACACACTGCCACCACCCAGTTTCATTCCATTTCATACCAAAACCATGTGAGTGATTTCCACTAGTGTAGGATGCTTAGGAAGGACTTCATTATTTGAATGAGAAGAATCACTAAATCCTTCTGAAAATACTTCTGAAGACTTTCCAGACCTGATCTGGAGAAGCCCATATTAGGATTATGGGATCAATCACCAAAAGACTACATGAAACTCAAATCCTATTTTATACTGTCGTGTAATTAGTATAATTCATTATATATGTTATATTTACATTATGTATATTACGTTATTAACCTTTGAAAAATTCCAACATATTTCCCCATGCCCTGTCAATTTATTCTCCCAGCCAATGAGATCTAGCGCAGACTATGCCATATACCGTTGACCAGTAACTGTTAGCATGCTTTATTGAAAATGGATCATGCATCCATTCATTCATTCAATGAATATTTATTGGGGGCTGGGCATGGTGGCTAACACCTGTAATCCCAACACTTTGGAAGGCCAAGGGAGGAGGATCACAGCAGTCTGAGGGCAGCCTGGGCAACTTAGCAACATCCCATCTCTACAAAAAAAAATTTTTTTTTTTTAAACAGAGTCTCGCTCTCTCCCCCAGGCTGGAGTGAAGTGGCGCGATCTCGGCTCACTGCAACCTCCGCCTGCTGGGTGCAATTCTCCTGCCTCAGCCTCCTGAGTAGCTGGGACTACAGGCGTGCGCCACGATGCCTGGCTAATTTTTTCTGTTTTTAGTAGAGACGGGGTTTCACCAAGCAGGCTGGTCTCGAACTCCTGACCTCGTGATCTGCCCGCCTCCGCCTCCCAAAGCGCTGGGATTACAGGCGTGAGCCACCGTGCCTGGCCCCAAAAAATTTTTTTCATTAGCTGGTTGTGGTATTCCTAGATACTTGGAAGACTTGGGAGGATCACTTGAGGCCAGGAGTTTGAGACTGCAGTGAGCTATGATGACACTACTTGCACTCTAGCCTGGGAGGGACAGAGCAAGATCCTGTCTCAAAAAAAAAAAAAAAATTATTGAGCACATGTACTAGGCACTGTTTTAGGTGCTGGGAATACAGCAGCAACAACAACAACAAATACCTGAATCTGTGGGATTTATACTCTAGAAGGAAAGAGACATAAAATATACACATAAACAAATTGTTCTATTGTCTATTGTTAAATAACAAATGACCCCGAACTTAGTGGCTTAAAACAACAATTTCATTACCTCTCATGGTTCTGGGAGGTAATTAGGCTCAGCTAAACAGTTCTCACTTGGGAGTCTCGTATGCAGTGGCTAGGGCTGAAGTAATCTCAAAAGCTTCCTTACATGTCTGGAAGTTGAGGTTGACTGTTGGCTTGGACCGCAGCTGGGGTTGTTGGCAGACCATTTACAAGTGGCTTCTCCATGTAGCCTGGGCTTCCTCATATCATAGTGGCTGAGTTCCAAGACTGAGTGCCCCAAAAGGACCAGACAGAGATCGTGACCTAGTCTCAGAGGTCATATAGTGTTACTTCCATTACAGTTACAGGATGGAGAGCATAGATCCCCATCTCTCAACGGGAATAGTGGAAATGTCACATTGTAAGAAAGTGTGCGGAAAGGGAAATCTTGTGGCCATCTTGGAAAATGCAATCTGATATACATTATGTAAATAAATATGGATTATATGAAATGGTGATAGGTGCTATGAAGGGTAAAGGGCAGGATAGGGGAATTAGGAGTGTGGTGCAGACATGGGGGTGGAGAATTTGCTATTTTATGTGGGGTGATTGGAGAAGTCCTTGTTAAGGTGACATTTGGGCAAAGACCTGAAGAAAGTGAAGCAAAGTTTAGGTTTTACCTGTAGTGAAAATGAAGCTGCTGGAGGATCATAAAGCAAGTAGTGACACGGCCTGACTCACGTTTTTAAAGGATCACTGTGGCTGCTTGTGAAGAATAACTAATAGAGGCAAGGGCAGATGCAGGGAGACCAGATAGAAGGCTATTGCAATAATCCAGGTGAGAGTTGATGGTAGCTTGGACCAGGATGGGAGTTGTGAAGCTGCTGCTTCAGGTGATTGAGTTCTGTGGTGTGTTACTTACTCCTCTCTATTTTTCTGTCATTTAGTTTGTGCCCTGGGAGACAGTTTTGACCCATAATGCCCAATAAAATGAGTGATGGTGCTATGCCTGCCACCAAGAATACAGAAAGTCTATCATGCTAAATGTAAAAGTGGGAGTTTTGCAGGATCTGGAGGCACCTTTGAGGAAATGGGTGAGGAAACAGAGGGTAAAGATCAACAGGCAATTAGGGAATGGAGTGTCTTTTGACGTTGTAAAAGGTATCCTGGCCAGGTGTGGTGGCTCATGCCTGTAATCCCAGCACTTTGGGAGGCCGAGGTGGGTGGATTACAAGATCAGGAGTTTGAGACCAGCCTGGCCAACATGGTGAAACCCCATCTCTACTAAAAATACAAAAATTAGCCAGGCGTGGTGGCACATGCCTGTAGTCCTAGCTACTCAGGAGGCTGAGGCAGGAGAATCGCTTGAACCCGGGAGGTGGAGGTTGCAGTGAGCCGAGATCACACCACATCACTCCAGCCTGGGTGACAGAGTGAGACTCCATCTCAAAGAAAAAAAAAAAAAAAGGAAATGATGAGCAAAGACATTTTATACCTTCAGAAGATTTCAAGGAAACTCTGCCACCTTACATTACAACACTGGTGCAGCACTTCAAAAGAGACTATACAGTTAACACTGCTATTTCCAGAAACGTATTCCTTGTGCTAAAGAGAGAATGCTCATATTAATTTGGACAGTGTTGGAACATTTTGCTTCTTCAGCTAAAACACAGGTTTCCAGAGTGAAGTAACAGAACTGATAGCTTTGGTCTCTCTTTTGGACCATCTGGATAATGGTTTGAACCATCTTGATGATGATGGGAAACCCAAGTAGTAGAACAAATAACCTGAATCAGATCCTTAGAAATCAACTCGTATGTGCCTCTGTAACATACTGGGGAGGAATCTGAAAGCCAATCCAGTCTGATATGTTGAAGAAATTTGATCCTAATAGTGGTACTCCTAAAAATTATTCCAGTCTTCAGTAGCCAACTTAGAAACTTTTTCTAAGAAAGAAAGTCAAAGGTTAATGGATGTCCCAAGCTGAGCTTTTCAGTTACATAGCTGGAGAGTGTTTCTTTTCTACAGTTTATGGAAATACTTACTTGCTTCCTTGACTTACGGTTTCTGCCACAAGTTGAAAATTGGGGCTGGGCACGGTGGCTCATGCCTGTAATCCCAGCACTTTGGGAGGCCAAGGCAGGCAGATCACCTGAGGTCTGGAGTTCAAGACCAGCCTGGCCAAAGGTCTTTAGTAGAGATGGTGAAACCCCATCTCTACTAAAAATACAAAAAATTAGCCAGGCGTGGTGGAACGCGCCTGTAATCTCAGCTATTTGGGAGGCTGAAGCAGGAGAATCACTTGAACCCAGGAGGTGGAGGCTGCAGTGAGCCAGGATTGCACCGAGCCAGGATTGCACCATTGCACTCCAGCCTGGGCAAGAAGAGTGAAACTCCATCAAAAAACAAACAAACAAACAACAACAACAAAACATACAAAAGAAAATTGGAACCACCTGTAGCTTGGAGAATGTTAAAGAAGAGAGACAAATGATTTCAGCATGTCTTCAAAAGCATTGAGTCATGGATGCCCTCGGTGGCATCATTTTGCTAAAATGCAGACCTAATCACTTATTGTTCAGGTTCAGCGTGAGGTTGACTGGTATGTGTTTGGGCGGGGAGTAGGGAGGCTCAGATGGTGAGGTTAGTCCAGGCAGAAATAAGCTTCGTGGGAGATAATGCCAGATTTCTTTAAGAAATGGGTAACAGCCGAACACGATGGCTCACGCCTGTAATCCCAACACTTTGGGAGGCGGAGGTGGGCAGATCACAAGGTCAGGAGTTTCAGACCAGCCTGACCAAAATAGTGAAACCCCGTCTCTACTAAAAATACAAAAAATTAGCCGGGTGTGGTAGTGCATGCCTGTAATCCCAGCTACCTGGGAGGCTGAGACAGGAGAATTGCTTGAACCTGGGAAGCGAAGGCTGCAGCAAGCCGAGATCACGCCACTGCATAGCATCCCGGGCCACAGTGTGAGACTTCGTCTCAAAAAAAAAAAAAAAAAAGAAAGAAAGAAATGGGTATCCCACTCTCTGTAATGCACACTCAGGATTGTCAAAGCTGGAACCTCAAAGAGAGCTACTCATTTCAGAAAACGTAAGAGAAAAACAGTAGAGACATTTTTACCATCTGAGCAGCTCCCAGGTGGAAAAGATGGATAGCTGATTGCACTGAGCCTGGGATTCAGCATGTGTATAAGTCAGCATGTGTGGTGGAAGGAAAACATTGAGGTGCTTAACTTGACAGGCAAATTGCCATGAAATAAAGGGCAAGTGGAGATCTACATTTGACCAATGTCAAATTAAAAAATGGGGAAGTTAACAGCTGTGGCCGGATTTTATTTAGGAATATTATTTGCTACCTTCTTATGTTTAGAAGAGTTGGGGACTTTCCTAGAGACACAGGAGGTGAGAAAAAGCCTGAGGAAGTTCTCAGCCTGGGTTTCTAAAGGAAGAATTCCCATTAGCTTTCAGTAAGAAGCAATTAAGATCTCTGTCTTCAAAATATATTTCATAAGAAATGCATGAGCAGCAGTGTTATCATCATCAAGAGCTCACTGTGAGTTGCTGCATGGTTTCCTAGGAGGTAATGATGTAGTTTAACTTCGAATTAAATTAATATTTTAAAGAGATACCCAGAAGCAAAGCTATACTTGTCTAATCTAGGTTGTTGCTATGGAGTTGACCAGGTATGATTATCAAGTAATTAAATTGACTCCATAAAGCTTCATGACAAAATAAATTGGACTATTTTATAGGTATGCTTGATATATGACTTGTTCCTGATAATGGATTGCAGAGTAAAATGTAGTAAAAATTCCTTTTCCTCTAGCATACATTCTTTTTAAATTTAGCAGTGTTTATATTTTATTATAGTCATGCATAATTTTCAGAATGCAACTGTGGACAGTAAATAGCTTTTCCAATTCATATTTTTGAAGGACATGATGATTAATATCATTGTTTTACAGATGAGAAGACTGAGGTATCATTCAGAATTAATTTTTTTTTTTCAGGCAGAGTCTTGCTTTGTTGCCCAGGCTGGAGTGCAGTGGTGCAATCTCGGGTCACTGCAGCCTCCGTCTCCCCAGTTCAAGTGATTCTGCTGCCTCGGCCTCCCGAGTAGCTGGGATTACAGGTGCCCGCCACCATGCCTGGCTAATTTTTGTATTTTTAGTAGAGCTAGGGTTTCACCATGTTGGCCAGGATTAAATTTTTTAAAGGTTTCTGGTGTAGATAAGTGGTCAGGTCCGTTTGGGTCTTCTCTTATTACTGAATATGTACAATAGGAGTTAGAGGTGGCAAAGGGGCCATCTCCCATGACAGCAAAAGATCATCCATTTTTAATGACTTTTCTGTTACCTGAAACATAGAGGTAATAAAATCTGACAACGTGAGAGTGCCACGATTCACCAGTTTAAAATCATTTTATAGGAGGAAAATGATTTAACTTTCATTCATTCAGGAAATAATTCTTATTTCTCAGCTTTCACATAAATGTAGCTGTGTGTATAAGTGCTGTGCATCAGGTGTGAATAAGAGTTTTCTCTTTCCTACGAACCTTGCTTCCTGGCAGGCTCTGATCTCTGTTTCTCCTATTCAGAGATCTTATTCCTAGCCTAGAAAAGTGAGTCTTAAACTTTTCTGCATCATGACCCCCTCAAAAATCTCTATAAAAGCTATGAATTATCTCCCCCAGAAAAATGCACATTTGTACATATACACAACATTTTGCAAGCACTTTCAGACTTGAATCCTGTTTCTGGGCTTGTTCATGAACCCCAGTGGACAAGATGCTTCTGGCCAGTCATGGTGGATCACACCTGTAATCCCAGCACTTTGGGAGGCCAAGGTGGGTGGATCACTTGAGGTCAGGAGTTCAAGACTAGCGTGGCCAATATGGCGAAATCCCATCTCTACTAAAAATACAAAAATTAGCCGGGCATGGGGGTGCAGGTCTGTAATTCCAGCTACTCCTGAGGCTGAAGCATGGGAGGCGAAGGTTGCAGTGAGCTGAGATTGTGCCACTGCGCTCCTCCCTGGGTGACAGAGCAAGACTCTGTCTCGAGAAAAAAAAAAAAAAAAAAAGTTATGCTTCATTCCCTATCTTCCTAGAGAAATGATACATTTCTCAATAATCCTATATGAACATATGTGCCCAAAGAACTAGAGTTTCTTCTCACTCTAACATGTGGCTTACTATTATTATATTACTATTACTATATTACTGTTATTATTATTATTTTTGAGATGGAGTCTCACTGTGTTACCCAGGTTGGAGTGCAGTGGTACGATCTCAGCTCACTGCAACCTCCGCCTCCTGGGTTCAGGCAATTTTTCTGCCTCAGCCTCCTGAGTAGCTGGGACTACACCCGCGTGCCACCACACCTGGCTAATTTTTGTATTTTTAGTAGAGACGGGGTTTCACCATAGTGGCCAGGCTGGTCTCGAAGCCCTGACCTCATGATCCGCCCGCCTTGGCCTCCTAAAGTGCTGGGATTACAGGCGTGAGCCACTGTACCCGGCCATTATTATTATTATTTTACTTCTTCCTTTATCTTTGCCCAAGATGTTCTTCGACATGTAGGAAAGTCCAGGAACCTCTAGAACCCCATAGATGATCAGATAGTCTAGTTACTTCAGCCAGTTGAGTTGATATAATTGGCATTAAGGAGGTTATTTTGATTCTCCAACCTTGCAAGAATAGTGGCTCTCCTGGGATGCCTGCCTTTACTATATTGACTGTGGCTCACTGAATATTCATGTACTCTCATTTCCCAGCCTCTCTTGTAGCTGTATCAGGGCCTCAAGATTGAGTCCTTGTAAATGGGAATGTAAGTGCAATTGATGGATTACTTCTGGCCCAGAATGTTATTCCTAGCCTAGAAAGTGAATCTTAACCTTTTTTTTTTTTTTTTTTTTTATGAGACAAAGTCTCTCTCTGTCACCCAGGCTGGAGTGCAGTGGTGTGATTTCAGCCCGCCACCACATCCGGCTAATTTTTTGTATTTTTAGTAGAGACGGGTTTTCACCATGTTAGCCAGGATGGTCTCGATCTCCTGACCTCGTGATCTCTTAACCTTTTTTTTGCATTTTTTAGTAGAAATGGGGTTTCACCATATTGGCCAGGCTGGTCTCGAACTCCTGACCTCAAGAATGTTCTGGGCCAGAAGTAATCCATCAATTGCCCTTCAATTTAAAGGTTGACATGCCTCCTCTTTTCCCATCAAATGGGATGGTAGAACCAGAGTATGGAAGCATCCTAGATTCCTGAGTCACCCCATGAAGTAGAGTTGAACTAGTGAGTTGCCCAGAATACATCAGACTTTACCAGAATAACAACAAAAAAAATTTATTGTGCTAAATCACTGAGATTCCAGGATTAATTTGTTAATGTAGGATAGCCTAATTATACTGACTAATAAACGGGTATAAAGGTTGGACTGAAAAAATAAGAAGTTCCCAGGACACTTTTATGGTTAAGAATGTGAGACAAGGCCAGGTGCAGTAGCTCACGCCTGTAATCCCAGAACTTTGGGAGGCCAAGGAGGGAGGATTGTTTGAGTCCAAAAGTTCAAGAGCAGCCTGGGCAACGTAATGAAACCCTATCTCTACAAAAAGTAAAAAGTTAGTTGGGTGTGGTAGTGCGTGCCTGTAGTCCCAGCCACTGGAGAGGCTGAGGCGGGAAGGCTGCTGGAGCCCAGGATTTTGAGGCTGCAGTGAGCTACGATTGTGCCATTGCACTCCAGCCTGGGTGGCAGTGTGAGACCTGTCTCTAAACAAAACAAAACACAACAAAAAAGAATGAGAGACAACATGGTGAACTGGATAGAGCCTGATATTAGTTACATTGCAGGGTTGTTATATTAGAGATATAATATATAAAATGTCTAGGCCAATACTTTACAGTAGTTACTCCATAAATGATAGTTTTTACCAATAATTCTTAAGATATAAATATTTTATGGGACATGATAACATTTGACTATACTCATGGATGACAGGCTCCCTATTCTGATTCTTCCCGAGATTTCTTACCTTAAGGTATCTCTTCTAAATACTTTGGGTCTTGGGCTCAAGCATCTTTTATAAAATTGCTTGAAGTAATAACTTCCAAGAAATACGTAGTTATTGTTCTTAATCAGTCAAGCATTTAGTAAAACCCTACTATTTCTTCCACATGTTAATTAACAAAATAGGTAACGTAATATTGCCAAGTGTTAATTTGTGTGGCCCAGGCAATTAAAGAATATGACATATAAAATGATGTTAAATGTATGAGACAGACAGTACCTTCTGGCAAGAGATAGGAAAGATCTGTGCAGGCTCAAGTCTTCGGTGAAAAATTCTTGAAAGGAGTGGGCTCAGACCTTGTCTTAAAGAAGGGGCAGGATGTAGATAAATGAGGGAAAAGAAGAAAGGCATTCCACGTGGGCAGCAGATTAATAAAGTTACTGATAAAACCAACAAAGAGGCCGGATGTGGTGGCTCACGCCTGTAATCCCAGCACTTTGGGAGGCCAAGGTGGGCGGATCACGAGGTCGGGAGTTCAAGACCAGCCTGGCTAACATGGTGAAACCCTGTTTCTACTAAAAATACAAAAATTAGCGAGGCATAGTGGTGTGCGCCTGTAATCTCAGCTACTCGGGAGGCTGAGGGAGGAGAATCACTTGAATCCGGGAGGCAGAGGTTGCAGTGAGCTGAGATTGTGCCACTGCACCCTAGCCTGGGCAACAGAAAGAGACTCTGTTTCAGAAAAAAACAAAAAAATAAAAAAAAAACACCTAAAATATTAGATTGAATCAAGAAAAATTACTGGTTTTTTTTGTGGGTCAAAAACAATCTAATATCAGCAGTTTCATATCATTTGACCTAATAAAAGCAGCATTTGCGGAGTGATACTCTGGAAGTTTCAACCGTATTGGTAATGTTTTATTTTTTATACTGAGTGGTAGGTTTATAGATTCCTTATATTCTTAATTTTCTTGTGGTTTTAAATATTTCATAATCATCTTTTTAAAATAATTTAAACATTAGCAAAAAAAGAGTTAAGTCTCATCAAATAATTTAAACAATCTCTTTACGTAATGCTTATTCTCATCAGGAAAATAACACCTGGTTTTCTCAACATCCTCAGACATTCATCCTTTTCTCTAGCTTTTCTCCAGTGTGGTGTCCAATTGTATTGGCGACAAGCATGGCTTGTGCAACATTATGATAAAGAAGAATCCAGAGGGCCGAGTGTGGTGGCTCACGTCTGTAATCCCAGCACTTTGGGAGGCTGAGGCGGGTGGATCATATGAGGTTAGGAGTTCGAGACCAGCCTGTCCAACATGGTGAAACCCCATCTCTACTAAAAATACAAAATTAGCTGGGCATGGTGGAGCGCACCTGTAGTCCCAGCTACTTGGGAGGCTGAGGCAGGAGAATCGCTTGAACCTGGGAGGTGGAGGTTGCAATGAGCCCAGATCCTGCTATTGCACTCCAGCCTGGGCAACAAGAGTGAAACTCCATCTTAAAACATAATAATAAAAATAAAAAAATAAAGAAGAAGAATCCAGAGACCCCAAGTGGAATGTTCTTTAACTCTTCTGGCCTCTGGGACAATGCCCCTTCTCCATCTGCCCACTGCTTGCCCTACTGGTGTTCGCGGTTGAAATTTGTGGTTCAAGACCGTGTGGGTACAACTTGTGAGCTGGTCCCACCCAGGTTGCCCAGGCCTCGTGGCTCTCCCTCAACCTCCTTTCAACTCTCTGGCTCTACGGGTCCCTCTAAGTTTGTCTGAGGGGCCCCTTTGGCCCTGAACTTGGGGTGGTTCACTCTGCAGTCCTCACTGCAGTGTCACCTTGCCCTACTAAGGCTGCCTCCTCCAGCAAGCTTCTCAGCCACTGTGGCTCTCCCTCATAGCACCCCAGGAAAGCGGGGCCTCAGGGTCCCCTTCTGCCAGACTGTAGTTCACTCACACTTTTATCTGATGTGCTGCGCCACAGGAGGGTACAAGGCATGCCTAGTGTGGTGGCGCATGCCACCAGGAGTGGTGGCGCATGCCTGTAATCCCAGCTACTCGGAAGACTGAGGCAGGAGAATTGCTTGAACCCAGGAGGCAGAGGTTGTGGTGAGCGAAGATCGCACCATTGCGCTCCAGCCTGGGCAACAAGAGCAAAACTCCATCTCAAAAAAAAAGAAAAAGAACTGTCAATAATTATTATTTTAGTTATATTATTATTGTTTTATCATTTTTGTTATTATTAATATCCTTAGTGGGTAAGTGGGCCGCTATTGACAATGGGGAGTGTTTCCCAACCATCAACACTCTCACCCACACATACACTTGGGCTACTTTTTTTTTTTTTTTTAAGATGGAGTTTCGCTCATTACCCAGGCTGGAGTGCAATGGCACCATCTCGGCTCACTGCAACCTCTGCCTCCCAGGTTCAAGTGATTCTCCTGCCTCAGCCTCCCGAGTACCCAGTAGCTAGGATTACAAGTGCCCACCACCACGCCTAGCTAACTTTTTTACTTTTAATAGAGACCCCATCTGTATTAAACCCCTTTTGCCATGTTGGCCAGGCTGGTCTTGAACTCCTGACCTCAAGTGATCCACCTGCCTCGGCCTCCCAAAGTGCTGGGATTACTGGCATGAGCCACCGCACCGGGCCCAATTTGGGCGTTTTAATCCAAACGTTAAGCTACTGAAAGTGGCCAGATTGGAGTGTGTGTAATGGGGGGAAGAAATGGGTGTAAAGATAGAAAGTTTCAGTCACAAACTTGTTAGCATGACAGAGAGCTCCCCTACTTGAGAAGGGACAAAGTCAATTCAAGACCTTTGGGCTTTCTGGCTGGATGCGGTGGCTCATGCCTATAATCTCAACACTTTGGGAGGCCAAGGCAGGTGGATCACCTGAGATCAGGAGTTCGAGAACAGCTTGACCAAAATGGTGAAACCCCGTCTCTACTGAAAATACAAAAATTAGCCGGGCGTGGTGGTGTGCGCCTGTAAATCCAGCTACTAAGGAGTCTGAGACAGGAGGATTGCTTGAACCCAGGACGCAGAGGTTGCAGTGAGCTGAGATTGCGCCACTGCACTCCAGCCTGGGCAACAGAGCAAGACTCCATCTCAAAACAAACAAACAAACAAACAAAGACCTTCAGGCTTTCATATAACCTATATGGGTGGATGAAATTTTAGAAATAAATAATAAGGGGAAAAAAGATAAATAAAAATTCAAATTTTAAAATAAAGTAAAATAGATCCATGGGGGTATCTGATGACATGATATTCCAGCAACTCAGATTTCTCTGGGACTCCACTGGAGACAGATCTTTCAGGCACATTTGTAATATGTCCACTGCCCAGGGGACAGGATAGAAGAGCCATAGAAAAAAAGGGAACTTGGCAGAATTGCCTTTGTATAACTTTCTTTCAGTAAAGAAAGTTATAGCTTTCTTTACTGAAATAATAGCTTTAAAGAGACAAATTATTCACAAATCATTAGTAGGAAATGTTGAGATGAGATGATAAGCAAGAAAGGTAATTAAAGTCTGTACTATTCTTAAAATGAAATACTGTCTAAGTATAGAGGAATAAATTAGATGACTTTTCAACCTTTCCAATCTAAGCATCCTTAAAAAGTTCCACTGTCTAGCACAGTGGTTTTTAAACATTTTTTGACAGCCACCCACAGTAAAAAGCATATTCTACATCTTGACTGGCTACACACAAACACACAGTACTTTTCATGATTCAGATTGTATGAAAGACTACTGATATTCACTATGTGATAGCTTTCTATTCTCTTTTATTACACCTCTTTTTTTTTTTTTTTTTTTTTTGAGACAGTGTCTTGCTCCGTTGCCCAAGCTGGAGTGCAGTGGCTTATAAAACATGGCTCACTGCAGCCTTGAACTCCTGGGCTCATGCAATCCTCCTGCCTCAGCCTCTGGAGTAGCTGGGACCACAGAAGTGCACCACCACACCCGGCTAGTTTTATTTTTATTTGTAGAGATGGGATCTCCCTATGTTGCCCAGTCTGGTCTCCAACCTGGGGCCTCAAGTGTTCCCCCTGCCTCGGCCTCCCAAAGTGCAGGGATTACAGCTTGGGCCACTGTGCCCAGCCCTTTCTTCCATCATTCCGTCCTCTCCTTCCTTCTTAATACTGCTTGTCAAACTGATTTTGCCACCCAGTTTGAAAAAGAAGGTCTAGAGGATTATCCCAATCATTAACTATTTCTGCAGGTTAGCTTACCTTTCCAGAATACAGAATAGAATTCAGCAAACTGCCTCAAAGAGCAGTTTCTAGATTTGACTTCTTCCTCTAGGGTTTATGAAGTCATCATACTGAAGTGACCTGGATTTCCCTATACGTGAACCTCATGACGTGGGAGCCCGGGGTAGGGAGGGACAGATAACATGAGAATCAATAGAAAGAACTGCAAGGTCTGAAGACAAGAACCATTTGTCTAGTGGAGTCTATTTTATATCCATTTTTTAAAAATCTCCATTTAAGATATTTAGCTTCAACGTGCACCTTGACCAATTAATCCAACAAACAAAACTCTGGCTTGGGGGCCCAGTTACTCACTTTCATGGAAAGAGACCTCTGTTTTTAGAACCAGGGATCTTGTGAGTCCCTCCCACGTCCCCAGCCCTTCTCTGGCCTCGGGTAACTTTTCCCTCCAGTTTGGTGGAAGGTTACATTAGAAGAAAATAGTCCCTACCGTCTAGAAAGTTTTCGGGGGGGGAAAAAAGGGCGTTGGACGTGCGGGTGGGTGGGTATACCGGGAGGGGACAGCTGGAGCCGCGAAGGCGCGGGGGCCCGCGGCGCGTGGGTGTGGAGGCCGCGGGGCGGCAGGAGGCACTGGGAAGCGGGGTGAAGAGCACCGAAGTCCAGAAAAGGGCAGTGTCCGCCCTGCGCTCCTCTGCTGGCGCCCGCAACCCGGGAGGGAGCGGCGAGGCTCCGAAGGGTGGGATTCGAGGTCTGAACCCTCGAGTGGGCTTGGGTTTTCAGGAGCCGCCTTTTCTTATTGATCATTTCTCTTTTGTCATCATAATCTCTTGGCCTCAGACTGAGTTAAGGGAGCCATAGTAGGAGTGCAGAAAATGAAGTGGAGGAAAAAAAAATGTGATATTTAAAATATAGTTTTTCCTACTTTCTTTTTCTCTCTCAAATTAATTTAGATGTAAATAACATTTTAACAGGGCCCAACATCAGGCTCCTAGGCTCTGGCTGCTGGTCTCACTTGACACCAGAATAAGATTTTGGTGTGCTAGTAATTTTGCCAAATGGAGGCCTACTCCCCAAAACATCACCGTGGTGCATGATGAACATTTCTGTAGGTGATGACGTGGAGTTTTTGTTTTACTTCATTCTAATACATGTCCCTGCTTCAAGTGGGTAAAATTATACCTAGCTCAGCCCAGGTTTAATTCAGATTATTTAAAAAATTTCAGTGGCAAGTAATTTACGAGCTTCTCTTTATTAAGATTTAGGAAATTTTGCTTTATTGCGCATGCATTTTAAGTATTTTTTTGCTGTGTTCCTAGTGTAGATAGAAAACAACCTGTCACTGTCTCCTAGTTGGCCCTGTCAACAAACATTTGAGAAGTGCTTAGATCAGAATGCTGTTGAGTACTACAAATTAAACAATCTGATGTACTTGTTAATTTCATTACAAACAGCAGTTAGGATTTCATATACATATAGTCTGTACCATGCTATATATCAGAAATCTTTGTAAATATAAACTCCTTAAATATAGGGACCCAGTTTTATTCTTCAGCGAAAGGGAGTTAATCTTTTGGTGTTGTGCATTTAGAAGGATCTCGGATGTAAGAGGCTCATTAAATGATAGCTGTTAGTATTATTTATCTTGGTATCTTCCAAAGGGCTTTGCACATGGCTAACACTAAGAAATATTGGTTGAATGAATGAAGGTGCCATGCCCATACTGTGATATACACAGAGAAAAGACCAGGATGGGGACACTAGCACAGTGATTTCATTTCATCAGTGAAGCTTTGTGTGGAAGTGTCCCTCCTGCAGCCCTTTTACCAGATGCAGGCTCCCTTGACCTTGGATTGTGGACCACTTAAAATTTTCAGGGGAAAAAGTGTGCCTAATTAGCTAGTAGGGCCTAACCTCTTGTCAAGATGGAACTTGAGAAGTTTGTCTAAGTATGGAAAAGCTAAGCTCACTTGACACAGATCACGGGAAGAAAGATTTCTGCATGTTATTCAAGTTATTCACGTCAAAAGCGATTAGGGGGCCCCAGCTTCCATTACATCATTCATTAGGAAAATGTGTGCTGGGAGCTCTGCAAATCACATGATTTGATGGAGGCATTGAGACTGGGTTTCTTGTGTGTCTGCCCTTGGCCATATTCAGTTTTTAGTATGTTTGGAAAAGGCTGAAGCAGAACATGAAGATCTAGTTTATTTTAATGCTGTCAGACAGCTAAATGGTGGAAACTTGTTGAAGAGATTTACTGAGCTGTTTCCTTAGATTGAAGACTTTAGAGAATTAATTAACAGGGTTCTGAGAGATACAACATGCCAGACCCCTACTGACTCTAAGAGTGTACTTTCTTACTGATATGATGTGATAGCTGAGCACAGTATATGTGAAACTGCTGGGGAGTAATACAAGAGCAGTGCTGATGTGTTCTAAGACATGCAGGTGTTCAGATGAGAACTGGCCATGACAACTGAGTCAGCCAGGCACTGGACTCATTTCCTTTTGCTTAAGCACCATGAGCTCAGTAGAAGCACAGACTTTCACAAGGTGCTGAACTACTTGGTGAAAATGAAGTCACAATTTTGGAAGAGCTTCACTGATTTTGATGTGTAGGTATTGTTTCACGTTTTAGCTGTTGCTTTTAGAATGCATGCCTTAAGATGGTTCTCAGTTATCATGCTATATCTATGCCACGCCATTTCTAGAGCAAGTAACTTAGCTGAAAGTGACTATACCTATAAGAAAACAAATATCCCTGTAGAGACATTTGTAGATGAATTGTGGAAGTACTCTAAAATTTTTGGCCAGATTTTGGGGAATGTTTGAGTCTAGCTGGTACAGAAAGTACATTCTGTTTTATGAAAATAGCAACATTGAAGTGAAAAGATATCATTAATGTATACATGTAGTCAGAAATTGAATGTGCCCTGGCTGATTGCAATTTATTTATTCACTTAATGCGTATTTATTGAGTACAAGGCCTTAGAGTTTCCTCAGTTCTTATAGTCTGTAACAGTGCCATTCCATAGGAATGTAATGAGAGCCACATATATAATTTACAATTTTCTAGTAGCCACATTAAAAAATTAAAAAGAAACTGATAAAATTAATGTTAATATTAATATATTTTATTTCACCAAATATATCTAAAAATATATCTAAAATATTATCCTAATATGTAATTAATATACTTTTATTGGTTTTTTTTTTTTGTTTTTTTTTTTTTTTTGGGGACAGGGTCTCACTCTGTCACCCAGGCTGGAGTGCAGTGACACAATCATGGTTCATTGCAGCCTCAACCTTCTGGGCTCAGATGCTCCTCCCACCTCAGCCTCGTGAGTAGCTGAGACCACAGGCATTTGCCACCAGCTAATTTTTTGTATTTTTTTGTAGAGACAGGATTTCCCATGTTGCCCAGGCTGGTCTCCAACTCCTGGGCTCACGCGATCCACCCGCCTTGGTCTCCTGAAGTGCAGGGATTACAGGCATGAGCCACTAGAAATTATTAACAAATTATTTTACATTCTTCGTTTTGAATTAAGTTTCTCGAATTTACTTACAGCAAATCTCACATTGCACTAGCCACATTTCAGGTACTAAAAAACTACATGTGATTAATGGTTACCATACTGGGCAGTCCATGTCTAGAGAGAAATACAGATGTGTAATTTGTAAACAGGTAAACAGATAATTTCTTTTCTTTTTCTATTTTTCTTTTTTTTTTGAGACAAATTCTCACTCTCCCAGGCCGGAGTGCAGAGGCTCAGTGCAGCCTCCACCCCCTGGGCTCAAGCGATCCTCCCAGCTAACCTCCCCAACTCCCCACCCCAGCAGCTGGGACTACAGGTGGGTACCACCATGTCCAACTAATTTTTATAGAGATAGGTTTTCATCATGTTACCCAGACTAGATAATTTTAATTAAATGTAATAAAGGCTATGATGAGAAAAGTACACTCATCATACAATGAAAGCATAGAAAAGGGGCTTAGTTCCTCCAGTTTTTCCTCCTAAAATCTCATAATTCTCTCTGCTTCTCTGCATCCTGCCTGCCACGACTCTAATCTAAGCCAGATTATCTCTCTCCTAGACTTGCACAACAGCTTCCGAAATTGTCTACCTGCATCTATCCCTGCCCCTGTTTGCAGATAAAGTGAGCTTTTAAAAACGCCCATCAGATCATGTCATTCCTCTGTTTAAAACCTTAAATATATGATGAACACATTGGACAAGTGTGAGATGATGTACATAAAGCGCCCAGCCCAAAGGTTCTGCTCACTGAGTTTAGTTCTCCTCGTTTCTTCCTTTCACTCTCTTTTTTCTTCCTCTTACTTTCCTCCCCAGCTCCTTCCTCTTATCACCTATCAGTCTCTTATCATCTGAATTTCTTTTTTCTTTCTTCCTTCTCACTTGCTTTCCATTTTTTTCTTCCATCTTTACTTTCTCTCCTTTCTGCTTTAGTTTATTTTAATATAGAATTTAAATAGATTTAGAAATTCATTCTTTAATTATTTACTTCTGAGTTCCAAGCTCTTCATTTAAAAATCAAAAGAGTACTGGGCACTGTGGCTCACGCCTGTAATCCCAGCACTTTGGGAGGCCGAGGTGGGCGGATCACCTGAGGTCAGGAGTTCGAGACCAGCTTGGCCAACATGGTGAAAACCTGTCTCTACTTAAAATACAAAAATTAGCCAGGCGTGGTGGCAGGGGCCTGTAATCCCAGCTACTCAGGAGGCTGAGGCAGGAGAATCGCTTGAACCCAGGAGGTGGCGGTTGCAGTGAGCCGAGATTGCACCATTGCACTCCAGCCTGGGGGACAAGAGCGAGACTCCGTTTCAAAATAAATAAATACATAAATAAAAATAAAAATAATAAAAAGAGCTTGGCCAGGTGTGGTGGGTCACACCTATAATTCCAGCATTTTGGGAGGCCAAGGTGGGTGGATCACTTGAGGTCAGGAGTTCAAGACCAGACTGGCCTGGCTAACGTGGTGAAAACCCGTTTCCACTAAAAATACAAAAATTAGCCAGGTGTGGTGGTGCACACCTGTAGTCCCAGCTACTGAGGAGGCTGAGGCAGGAGAATCACTTGAACCTGGGAGGCAGAGGTTGCAGTGAGCCAAGATCACACCACTGCACTCCAGCCTGAGTGACAGAGTGAGACTCTGTCAAAAACAAACAAACAAACAAACAAACAAACAAACAAACAAAAAACTTGACCTTTTATCAGGATTAAATTAAGATGCTTTTTACTTCAGCATGGTCTTCAGTTAATTTTTTTTGTAGGTTGGAGAGCTTCTTTAGAAAAATGCATATAGTTTCCCAGAAGGAGGAAAGCAATCCCCTTCACATTTTATAGGGAGAAAATGGTGCAGTCACTTAGAAAGGGTCATGTGGTGGTGATTTGAAACAAGTCAGAAGAACCCAGGCTCTCGCCACAGCCCTTCCTCTCTTAGGCAAATTTCTGCCTCCTGGCAGTAGAGCAGTGAGGCAAGTTAATTATTCAGTGTTTGTGGAGGTCAATAAATAAATGAAATACCTAATTAAATAAATTTTTGGAGTGCTGAGAGCAGGCAGTTTCCTTAACTTAACACATTTCCTTTGGAGGACCAGTTCTCTTCCTTGAAAGAACAGCCAATCTAGCCATATGGGCTGTTTCCTTCTAGTTCTGAGAAGGTGGATTTATGACCCTCTGTGTACTCATCTTTCTGTTTCTGTCTCTGACATAGACAACTCTGCCAGGTGCCAGCACTCCTACCTCCACTGAAAGCAAGGAGACATCCTGAAATTACAGAAGGAAGAAAGGAAGTTACAATTCAAGAAGGACTTCTTGCTGCCAAGGCACAGTAGCACCAATACAAAACAAATGAGGGAGGATTTTAGCCTAGAAAATATGTCTCTGTGGAAAAAAGACCCCCCCCGCCCCCCCATCCCAGGTCTGGCCCAAAGGAGGGCCTCCCTCCGGTAAGGCTTGGGCGTTCACATTCAGAATCCACTAACATTTGTTGAGCAGATACTGCATACAAGACAGCTCCATATACATCTTCTTCTATACCATTTTAATCTAAGAGAAGCCTTCCAATGTTTTCCCAAATGAAGTCTTATCTTGAAATGAGACTCTGTAGACTTAAACCAACTACAGAAACACTTTAGTATTAAGGTGCCACCCACGCTGAAACATTTTTCCTAGCTTTGACCATTGCTCTGTGAACATCCAGAGCCTGTTTACCACATTCCATTCCAACAGCTTGTTCTTAATCTCTCACTTCAGAGATTTACTGAGCTCTTTCTGAATAGAATTACTCTTGTGAAAGAAACAGTAGCAGCATGTTATATTAGTTAGGATAGACTAATTGCTATAACACATAGACCCAAATAAGAATAATGGCTTGCCCAGGTGTGGTGGCTCACGCCTGTAATCCCAGCACTTTGGGAAGCCAAGGTGGGAGGATCACTTGAGGTCAGGAGTTTGAGAACAGCCTGGCCAGTATGGTGAAACCCCCATCTCTACTAAAAATCCAAAAAAAATAGCTGGCATGGTGGCTGGCACCTGTAATCCCAGCTACTCGGGAAACTGAGGCAGGAGAATCACTTGAACCCAGGAGGTTGAGGTTACAGTGAGCTGAGATCGCGCCACTGCACTCCAGTCTAGGTGACAGAGCAAGACTCTGTTTCTAAAAAAAGAAAAAAGAATAATGACTCAGATACAATAGACATTTATTTCTTGCCCTTTGGGTGGCAGGGCACTTCTCCTCCATACAGCTATTTCAGGAATTCAGGATATGAAGGCCTGCCATGCAAAAGGCATGGAAGAGCATATGTGGGAAAATTTTATGGGCCTAGAAGTAGGGTATATCCGTCGAAATGGGCTCCACAGATTGGTGTTGGTTTGCAAATAGTTTGTTACTGGTACTTGACAATATAAGAATAGAAATGGAAAGTAAACCTTTAGAAAGCTTTATAGCAATCTGGGGCCAGGCGCGGTGGCTCATGCCTGTAATCCCAGCACTTTGGGAGGCCGAGGCAGGCGGATCACTTGAGGTCAGGAGTTCAAGACCAGCCTGGCCAACATGGTGAAACCCCGTCTCTACTAAAAATACAAAATTAGCCGGGCATGGTGGTGTGCGCCTATAGTACCAGGTACTCAGGAGGCTGAGGCAGGAGAATCGCTTTGAACCCAGGAGACGCAGGTTGCAGTGAGCCAAGATCACTCCACTGTACTCCAGCCTGGGCAACAATATCAAAACTTCGCCTCAAAAAAAAAAAAAGTTTTATAGCAATTTTGATACAGTAATTATCTGTTGAATCTAAAATTTAAAAATTGGGGCTGGGTGCGGTGGCTCATGCCTGTAATCCCAGCACTTTAGGAGGCCGAGGAAGGCAGATCACTTGAGGCCAGGAGTTCGAGACCAGCTTGGCCAACATGGTGAAACCTCGTCTCTACTAAAATTACAAAAATTAGCTGGGCATGGTGGTAGCCACCTGTAATCCCAGCTACTCAAGAGGCTGAGACAGTGAACCCAGGAGGTGGAGGTTGCAGTGAGCTGAGATCATGCCACTGCACTCCAGCCTGGGTGACAGAGTGAGACTTTATATATATGGCTTAATTTTCTTTTTTTTTTATAATTAACATTTTATATTTTAAAAAAATATAAAAAAACTGAACTCACTGCCTTTGGACTGTAAGAATATAAGGAAAAAAAATTGAACTCACCATTGGTAAAGGGTCATAAAGTTTTTATGACAAAGGAAATAGATGCCCTGATATTAAGAAGACAACAAGAATTTAAAAGACCTTTAGTTCTCAGGAACCAGCACTAAAAAACTCTGATTCAGAACCCCCAGAAATGAGGCAAAGATGATAGATGAAATGTTTCAAACTGTGTTAACAAACAGTGCAATCAGAGGAAAAGACAGGAGCAGCACAGAGAACAGCATTGACAATTTTAAGAGATGAGGGCAACCACCCTACCCAAAATTCATCACCTTTTTCTTGGAAGGGGCCTGGAAATTAAGTACAACTTGGAAAGCAGGGACTAAGAGAACATTATATTAAATAACTCTTCCCGCCGGGCATGGTGGCTCATGCCTATAATCCCAGCACTTTGGGAGGCTGAGGTGGGTAAATCACAAGGTCAGGAGTTTGAGACCAGCCTGGCCAAGAGACCAGCCTGGCCAATATGGTGAAAGCCTGTCTCTCCTAAAAATACAAAAACTAGCCAGGCGTGGTGGTGGGTGCCTGTAATCCCAGCTACTCGGGAGGCTGAGGCAGGAGAATTGCTTGAACCTCGGAGGTGGAGGTTGCAGTGAGCCGAGATTGCATCATTGCACTCCAGCCTGGGCGACAGAGTGTGACTCCAACTCAAATAAATAAATAAATAAATAACTCACTCTTCCCTTAAATATGATCTGGCCACAGGACCAACTCTGTAAACAGGGTAATTTTTTTCCCTATGGTAATGTAAAAAGTCAATTAAATTTCCTTTTTTCTTTTTCTCTGTTTATGATTCTTCATCATTCAGCTTAAAAAGTCAGGTAATCTTGACTAGGTGTGGTGGCTCATGCTTGTAATCCCAGCACTTTGGGAGGCTGAGGTGGGCAGATCACCTAAGGTCAGGAGTTTGAGACCAACCTGGCCAACATGGTGAAAACCGCGTCTCTATTAAAAATACAAAAATTAGCTGGGCATGGTGACAAGCACCTGTAATCCCAGCTACTCGGGAGACTAAAGCAGGAGAATCTTTTGAATCCAGGATGCGGAGGTTGCAGTGAGCCAAGATTGCACCACTGCACTCCAGCCTGGGTAACAGAATGAGACTCTTTCTCAAAAAAAAAAAAAAGTCAGATAATCAAAAGACACTTTTTACTGTTCTAAATTATAGGATTTTCAACATTGTTTCTATCTAATTCAGCATCATTTTACAATTTTATTTAAAAGTAGTTAATTGGATGGGCATGGTGGGTCACACCTGTAATCCCAACACTTTGGGAGGCCGAGGCAAGAGGATTGCTTAAGTCCAGGAATTCAAGGCCAGCCTGAGAAACATGGTGAGACCCTGACTTTAAAAAGAAAAAAAAGGGGAGTGGGCAAAAAAAAAAAAAAAAAAAAAAGAAATTGATTCAGGCCTGCCTTAGTCTGAAAAAATTTTTTACTTTCCTATGGACAGTACCTCAGCTTGGTCCAAAATATTTCCCCCATTACTGTTTCTGAAAAAGGATGTCAGAGATGCTATTTCAAATCACTGAAGACTAAGTTGAGCCTGCTAACATTGGAGAGAACAAACTTGAAGGCAAGGAAGGTTTAACCCCAACACTGCTAAGTATCCTGCTACTACTCGATAGGAGATGACTATCAGGAGTTTAGATCTTCTTGGTCACCAAAGCCATCTGGCTAGTGGGACAGGGCCCTGCTACCTTGATTTCTCTTCTACCAAAGTCTCAATTTCAGAAATTCTTCACTAAAAATTCTTGGTTGGGTGCAGTGGCTCATGCTTGTAATCCTAGCACGTTGGGAGGCCAAGGAGGGCAGATCACCTGAGCTCAGGAGTTCAAGACCAGCCTGGACAACATGGCAAAACCCCATCTCTACAAAAAATATAAACATTTTGGCTGGGCGCGGTGGCTCTGACCGGGCGCGGTGGCTCTGTCCAGGCGCGGTGGTTCATGCCTGTAATCCCAGCACTTTGGGAGGCTGAGGCGGGTGCATTGCTTGAGTTCAGGAAGTTAGAGACCAGCCTGACCAACATGGTGAAACCCAGTCTCTACTAAAAATACAAAAATTAGCCGGGCATGGTGGCAAGCACCTGTAATCCCAGCTACTTGGGAGGGTGAGGCAGGAGAATGGCTTGAACACGGGAAGCAGAGGTTACGATGAGTCAAGATCGGCCAGGCGCAGTGGCTCACGCCTGTAATCCCAGCACTTTGGGAGGCCGAGGCGGGCGGATCACGAGGTCAGAAGTTCAAGACCAGCCTGGCCAAGATGGTGAAACCCCCATCTCTACTAAAAAAAAATACAAAAAATTAGCTGGGCGCAGTGGCAGGCGTCTGTAGTCCCAGCCACTCAGGAGGCTGAGGAAGGAGAATCATTTGAACCCGGAGGGTGGAGGTTGCAGTGAGCCGAGATCGTGCCACTGCACTCCAGGCTGGGTGACAGAGTGAAACTCCGTCTCAAAAAAAAAAAAAAAAACAAAACAATGAGCCAAGATCACACCATTGCACTCCAACCTGAGTGACAAAGCGAGACTCTGTCTCAAAAAAAAAAAAAAAAAAAAAATCAGCCAGGCATGGTGGCACATGCCTATAGTCCCAGCTACTCCAGAGGCTTAAGCCTGGGAGGCAGAGGTTGCAGTAAGCTGAGATCACACCACTACACTCCAGCCTGGGTGACAGAGCAAGACCCTGTCTAAAAAAAAAAAAAAAAAAAAAAAATTGAAAAAGCAATTTGGGCTTTGTTTTTTAATGTCTTTATTTTATTTTATTTTATTTTGTAGTTCTAGTAACTAATTTTTGCGTATTTTACAAAAATGTTGGCCCATAATGCATTACAAGGAAAAAAATCTTGTTCCTCACCACATACGGTTTGAGAAGCACTAGTATATGTTACATTCCTTCATATTTGTTCTGCTAGAACTCAATCTCATGGTCACATCTAACTGTAGCAGAAACTGGAAATGTGATCTAGCTATATGCAATGGGAAAAGAGAAGAACACAGAACTTGGTGAACGCTAGAAGTCTCTGGCATGCTTAGGTTGCACACTCACAAGCACAGCATAATGTGTGAAATGGAAGAGAGAGGACTAAGTGCCCAAGGGGAGGTTGAGCTGCAGGAGGTATATCCATGCTACTTTCATCCAGCCTGGAGAAGATTGCCAGCTGCTGGTATTAGTTACCGTCCAGAAGGCTTTGGCTGCAAAAGCCAGGAGGACAAATGTTGTCTGTATTTACTGTGCTCATTTCTCTCACATTCTGGCTTTTCTTTCTATCCTCCCCACCATGCCTTAGTTTACCATTTCCTACTTAAGCATCAAAGTAGCCTCATAACAGGGGACCCTACCGTTAACTTCACATCATCCACCTCCATGTAGCCTGTGACTCTCACCATGTTACTCTTCAATAGTTCCATATCACTTACAGGATTGAGTTAAACTTTTGTCATAGAAAGCCTGTAAGACCATTCACAATCTAGTCCCTTGCCACCTCCTAGGCCTCGCCTCCCCACTGTGCCATTGGCATCCCATGCCCTAGTCTTGCAGACCTCCTCACCACCCCCTTAGCACTCCATGCACTGCCATGCTTCCTTGCTTTGGACTTGTGAGTCCTCACTGGATTTATTCCCACTAGTCTTTTAGCTCTCCATTTAATGTTTCTTCATTTGTGAAAGCTTTCTTGATTCTCCTTTGTTTGGTGAAGCACCCCTTCCTCCACAAGCATCATAATTGTTGGGTAAAGAATAGCTATCTCTAGGCTGGGCACAGTGGATCATGCCTGTAATCCCAGCACTTTGGGAGGCTAAGGCGGGAGGATCACTTGGGCCCAGGAGTTTGGGCCCATCTTGGCCTCCCAAAGTGCTGAGATTACAGGCATGAGCCACTGCGCCAGCCTTTCTCAAACCTTTTATTGTCAGGGGATAGACAAGAAAGAAAGTCTCTACTCTCCTGATAGTCTAAAAGTTGAAAACAATTCATTTATTACCTGACAACTATTCACTGAGTATCAATTATTGGCCAGAAACCACATGACACACTTGAGATACACCAATAAAAAAACATGTCTTCAGGCTGGGCACGGTGGCTCACTCCTGTAATCCTAGCACTTTGGGAGGCCAAGGCAGGCGGATTGTCTGAGCTCAGGAGTTCAAGGCTAGCCTGGGCAACATGGCGAAATCCCTTCTCTACTAAAAATACAAAAAATTAGCTGAGCATGGTGGTGTGGGCCTGTAATCCCAGCTATTCGGGAGGCTGAGGCACGAGAATTGCTTGAACCTGGGAGGTGGAGGTTGCAGTGAGCTGAGATCACACCATTGCACTCCAGCCTGGGCGGCAGGGTGAGACTCTGTCTCAAAAAAAAAAAAAAAAAAAGAAAAAAGAAAATGTTCTCAGGCCTCATTTGCTCATAGTCTAACGGCGAGAAATATAAGCTGGAGTAGAGTGGTGTGAACAGTTTTGACCTCCTGGGCTCAAGGGATCCTCCTGCCTCAGCCTCCCCTGTGGCTGGGACAACAGGTGTATACCACCATGCCCGGCTATTTTTTTGTGTGTGTGTGAAGATGGGGTTTCACCATGTTGGTCAGGCTGGTCTTGAACTCCTGACCTCAAGTGATCCACCTGCCTCAGCCTCCCAAAGTGCTGGGATTACAAGCATGAGCCCCCGTGCCCAGCCAAATTTTCTGTTTTATGAAGCCAAACCAAATCCTAATTAATACAAGGGGAATATTAACAGAGTAACTCCATATTTTAGGTATTTTATACATATACTGCTTTTTATCTTCATGACAGTGCTACAAAAATTGGCCAGATTACACCTTGCTAGCTATGTGTCATTAGGTAAGTTACTTCACCTTTCTGTGCCTCTATTTCCCCATCTGTAAAATGAAGACAATATAGCATCTCCTCTAGAACTGTGAAGATTGGACAAGTTCATGTAGGTAAAGTATTCAGAATTGTGTTTGCCACATGGTAAGTGCTCAGTGTTAGCCATTATTGTATTTGCAATAACGCAATGATATTCAGAGGCCTATTATAGCTCAGAAAGCTTTAGTAATTTGTTTAAGTGGTGACATACTAAGTGGTAGGGCCAAGATTCAAACCCAGAGCCGTCTGACTTTTAAAACTGTGCATTTCCCCATTGTACCTGTGAAGGACTCAATGTGGGTCAACTGCAGGGTGGAGGGACTAGAGCTGGGATGGGTAAATGAAATACTGCCTTTTGCTCCTGTGTAACTCGGTGAGTCTTCCCAATGGAGGCGCTGAGGTCCATCTCGCCCTCTCATGGCCATAGGACTCACTGTGAGCTCCTGGCAATCAGTGAGGGAAGCCAGAGGGGAGCAAAGGGCTTGGCATGGCCCATCTATGGAAGAAAGATGGGGAATTCAAATAGAAAGGAGACAGCTAGCAAATTCAAGGGAACCATGCTTGGCTTAATGCCCAGCATCCTAATCGCAAGTCCATTCCCAGAGCTAGAAGTATCAGCCTCCCATGAAAATGAAACCTAGAAAACTCCAGGCAGTTGATAAGACTTTTAAGTACATGATATGAGGCTCTCAAGAGAAGAAATGGGAATCCCCTCCCAAGGACCTCATCATATAATTAATCCATTTAAGCAATCAAAAGGCAGAACTGTATATTCTTATTACATGCATGACTATAAGCATGATTCTAGAGTCAGACTGTCAGGGTGTGAATCCTGCTACTTACTGTATGACCTTGGGCAAGTTACTTAACATCTCTGCACTTTGATTTCCTCACTTAAAATGGAAATGATAATACTTCATAAGGTCATTATGAAAATCAAATGAGGTAATATTTGTAAAGTAATTAAAATAGTAATAGTAAGTGCTAAAGTGCTTTTAAATAAATATATACAAAACAATTATAAATTTACAGTTATAATTTATAAATAACATATAAGTGAAACATTCATCTTGTGGTTTAGCCTCATAAGAATTTATAATTGGAAAAAATTATAGAAAAAAAGAAATCAAGAAGGGTTTCACTGAAGTAGTGAAACTGAGCAATTGGTAGGATTTGAGTAGCCACAGAGGTGTGGCCTAGATCTGGGGATCAACAGGCAAAAGTATGGAGGCAGCAACTGGCATGGCTGGGGCCAGATAAGGTGGAGAGTGAGAAGGAATGCTAGCCAATAGGACTGGAATTGGAGAGTAGGGAGACATAGGTGGAGACCTGATTATGTAAGACTTTGAAAGTTAGATTTGCTGTAATAGGCAATGGAGAATTGTTGAGATTTTCCAGAGGGAAATGACATGATGAAAGGGAAGTTTTGGGTGGTCACAGTGGCTCACACTTGTAATCCCAGTACTTTGGAAGGCCGAAGCGAATGGATTGCTTGAGTCCAGGAGTTCAAGGCCAGCCTGGGCTACATGGCAAAATCCCATCTCTACAAAAAATACAAAAATTAGCCAGGTGTTTTGGCACGTGCCTGTAGTCCCAGCAAAATTTCTTTTGCTGCTCTCTGCATGTCTGTGGATGACCATGAAAGCACCTTGAGTATTCTTTTATTTTTTTCCTTCCTTCCTTCCTTCCTTTCTCTCTCTCCTTCCTTCCTTCCTTTCTCTTTCCCTCCCTCCCTCCCTCCTTCCTCCCTTACCTCCCTCCCTCCCTCCTTCCCTCCCTCTTTTCTTTTCTTTTCTTTTCTTTCTTCCTTCCCTCCTTCCTTTCTTTCTTTCTTTTTTTTTTTTTTTTTGGGCAGGGTCTCACTTTGTCATCCAGGATGGAGTATAGTGGCGTGATCTTTGCTTACTGCAGCCTCAACCTTCCAGGCTCAAGTGATCCTCCTACCTCAGCCTCCTGAATAGCTGGGACTACAAATGCATGCCACCACACTTGGCTAATTTTTATATTTTTTGTAGAGACAGGATTTCACCACATTGCCCAGGCTGATCTCCAACTCCTGAGCTCAAGCAATCCACCTGCTTTGGCCTCCCAAAGTCCTAGGATTACAGGCGTGAGCCACTGAGCCTAGCCAGGATATCTGTTTTTTTGTTTTGTTTTGTTTGTTTGTTTGTTTTTGAGATGGAGTCTCACTCTGTTGTCCAGGCGGGAGTGCAGTGGAGTGATCTCAGTTCACGGCAAGCTCCACCTCCTGGGTTCAAGCGATTCTCCTGCCTCAGCCTCCTGAGTACCTGGGATTACAGGTGCCCGCCACCACGCCCGGCTAATTTTTGTATTTTTAGTAGAGACAGGGTTTCACCAAGTTGGCTATGATGATCTCGATCTCTTGACCTCGTGATCTGCCCACCTCAGCCTCCCAAAGTGCTGGGATTACAGGTGTGAGCCACCGTGCCTGGCTGATAATTGTATTTCAAATAATAGTTACTGCATAGTTGCTCTCCAAAAAGTTTGTACTGATTTTTGCTCCTATAAAGAATATTTGAGAGTGCCTATTTTCTCACAGGTGTCAACTCCAGGAATTTCCAAACCTTAAAAAATTTGCCAGTCTGATAGGCAAAAAATGATATCTTGTAGTCATTTTAATTTTTTGCTTTGTTTTGAGACAGAGTCTTTGTCTGTCTCCCAGGCTGGAGTGCAGTGGCACAATCATGGTTCACTGCAGCCTTGACCTCCCAGGCTCAAGGGAGCCTCTCACCTCAGCCTCCCAAGTAGCTGGAACTACAGGTATGCACCACCATATCTGGCTAATTTTAAAACTTTTTGTAGAGTCTTGCTATGTTGCCCAGGCTGGTCTTGAACTCCTGGGTTCAAGTGATCCTCCTGCCTCAGCCTCCCAAAGTGCTGGGGTTACAGGCTTGAGCCACTGCCCCCGGCCTATAATTTACATCTATTTAATTTGCATCTATTTAGTATGTGTGAACATTTTCCCTATGTATTTGGTCATTTTCTTGTTTTCTTTTTGTGAACTGCCTGTTTCTATCCTTTGTTCATTTCCTTATTAGGTTGTTTGTCTTTACTATTTCTTTTTTCATTTTTATTTTTGGAGACGGTCTTGCTCTGTTGCCCGGGCTGGAGTGCAGTGATGTAGTTATAGCTCACTGTAACCTCAAGTTCTGGGTTCAAGTGATCCTTCCAGTTCAGCCTTCCAAGTAGCTAGAACTACAGGTGCTCACCACTATGCCAGCTTATTAAAAGCATTTTATTTTGTAGAGACGGGGTCTCACTATGTTGCCCAGGCTGGTCTTGAGCTCCTTGACCTCCTGGAGCATAGGGATTATAGATGTGAGCCACTACGCCTGGTCCTAATATTTCTTTACATAAATTAATGCAATTAGCCCTATGCTTATCATATGAGTTATAAATAATACCCACAATTTATGAATCTTTTGATTTTATTTGCAGCATTTTTTCCTATACAGAAATAAAGCTTTTAGGCCAGGCGTGTTGGCTCACGCCTGTAATCCCAGCACTTTGGGAGGCTGAGGCAAGCAGATCACTTGAGGTCAGGAGTTCAAGACCAGCCTTGCCAACATAGGGAAACCCTGTCTCTACTAAAAATACAAAAAATTAGCTGGGTGCAGTGGCACGCGCCTGTAATCTCAGCTATTCCGGAGGCTGAGGCAGGATAATCACTTGAACCTGGGAGGCAGATGTTACAGTGAGCCGAGATCGCACCACTGCACTCCAGCCTGGGCGACAGAGCGAGAATCCATCTCAAAAAAAAAAAAAAAAAAAAAAGAAAACAAGCTTTTAGGTTTATAAACTGAAAACTCTAGATGAACGATATTTTAAATTTCAATCAACAGCCCTTAATGACAGCTTAGATATAGAGGACCTGGGAGAGGAAGTCATCAAAAGGAACCCCAAGGTTTCTAGGGAATAATAGTAGTGTCCTTACAAGGCTTCTCCAGCAGGGATCCTCCCAGTGATAGGTCCTTCCTGGTGAGTTTAGGGAGCCAAAGTTTCAGAATCAATAATTCATTACTGTTTATTGCTTATTTATTTATGTATTTATTTTTAGAGACAGGGTCTCACTATGTTGCCCAGCGTGGAGTGCAGTGGCTATTCACAGTCATGCTAATAGCTCACTACAGCCTGGAACACTGGTGTTCGAGGGATGGTCCTGCCTCAGCTTCCCAAGTAGCTGGGACTACAGGAGTGGGCCATCATGCCTGCAGGTTTTAATGAATGATTTAAGAATAGTTTCAGGGCTGGGCGTGGTGGCTCACACCTGTAATCCCAGCACTCTGGGAGGCCGAGGCAGGAGGATCACCTGAGGTCAGGAGTTCAAGACCAGCCTGGCCATGGTGAAACCCCGTCTCTACTAAAAATACAAAAAATTAGCTGGCTTTGGTGGTGCGTGCCTGTAATCCCAGCTACTCGGGAGGCTGAGGCAGGAGAATCGCTTGAACCTGGGAGGTGGAGGTTGCAATGAGCCAAGATCGTGCCATTGCACAACAAGAGTGAAACTCCATCTCAAAAAAAAAAAAAATAATAGTTTCAGGCAGCTCACGCCTGTAATCCCAGCACTTTGGGAGGCCGAGGCGGGTGGATCACCTGAGGTCGAGAGTCTGAGACCAGCCTGGTCAACATGGTGAAATCCCATCTCTACTAAAAATGCAAAAATTAGCCAGGTGTGGTGATGCACGTCTGTAAACTCAGCTACTTGGGAGGCTGAGGCAGGAGAATTGCTTGAACCTGGGAGGCGGAGGTTGCAGTGAGCCAAGATCACGCCACTGCACTCCAGCCTGGGCGACAGAGACTTTGTCTCAAAAAAAAAAAAAAATAGTTTCAGATTTACAGAAAAGTTGCACAGATAGTCCAGAGGGTTCTCATATACCCAGAACCCAGTTTCGCCTATTACTTTGTTTTCGTTTTTAGATGGGGTTTTGCTCTTGTTTCTCAGGCTGGAGTGGAATGGTGTGATCTCAGCTAAATGCAACCTCCGCCTTCCAGGTTCAAGCAATTCTCCTGCCTCAGCTTCCCAAGTAGCTAGGATTACAGGCACCCGCCACCACGCCTGGCTAATTTTTGTATTTTTAGTAGAGACAGGGTTTCACCATGTTGAGCAGGCTGGTCTTGAACTCCTGACCTCAGGTGATCCACCTGTCTCAGCCTCCCAAAGTGCTGGGATTACAGGTGTAAGCCACCGTGTCCGACCAGTTTCTCCTATTATTAACATCTTACATTAGTGTGGTACATTTGTCACAGTTAATGAACCAGTAACGACACATTATTATTAACTGAAGACCATACTTTATCAGATTTCCTTAGTTTTAAATTTCGTATCCTTTTTCTATTCCAGGATCCCATCCAGGATACACCACATTATATTTATTCATAGTGTCTTCTTAGGCTCTTCTTGACTGTAGCAGTTGTTTCCGCTTTTTATCATCGTCATCCCACGTCAATTCACTGACTAATGGGAGCAAAACTCTATCTGAGCTAACCATGCACAGTATACAGAATCAGCAAATATTAATAGTTAAGTGTAGATATGTGAAGTCTATGTGGCCACAGCTCCTGGCTCATATCTCTCAATGCCCCTGTTACAGTCTTTTTTTTTTTCTTTTTCTTTTTCTTTTTTTTTTTTTTTTTGAGATGGAGTTTCACTTTTGTTGCCCAGGCTGGAGTGCAATGACGCAATCTTGGCTCACTGCAACCTCCGCCTCCTGGGTTCAAGTGATTCTCCTGCCTCAGCCTCCCAAGTAGCTGGGATTACAGACATACGTCACCACGCCCGGCTAATTTTGTATTTTTAGTAGAGACGGGGTTTCTCCATGTTGGTCAGGCTGGTCTTGAACTCCCGACCTCAGGTGATCCACCTGCCTTGGCCTCCCAAAGTGCTGGGATTACAGGCGTGAGCCACCGTGCCCGGCCTACAGTCTTTTGTTATAATGTTAGGACACTTTAGGATTCAGAGGCCGGCCTCAGAAAGCAGACTTTCTTGCTATCTGACTTTCTCCCGCTCTTATTTATTTATTCATTTATTTATGTTTTGAGATAATGTCTCACTCTGTTGCCCAGGTTGAAGTGCATTGGTGTAATCACTGCTCACTGCAGCTTTGATCTCCTGTACTCAATCAATCCTCCCACCTCAGGCTCCTGAGTAGCTGGGACTACAAGTGTGCACCACCATGTCCGGCTAATTTTTTATTTTTTGTAGAGACACTCTCCCTATGTTGCCCAGGCTGGTCTTAAACTCATGAGCTCAAGCAATCCACCTGCTTCGGCCTTCCAAAGTGTGGGAATTACAGGCATGAGCCACCACACCGGGCCTTCCTGTTCTCATTGCACCTGCCAGATGCAGGACTCTAATCTGATTGTGAGTCATAAGACCCTGATTGCAGAGAGGGTCCTACCCCGTAGCCTGGAGGAAGGAAGGCTGCATAGAGAGACCAAGAAGAATCTAACAGACATGCATCTCTCCATTCACATCCTCTGTCATATCCTTTCTAATAAGCTGGTAAACGAAGTGTCTCCCTTAGTTCTGTGAGCTGCTCTAGCAAATGAATTGAGTCCAAAGAGGGGGCTGTAGGAGCCCCAACTTGAATCTGCTGGGTCAGAAATTCTGGAGTCTTGGGTTTTGACTGGTGTCTGAATGGGGTGGGTGGGGGCAGTTTTGGGGTTTGAGCCCTCAACCTGTGGCCTCTTGGTAGATGGTGTCAGAATCGAATTAGAGGACACCCAGCTGGTGTCTGCTGCAGAACTGATTGCTTGTTTGCTGGTGGGGAGAAATCCTCCATATTTGGTCACAGGAGTCTTCTGTCTGTGTTGATTGTTACTGTTGAGTGAGATAACAGGAACAAACACTCTGAGTTTGTGTGTTTTCCCACACACAAGATCCCTATCTCCATTCTCCCTCCTGCTTCAGTCTTCCTTCTCTGAGGTTCTCAGATGCCCTCCCACCTCCTATATCCCCTCCAGTGTCCTGCACTTTCCTTCTTTGCCCTCTGACTTGAACCTAACAATGGTAAGTTTTCTTTGAAGTCTGATGCTACTTTCTAGCCTTGCTTGCCAAAGGTTGAGATTACCCCCACCTATGGCCATAAACTTGTTTTGTATCTATTAATTTATTTAAATTTCTTTCCTATTTAGGGTAGCTGGCAGGTATTATTAGTACCGAGTCTCCAGTGCAACTCTAAGCAAGAAGTTGCTCCTTCTAATACTGGGGACTGCAGGCCGGGCGCGGTGGCTCACGCCTGTAATCCCAACACTTTGGGAGGCCAAGGCGGGCAGATCACAAGGTCAGGAGAATGAGACCATCCTGCTAACACGGTGAAACCCCGTCTCTACTAAAAATACAAAAAATTAGCCAGGCGTGGTGGTGGGTGCCTGTAGTCCCAGCTACTCAGGAGGCTGAGGCAGGAGGATGGTGTGAACCCGGGAGGTGGAGCTTGCAGTGAGCCGAGATCACGCCACTGCACTCCAGCCTGGGCAACAGAGTGAGACTGCGTCTCAAAAATATATATATATATTGGGGGCTGCAAAAAGTAAAGACAGGGAATTTGAGAAGGAGTGCTGGTATACGGGGGAAGTTACTTTGCTTGGTTTGTCTGTGTCCTAAGTAGAGATGAGACGTACAAGTGCAAAAGTTCTGGAGAAAGTTAAATACTGATTCAGTACATGGATGAGAGGTCGGTGTTTAAAATGGAGATTTGAAAGTTGTCTGCTTTTGGAGGTGGCAGGAGAAAGCATGAGAGTGAATGAGCCACTGAAGGGGAAGAGTGGAGGGCAGAGGAAAGGAAAGAGCTTTTTCACAGCTATGGGGAATAGCTGAGAAAGGAAAAAAGTACCCACAGGGACAGGGGAGGGCTAGAGCTGTAGAAAATAATAGAGCAGTGGTATAGAAATCCAAGGAGAAAAGAGTGTGAAAAAATAGGGAGCAGAAGCACAAGAGACATCCGGTAGAAGGAGGACTCAGAAAAGCCTTCAGTTTCCAAGCTCAACTGCAGGTGAGGGACAAGGGAACTTGGAATTACTGCATATAAACTGCTTGAAGATGGTGAATAGAAAGGAAAGAAATATGGCCAGGTGCGGTGACTCACACCTGTAATTCCGGCACTTTGGGAGGCTGAGGCGGGCAGATCTCCTGAGGTCAGGAGTTCAAGACCAGCCTGGACAACATGATGAAACATCATCTCTACCAAAAATACAAAAGTTAGCCGGGTGTGATGGCACACACCTGTAGTCCCAGCTACTTGGGAGGCTGAGGTAGGAGAATCTCTTGAACCCAGGAGGTGGGCCAAGATTGCGCCACTGCACTCCAGCCTGGGCGACGGAGCAAGACTCTGTCTCAAAAAAAAAAAAAAAAAAAAAAAAAAAAAGCAGAGCAGCTACAAGTTACAAGTTGCAAAAGGGTTAGGATAAGGATAAGATTCTTCTCTACACCTTTTTGAGGGCAGAAGGTAACTCAGATGTTACTTCCAGAAGGTGGAATTAAGATGTTGGCCTTTAGTTTCCTCACTCAGTAGGAAGTAAGCTCATGAAGGCAGGGATTGCTGCCTATTGTTGACTTCTGCTATATTCCAAGAGCCTAGAACAGTGCCTGGTACCTGGTAGGTGTTCGATAAATATTGCTGAATAATAGAGCTCAGGAATTAAGTCTAGACACTAGGAAGAGAGGCTGGCTGTAGAATAAGGATACACTGGGTGTGGTGGCTCATACCTGTAATCCTAGCACTTTGGGAGGCCGAGGTGGGAAGATCACTTAAGGCCAGGAGTTCGGGATCAGCCTGAGCAACATAATGAGCCCCCATCTGTACCAAAAAAAAAACAAAAAAACTAAAAACATTTTTTATCTATATAATTTTCTTTTTTTTGAAATAGAGTCTCACTCTGTTGTGCAGTGGCACGATCTTGGCTCACTGCAACCTCTGCCTCCGAGTTCAGGTGATTCTCCCACCTCAGCCTCCTGAGTAGCTGGGATTACAGGTGCACGCCACCATGTCCAGCTAATTTTTGTAGTTTTAGTATACAGGGTTTTGCCATGTTGGCCAGGCTGGTCTCGAACTCCTGACCTCAAGTGATCCACCTGCCTCAGCCTCCCAAAGTGCTGGGATTACAGGCATAAGCCACCACATCTGGCAAATATATTTTTAAAAAATAGAATTAGGGATAAGTATCTCTTTCTTTTAGACCATGAGGAAGATTTATGAGCTAGAGGTAAGGAAGAGACTTAGGCCTGCTAGCTCTGGGCTGAATGCTATGGTACCCAGTGAGTTTAGACTATTGGAGGGCAGGCCTGTTAGGGGACTGAGGTCAGAAATCCCCTCCTGCTTCCATATAGGCAGCCAAGAGCTGGCCTGGGACACCAGCTGGGTGCTTTTCCCAGCCGTTTGCATTCCAGCCTGTATACAATGAAGAAAGAGTGACAGTGTGGTGACATGATTTAGGTTAATGAGCTACTGATCACCTGCCAAGTGGGTGGGAAGTTTTTTTTTTTTTCTGCCCACTTCTGTAGAAAAAATTTTTTATGAATGACTCATCTTGTCTCATTACTCAGAGTACAAATTTGTGAGCTGGTAATAAGAGGTCAAAACCTAAGGAGAACATATCCACCCCCACTCTCCAACACCCAGTTTCTGGTAGATGGATATGCTCATTATCTTGATTGTGGTAAAAATTTCATGGATGCATACATATGTCAGAACTATCAAATTGCACACTTTACATTTGTGCAGTTTACTGTTTGTCAGTTACACCTCAGTAGGGCTGTTTATGAAAAGGAAAAATCTTATATGTAAACTTTTTATAATCACAGAGTTTGGATACTTAATTTATTAACTTGCACATATAAATTTATCTAATTCATCTTTGCAGTCAAAGAGAAAGTCATTTCTAGAAAAAAAAAAACTGAATAATCATTTTGGGGAAAACAAAGGACAGCCTAGGGAGACTAGATACAAAGAGTGTCATTGTAGAATTTCTAGCCACACACCAGAATAAACTAGCCTCTCCCACTCCTGAGGGGAGAAATGAGGAAAAAGTCTTTGCTTAGCTGGAGTGAGAATGTTGCATTCTTTTGTAAGCTTTTTGTAATTCTTTGTTTATCTAGTTGACTTTCTCCTTGAGACCAGCCTTTCCTTCTCCGCTTCAATCTACAGGAAATCCTCCCTCTCCTATAGAGAGAAAGACAACTTTCTCCTAGGGAAGCCAGTTGTTCTGCCACTCTGCTGGCCCGAGGCTTCTATTTCTTAGTCCCCCTGATGTGCTACAAAACTTGAGAGACACAAATCTATCAAGTCTCTCAACTCCCTTATTCTAAAATGATACAGGCACATGCCACCATGCCCGGCTACTTTTTGTACTTTTTGTAGAGATGGGGTCTCACTACGTTGCCCAGAATGGTCTTAAACTCCTGACCTTAAGCAATCCCTGCACCTTGACCTCCCAAGTTCTGGGATTACATGCATGAGCCACTGCACTCAGGCATAAATTTGTGTTTTTTAAGCCACTAAATTTGTGGTACTTTGTTATAGCAGCCATAGAAACTAATACAAACGTTACCTGACACACAGTAGATAATCAATAAGCATTTGTTACTTGACCAACTTATATCTGGTACTTCAGCCAATAATAAAAATAATACTTCACGCCAGGAGCAGTGGCTCACGCCTGTAATCCCAGCACTTTGGGAGGCCAAGGCGGGTGGATCACGAGGTCAGGAGAAGCAGACCATCCTGGCTAACAGGGTGAAACCCCATATCTACTATAATTACAAAAAATTAGCTGGACATGGTGGCGGGCGCCTGTAGTCCCAGCTACTTGGGAGGCTGAGGCAGGAGAATTGCTTGAACCCAGGAGGCAGAGGTTTCAGTGAGCCGAGATCGTGCCACTGCACCCCAGCCTGGGCGACAGAGTGAGACTCCATCTCAAAAAAAAAAACAAAACACACACACAAAAAACTAAAAACCTTCACAATAGCAAAATGTGTTTAAATTCTTAATCTCATTTTGTTGTCACACTTATTAGCCTTACTTTATAGATAAGGAAATGGAAAATCAATTGCCCAAAGTCATATATATATATATATATATATATATATATATATATATATATATATATGTATTTTTTTTTTTTTTTTTTTGAGACAGTCTCGCTCTGTCACCCAGGCTGGAGTACAGTGGCATGATCTTAGCTCACTGCAACCTCTGCCTCCTGGGTCCAAGTGATTCTCCTGCCTCAGCCTCCCAAGTAGCTGGGATTACAGGTGCCAGCCACCATGCCCAGCTAATTTTTGTTATTTTCAGTAGGGATGGGGTTTCACCATGTTAGCCAGGCTGACCTTGAACTCCTGACCTCAGGTGATCCACCCGCCTTGGCCTCCCAAAGTGCTGGGATTACAGATGTGAGCCACCACTCCCGGCTGAAATCCCATATATTTTAAGAAGCAAAAAGTAGATTTAGAACTGACATCCTAGTTTTCTCTTTTAATGACATTGTGTCAACAATAAATGACATGTAAAAAAAATCACTCACAATCCTTTGACTCTATTTAATAGATCAACCAGTTTTATTTTTCCATGTCTTCAAGGTCTCATCCATACAAATACACATTAAAAATATTTATGCCAGGCCAGGTGCGGTGGCTCACGCCTGTAATCCCAGCACTTTGGGAGGCCAAGACGGGTGGATCACGAGGTCAGGAGATGGAGACCATCCTGGCTAACACCGTGAAACCCCATCTCTACTAAAAATACAATAAAAATTAGCCGGGCATGGTGGCGGGCGCCTGTAGTCCCAGCTACTCAGGAGGCTGAGGCAGGAGAATGGCATGAACCTGGGAGGCGGAGCTTGCAGTGAGCTGAGATCGCGCCACTGCACTCCAGCCTGGGCGAGAGAGCGAGACTCCGTCTCAAAAAAAAAAAAAAAAAAAAAAATTTATGCCAGGTGCGGTGGCTCATGCCTGTAATCCCAGCACTTTGGGAGGCTGAGGCAGGCGGATCACCTTAGGTCAGGAGTTCAAGACCAGCCTGGCCAACATGGTGAAACCCCGTCTCTACTAAAAATACAAAAATTAGCCGAGTGTGGTGGTGGGTGCCTGTAGTCCCAGCTACTTGGGAGGCTGAGGCAGGAGAATTGCTTGAACCAGGGAGGTGGAGGTTGCAGTGAGCTGAGATTGCGCCACTGTACTCTAGCCTGGGTGACAGAGCAAGACTCCGTCTCAAAAAAAAAAAAAAAAAAAAAAAAGGGGCCAGGCGCAGTGGCTCATGCCTGTAATCCCAGCTCTCTGGGAGGCGGAGGCAGGCAGATCATGAGGTCAGGAGATCGAGACCATCCTGGCTAACACAGTGAAACGCCGTCTCTACTAAAAATACAAAAAATTTGCTGGGTGGCGGACACCTGTAGTCCTAGCTACTCGGGAGGTTGAGGCAGGAGAATGGCGTGAACCCGGGGGGCAGAGCCTGCAGTGAGCCGAGATGGTGCCACTGCATTCCAGCCTGGGCGACAGAGTGAGACGCCGTCTTAAAAAAAAAAAAATATGGCCAGGTGCAGTGGCTCATGCCTGTAATCCCAGCACTCTGGGAGGCCGAGGTGGGCAGATCACGAGGTCAAGAGTTCGAGACCAGCCTGGCCAACATAGTGAACCCCCATCTCTACTAAAAATTTAAAAATTAGCCGGGTGTGGTGGCACTCACCTGTAGTCCCAGCTACTCAGGAGGTTGAGGCGGGAGAATCGCTTGAACCTGGGAGGCAGAGGTTGCGGTGAGCCGAGATCGCACCATTGCACACCAGCCTGGGTGACAAGGTGAGACTCCATCTCAAAAAAAAAAAAAAAAAATTATAACTATATGGTGTATGTGTAAATATATGCATATATATAACTATATATAAACTACAGAAACCTTATATGTGCATATATATACAGTTTTCATTTTCTCTGTTCAATATTATTTTATCACCCAGTACATTGGTTTGGATTCTCTGAGAAGGAGATGCTCAAAGTTAGGAGCAGAAGAGGTTTATTGGGGGTAATGCCTGTGAAGGATATAGGGAGAGGAAGCAGGATGGATAGGGAGAGCCTCAAGTCATGATGCGGATCTGACAAAGTCTCAGTCAACTCCGCGGGAGACGAGGGGCAAAGTTGGGCAGAAATGGCCAGGCTTTAGCATGCACACCATGCTCAATCGTTGTCTGGAGGCTGCCTGGGAAGAGTGTGGTCTTAACATGAACATGATCGTGAATCCTGAAGTTGCTGTAGCTGGAAGCTGTGAGATAACTGCACTCCTACAGCTGAACAGAAAGTTCTTTTGTGAAAGGAATCCAAATGGGGTACCTCCATGGCTGCTCCAGTCTACCCTTTGTATCATGTGGATTCACTTCTCCAGACATAATTGGGCAGGGCTTCTCTTCCTGTGAAAAACTTAGATGAGCGTGATTAGTGGAATAATATACAGCCCCCATTGCTGCAGTTGTTCTTGGAGGTGCAACAGGTACTCATTGTTTCCTTCTTCTACTCTAAATCCCTCTTGCCCTCAGCTATCACTTCTACTAGTCTCAGTGGCTTACTGATGCTGTGGCCCAAACCCTAATTCCTCAGGGGTCTGAGGCCCCTTTCTCAGGCCAGGGTTGCTGCATTTATCATTCATAGTCATAACTAAGCAAAGGAGTACCAAGAAATGCCCAAGTCGCAGTGGCGCATGCCTGTAATCTCAGCCCTTTGAGAGGCTGAGGCGGACGGATGACCTGAGGTCAGGAGTTCGAGACCAGCCTGACCAACATGGTGAAACCCCATCTCTACTAAATACAAAAAATTAGCAGGGTGTAGTGGCGCATGCCCGTAATCCCAGCTATTTGGGAGGCTGAGGCAGGAGAATCACTTGAACCTGGGAGGCGGAGGTTGCAGTGAGCCAAATGGCGCCATTGCACTCCGGTCTGGGCAACAAGAGTGAAACTCCATCTAAAAAAAAAAAAAGAAGAAAGAAATGCCCAAGTGAGTCACCACACATATTCTTCCCTGCCCCAATTGTAAAACAGCAGCCCCACCTCTTCCCTGATCAGGGTCAATTACACTGGCAATATGATAATGATAATTTCTCTTCTTACTTGGTGATTCCTGAATACAAGGAGTTCAAAGTGCACAAGTGGTAGCCATACCATGTAACTTAATGTGACCTTTCCTGGAAGAGTATGGCCCTTTGGGGATCAGAATGTCTCACCATGCGGAGCCCAGAGCTGCAGAATAGGAAGCATAAAGTCCCTCAGTGGGTTACTGAGAGCGATGATAAGTGGGGCTATACTTTTTCTGCTCCAGATGTCACTCAGAGCAGGCAGTCTTTCGTGCCACCTAGTATATGAGTCTAAGCAGTGTTTCTAGTGTGGAAAGTGTTGCCTTCAGAACCTGAAGAGACCTGCCAGGTACTTCGATTCCGTCTTTGTGGTAGGGGATGCAAGATGCAGCAATTTGTCTTTTACTTTAGAAAGGATGTCCTGGCATGTCCCTTAAACACCAAACTCCTAAAACACCGACTGAGGTGATCATCCTCTGAATCTTAGGGATCTCTTCCATGATCTGGAGGACATGTGTCTTACCAAAGCCTCTAGTATGCTAGCTACTCTTGCTCATCCTGACTGACAGGCATGATGTCATTGATATAATGGATCAAAGTGATGTTCTGCAGGATGTCTGAACAGTCTAGATTGCTTCTGACTAGATGGGGTGGATCCACTGTAAGCTGGACTTTGGCTAGTACTCTTTTATCCAGCTCTTATAAGCTCCCACTCCAATAGGGGAGTGAAGATGACACTTTGGGACTATGTTTCAATGTCAGTTCAGATCCTGTGCCCAACAGTCATCTGTGCACAGTCACCTGAATAAATACTTACAAGTCCCCTTTTGGAAGGACTGGGGAATCATTATAGTATATAATTACCATGGTGTTGCCAGTCTTTGGGGACCAGTGTACCTCTATAGTCAATGAGTTTTGGGTCTGAAAACTGACTTAGGTTCTGGAACCAGACAAAGGAGCATGCTTTTTAACTGAGAGCTCCATCCTCAGGTTCCTGCTCATCCATTCTTGCTCTCTGTTAATTACACATCTTCAGCAATATCCTTGTTTTGACTGCACATCCATTTTGCCCCCTAAGGATAGCATGTTTTATTAACCATCGATACAACTCTTCATGTCAAGCCCCTTGCCAGTCTCTCTGATACTTGTAACCCCCATCCCACGGCTTCTGGCAATTAAGTGCTGCCACCAGCCTCTACTACCTCAGTACACCCATCATCCTTGTCACTATAACAGAGCCAAGCTTGTGACAGTGTCTCCTCCTGTTAGCACTGGCTTGTAGAAGAAAGCCACAACTAAGCTTCTGTGTGATGCTGGCACTTTCACCAGCACATTTTTGATGGCCTTGGTAAATGGGATTCCTGGCTGGTGCAGTGGCTCACACCTGTAATCCCAGCACTTTGAAGGCCAAGGCAGGCAGATCACCTGAGGTCAGGAGTTTGAGTCCAGCCTGGCAAACATGGTGAAACCCTGTCTCTACTAAAAATACAAAATTAGGCCGGGCGCGGTGGCTCATGCCTGTAATCCCAGCACTTTGGGAGGCTGAGACAGGTGGATCATGAGGTCAGGAGATCGAGACCATCCTGGCTAACACAGTGAAACCCTGTCTCTACTAAAAATACAAAAAAAAAAAAATTAGCCGGGCGTGGTGGCATGCGCCTGTAGTCCTAGCTACTCGGGAGGCTGAGACAGGAGAATTGCTTGAACCTGGGAGGCGGAGGTTGCAGTGAGCCAAGATGGCGCCACTACACTCCAGCCTGGGTGACAGAGCGAGACTCCATCTCAAAAATAATAATAATAATAATACAAAAATTAGCCGGGCGTGGTGGCGTATGTAATCCCAGCTACTGGGGAGGGTGAAGCAGGAGAATCACTTGAACGCGGGAGGCAGAGGTTACAGTGAGCTGAGATTGCACCACTGCACTCCAACCTGGGTGACAGAGCGAGACTCCATCTCAAAAAAAAAGGGATTCCTCCGGGCCTTCTATGGAGCATTCTTAGAATTCACTCTATCATGCCCGTTTTGCTGAGCCATTTAATCTTTTCTTCCCCCAGTTGCTCTGGCAATACAGACATTTGACCTTCACTCAGCAACCATTATCATTTCCTCCATGCTCCTAGGAGCCACTAGGGGCAGGTCCTTACCAGGAAGTTAAATTCCTTTTTATTTTTATTTTTTTTGAGACGGAGTTTCATTCTCGTTGCTCAGGTTGGACTGCAATGGCACGATCTTGGCTCACCGCAACCTCCGCCTCCCGGGTTCAAGCAATTCTCCTGCCTCAGCCTCCTGAGTAGCTGGGATTACAGGCATGCGCCACCACACCTGGCTAATTTTGTACTTTTAGTAGAGACGGGGTTTCTCCATGTGAGTCAGGCTGGTCTCGAACTCCCGACCTCAGGTGGTCCGCCCACCTCGGCCTCCCAAAGTGCTAGGATTACAGGTGTGAGCCACGGTGCCCGGCCAGGAAGTTATATTCTATCCCAAGAAAGTGGTCCCCAAGTTAAAAAACTTGCCCTTAATCCACTTTTATATTTCATCCCCTTGATTAAGCACTGTCAAAATCCAATCCCATGGGTACTTCCCTACTCTTACCACTAAACGTTGGCCAGTTCTTGCAGGATACTTTGGGTTATAGTCCCTTTCTTTCCTTATTAGGCCTAGTATGTCCTTAGCTACCAGACTATGCTGTAATTTAACCCATGAGAGTTTAAGATTAAGATCTTCACAGTCAGGAGATCATGGGAGGGGAGAGGCCTCTGCAGTGTCTTAAGGCTCTGAGGGTTCAGAGGAGTGCAGAAAGCCAGAATCTTTGGGGGGACCTGCCCAGATATTTCTATTCCACGTATTAGGGTCCCAGGTTTTCCCAAGCAGAGTCCTGACCTTGATTGCAGATCTGCCTCTGGGAGCTCTATTGAAGTCCTCGAGTTTGGTCTTCAGATTTTTTTGCTCTCTCACTGCTATAGATAAGGGCCTCTTTGTAAGCCATCAGAAAGGCCCTCTGACCTTCACAGTTAATTTCCAACGTTTGTTAACTACTCTCAGCTTTTCATTTTCTCCTGGCAGGGCCCAGTGCAACTTAATAACAGCCAGCCAATTCCATTGTCCCTATACTCACTGCTGTCCCTCCGCCTACCCCCTATGCCTGAACTGTTCCACCACAGGAGCATTCTCTCATTTCACATCAGTGAAAATTTAGCAACTTGGCTACCATCTTGTTCCAGAGACTACCTGTACCCCACAACATCCAGGAGGGGTTCTTGTTGCCAGCCAGGCAGTGAGTACTGCAGTTCCCTAAACCTATCTTACTGCTCGCTTTTTCAGACCACTTCTGGAGTGGTCACCTGAGTCAGTTCAGGTGGTCTGGGGAGCAGATACTGAGACAAAGTTAGGAGTGCAAGAGGCTTACTGGCTGGCAACACCTGTGAAAGATAAAGAAGGAGGCAGGAATGGGCAGAGAAAGACTTTGGATAGGCTTCCCTATCCTGATAAAGTAAAGGAAGGCAGAAGCAAAATCGGGCAAGAAAAACCTCAAGCTGTGGTGCAGATCCTTCCAAGTGGCAGTCTACCCAGTGGAAAGCACCAGGGCAAAGGTTATCACATAGAGAAATCAACAGTGGGCAGAAACGGCCAGGTCCCAGTAACCACACTGTCAGTCATTGGCTTGGGGCTGTTCAGGAAGAGTGTGGCCTTAGCTCTGACATGGTAGTGGATCCCAAAGGTGATGCAGCTGTGGGCTGACAGTGAATTGCTTTCTGGCAGTTGAATGGCAGATTCTTTCTAAGGGATGTCATGGCTGCCACATCAGGTATTTTTGTCTTGGAGTTCAGTGCTATTTCCATATGTCATTTTGCCTCTGTATTATGAGACTTATACTTTGAAAAAGATTCAGATAAAAAACCTGAGCAAATCAGCAATTAATGGGATTCTGCTAAAACTCTTTGCCACAGTGGACTGTGAGAGAACTGGAGGAGTCTCAGGGCTTGCGGGATGTGTGTATAGGTTTGAGCTGCCAAGCTTCTGTCCCCTTCATTGATGAGAGGAGGAAAGCGAGATGGGAAGTAGAATCAGCTGTTGTTTGGGTGTGTGGAGGAAAACTGGCTCTCTCCTCAGAATGGCGTTTTAACAACCCAGAAAAAGAATTACACGAAGGAATCTGTTCCTTTTAATTTCTTTTTTTGTTGTTGTTTTTTGAGATGGTGTCTTGCTCTGTTGACCAGGCTGGAGTGCAGTGGTGCGATCTCGGCTCACAGCAACCTCTGCCTCCCGGATTCAAGCGATTCTCGTGCCTCAGCCTCCCAAGTAGCTGGGATTACAGGCACATGCCACCATGCCCAGCTAATTTTTTTTCTTTATTTTTAGTAGAGACGAGATTTCACCATGTTGGCCAGGCTGGTCTCGAACTCCTGACTTCAGGTGATCCACCTGCCTCAGCCTCCCAAAGTGCTAGGATTACAGGCTTGAGCCACCATGCCTGGCCTGGGAATTGGAAATATATGGCCTGTCTTGCTCTTTTTTTTTTTTTCCTTTTAAATGATATTCTTATTTTGAATGTAGACTGAAGGCCAGGTGCTATGGCTCACGCCTGTAATTCCAGCATCTTGGGAGGCCAAGGTGGGTGGATTGCTTGATCCCAGGAGTTCAGGAGCAGCCTGGCCAACATAGGGAAACCCCATTTCTACTATTTAAAAAACAAACAAAAAAATGAATATATACTAGAGACTTTGAACTTACTGGAATTTAGCTGCTCAGAGAGTTAGAGATGCGCAGCTAGGACAATAGGGGCTACAGGGTGTGGTGAGATACAAGGAACTTGGAAATGAGTCTTTCCCTTGTCGGGGAGTGACTCTGATTAAACTGAAAAAAGTTGCTTGGAATGCTTTGTCCCAAACAATTATCCTTTATGTACTAGATTTGGCTACACTTACTCACGTTCCTAGCTGATAACAAAAGGAAGAGGTGGGAGGCAGAACATGACTTTTTCCTCTTCAAGAAACCCAAAGGAAACAATACAGTTATGAAATCTGGGATCATCTTCATAATTCTCAGAGAAAACAGAGCCCCAAATATTTTGAAGACTTGGCTAGGAGTACAGCTTTCCCAGAAGTAAAATTAGAATACAGATATCTTGACTCCTGACTTGGTACGCTACCTCAGTGATGTCCATTCATGAAATCTCTGTAGCTCTGCCTCCCTAGTCAAACTGAGAAAAGAGTGGACGACATGGGTCACAAAGAATGAAATATCTTTTGGGGACTCTTGGAAGTCCTGTACTCAAAGATTGGACATGTATATAAAGTGAGTATATGCAGTGACCATTTCTTATCTTCCCTAACCAGAATAGAAATTGTACTTAGCCAGGAAAAGCCCCAAGTGTTAGTATAATTACATATTATTATTGCTGTTGAAGAGCAAAGTATTTGTAAACAAAGCTCAAGAGAGAAATGATGAGTAATACGCTAAAAGAGCATCAGGGTGAGTGGTCCTTGCTTTTCCCTCCTTTTGCCACCACTGTGGTTTTTTTTTTTTTTTTTGAGACAGAGTCTTGCCCTGTTGCCCAGGCTGGAGTGCAATGGCACGACCTTGGCTCACTGCAACCTCCGCCTCCTGGGTTCAAACGATTCTCCTGCCTCAGCCTCCCGAGTAGCTGGGATTACAGGCGCCCACCACCATGCCCAGCTATTTTTTGTATTTTTAGTAGAGACGGGGTTTCACCATGTTGGCCAGGCCACCATGTTGTTGAACTCCTGACCTCAGGTAATCTGCCTGCCTCAGCCTCCCAAAGGGCTGGGGTTACAGATGTGAACCACTGCGCCCGGCCACCACTGTGGTTTTTAGGGTTTACCTCAATCAAGCCTTACCATTGCATTTATCATAGAGACTTTCTGAAGTACTGCCTCTTTCCTGCTCAAGAACATTTAATAGCTCTCCATTACCTACCAATAAAGCCCACATTTCTTTTTACTTCTTTCTTTTTTTTTTTTCTTAAAGAAACATAGTGTAGCTCTGTTGCTCAGGCTAGAATACTGTGAAAGCCCACATTTCTTTTCTTTTCTCTTTGTCACCCAGGCTGGAGTGCAATGGTGCAATGGAGCGATGTCAGCTCACAGCAACCTCTGCCTCCCGGGTTCAAGCGATTCTCCTGCTTCAGCCTCCTGAGTAGCTGGGATTACAGGCACCCGCCATCATGCCTGGCTAATTTTTTTGTATTTTTGTAGAGACAGAGTTTCACCATGTTGGCCAGACTGGTCTTGAACTCCTGATCTCAGGTGATCCACCTGCCTCAGCTTCCCAAAGTGCTAGGATTACAGGTGTGAGCCACCGAGCCCAGCCGAAAGCCCACATTTCTTATTCTGATATTCTAGGCTTTATACAATCTACCCCAGAATTTACCTATCATCTTATTTACCACTATTCTCTGTCCCTTTGCTCTACAGGCTAACCTTCCAGTTCGCTAAACTGACATGATGCTTTTCTGCCCCTAGGGCCTTTGCACGTTTTCTTGCTGTCTTTCTTCCTTCCTTTCCCCTGCCTGTTTTTTCAAGGCCCAGATTATAAATCACTCTATTCTAGTTGAAAGGGAAGCTTTCCAGTAACACTTCATTTGTGCCATTGATTTGGCATTTATCATATTCTTCCTTAGGCTTGTAGATAATACCAGCAGTTCCAAAACCTTTTAACAAATTCTCCAGCCCTGAGAATCACTTCTCTTTGGCAGGTCCAGTAATCTGGTGAACTAGTTACCTGCCTCAACTTTCTCAACTCCTCACTCTTTCACATCTGTTCTTCCAATTTAAGTTCCAGAACAGAGACTTCACCTTCTCCTCTAAGTTCCAAGTTTTGACTATTTGGCTGTTCTCTTTTTCTCTTTTCCTCTTTCTCCCATCTCATCTTAGTTCTTGAATCTTGTCTCCTTTTCTAGCTTCTTATTAAAACATAACCAAGTCTCTTCTTCTTCTCCTTTCTTTTTTTTGAGATGGAGTTTCGCTCTTGTTGCCCAGGCTGGAGTGCAATGGCACAATCTCGGTTCGCTGAAACTTCCGCCTTCCAGGTTCAAGCAATTATCCTACCTCAGCCTCCCAAGCAGCTAGGATTACAGGTATGTGCCACCACACTCAGCTAATTTTTGTATTTTTAGTAGAGGCGGGGTTTTACCATGTTGGCCAGACTGGTCTTGAACTCCTGACCTCACGTGATCTGCCCGTCTTGGCCTTCCAAAATGCTGGGATTACAGGTGTCAGCCACTGCGCCCAGCCAGTCTCTCCCTCTTAAAAATGAAACCAGCTGGGCACAGTGGCAAATGCCTGTAATCCCAACACTTTGGAGGCCGAGGCGGGTGGATCACTTGAGCTCAGGAGTTCAAGACCAGCCTGGACAATATGGCAAAACCCCTTCTCTACAAAAAATACAAAAATTAGCTGGGTGTGGTGATGTGCACCTGTAGTCCCAACTACTCAGGAGGCTGAGGTGGGAGGATCGCTTGAGCCCAAGGAGTTGAGGCTGCAGTGAGCCGTGACTGCACCACTACACTCCAGCCTGCGTGACAGTGAGACCCTGTCTCAAAAAAAACCAAACACCCCCCCACCAGTCTCCCCACAAAACCCCAAAACCAAACATAGAAGTTGCCCTTTCTTTTACCCTGTTTTCCTTTAAGTCAAGGTACCCTCTCTCTTTCCTTTTTATTGATACACTTCTTATATTGCATTCTGAGTTGAAAGCCTATCACACTGCTGAAACTGACGTCTGGAAGATCACCCATAACTTCGAAATGCCAAATTCCAGTCTCTTCTCCTACTTGAATACCTCTCTTGCATGAACTTCTTTACTTACCTTTCTCAATAACCCCACAATGATCCCGTTTTTACTCCTCATCTGTCCTTTATTTCTCACAGTTTGTTCTGTAGTCCTCTTAGCAAACTTTCATCTATGAGGATGATTCTTAGCTCTGTCTCTAGCCCTGATTTCTTTTCTAGGCTTCATTTCCAGTTGTTTGCTAGACATTTGTATGTGTGTGTGGATTTACCACATGCTTTTTTAAAATTTTTTTTGAGACGGAGTTTTGCTCTGGTTGACCAGGCTGGAGCACAGTGGCGTGATCTCTGTTCACCGCAATCCCTGCCTTCCGGGTTCAAGTGATTCTCCTGCCTCAGCCTCCCGAGTAGCTGGGATTATAGGCGTGTGCCACCACGCCCGGCTAATTTTTGTATTTTTAGTAGAGACAGGGTTTCTCCATGTTGGTCAGGCTGGTCTTGAACTCCTGACCTCTGTTGATCCGCCCGCCTCAGCCTCCCAAAGTGCTGGGATTACAGGCGTGAGCCACCGCGCCCGGCATCACATGCTTCTTTAAAATATCAGGTTCCAGAGTTAATTTATCATACTCTTCTTCTAGGTCCTCCTCAAATCCTTCCTGTCTCTTGTCCTTTCCATTTCAGCTAGTGGCATCACCTCATTTCCATTATTATTATTATTATTATTATTTCGAGACAGAGTTTCACTCTTGTTGCCCAGGCTGGAGTGCAATGGCACAATCTCGGCTCATTGAAACCTCAGCCTCCTGGGTTCAAGCGATTCTCCTGCCTCAGCCTCCCGAGTAGCTGGGATTACAAGCATGTACCACCATGCCCGGCTAATTTTTGTATTTTTAGTAGAGACAGGGTTTCACCATGTTGGCCAGGCTGGTCTCGAACTCCTGACCTCACGTGATCCGCCTGTCTTGGCCTCCCAAAATGCTGGGATTACAGGCATGAGCCACCGTGCCCGGCCTTAAACGGGTGATCTTTGAGAGAACAATTCAGTAGAGTTGCTAGTGGTATCAGTGAATCTTGGAGAATTCAGGAAAGAATTGCAGGAGAGGAATTTGGTTCCAAATCCACTTTTTTTTTTTTTTTTTTTTGAGATGGAGTCTCGCTCTGTCGCCCAGGCTGGAGTGCTGTGGCTAGATCTCAGCTCACTGCAAGCTCCGCCTCCTGGGTTCAGGCCATTCTCCTGCCTCAGCCTCCCAAGTAGCTGGGACTACAGGCGCCCACCACCACACCCAGCTAATTTTTTGTATTTTTAGTAGAGACGGGGTTTCACCATGTTAGCGAGGATGGCAAATCCACTTCTTTGATGAAACCTGCAATTTACCTAAAACTTTCTCTATTATCCCATTTCATAAAATAAAACTTCTCTCTTTAACATCTATCAGTGTTATTTCTTCTTTCTGGGTATTATATTTGCTATAAATTCTGTTTTTGCTGTATTTATAAACTGGCCAATTTTGCCATTTCTTTTTTGAAAAAATTTTATTATTATTATTTTTTATAAAGATGGGGTCTCACTGTGTTGCCCAGGCTGGTCTTGAATTCCTGGGTTCAAGCGATCCAACTCCAGGGCTCAAGCTATCCTCCTGTTTTGGCCTCCCAAAGTGCTGGGATTAGAGGCATGAGTCATCACGCCTGGCCCTGTAGCATTTCTTAAGGAGAGGGATCACCTGTCTTCTGAACTCTGGAAAAAGACCAGGGTGTCGCCTTTGTCACTTGTGCCTGGATGTACCTCTCAGACTGAGTGCTTCCTTGAAGAACAGATGACGAAGGCGGTGACTCAGAGGCTCCCACTTATCCTTGTAATTCGTGTTCATGGTGCTGGGTAACCACCCAAATTGGTATTTACTACAAATATACTAAGTATCCTAATTGCTAAGGTGTTATCTAGGGGAGTTTAGGCGCTTCCGCCTTTCCAATATCTGAGTCAATTTAATATCCCACATTAAAAAAAAAAATCTCCTTACAAACACTTGGTGGGGGCGAGCGTGGTGGCTCACTCCTGTAGTCCCAGTACTTTGAGAGGTCGAGGCAGGCGGTTCGCTTGAGTTCAGGAGTTCAAGACCAGCCTGGACAACATGGAAACCCCATCTCTACTAAAAATGCCAAAATTAGCCCGGTGTGGTGGTGGGCGCCTGAAGTTCCAGCCACTCAGGAGGCTGAGGTGGGAGGATCGCTTGAGCTTTGGAGGCTGAGGCTGCAGTAAGCAGAGATTGCACCACTGCACTCCAGCCCGGGTGACAGAGTGAGACTCCGTCTCAATGAAAAAAACAAAACTAAAGCAAAAACAAAAACAAAAAAACCCAAAACAGGCTGGGTGTGGTGGCTCACGCCTGTAATCCTAGCCCTTTGGGAGGCCAAGGTGGGCAGATCACTTAAGGACAGGAGTTCAAGACCAGCCTGGTGAAACCCTGTCTTTATTAAAAAATACAAAATATTAGCCGGAAATCAATTGAATCTGGGAGGCGGAGGTTGCAGTGAGCCGAGATTGCGCCACTGGACTTTAGCCTGGGCGATAGAGCAAGACTCCGTCTTAAAAAAAAAAAACAACAAAAAAAACCCAAACCAAAAACCATCCCATGGGAGTGTCTCTGAACCTATTCTGGTTCAGGAGGCTGCACAATAAAAGAAAAATAAGAAAAAATTTTTTAAAAAAAAGTCTTTTAAAAGCCACCCAGTGTTCAGGAGGTGCGCTCCTGGAAGGACATTTCCTCTTCTGTCCCCACCCCCACTACATGTTTTTTGCTGTTCCTCCCCAGGGAACAGGCCGGTTTGATGGCCCTAATCCTTATATACAGCTTGCTCTGGAATGCAGAGACTTTGCATCCCAGCTGAGGAGCTGGTAAGTGGACTTTACTCTGTAGGACCCACACCTAGCTTTTGAAGGCTTGGGGAGGGGCGGAAACCAGCTCCCGAGAATACACCGGAATCTGTGCTGCATCGAAGATTCCTCTTCTACTCCAATAGATACAGGGTAAATATTTGTTGTAACTAAATGAGAACAAAATCCGGAGCCCAGCAACGTAAACGAAGTCAATCTCTTTTTTACATATCTCAACGGTTAACAGCTAGGATGCCAGCTTTAATGTTGTTTTAACTGCAGCTGGTATGAGCGGTCCTGCAGTTTGCAGAGCCCCTAGTTTTTACTCTTTTCTAGGAACTGGGATCAGCATCCCTACTTTTTGAGAGGCTAACTCTGAGGTAAATTTACAACTGAGTCCCTTTCAGTTTAGAACGAAGGTCATTCCTATTTTGGTAAATTTGCGTCCCCGGTTTCCATTCATTCAGTCAACAAATATTTATTAAGCATGTAGTATGTACCAGTCCCTGTTGTAGGCGTTTGGGGTGAAGCAAGGCACAGAACAAGAGATCCTTGCTCTGGTGAAGCTTATCGTAGGACGGGAGGCAAAATGATGAAAATGATTTTTAAAATTATGTTATTAACTAGAAGGTGATAAATATTACATAGAAAAAGATGTCAGGCTGCAAAATGATTGCGGAGGCCACAAGATAAAAGAGAATCCAAGATCAGGGTTCTGGTTCGGGTCAGGGAAAAGGGAGACGAGCTGAGGTGCAGGAGGCTCTGACGTCGGGGGACAACGGAGATATTTTCTGCAGAAAGTGACGAAAGAGCATTCTGGTTCCTGCAGAGGTAGGTGAAGGACAGAAAGGGCCCTGGCCGGCGATTCCCTTGGAGTAAACGGGAGGCAGGAGGCTGTTTTCTAGCAGAGCCCAGAAGATGCTCTGGCCGACGGCTCCCGGGATCTTGGCCGGCGGTCACTCGCGACCATCCGCGACGCCCCCAAAATGGCCTCCGCGCCCCTCGCCGCCCCGCCCCGACGCTCCGCAGCCCGTGGGTCCACGTGACCTGGCCCGCCCTTCGCGGCTGGAGACCCCGGGTCCCGGTCCCCGCACCGGAGGCCCCGCCCCCTACGGGAAGCGGACCAACCGGAGCGGGGAAAGGCGGGGCGGGCACTGACGGCCCGCGGGGGTGGAGCTCCGCAGCGGAGTAACAGGTTGGTGGGAGGGAGAGAAAGGAGGGAGCTCCGAGGACGAGGGGGAGGGCCGGAGCTGCGCGTGCTGCTTTGCCCGAGCCCGAGCCCGAGCCCGAGCCCGAGCCCGAGCCCGAGCCCGAACGCAAGCCTGGGAGCGCGGAGCCCGGCTAGGGTGAGTGGACCCGGTGCGGGCCAGGGCACCCGAGAGGAAAGCGAGCCTTCAGGGGTACCTTTGAGGGGCAGGCATCGAGGCGGTGTGAGATGCCCCTCTCCAGGGCACCGGTGCCGAGTGGGAGACGGGAGGAGGGGAGATTGGGGCGGGGTGGGGTACTGATTAAGAGCCGACCCCTACCCTGAGGTGCCAGATGCAGGTGGCTAGGAAGGTGCCAGGCGAGGGGCACCTGGGGCGAAGGCTGTTCCCAGCGCATGAAAGCGTTTCAGCGCCAGATGTCTCTGGAGGTCAGACGCCAGCCCTAGGGGCAGAATTTCTCTTGGAGACAGCGGTGGCGCGGGGAAGGAGTTAGTTCCAGCTGAGTCGGGAACTGCTGCTGCCTGAGGTGCAGACTCGCCAGGGGAGGGCATCTGCAGGTGCTGCTCGCCTGAGGGTCTTTCCTGCGTCCTGCGGTCTCAGCTGGCCGTTGTCAGCACCCTGGTGGCTTTGAGATGACTCTGAGGTGTGGGATTTTTTCCCCAGCCCTTCACCTCCGGCCGAAGGCAGTTGCGAATCAGAGACACTGAGGGGCAGATGAGAGGGCACCCTCATCTCTTCACCAGGTGTACAACCATTAGGCTTTCACTTTGTGTCCTTTGCTTTCGTGCCAGGGAGAATCGTTCCTTCTTCCTCTTGAGAGAGAGAGAGAGTACTCCCCAAGAGAGGGATATGAGGAAGCAAAGAGCCCTGCCTGGTCCTGCAAAATATTGATAAATATTAATACTTATTTCTCAGGAGGCCCCTTTCTGGGGGCGGATGTCAAACCCTTTCTCCAAGTACCCACATATTTTTTCTGTGGTTCTAGATGGGGACCATTGGATGAGGTTTGGGAGCCCAACCAATTTCCTTGATGTCTGGAGGAATCCCCATTACTCCCTGAACGCCCTCCAGGCATCCCTGACTCCTGAACTGCGGTGGCTGTCAGAATGGCAGCAGGCACTATTGGGGCAGGAAATAGGCAGGACTCATCAGGAGACCACGAGACTAGGGAAATTACAACTCCAAATCCCCAGGACAGATGAAAGGTGCACCTTGGGGCCCAGACAAGACTGGAGGCAAATTTCTTTGCCTTAGGCAGGTAAAGGAACTAGAGTCAACCTTAGCTTGGCCCCTTTGAAGCCCTGCCTGAGGAAGGTTGTTGTAATTGGGAAATAATTAGCAACCGCTATGTTTGTAGATGGGCTGCCTACACATGCCTATGCATCTCTTCTTTCATCCTGGATGTTTGGGAGTCTGGGGGCTGGCTCTGGGGGACTGCTAATCCAGAGATTTGCCCGACTCTAAGAGGATTCTGGCTTCCTAGAACCCTTCCTGTGTTTCCCAGGCTGGCCTGCATGCCATTCCCCTTGTGGGAGGTGATGGGGGTGTAGGGCTCTTCTCTTTGTGCCAGGGAGGGGCGGACTGAGGACCAGGGAGGTGGCCAAAGCAAGTGTGGGATCAGGAATGCAACTTTGGGAACCTCAAAGGGAGGGGTGGAGGGAGACAAAGTCTCCCTGTCACATACTGGCCTGTCACCAGGTTCCTGTTCATCTGCTCCTCCTGCCTGTTCCCTCCCTGCCCTCTGTCCTCTCCTTCAGAGCTTTGGCTTTGCCATCAAGGCTGGAGAGCCCCTGCCTGTGGTCTTGCCCCTCTGCCTCCTCCGTGGTGTGGAATTTCTCTGGTCTGCTTTACAAGCTGCCAGTGTAGTTTCCCCGGCCCTCCCCTTCCCCTTGCCTCTCAAACCAGTCCAGCCAGTTTGCAGGGGCCCAGTTCCTCATTGTGTTTTTTTCCCTACTGGCCAAGCAGCTGTAGCCTGGCTCTCAGGTTTCTGCTCTTTCAGCGGACCTGGGCAGGAGTCCACTTGGGGGATTCTTTTTGGATCCACGGGGAACCTTCTTATCTCTAACTATGAGAAAAAGGGTGCCAAATCATCAAGGTCACTGAGCTGTCCTTTTCTATTTCGACCATTTGCTTTCCTTGTTTCCTCTGAGGGGATTCTAATCTCTATACCTCAAGTTCTCCCGTTTTCTAAATCTGCCAATTATTTAGCATCAAGCATATTGCCTGGCCCTATGTGAATCAGTCCTTCCTCCACACACCCGAAACCACCCCACCCCCACTTCCTGCCAGAAGTCCAGATACCCTGTCACTCCTAGTTGGAAACCAGATGCATATGGCTGGGCCAGAGGTGATGGAATTGGGGCAGGGCAGGCTAATGAGTAACTCAGGGAGAAGTGGCTGTCTGGTACAGGTGTAGAGTGTTCTCCCACTCCTTGCAGGCAGGAAAGGCAGAAGCAGACAGATGCACCTGAATCAACTTGTGGTCTGGTCTCTTCCTGGAGTACAGTTGGTGAGGAGAGCCCTGGACATGTGATAGGGGAGAGAAAAGTAGGGTCAGGCATTGGTGAGGGCGCAGGCCCTGGACTCCATGTTGCCTGGCCCTTGATCACTGTTTACCTGCCTGTCTCTGGGGCTTACGCAAGGCCTCAGAGCTGCCCTGCTGCCTTGGTCCCGCCCCACTGTCCTCTGTAACCAAAGGCGGGTAGGTTTCGGGTTTTCCATGTTGAATCATTTAGAGCCCTGCTTTCTGACCCACCCCAAAGATCCCTTCAGCCCTCCTGGCCCCTGATCCACATGTCCTTGGACTGAAGGTGATTGAGGTTAGGGAGTTAACCTAACCTGGGACCTGGGGGAGTGTTCAACACTGCCTCTGAATAATTTAGTGCTGTTGCTCAAGGGTCTGTGCCCTCTGCTGGGCCTAGGCTGGGAACTCCTTGACCTGGATCTGGAAGATCAGTAGATGTACTGACAGGGTAGACTGCATCATGAATAAATCATATGGCTTCTGAGAGCTGGCAATCTAGGCACTTCTGGTTCTAAGATCATGACTACATAGGGCAGCAAGTCTGGACCAGGAGGAGGTCCTGTTGCTAAGAGGTCCTGTTACTGAGGCAAAGTAGATTTGTCCTGGGCAAATCTCCCCACTGCTGTGCAAGTGGGCTTTAGTTCAGGATACAGCCTTTAACAAATATTTGTTGACATCTACCACGTGTCCAAACACCTGGGGACACAGTGGTTAGCTGCTAGCCATGGTCTTTGCCCTCCAGGAGCTTATTATCTCGTAGGGGAGACAGACAGGAAATAATTACTCCAATAAATGTATAAATATAAACTGGAGTAAACCTGCTGAAGGACAACTATAGAGCGTATAACGTGGATCTGACCTGGTTTGTGGGAGGCTGATTTGTGAGAACTGACCTTGTTTGTGGGAGTGGTGGTCAGGGAAGGCTTCTCTGAAGAAGTGACATCTTTCTATGAACCAGGTGAAGCCAAAAGTGCCTGTTGGACAAAGTAGCATGTGTGAAGGATGATATTTGTTGTCAGCTTTGTGATAGTCACATGCTAAATGTTTTCATGTTTAATATCTTGTTTTTCTCTCCTTTTTATTAAATTAGAACCCAAGTTCAATAAAGTACAAACATCTTTTTTTTTTTTTTTGAGATGGAGTCCTGCTCTGTGACCCAGGCTGGCGGATCTCGGCTCACTGCAGCCTGTGCCTCTCAGGTTTAAGCAATTCTCCTGCCTCGGCCTCCCCAGTAGCTGGGATTCCAGGCGTGCACCACCACGCACAGCTAATTTTTGTATTTTTAGTAGACGTGGGGTTTCACCATGTTGGCCGGGCTGTTATTGAACTTCTGACTTCAGGTGATCTGCCTATCTCAGCCTCCCAAAGTGTTGGGATTACAGGCATGAGCCACTGCGCCTGGCCTAAATAAAGTACAAAGATCTTAAGGGTATAACTTGGTACTTTTTTATCATTGTATATGCCCATATAATTATTTATTATCTCATTCTCACAGATAATAACCTTGTGGGGTATTATCATTATACCCATTTTACAGATGAGGAAACTGAGGCACAGAAAAGTTGTGGGTTTTTTGTTGTCGTTGTTGTTTTTGAGACAGAGTCTTACTCTATTGCCCAAGCTGGAGTGCAGTGGTGCAATTACAGCTCACTGCAGCTTCAACCTCCTGGGCTCAGGTGATCCTCCTGCCTCAGCCTCCTAAGTCGCTGGGACTACAGGTGTGTACCACCATACTCGGCTAGTTTTTTGTATTTTTTGTAGAGATGGGGTTTTGCCATATTGCTCAGGCTGGTCTCAAACTCCCGAGTTCAAGTGATCCACACACCTTGGCCTCCCAAAATGCTGGGATTACAGGCGTGAGCCACCACACCAGAAAAGTTGTGATTTGCCTCAGGTTGCATACATCAGGTGAAGAGCAGAGACAGGATTCCAGACCAGATCCTGACTCTAGCCCAGTGCATTTTCTTCTACTGGATGAGTGGTTTGGAGAACTACTTTACCTGTCTGCCTTCACAAGCCTTTTAAGATGGGGTGATAAAAGTTTGGATGTGCTGTCTCCTCAGGGAGAGTGTATTGCTTTCATCATTTTCTCATGGAGTCCCAGGGCCAAAAAGATGAAGAACAATTCCTAATAAAGGGCTCTTCTCTCCCTGTTCCTTTCTCTTGAGAATTGCTGGGAATTCTAAGAATGCTCTTCTTCAGATAGACCTTCCCCACCAAGCCCTTTGTCACCTGTAGCTCTGCCTCTCCCATCCCTTCCCCTCCCTTCTCATCTCACCCTGGCTTGCTAGCACTTTACAGTCCCTGAAAGGGGCCTTGCCAAGTTTCCTTGGCCCAGAACTCCATGGGGAGGTTGAGTTGGGTATGTTTGTGTTTCTGTCTGGCACGTTAGAGGCTCATCCTCCAGTTTGGTGCTAGGCTCTGGTGGAGACTAGCAGAAGGGGTGGGGAAGCTGAATTTTTTTATTTGCTTGGAAGACAATCTCTCCCCCAAGTTCCTGGAGCCAGAGCATACCTGGAATACATTCCATTTGCTGACTCTGAGCTTTAGCAATGTGGACCTGGGAAGCTGGCCTATGGATGGTGTTGGCTCTGGCTCTCAGCTGAGACAAGTTTACCTGACCTGGGGCCCCTTAAAGTGGCACTTTTTTTTTTTTTTTTTGAGATAGAGTTTCACTCTTGTTGCCCAGGCTGGAGTGCAATGGCGTGATCTTGGGTCACTGTAACCTCCGTCTCCCAGGTTCAAGCGATTCTCCTGCCTCAGCCTCCCGAGCAGCTGGGATTACAGGCCCCCGCTACCACGCCCGGCTGATTTTGTATTTTTAGTAGAGACAGGGTTTCACCATGTTGGTCAGGCTGGTCTCAAACTCCTGACCTCAGGTGATCCACACGCCTTGGCCTCTGAAAATGCTGGGATTACAGGCGTGAGCCACCATGCCCGGCCGAGTGGCACAGTTTTTAAACCACATTTAAATATTTTTGGCTGGGTGCGTGGCTCATGCCTGTAATCCCAGCACTTTGGGAGGCTGAGGCGGGCAGATCACCTGAGGTCAGGAGTTTGAGACCAGCCTGGCCAATATGGTGAAACCCCATCTCTACTAAAAACAAAAATTAGCCGGGCATGGTGGCAGGTGCCTGTAATCCCAGCTACTCGGGAGGCTGAGGCAGGAGAATTGCTTAAACTCGGGAGGCAGAGGTTGCAGTGAACCAAGATCACGCCATTGCACTTCAGCCTGGGCAACAAGAGCAAAACTCTGTCTCAAAAAAAACACAACCTTTTCTTGAATAGATAATACATCTACGTGGTTCCAAATTCAAAAGGGACATAAGAGATATACAGTAGAATGTCCACTCCTTTCTGCTCTTCCAGAGAATAGAAACTCTCCCATCCCTGTTCCTAGTCCTCAGTTCCTCCACCTCAAAGGCATCACTGCTATCAGTGTTTTTAAGTTTCTTTCCAGAAGTGGGATGATATACTTTGAGGTCTTCTATATTTTAAATGAGCTCTGGGAGAGAAGGCCCCCTTTTCTCCAGTGAGATGGAGGTATCTGCTCAGCAGGGTGTGGGTTCTGCCTTCCCTTGGTGGGAGGAAGGGAAGAAGGCACACAGTGTTTTTTTTTTTTTTTTTTGGAGATAGAGTTTTGCTTTTGTCACCCAAGCTGGAGTGCAGTGGCGCAATCTCGGCTCACTGCAACCTCCACCTCCCGGGTTCAAGCAATTCTTCTGCTTCAGCCTCCTGAGTAGCTGGGATTACAGGCATGCGCCACCACGCCTAGCTAAGTTTTTGTATTATTAGTAGAGACAAGGTTTCACCGTGTTGGTCAGGCTGGTCTTGAACTCCTGACCTCAGGTGATCCACCTGCCTCAGCCTCCCAAAGTGCTGGGATTATAGGCATGAGCCACTGTACCTGGCCACATGGTGGTATTATATGTATGTATGAAGATCAAGTAAAATCTTTTTTTTTTTTTTTGAGACAGGGTCTCACTCTGTCACCCAGGCTGGAGAACAGTGGCATAATCACTGCTCACTGCAGCCTCTCTCAAGCTCAAGTGATCCTCCCACCTCAGCCTCCCAAGTAGCTGGGATTACAGGTGTGCACCACCAGGCCCAGTTTATTTTTGTATTTTTTGTAGAGATGGGGTTTCACCATGTTGCCCGGACTGGTCTTGAACTCCTGAGCTCAAGCAGTCCACCCGCCTTGGCCTTCCAAAGTGGTGGGATTACAGGTGTGAGCCACTGCTCCTGGCCATCAAGCAAAATCTTTAAACTTTTAACAAAGCCTAGCTCCCCAGGGCTGTATCAGAGGAAGTGGATTCTTTTAGGTTAGTGAGTCTCAAAGTGTGGTACCTGGACCAGTAGCATCAGTATCACCTGGGGAACTTGGTTAGAAATGCAAATTCTCAAGTCCTAACCCAGACCTACTGAATCAGAAGCTCTGGAGGTTAGGTCCAGCAACCGGTATGTTAAAAGGCTCTCCAGGGGCCTTCTGTTAGTCTGAGAATCAGTGGTTTATCTAGTAGGAACTGACAGGGAAGTCAGCCCGCAGGTAGAAGTTTCATAGTTTCTAGTGAAGTCTCTCAGCCTAAACTCATTTCTTCATCTTCTAGGACTCCTCCTATTTATGGAGCAGGCACCCAACATGGCTGAGCCCCGGGGCCCCGTAGACCATGGAGTCCAGATTCGCTTCATCACAGAGCCAGTGAGTGGTGCAGAGATGGGCACTCTACGTCGAGGTGGACGACGCCCAGCTAAGGATGCAAGAGCCAGTACCTACGGGGTTGCTGTGCGTGTGCAGGGAATCGCTGGGCAGCCCTTTGTGGTGCTCAACAGTGGGGAGAAAGGCGGTGACTCCTTTGGGGTCCAAATCAAGGGGGCCAATGACCAAGGGGCCTCAGGAGCTCTGAGCTCAGATTTGGAACTCCCTGAGAACCCCTACTCTCAGGTCAAGGGATTTCCTGCCCCCTCGCAGAGCAGCACATCTGATGAGGAGCCTGGGGCCTACTGGAATGGAAAGCTACTCCGTTCCCACTCCCAGGCCTCACTGGCAGGCCCTGGCCCAGTGGATCCTAGTAACAGAAGCAACAGCATGCTGGAGCTAGCCCCGAAAGTGGCTTCCCCAGGTAGCACCATTGACACTGCTCCCCTGTCTTCAGTGGACTCACTCATCAACAAGTTTGACAGTCAACTTGGAGGCCAGGCCCGGGGTCGGACTGGCCGCCGAACACGGATGCTACCCCCTGAACAGCGCAAACGGAGCAAGAGCCTGGACAGCCGCCTCCCACGGGACACCTTTGAGGAACGGGAGCGCCAGTCCACCAACCACTGGACCTCTAGCACAAAATATGACAACCATGTGGGCACTTCGAAGCAGCCAGCCCAGAGCCAGAACCTGAGTCCTCTCAGTGGCTTTAGCCGTTCTCGTCAGACTCAGGACTGGGTCCTTCAGAGTTTTGAGGAGCCGCGGAGGAGTGCACAGGACCCCACCATGCTGCAGGTCAGACCCAGCCCCTCCCTGACTTCTAAATGTCAGCCCCTTCTCCCTTCTCATCAGCTTTTACCCACCAGCCATGAGCCTCCTTGCTAATTCAAATAGCCTAGGCAGAAACTCTCTGCCTTTTGTTCTCTACTGTATCTGTCCACAAAATAGGTGATATTCACATGCACAGGATATTTCCATGGGTAAAATTCTAAAGAAAATGGAGCAAGCTATAAAATCACTATTCACAAGTTTGGACCTAGTTGTCATTGCCACAACCATTAACTATGGCTCAGTCACCAGCATTTGCAAGGTCTGCAGAATATGTAAGGCGGGCTTGGAGGATAAGAGCAGTTTCCTTGGTGCTCTTGCCAAAATTCCACACCTTTCTCTCCTACTCAGGAATGTAAGTAAGTGAGGGAGTGACTTTACTTTGAGAGAAACGTAAGTCTGTTTTAAAAGTAAATTATTTATAAACTCTAGCATGTTAACTACCATTAGTGACAAATCACTTGTGGCACAGTTTGCAGCTGGTTGAGATGTTTGTTGAGGAAAATCTGGTTTACAGCAACAGTGCAGAGGTGCATCCTGTGTTGGCCTCTCCCTGGCCTGTTGCTCAGGCCTCCACAGCATGTTTTCCTTGCTGCATTTCAGGATTGTTCATCATGCTTGAAGGGACTTGACCTGAGACTGCCACTTCTCCTCCATCTGAACCCCACGCATGCTTCTGGCCTAATCTTCCTATTTCTTTCTTTCTTTCTTTTTTTTTTCTTTTTCTTTTTTTTTAACAGTTCAAATCAACTCCAGACCTCCTTCGAGACCAGCAGGAGGCAGCCCCACCAGGCAGTGTGGACCATATGAAGGCCACCATCTATGGCATCCTGAGGGAGGGGTGAGTGGGGGCCCCCCCAACAACAGAGGCATACCCCTCCTTCTTTTTCTTCTAGCTTTGTTTCCCATCTTCCCTGATTTTACCCTTTCCTGATCTCTGCTACCTCTTTCCTCCCCTAACCCTTGCTTCTATCCTTTTATCCTCTAGAAGCTCAGAAAGTGAAACCTCTGTGAGGAGGAAGGTTAGTTTGGTGCTGGAGAAGATGCAGCCTCTAGTGGTGAGTGGCCTTCTCTGGATGGGAGCAAGGGTCAAGGTTAGAGCTTTGAGGGCCTCAGGGGATCCAGACTTGGACTCACTCCCTTCCCCCACACCCCCCATATCTCTGGCAGATGGTTTCTTCTGGTTCTACTAAGGCCGTGGCAGGGCAGGGTGAGCTTACCCGAAAAGTGGAGGAGCTACAGCGAAAGCTGGATGAAGAGGTGAAGGTAAGGAAAGGTTAGAGGTGCCGGAGGCATGAAGGAAAACAGGGAAAAAGCCTTGGCCTGGAGATGGGCTGAGCTGACCCTTCTAAGCAATGGAACAAGCATGTTTGTGTCTTATGAGACAAGAGACAAGAATGTGTACTAATTCCAGGAAGGACTTCTGGGGTTCTGTGGGGGTTAGGGAGGCAGAGCACATTAGGAATCTACCTACCTTCCATTCCACTCCCTTTGGGAGTTCCCATCCTGGCTCTGCCCCTTACTAGCTATATAAAACTTAAGAAAATTACTTACATTCTCTGTGCCTCAATTTTTTTTTATCATTATCATAATAATGGCAATAGTAGTAGCTATCATTTATTGAGTATAATTTTGGTAGTATGTACTGTCCTGGGTACTGTAATCATTATAGTTACCCTGTGAATACCTATTCTGGACCCTTTTCTGATGAGAAAACTGAAGATCAGAGAGGCTAAGTAAATTGCCTATGGTAGTAAGTTGCAGAGAGGAATGAAAAAATCCGGGTCAGTCTTATTCTAAAGCCAGTGTACCCTTTTTAAAAACATGTCTTCTGCCTTTCATCATATTGGTTTGTGTGTAGTTGGTGCTCAATAAATGTTGGATTGTAACTTCCCTTGTCTTTTGGAAATCACTGTAGTGTAATGATTAAGTGATTGGCTGTGGAGCCAAACTAACTGGGTTCAAATCCTGGTTCTGTTACTTGTTGGCTGTGTAACTGACCTTGGGCAAGTTCTTTAAATGTTCTAAGCCTCTGTTTCCTAAATTGTAAAGTGGGGATTATGATAGTACTATATTAATTAACTATTGCTGTGTAACAAATTACCCAAAACTCAATAGCTTTAAACAAACATTTCCCAGCCGGGCGCAGTGGCTCACACCTGTAATCCTTTGGGAGGCTGAGGCAGGCAGATCACCTGAGGTTGGGAGTTTGAGACCAGCCTGACCAACATGGAGAAATCCTGTCTCTACTAAAAATACAAAATTAGCCTGGTATGGTGGCACATGCCTGTAATCCCAGCTACTTGGGAGGCTGAGGCAGGAGAATTACTTGCACCCGGGAGGTGGAGGTTGTGGTGAGCTGAGATCCTGCCATTGCACTCCAGCCTGGGCAACAAGAGTGAAACTCTTTCTCAAAAAAAAAGCATTTCCCAGAGTCTGAGGATGAAGAACCTGGGATCAGCTTAACAGGGTAATTGTGGCTCTGAGCCTGTTATAAGGTTCCAGTCCAGCTTCTGGCTGTGGCCAAAAGAAGTAAATTGGAGGATCTGCTTCTAAAATGGCTTACTCAGGGCCAGGCATGGTGGCTTACGCCTATAATCCCAGCACTTTGGGAGGGCAAGGTGGGAGGACCACTTGAACCCAGGAGTTTGAGACCAGCCTGGGCAACATAGTGAGAACCCGCCTCTACAAAAAATTAGCCAGATGTGATGGCATGTGCCTGTAGTTCCAGCTACTTAGGAGACTGAAGTGGGAGGATTTTTTGAGCCCAGGAGGTTAAGACTGCAGTGAGCTGTGATTGCACTGCTGCACTCCAGCCTGGGTGCCAGAGCAAGACCCTGTCTCAAAAAAATATAAATAAGTGAATGAAGCAAACAAAACCAGTTTAATGAATAAGATAGACAAAACCAGCTTAATTGGCTGGGTGCAATGGCTCACACCCATAATCCCAGCCCTTTGGGAGGCTGAGGTGGGTGGATCACCTGAGGTCAGGAGTTTGAGACCAGCCTGGCCAACATGGTGAAACCCTGTCTCTACTGAAAATACAAAAATTAGTTGGGCATGGTGGCAGGCATCTGTAATCCCTGCTGCTTGGGAGGCTGAGGCAGGGAGACTTGCTTGAACCTGGGAGGCAGAGGTTGCCATGAGCCGAGATTGCGCCACTGCACTCCAGCTTGGGCAACAGAGCGAGACTCCATCTCAAAAAACAAACAAACAAAAAAAACAAAAAACCAGGCCGGGCGCTGTGGGAGGCTGAGGTGGACAGATTACCTGAGGTCGGGAGTTTGAGACCAGCCTGACCAACATGGAGAAACCCTGTCTCTACTAATAATACAAAAATTAGCCAGGTGAGGTGATGCATGCCTGTAATCCCAGCTACTTAGGAGGCTGAGGCACGAGAATTGCTTGAACCCGGGAGGTGGAGGTTGCGGTGAGCTGAGATCTCGCCATTGCACTCCAGCCTAGGCAAGAGCAAAACTCCATCTCAAAACAAAACACCAAGAAAAAAAAAAAATCAATAAAAATAATAAAAACCCAGCTTAATCAAATGGCTGTTGGTTGTAAACCTCAGTTCCTGGCTGTTTGGCCTTCCTCACAGAGCTACTTTTGAGTATCCTCACAATATAACAGCTATTTTTTTCCCAGAGTGAGGGATCCAAGAGAAAAGCTGCAATGCCTTTTTATGACCTAACATCAGAATTTACTCATCACGTCCTCCTTTTTCTGTTTGTTAGAAGGAAGCCCCTAAGTCAAGCCCGTGCTCGAGGCAAACAGAATTAGGCTTTATCTTTTGAAAGAAATGTCAGATAATTTGTGAACATATTTTACATCATCACAAGTACCAAGGCTAGTTATGAGGATTAGATGTGGATAATACACATAAGGTCCTAAGTATAGTGTCTATCATACAGCAAGTGTCCAATGAGTGTTAGACATTCCCATTATTCTGAGTCTTTCTGAGAGGCTTTCCCTACCCTCTACCTGCTGTACTCTCATTCCCTTTTACAGAAGCGGCAGAAGCTAGAGCCATCCCAAGTTGGGCTGGAGCGGCAGCTGGAGGAGAAAACAGAAGAGTGCAGCCGACTGCAGGAGCTGCTGGAGAGGAGGAAGGGGGAGGCCCAGCAGAGCAACAAGGAGTGAGTGCAGCTGGTGGCGCACCTCGGGCTGCTTGGGGGCCTAGGCCAGGTTTAGAGGCCACTCCCTCTTTGCCCCTAGGGTTGAAGGAGACAGAAGGAAATCTCCAGAAGCTGAAAGGGGCAGTGTTGGTTTAAGGACAGGATAGGGCCTTTCTCTCTACCTTCTTTATCAATAATGGTGGTAGTGCATGATTTGGAGTTAAGCTACCTGGGTTTGCCTCTGTCTCAGATTCTTAAGCTATAAAATAGACTTAATAATAGTACCTACCTCACAGGATCATTGTAAGGATTCAGTCATCCATTCAGCAGATGTTTCATCAAGAATGCTGTGACAGGCATTAATCTAGGTTCCCAAGACACATCAGTGAACCCTATAGATGAAGGGCTCGCTCTCCAGAAGCTTAGTTTCTACTGAGAGGGAACAGACAGTAAACAAACATATTTTGCAAGTAAATTTGTAACACACGAGAAGGCAGTAAATACAACAGGGTAAGGCAGATCAGGAGGGCCAGGTTGTAGCGGGGCAGGTTGCAAAAATCAGGGGAGGCCTCATCAAGATTTGAAGGAAGGAAGTTTAAATGCATTAATAAATATGAATTAAAATATATGATGCGTTTAGAGAACTGCCTGACACATAGTGTGCAATAATGTTATCTATTATTAGGCTCCAGAACATGAAGCGCCTCTTGGACCAGGGTGAAGATTTACGACATGGGCTGGAGACCCAGGTGATGGAGCTGCAGAACAAGCTGAAACATGTCCAGGGTCCTGAGCCTGCTAAGGAGGTGTTACTGAAGGTAGGGTCTGGGGTCATATGCCCCAGCCTCTGCTTTTTCTCAGTTGGAGCATCCTCAAGTCTGCTCATCCATGGTTTCCCCAAAGTATGAGGAGTGGGTGGCTGATTACAGGTACTCAGTGTGCTTTCAGGTAGATTCAATGGTGTGTTGGGACTAGAGTTAGGATAAAGGAAACCTATCATTCTGGGCTCCAGTACTGGTACTAGAGCACCTGGTACTGTGCCTAATACGATAAATATTTTTTGACTCAGTGAATTGATAAACAGATGGATTCTAATATGGTCACCCCTGTACTTCTTCCTTTATTTTCTCCAGGACCTGTTAGAGACCCGGGAACTTCTGGAAGAGGTCTTGGAGGGGAAACAGCGAGTAGAGGAGCAGCTGAGGCTGCGGGAGCGGGAGTTGACAGCCCTGAAGGGGGCCCTGAAAGAGGAGGTAGCCTCCCGTGACCAGGAGGTGGAACATGTCCGGCAGCAGTACCAGCGAGACACAGAGCAGCTCCGCAGGAGCATGCAAGATGCAACCCAGGCATGTGACAAGAGCAGGGTCTGAGAGAGGAGGGCACTGCTGGAGAACAAGGCTGCCTTGGGATCTTGGACTTTTGGACTTTTCATGGTTGCAACTGGGAACTCCCCCTCTCCTCCTAAAGGACACAGTGAGATCTGCTGAAAACCTTGGGCAGGAAAACTATAGGGGCAGAGGGAGGGAGTACAGGCCAGAAGTACCTTGAGGTTGTGTGACAAAAGTCCCAAGGGGGACTGGGTGCGGTAGCTCATGCATGTAATCCCAGCACTTTGGGAGGCTGAGGCGGGTGGACTGCTTGAGCTCAGGAAGTTAGAGACCAGCCTGGGTAACATGGAGAAACCCCATCTCTGCCAAAAATACAAAAACTTAGCTGGGTGTAGTGATGCGTACTTGTAGTCCTAGCTACTTGGGAGGCTAAGGCAGGAGAATCGCTTGAACCAAGGAAGCGGAGGTTGCAGTGAGCCGAGATCATGCCATTGCACTTCACCCTGGGCAACACAGCGAGACTCTGTCCCCCTAAAAATAAAAAGTCCCAAGGGGAAATAACTGGGGAGGTTTCCTGTAGATGATAGAGGGGTGGACTGTGACTTGAGGAGAGAATCTCTGCTAGCATTGTACCAGGTACCACAAGAGTGTCAGGGGGTGCACCTGGCATGGTGCCCTCTGGGTCTAAGCCTTTCCTTGTACACACTCACACTTTGATTTGAAGTGACCTCTTCCCTCTGAGCCTTCTGGTGTCCAACTCTCCCCTTCTCTAGGACCATGCAGTGCTGGAGGCCGAGAGGCAGAAGATGTCAGCCCTTGTGCGAGGGCTGCAGAGGGAGCTGGAGGAGACTTCAGAGGAGACAGGGCATTGGCAGAGTATGTTCCAGAAGAACAAGGAGGATCTTAGAGCCACCAAGCAGGAGTAAGGACATTGGCCCTCTCAGAAATACCCATGATTCATATGCCACTTCCTTTCTTTTTTTTAATTTTTAATTTTAATTTTAATTTTAATTTATTTTTTGGGACAGAGTTTCGCTCTTGTTTCCCAGGCTGGAGTGTCATGGCACGATCTTGGCTCACTGCAACCTCTGCCTCCTGAGTTGAACAGATTCTCCTGCCTCAGCCTCCCAAGTAGCTGGGATTACAGGCGCATGCCACTACGCCCAGCTAATTTTTGTATTTTTAGTAGAGATGAGGTTTTACCATGTTGGCCAGGCCAGTCTCGAACTCCTGACCTCAGGTGATCTGTCCACCTTGCCTCCCAAAGCACTGGGATTACGGGTGTGAGCCGCTGCGCCTGGCCCCCTTTCTCCTTTTTTTTTTTTTTTGAGATGGAGTCACACTCTGTTGCCCAGGCTAGAGTGCAGTGGTGCAGTCTTGGCTCACTGCAGCCTCCGCCTCCTGGGTTCAAGCGATTCTCCTGCCTCAGCCTCCCGAGTAGCTGGGATTATAGGCGCCTGCCACTAGGCCTGGGTTTTTTGTATTTTTAGTAGAGACGGGGTTTCACCATATTGGCCAGGCTGGTCTTGAACTCCTGACTTCGTGATCCTCCCACCTCGGCCCCCCAAAACGCTGGGATTACAGGCGTGAGCCACTGCACCCAGTCCCTTTCTTCTTTTTTTTGAGACAGGGTCTTGCTCTGTTGCCCAGGCTGGAGTGCAGTGGCACAGTCTGGGCTCACTGCAACCTCCACCTCCTGGGCTCAAGCCATCCTCCCACCTCAGCCTCCCGAATAGGTGGGACTATAGGCATGCACCACCACACTTGGCTAATTTTTGTATTTTTTGTAGAGACGGGGTTTCATTATGTTGCCCAGGCTGGTCTTGAACTCCTGGGCTCAAGTGATCCATCTGCCTTGGCCTCCCAAATTGCTGGGATTACAGGCATGAGCCACCATGCCTGGCCCACTTCCTTTCTATCTATGGTATGCTCTTACTCTCCCATTTCTCAAACTGCTCTTTTCCACGTTCACCTTCCTTCCTCTTGAGAGTTGGTGCCCAGCGTGTTGGCCTCCAGAGAGGTGGCTTTTATTGTCATGCTAACCTCCCCCAGGCATGTGGCCTTACTCTGTTCCCTTTCCCCTTTATTTCACCTTGCCTGGCTCAGACTCCTGCAGCTGCGAATGGAGAAGGAGGAGATGGAAGAGGAGCTTGGAGAGAAGATAGAGGTCTTGCAGAGGGAATTAGAGCAGGCCCGAGCTAGTGCTGGAGATACTCGCCAGGTTGAGGTGCTCAAGAAGGTATTTGGGAATTGGGGGGCAGAATGGTAGGTAGGGGTGATGAACACCTGCCTTACCTCTCCATGAGGGCCTTCTTGCTAGTGGGGCTATCTCCTGTGTGCTTGGTTTCCAGGCCTCATCCTGCCTGCTCAGCTTGATCTCTTTCCAGCACAGCAGCACCAGTCTCCTCATTGAGCATAGAGGTTTCTAATGGAAAGTGCTCTCAGAACCCAGGTTGGGGTATAGCCAGAGGCTGCTGGCCGACTCCCAAGAGACGTCATGGGTAGCAGCATTTAGGTGGATTTGTGAAACTCCAGGATGATTTTTGCAGGCTCAGAAATCTAATTTGGTCAGCATGGCAAAAGCTGCTTTGTCTTTCAGAGGGGTCTCTAACTACATTTATGAAAAAATGTTTACCATTAGAATTTCAGTTTATTAATTTACATTGAGAAATATCATCACATGGACTGGAATACTTGTGTTGGCATGGCCTGGTTACTAATGTAACAAAACTAATTAGCAAAAGAAAAATAGCAGAGTATATGGTATTACATTGAAGATTCACTACATATTATATAACCCTTTAGCCTAATTATGGTACTTTCTGAATTTCAGAAGTAGCTAATAGCTAATAATTAGAACCAGAACTCCTATTTTAATTTTCTTTTTAAAAGAAATCAGAGCTGTGCCAGCATTTATTGTGTCACACATTTTGGTTTTATACACACACACACACACACACACACACACACGAAAGACAAGTGGCAGCTGCAGGGATTGTGCTGACCTGTTCTGTCAAAGTCTCTCCAGGTTGCTCTTGCATGCAGTTGGAGATCCCATGGCCACACTATATATATATATATATTTTTTTTTTTTTTTTTTTTTTTGAGACGGAGTCTCACTCTGTCACCCAGGGTGGAATGCAGTGGCGTGATCTCGGCTCACTGCAAGCTCCGCCTCCTGGGTTCACGCCGTTCTCCTGCCTCAGCCTCCCGAGTTGCTGGGACTACAGGCGCCCACCACCACGCCCGGCTAATTTTTTTTGTATTTTTACAAAAAAAATACACGTACTCAGTGTTTCACCGTGAAACATGGTTTCACCGTGTTAACCAGGTTGGTCTTGATCTCCTGACCTTGTGATCCGCCCTCCTTGGCCTCCCAAAGTGCCGGGATTACAGGCGTGAGCCACCGCACCCAGCCTCACACTGTATTTTTTTTAAACAACCAGCCTTACTAGCCATACCTTCATGTACTCTCCCTTCATGGTATTTTTTTTTTTATGGAGTTATATTTTACATGCTATAAAAGTCATCTTTGTGTACAATCCAATGGGTTTTTTTTTTCTTTTTGAGATGGAGTCTTACTCTGCTACCCAAGCTGGAGTGCAGTGGCACAATCTCGGCTCACTGCAACCTCTGCCTTCTGGTTCAAGCCATTCTCCTGCCTCAGCTTCCCAAGCAGCTGGGATTACAGGCACACACCACCACGCCCGGCTAATTTTTGTATTTTTGGTAGAGACAGGGTTTCACCATGTTGTCCAGGCTGGTTTTGAACTCCTGACCTCAGGTGATCCACCCGCCTCAGCCTCCCAAACTGCAGGCATGAGCCACTGGCGCCTGGCCCCCAGTGGTTTTTATTATATTAACAAAGTTGTACAACCATCATCACTATTTAATTACAGAACATTTTCATTACCCCCTCAAAGGCGCCAAACCCATTAGCAATAATTCCCCCCACCCAATGGCAACCACTAATCTACTTTTTGTCTCTGGATTTACCTATTCTGGATATTTAATATAATTGAATCCTATAATATATGGGCCTTAAGGGTCTGGCTTCTTTCACCTAGCATAGTGTTTTCAAGGTTTGTCCATGTGGTAGCAAGTATGAGTACTTCATTCCTTTTTATGGCTGAATAACATTCCACTCTGTGGGTATACCGTGTTTAGTCCAGTCATCAATTCGTGGACATCTGGGTTGTGTATCCATCTGGGCTATAATGAATAATGCTACTATGAACATTCGCGTATAAGTTTTTTTGTGAACACATATTTTCGGTTCTCTTGGGTTACCTAAGAGTGGAATTGCTGGTGATATAAATGGTAAATCTGTGTTTAACTTTTTGAGAAACTGCCAAACTACTTTCCAAAGTGGCCACATCAGTTTTTATTCCCTTGGCAGTGTATGAGAGTTTCAGCTTCTCCACATTCAGGTATCTTAGTCTGGCTCTGGGTGCCCCATCACCATTCCCGTTTCCTTCCAGGAGCTGCTCCGGACACAGGAGGAGCTTAAGGAACTGCAGGCAGAACGGCAGAGCCAGGAGGTGGCTGGGCGACACCGGGACCGGGAGTTGGAGAAGCAGCTGGCGGTCCTGAGGGTCGAGGCTGATCGAGGTCGGGAGCTGGAAGAACAGAACCTCCAGCTACAAAAGACCCTCCAGCAACTGCGACAGGACTGTGAAGAGGCTTCCAAGGCAAGGGGAGTGGGCACAGGGCTTAGGAGGTGGAGGCTGAGGGTGTCTGGAGGGCTGAGGAGCCAGAGGGTGTGGAAAGTTACCTGTCATGGGTATGTACTGACCAGCTCCTGGGTCCTAGGCATGTGGTTCAAAGAAGCCAGGATTTGGCAGGGGGAGGATACCTGTATCTGTGTAGGGGTGGGATTCTCAGAGAAGCGTCTGGCTGGTGGCAGCTGCTCTCTTTAAGCCTCATTCTTATGGGCTGTCTTTGGGATGGCTTTCCTGGGTGTGGTCAATGGCCCCAAGCCCTGGGGTCTGAGCTGCCACGCCCTGGGGTCTGAGCTGCCACCCCCTGAACCGTCCTTAGGCTAAGATGGTGGCCGAGGCAGAGGCAACAGTGCTGGGGCAGCGGCGGGCCGCAGTGGAGACGACGCTTCGGGAGACCCAGGAGGAAAATGACGAATTCCGCCGGCGCATCCTGGGTTTGGAGCAGCAGCTGAAGGAGACTCGAGGTCTGGTGGATGGTGGGGAAGCGGTGGAGGCACGACTACGGGACAAGCTGCAGCGGCTGGAGGTCAGTGGTTCTGCCCTCCCAGCCCTCTCTGCTCAGCCCTGGTGAAATACTCCTATGCTAAGTAGTTAGCCATCAGTTTCACTTTGCCCTTAGTGTGCATCTGTTTTGCCTCCCCAAACCTGCTCTGTTAACCTTGGGTTTATTTCCTGGTGTATACTTTGGCGCCAATGTTCAGTCTTTGCACTGGTAGTTTTGTTTCTTATTTCTCACCCTTTGCTTGCTCTATGTGTCCTGATTTCTTTGCTAGGAGCCTGTTTTCATTGCACATCATTTTCATAAATACCTCCTTTCTCCTGCCCAGCTACCCACCTCCAAATGACTTGAACCCAAGTTTTACCTTTTCTCAGTCCAACCCTGCTTCCCTACCTCCCAGGCAGAGAAACAGCAGCTGGAGGAGGCCCTGAATGCGTCCCAGGAAGAGGAGGGGAGTCTGGCAGCAGCCAAGCGGGCACTGGAGGCACGCCTAGAGGAGGCTCAGCGGGGGCTGGCCCGCCTGGGGCAGGAGCAGCAGACACTGAACCGGGCCCTGGAGGAGGAAGGGAAGCAGCGGGAGGTGCTCCGGCGAGGCAAGGCTGAGCTGGAGGAGCAGAAGCGTTTGCTGGACAGGACTGTGGACCGACTGAACAAGGAGGTGGGGCATGGGGTATTCTGGGCCTTTAGGAAGAGGCCCAGCTCATCCAGAAGCTGGCCTGAGAGGACAGGGGCTTGGGGGAGAGGGGTTAGTCAGAATGTGTGATGATTATGGCCAGGTGCGGTGACTCACTCCTGTAATTCCAGCACTTTGAGAGGCTGAGGTAGGCAGATACCCGAGGTCAGGAGTTTGAGACCAGCCTGGCCAACATAGCAAAACTCTGTCTCTACTAAAAATACAAAAAATTAGCCGGGCTTGGTGGCTCATGCCTGTAGTCCCAGCTACTCAGGAGGGTGATGCAGGAGAGTCACTTGCACCCGGAAGGTGGAGGTTGCAGTGAGGCGAGATCATGCCACTGCACTTCAGCCTGGGTGACAGAGCAAGACTCTGTCTTAAGAAAAAAAAAAAAAGAATGTGTGATGTTTGCTTTCCTCAAGTTCATTGTTAGGAAGACCAAGACCAAATCTTCTGGAAGGGGCATCCTTCCTACCTCCCCTCCATGTTTTTGCTCTTTCCCTTACATCCTATTCCTTTATGGTCTTCATTCTTGGAGAACATCTCCTGGGATTCTCCCTTGGGAGTCTACAAAACCTAAATACAAGAATCTTCAATGGCCAGCTTGGGCAACATAATAAGACTCTGTCTCTACTTAAAAATAAAATTAGCCTGCTGTGGTGGCTTGTTCCTCAGTTTCTCTTTATAGATGGGGAATTGAGACCCAGAGAAGATAAGTAACTTGCCTATGGTTGCTAATTAGTGGTAGAGCCAGGATTTGAACCCAGACATCTGTATTCCCAGCTACTCGGAAGGCTGACGTAGGATTGCTTGAGCCCAGGAGGTTGAGGCTGCAGTGAGCTGTGACTGCCCCACTGCGCTACAGCAAGAGCCTGTCAAAAAAAAAAATCTTCATTGGTAGAATTTTAAATTTGGGTGAGGGGAAGGAGAAAAGAAAGAAAAAAGAAAAGGAAATAAATTGCTTTTGCTGCTAAGGTTCTCCTCCCAATCTTTTTGTAAAGCAAGAGCAAACACGTAATATGTTACATCAATTCTAAAGTGCACATTTTATCATTTGTCAATGAAAAATGCACATCTTATCATTTGTCAATGAAAAATGCACATCTTATCATTTGTCAATGAAAAATGCACATCTTATCATTTGTCAATGAAAAATGCACATTTTATCATTTCTGAAATAGAGTTGTGTCTTATACCTTATGGTATGTTATAGTTTAATTGGCATATTTTTCTTAGTGGTACGCCGTATAATCATTGGCACCTTGGGTTTGCTGAAATGGTCATTTAAGGCTTACTTTGTATCAGGCACTGTTGTAAGTACAGAACTTCACATAATTAACTAATGTAATTCTCACAACACCTTGTGATATAGTTACTATTTTTAATCCCATTTTACAGATGGGGGACTGAGACCCAGAGAGATAAGTAACTTGCACATGGTCACCAGTAAGTGGTAGAGCCAGGATTTGAACCCAGACATCTGTATATAACTATTAGCTATACTAGGAACCTAGGCCCAGGAAAGAGCAAGAGAGGGCTGCCTTGTCAGGAAGGAGACCCTTAGGGGAGAGTCTTGGGAGTCTGGGCCTGGAGAGGGTCATTTATGTACAGTGCTGAAGACCCTTTTCTCTGTGTTTCAGTTGGAGAAGATCGGGGAGGACTCTAAGCAAGCCCTGCAGCAGCTCCAGGCCCAGCTGGAGGATTATAAGGAAAAGGCCCGGCGGGAGGTGGCAGATGCCCAGCGCCAGGCCAAGGATTGGGCCAGTGAGGCTGAGAAGACCTCTGGAGGACTGAGCCGACTTCAGGATGAGGTAGAAGTCTAATATCCTTGGGTTTGAAGGTCCTTGCCTCTTTTTTTTTTTTTTTTTTTTTGTCCGAGACAGAGTCTCACTCTGTCGCCCAGGCTGGAGTTCAGTGGCGCGATCTTGGCTCACTGCAAGCTCTGCCTCCGGGGTTCACACCATTCTCCTGCCTCAGCCTCACAAGTAGCTGGGACTACAGGTGCCTGCCACCACGCCTGGCTAATTTTTTATATTTTCAGTAGAGACGGGGTTTCACCGTGTTAGCCAGGATGGTCTCAATCTCCTGACCTCGTGATCCGCCCTCCTCGGCCTCCCAAAATGCTAGGATAACAGGCATGAGCCACTGCGCCCAGCCCGGTCCTTGCCTCTTAACTGAACCTGTGGCCAAGGGTCCCTGGGGCCCAGGTTTAGGTCTAATGACTTGCAGGGTGGAGGAATATATTGTCTGTAGAGCAGTGATTTTCAAATTCTGTAGCTTAGAGCCACCTGAGGAGATTTTTAAAAATCCCCACACCCAGGCTGTATCCCATACCACTTCAGTCATCATCTCTGGGGATGGGATCCAGGATCAGAATTTAAAAAAACTCCTCAGGTGATTCCAAGTTGTGTAGAGACTTTAAAAACAATAAAGAAGCTGAGGACGGTGGCTCACGCCTGTAATCCCAGCACGTTGGGAGGCTGAGGCGGGCAGATCATGAGGTCAGGTGTTCAAGACCAGCCTGGCCAACATGGTGAAACCTTGTCTTTACTAAAAATACAAAAATTAGCTGAGCGTGGTGGTGCATGCCTGTAGTCCCAGCTACTCAGGAGGCTGAGGCAGGAGAATTGCTTGAACCTGGGAGGTGGAGGTTGCAGTGAGCCGCGATTGTGCCACTGCATTCCAGCCTGGGCGACAGAGCAAGACTCCATCTCAAAAAACAAAAACAAAAACAATAAAGGAAATTAATGAGGGCAGGTGCAGTGGCTCTTGCCTGTAATCCCAGCACTTTGGGAGGCTGTGGCGGGCAGATCACGAGGTCAGGAGATTGAGACCATCTTGGCTAACACGGTGAAACCCCGTCTCTACTAAAAATACAAAAAATTAGCCAAGCGTGGTGGCACATGCCTGTAGTCCCAGCTACTCGGGAGGCCGAGGCAGGAGAATCACTTGAACCTGGGAGGTGGAGATTGCTGTAAGCTGAGATCGCACCACTGTACTCCAGCCTGGGCGACAGAGCGAGACTCCATCTAAAAAATGAAAAAAAAAGAAAATGGATGAAAAGTCAGTTTGCTTTTTATTGTCATCATGCCACTGGTAATTCTAAAGAGTGACAGTGATGAAATGTTTCTGCCCACTGGGCTGGACTGCTCCTGCCCCTCAACCCTCACCTTCTCACTACACTGAGCTGTGGCATTTTTACCCCCTGCCCAGATCCAGAGGCTGCGGCAGGCCCTGCAGGCATCCCAGGCTGAGCGGGACACAGCCCGGCTGGACAAAGAGCTACTGGCCCAGCGACTGCAGGGGCTGGAGCAAGAGGCAGAGAACAAGAAGCGTTCCCAGGACGACAGGGCCCGGCAGCTGAAGGGTCTCGAGGTGAGGGCACTGAGGTGTGACCTGTGGAAAAAGGGTGGGACTTCCAAGCCTCTTTCTGTACTAGCGGTCAAAACCGACAGCCCACAGTTGATGAGTTTTGTTTGGCTGCAGTATTTTCAACAACTTTGAATCAATTGCCAATGTTTAGAAATTTATAGAGGTCACCTAAAAATTTGGATTTCTAGTTTCTTTTGTATTTGGCAGATATGGTAATACTGAGTGTCTTGTCCTGAGTCTGCATGGCAACAGTTGGCTGGAGCTGAGCAGTGGGTTTCCCCTTTAGAGTGAACAGTATTCTTCAGTTTGCTATATTTGATAATAATAATAGCAGCAGCAAACATATTGTGCTGTGTGATAGGCACTTAAGACTTAATCCTCAGAATAACTCTGTGGGGTAGGTAGTCTTGTTTTCTCCATTTTACAGATGAAGGAAACTGAGGCACAGAGAGATGAACTTGTCCATGGTCTACTGCCAGGAAGTGGTAAATCTGATTTTCAGACTGGACAGTCTGGTCCCATGTACATACTCTTAGCCTCTACGTGGTACTGCCTCCAGTACCTCAGTTTCTGAGTCTCTTCACCTCAGCCTTGGCCCAGGTACTTGGGTTTCTCTCTCTTTTCCCATTAGAGAAATAAGGTTTTCCAATGAAGAGTAGATTCTGGGGTTTGCCTTTCTGTCAAAGGGCCGTCACCAGAGCATGGCCCCGACCTGCCCATGATGCCACATCTGGTCAGTAGAGGGCGCTGGCTCCATAGTGGCTCTGGGTCCAGGCAAGTACCAAAAGGTTACTGGGATGTGCAAGAGAGAAAAGTCTGTTAATGCTGGAGTTTGAGAGGCTCCTGGTCTGAGTTTGGCATTCTGGTGTCCAGCATTTGGGACAGAATTACTTGTTCTTCTGTCCTAGGAAAAAGTCTCACGGCTGGAAACAGAGTTAGATGAGGAGAAGAACACCGTGGAGCTGCTAACAGATCGGGTGAATCGTGGCCGGGACCAGGTAACCGCCCCCACCCCTCATCTCTGTTTACCCCTGACTGCATCACCTCTTGGTTCTCTCAAAAACAACTCTACCCTCCCATCTTTCATCATCTGGCTGCCGAATCTGTGCGTGGCTGGGTCTCCTTCAGGGTTTTGTCTGCTTTGGGAAAGGTTGGCCAGTTTCCTTGGGTGGAAAGAAGCCAATGATTTGCATGGAGGAAGGGATCCTGGTGGCCTGGGCTGTTCTCTGACCTGAATTGGGGCTTCTTTGGTTTACAAGGGATACTAGTTCCTGGAGGGACGAAGGAGGCTCTGTTTGCATTCTCTGGCCCCTCCCATTTGAATAGGCTGTGATTTTTTAGTTGCCTGGGAATTTTTGGATTCAGGGTTCAGAGACCATCCTCCCATGACTCAGCCTCACTTTGTTCAGCTTGCTGGTTCATCCTTAGCCCTCCCCAAGTCTGGTCCTCTCACCCATCCCCACTAGGTGGATCAGCTGAGGACAGAGCTCATGCAGGAAAGGTCTGCTCGGCAGGACCTGGAGTGTGACAAAATCTCCTTGGAGAGACAGGTGATGGGGGAGGGGAGGATTCTTAGGGATGGACCCCAGGAGGTGAGTAAAATGGCCAGTGGAGTGCTAACTGTGGAGGCTTCCTGTCCCTCTCAGAACAAGGACCTGAAGACCCGGTTGGCCAGCTCAGAAGGCTTCCAGAAGCCTAGTGCCAGCCTCTCTCAGCTTGAGTCCCAGAATCAGTTGTTGCAGGAGCGGCTACAGGCTGAAGAGAGGTGACATAAGCCTATCCTTCCTCCCTTCCTCCCTCCTTTTCTTCCTCCCTCCCTCTTGGCTTTTCTCCTCTGTGGCTCCCTCCATCTTCCACCTCAGATATGGCCAGCCTGGCCTGATCTTTAGGGAACACTTTCTCCTGATAGAGAGCAAAGAGTGTTGCAGAAATTCTGAAATGTGAATGACGTCACTCTCCCTCATTCTTTGAATCTGCCCTGGATCCTGCCCAGTCTAATGGTGGAGCTCATGGCTGAGAGGAGTCCTTGGGGACAGTAGGGGGCCAAGTTAGGATTCCCTTAGAAATGGGGACACTCATAGACATTCTTCTACCTCACCTTAGGGAGAAGACAGTTCTGCAGTCTACCAATCGAAAACTGGAGCGGAAAGTTAAAGAACTATCCATCCAGATTGAAGACGAGCGGCAGCATGTCAATGACCAGAAAGACCAGGTGAGGACATGGCACCCTGGAGCCAAGCAACCTGGGGCAGGTATATATTATATGTTTTCCTGAAAGCCAAGGGAGGCCCTTATCTCCTATAGGTCCTCCAAACTTAGACTTTCCTTGTATAAGGACAGAGATTAGATTGAAAAGACTAGACTAGAGAAGTCATGGTAAGCGTATATATTGAGTGCTTATGATGTGCTAGGTTCTGTAAGTATTACACATGTGTTAATACATTTAATCCCTAAGACAACCATGTGAGGTTAAGGAACTTGCCCAAGGCCACATTTTTCCAGCGGCAATTATACCTTGTCAAGATTGTTATGGGGGAGGGTCCCAGGCCATGGTAGTAGATGCTATTCAGATGTGTGGACTTGGTATCCTGCCCAGCTAAGCCTGAGGGTGAAGGCTTTGAAGCGTCAGGTGGATGAAGCAGAAGAGGAAATTGAGCGACTGGACGGCCTGAGGAAGAAGGCCCAGCGTGAGGTGGAGGAGCAGCATGAGGTCAATGAACAGCTCCAGGCCCGGATCAAGTCTCTGGAGAAGGACTCCTGGTATGGGCTACCCTTTTGCCCTTGCTCCATAGGGACACTAGAGCAGGGAGGGAATGGTCTCTCCTGTGCTGGATAAGGAGGAGAATCTCTAACATGGTACTGTGTAGTCACTTGTTTCTGGTTGGAAGCCAGTATATTTATTTATTAGTATCTCAGCCACCATCCTGTACCTCCCCAAATCTGATTAGTTGGGGATTTTGTGAATAAACTTTAGGCCTTAGAAGAATTGGGGTTTCCTTTGTACAAAAAGGGTGGCTGTCTTAATATTTCTATTTTCCCCTCCCCAACCATTATTCTTCTCTCTGAGTCAGGCGCAAAGCTTCCCGCTCAGCTGCTGAGTCAGCTCTCAAAAACGAAGGGCTGAGCTCAGATGAGGAATTCGACAGTGTCTACGATCCCTCGTCCATTGCATCACTGCTTACGGAGAGCAACCTACAGACCAGCTCCTGTTAGCTCGTGGTCCTCAAGGACTCAGAAACCAGGCTCGAGGCCTATCCCAGCAAGTGCTGCTCTGCTCTGCCCACCCTGGGTTCTGCATTCCTATGGGTGACCCAATTATTCAGACCTAAGACAGGGAGGGGTCAGAGTGATGGTGATAAAAAAAAAAAATCATCAGCAATAAGCTGATAGATGGACTTTCCACTGTAGGAGTGGACATTTCAAGCCAACTGAGCCTTTTCCTCAAGTGCCGACACCTCCCTCATCTCTCTTATAGTGGAAGGATGGTCAGCATTAGGCTGATGGGGACTGAGAAGGATAGGAAGGGATAGAAATTGCCATGTGTATAAAGCTTTATTCTTTAGCCCTTAACCCTAAGGCTCAGGGAAATACCCTATGTTATTGTGCTCCCTGGATTCCTGCAACTCATTTTCCTTCCACTCTGGAGCAGGGTGAGGGGAATGTTATGGGTAACAGACATGCAGGCATGGCTCTACCCATTTCTTTGCACAAGTATGGGGCCCATGTGGTAGTCCCCATACCCCTCCAGTTCCTATATTTTTGTCTTCTTCCTTTCCCCTCTTTGCCATTCCTACCTTGCATTTTTCCTGTCAGTGCCTTAGCCAAGGCAAGGAGATAAGGATGCTCTTCTTGCTTTTTATATCTGCACATTCATACCTCTCCAAAGACCAGCTTTTCCCCAGCCAGGGCCCTCAGCCTTCCCTGCTGCCCCAGTGATTGATTGAGAGAGCTGTTGGGGTTTCTCTGCCAATGACCCCTGGGAGAGGGACTTTGGTAGGGTCATGATAAAGTGGCGGGGGTCTGGTCCTGCTCAGGGTTTTCATCCTTCCTCCTCTCCCTCCTCTGTGACTGTGGATATGGTTATAAGGTGGTTGCACCTGGGAGCCCTGACAACTGGCTGCACAAATTCCAAAAGTAAAGGTGTCAGTCCCTGTGGCCTTCCTTGGGGCTTCTCTGACCACATGTGCCCAACTTCAATAAGAGAACCAAGGGACCCTCATTTTCTGAGGTGCTTGGCTCTGATTCAGGGCTTTGCAAGGGGTTAGAAGCTGACTGTAAAAATGGGAAGAGGCAACGGAAGACATTTATTTCTCCTTTGGATTTTGGGGAGAACCAAGCCCTGGTAGGGAAGAGGTAAGGGGGATGATTCACCTCCATATTTCCTAAGCAGGTTGTATAGGGAGCCGGTGGCAGGAGGAAGGCTGTTTTCACAAATGACTTGTAATGTCGTGATTAAAAAAATTCCTATATTCTTCTGCAAATCAAACGTTCTTTCCCAATCCAATCCAGCCTTGGTTTTATTTTAAATTAAATATTAAAATTACACATTTATATTGAAATCCTTGGTTTGTCTTCTCATTCTTTTTCTTGGCATATTTGGAGGTCCAGATTTTATGAAGTCATATTAACTGTACAGCTTAGGAGCCGAAGCTGGAGTTTTCTTCACCTGACTTTTCAGAGGCCCTTTAGAACAGAGCAGATGGGACCTACGAAACCTGGAGATGTTTATAGCAGCCCCATTCTCTTCTCTCCTGAACAACCTTCTGGGAAGAACAAGGACAGTAAATGCCTTTTTTTTTTTTTTTTTTTTGAGACGGAGTCTCACTCTGTCACCCAGGCTGGAGTGTAATGGCATGATCTCAGCTCACTGCAACCTCTGCCTCCCGGGTTCAAGCGATTCTCCTGCCTCAGCCTCCTGAGTAGCTGGGATTACAGGCGCGTGCCTCCACACCCAGCTAATTTTTGTATTTTTAGTAGAGATGGCGTTTCACTGTGTTGGTCAGGCTGGTCTCAAACTCCTGACCTTGTGATCCGCCCACCTCGGCCTCCCAAAGTGGTGGGATTACAGGCATAAGCCACTGCGCCTGGCCAGCAGTAAATGCCTTTTTGAGGGTTAGAGTAGAACAGACCAGAACTGGGTTTTATTCCCTTGGGTCATAGTGATAACCCCAGCATTCACTTCCCAGGTAGAAAAATCCTCATTCATTCCTAACTGACATAGGACCCAGTCCCTAACTGGGAGGTAGGGACATTTCTGCTGTTCCTGCCCTAGTGTTGCCTTGAAGAGGGAGCTGGCCCTTCACTAGAGCCTATTGCCAGGTATAGGAGTACTATCCCTTCAGGAGTGGGTCAGACCTCCTCCTAAAGTATTCTGTCTGCTGTCTCTGTGGACCACAGCCAAGTGAAGAAGCCATCTGCCAAGAGCAGCTGGGCGGGGACGAAGCTCCAGGGTCCTGCTTGGCCAACCCTCTCTTCTAGGCCCTCAAGATCCCAGCCTAGGCTTGGGGAGAAAATGCAACTGGAAAAGTCAAGGCTCATCCTTTCTCACGAACACAAATTCCTTTTAAGGCAATGTGTCCCGCCTCTCCCAACTATATAAGGGCAGCGTCAGTAAAAGAGCTTCTGCAAAACAAGCCCCACCCAGAGCCTAAGCTGACTGGGCCTCCTGGGCCTCTTGCCAAGGAAGTGCACCTGCCAGACTGGCTTAGGCCAGTCTGAGTGAGCTGGACCTTGGTGCCTGCCTTTCTGCGGTGGAGGAAAGGTTTACTCAGCTCCACAAAGCCTACAGGTGGCTTACGTATAGGGAGAGGAGCATGTATGGAAGGAAGCTTTTGCAGGTTCCAACTCCTCATCCACTAGGAGCAGGCAGGGTGATTCCCTCTGACCAACACTGATCTTGGAAAGATGGAAAGCGACAAGATTAATGAAGAATGTGCAACCACATACTCCAGATAAAGCTGTTCAGTTAAAGCAGCCCCATGTCGCTCCCAAGCCCCACCTTTGTGTAAATCTATGCGAGCACCGATGGGGCATGTCCCAGACCCATTGGCTCCGCCCACCTCACCTCCTCGCCTATCGTTAGTTCTCTGCGAAACCGCGAACTGGGGGCGCGGCCTATCTTCAGCCCCGCCCCTGATGGGCCTATACAAGGGGGCGGTTCCGCGCGCGCCCGCCCAGTTGGAGCCAGACAGCGGGGTGGACAAGTGGCGTGTGTGCTGCGACCCCGAGGGAAGATGAACGGGACGCGGAACTGGTGTACCCTGGTGGACGTGCACCCAGAGGACCAGGCGGCGGTAAGAAAAAGCGCTCTCGCTGTCTTCTCCGTTTTGTATTCCCGGTTTCTAAGTCCGCCCCTTCCGTGCCCCGCGCCGTGTTGGCTGACATCACCTGGTGCCCGGCTCGCGCGGTCAGCCCTGCGCGGCGCTTCTCTCTTTTTATTCTTTTGCCTGCGACGGGCAGTGGGAGTCGCGGGGTGAAGACTCCTTTGAGGCTGGAGGGTTCGGGGCGTCCCTGCCCTTTGGTAGGACACTGCGGCTCCTGCCTGGGACTCGGCGCCGGCGAGCCCGTGCTTGGGCCGCGGGTCTCAGGCGTCTTTTGGGCAGCCACATTGGGTCATAAGAGAATGAGCTCAAGCGACTGGGTCCCTGAGCGCCTTTGGACGTTGTGTCCTGCCGAGGAGGCTTAGGCTTTCCCGTGGGTCGAGGGTCCTGGTGACCTCCGAGGCCCTCCAAAGAATTTCATCATGGTGCTTTGGATGATCAGTAACAAGAAAAATGGTAGAGTAAATTACAGGGCTTGGACTGGAGGGCGGGGGGCAAGTAGGGGACGGTAGGACTCAAACTATTCCGAGATTGGCTAGGGACTCTACCTTTCGCTAAGGGATAGGGCTTTCCGCCCGGGGGTCACCTCTTGTCTTGGATTTCTCCTTCTTCCCCCTTGTAGTTCTCTTGTTTTCCTCCCTCTATCTGCCTGCCGATAGCTTCCTGGGACGGTGTGTTAGTTTTGCTTCCGTCTCCAGCCGCCAGGCCCTGGGATAGTGGAGGAAGGGGATGCAGAACCCGGGCCGAGAAGGGGAGGGAAGTGACCCAAGCGAAGGCTTCTGGACGGGGAGAGGGTTGCGGAGAAAGGGGGCGTTCTCCAGTGCAGGCTGGTCTACCCCTCTCTCCTCTTTCTCTGGCTCCCAGTCCCAGTTCTCCCCACCCTAGCTGACCATATGGTTTTTCCTCTCCAGAGGCTGAGGAGGGTAATTTGTGGCTGAGTGTTTCTAGGCTCTTTTGGGGAACTTAACCCAGATTAGGTGTGTACTATTTCATCAATTTCCAAGCTATTGTGGGTGGGAGTGAAATGAAAACTAAGGTGATGGGGAACTTGTGTATCATCCCCCCTCCCACATCTGACTCCCTTACTCTCTGCCTGCCTCATCCTGCTCTTGAGGTAGAGCTAACCCAACTGCAGCTAGATTATGGCTCTTCTTCAAACTCATTTCAGGTTTAGAATACAGATGGTCATTTAGTTCTTTTCCCAGTCCCCTCTCCATTTCTGCCTGGGCTATGAGTGTTTTTGCCACATTAAAATACAGATGTTGCTATTGGCCAACCCCAGTTGCCCAAACCCCATTCTTCTGTAGCCTGCCACATCCCCAGCTATGAGACTCTGAAGAGATGGAAGAAATCTATCCATTATGTGTCAGCCACAAGTCCTACTCCCTGCTCTTTGTTTTTAAGCGACGAGTGTCTTGCTATGTTGCCGGAGCTGCAGTACAGTGGCTCTTCACGGGTGCAATCATAGCACACCACAGCCTTGAACTCCTGGCCTCAATCCTTCTGCCTCAGCCTCCTGAGTAGCTGGGACTTCAGATGCACACCACCTATAGCTTCTCTTCCATGCTCTTGCTCTCTCTTTTGGAATAGTTGAGGGAAAAGGGTATGAGATAAATAAAGGAGAGGGATGTTTGGGCTGCTTTTTGCTTGCTTGCTATATAGAAAAGAGATCCGGAAAGAAGTCTAAGACCAAGTTGGCACTGGCAGTGTTAATGAATCATTAACCTCTACTATTTTTTTTCTTTCTTCCTTTCTTTTCTTTTCTCTTTTCTTTTCTCTTTTTTTGAGACAGGGCCTTGCTCTGTTGCCCAGGCTGGAGTGCAATGGCATGATCTCAGCTCACTGCAACCTCCACCTCCTGGTTTCAGTAGATCCTCCTACCTCAGTCTCCCCAAGTAGCTGAGACTGTAGGCACATGCCACCACACCTGACTAAAATTTTTTTTTTTTTTTTCTGTTGGTAGAGATGGGATTTCACCATGTTGCCCAGGCTAGTCTCGAACTCCTGGGCTCAAGCAGTCTGCCCACCTTGGCCTCCCAAAGGCTTGGGATTACAGGCATGAGCCACTACATCTGGCCCCTTTTACTCTTTCTTGATGTTTTTGCTCTTTGTCTGGTGGGGCAGAAAAAATTACTAAGAGAAAATAATGGACAAGGAATTCAGATGGTCTCCATCATAGGTTAGTTTGAAGCTAACCAGAGACCTCTAGAGCAAGGGAGAGACAGAAATTCCCTTTTATTCCTTTTTTCTAGGCTGAACTTGAGACTTATTTTACTCCAGAGCTGGGAATGAAGTAATCATTGCCCAGATCTGATCTTGGAGACATTCCTGGGCCCTTAAGGGAGGGGAGGAGATGGTGAACAGTCGGGACACAGGCCTTGTCCTGGATTCCTCTTCTCTGAGCCAACTTGCAGACAGAATTTATGGCTCTGGACAACCCCCAGGAATCTGTCATATATTCACACCACTGAATGGGTGCTCAATTCATGTGCAAAGTGAGTCAATAAATAAATGAACAGATGTTTCTTCCGGAGTCAGAATGTAGACAGTTGAACTGATTAGAGATCCTACTGGGAGTGAGGGCCCTGGGACTCTGTTGGTGTTTCCCCACTAGCCAGGCAGTGTGCCTTAGCGTATCACATGTGGACATGGACATAGGGCCAATACACTCTCTGGGATGTTTTTATTGTTGGAGGCAGATGCAGCAGGTACAAGGAGCCAGTGTTTTTCAGAACTGCAGACCATAACCAGTAGTGGGTCTGAGATCAACTTAGTAGGTCAGACCAGTATTAAAAAAGAAATAGAATTAACACTCTTAGAGTGTTAGTGAGGATAGACATTTTTGGTAGAACTTTTATTTCAGTTATATATATATGTGTGTGTGTGTGTGTGTGTGTGTGTGTGTGTATTATATATGTACGTGTTTGTTTACTGGGTCTTGATGTGAAATATGTTTTTGAGATTGAAAAGTTTTGCAAGCCACTGTGGTAAGTTATATTGGCAAATAAAAGAACAAATAAACACCAAACTCCTTTTTACTAGATATTTCCATTAACTTCCTTTGGTTATAAACAACAGAGAATGACTCCAGCTAAACTAAGCAGATGAGGAAATTATTAGAAGGAAATAGAGCAGTTCACAGAATTTAAGGGAAAGCTTAGAAAGCCCTAACCAAGGATGTTCTGGGGCCTGGGTAAGTGGAACGATGGAGGCTTACTACTATTGGTGAATTGGTTCCAGCTGTTTTAGGTCTCTGCACCATTATGCTCAAGATTCCAGGGAGAGAGTACCATTGTCCCTTGGCCCCCAGTTGTCCAGAGCAGGACAGGGTTCCTTGACTGATAGGCCCCCCCCAGATTACAGTGATGGAAGGAGATTCTCCAAAGACCCAAGTGTTGTTATCAGTGGAGGGGAATGGAAGCTGCGTGGCAAAAGAACAGATGTCTATGACATTAGACTTTACCATGGATGATCTCTGATTTCATTTCCCTCCTTCCCTCTCTTCCTTCTTTCCATCCTTCTTTAAATCACTTTTTTTTTTTTTTTTGAGACAGGGTCTCACTCTGTTGCCCAGGCTGGAGTGCAGTGGTGTGATCATAGCTCACTGCAGCCTTGAACTCCTGGACTCAAGGGATCCTTTCACCTCAGCCTCCCAAGTAGCTGGGACCACAGGCATACTCAACATGTTTAGCTAATTTTTCATTTTTCGTAGATATGGGTTCTCACTATGTTGCCCAGGCTAGTCTTGAACTCCTGGTTTAAAGTAATCTTCCTGCCTCGGCCTCTCAAAGTGCTGGGATTACAGGTGTGCACCACTGCACCTGGCCTTAAATCACCTTTTTTTTGGGCGGTGGGAGGGGGAGGATGGAGTCTCACTCTGTCACCCAGGCTGGGGTGCGGTGGCACAATCTTGGCTCACTGCAACCTCCATCTCCCTGGTTCAAGCAATTCTCCTGCCTCAGCCTCCCGAGTAGCTGGGATTACAGGCATGGGCCACCATGCCCAGCTAATTTTTGTACTTTTACTAGAGATGGGGTTTCATCATGTTGGCCAGGCTGGTCTCAAACTCCTGACCTCAAATGATCTGCCCGCTTCGGCCTTCCAAAGTACTGGGATTACAGGCGTGAGCCACCGTGCCTGGCCTCTTAAATCACTTTTTATCAAAGGAGTTTCACTCTTGTTGCCCAGGCTGGAGTGCAACGACGTGATCTCGGACATTTAAAATCACATATGTGCATGATTTTAAAGTATCAAAGTATCAATAATATCAAAAGGCTTTTAAAAGAAAATAGCAGTCCCCTGCTCCAAGTTCTGCTCCATGGAAGTAACCACTTTCTACTCTTTGAGCTGTTTTGTGTTTACCTCCATGTTTCTAAATAATATGCTTACAGTGATTTTAATTGATTTATCAGTTTTAGACATCTATTGACTTCTGTTGTAGGAATTATAGGAAAATCTATACTCCCACCCCTGACATGCTTCCTTCCCATCCTCCCAGTGTAATTGTATTACAATTTTTGGTAATGTAATAAACTAGTTTCTGTTAATAGCATTGTGGTCAAGAGCATGGCTCTGGGCTGAGTGCAGTGGCTCACGTCTGTAATCCCAGCACTTTGGGAGGCTGAGGCAGGTGGATCACCTGAGATCAGGAGTTCGAGACCAGCCTGACCAACATGGCAAAACCCCATCTCTACTAAAAATACAAAATTAGCCAGGTGTGGTGGTGCGCACCTATAATCCCAGCTACTTGGGAGACTGAGGCAGGAGAATCATATGTACCCAGGAGGTGGCGGTTGCAGTGAGCCGAGATCACGCCATTGCACTCCAGCCTGGGCAACAAGAGTGAAACTCCGTCTCAAACAAACAAAAAAAAGAGCATGGCTCTGGGAATCTGACTAAGGTGGGCTCTAATCAGGCTTTGATGTCTGCTTTGCCCAAGCTCACTTAGGCAAATTACTTAATTTCTTCATTCTTAGTTTTCTCACTTGTAAAACTGGGATAATAATTGCACCCTTCTCATAAGGTAGTTGTGAGGATTAAATTAGATAATACACATAAAATATGAAGCACAGTGCCTGGCATGTGGTAAGTACTCAGAGGTTAGCTATTATTTTCTATTTCTACTGGCTTAGACTAGACTGTTTTAACCTCCTATAAGCAACCAGCCAAGGGATGGAGGAAGAGTCTGGGAACTCTCTGGTTTGGGCAAGGTTTGCTCCTCCTCATTATGCTGACTTTTGTTTATTCCTGTTTCTTTCTCGTTTCCTTGATGATCCAGGTCCCTCAACCAGTGGAGAGTCCCAGGGGTGAGAGGAAGGCCTACAGATAGACCCAGGGTGAAGACCTGAGTAACCTTTGCTAGTCCTGACTCAGCCAGTACTGGTCTTAGACTGGTGATGGGTCAGGGTTCATATTTTGGCATCTCTCTCTGGGCATCTTTCCTCTTCTTTTTTAGACCTCATGACCAAGGCAGCTGGTGTCCCCTGCTGCTCTGGTTTCTTTAAGTAATATATCAGTTTTATCTTTCTTTCGAATATTTGCATTTTTTTCTTTTTTTTTTTTTTCTACAGCATCTTTTTATTGTCTTTACCATTACTTTAATGCATTTTAAAATTTATCTACATTAATTGGGAACTATTTGCATTTTTTTCATCCTCTCTCTCTTTTTCTTTTTCTTTTTTTGGATTTGTCTTGGCCAGAGAGGTTCTCCAACACCCGGGTGGACTTGGAATTTTTTTATCAGCTGCAATCTGAAGACTTGTCTTTACTGTGGAATAGGTGACATTCCTTTAGGACCTCAGAAGCTCAAGTAGTTTAATGCCAAGTCTTTCCAGAGCCTCACTCTCTTTTATTTTTTAAATTAGAATTGTGATTTATTGAAGCCTTACCATGAGCTTCATATAATTTTTTATGAACAGCTTTATTGAGATATAATTCATATACCCCATTTAAAGTATGTAACTCAGTGGTTTTTAGTACATTCACAGAGTTGTGCAATCATCAATAAATCAATTTTAGAACATTTCCTTACCTTATAAAGAAATCCTGACCCATTAGCAGTCACTCCCCATTTCCCCCCAATCTCTCTCAGCCCTAGGCAGCCACCAGTCTACTTTTTTTCTCTATGGATTTACCTATTGTGGATATTTAATATAAATGTAATCATCGGTATGTGATCCTTTGTGACTGGCATCTTTTATTAGAATGATGTTTTCAAGGTTCATCCATGTTGTAATGTGAATCAGTACTTCATTCCTTTTTATGGCTGAATAATATTCCATTATTTAGATGTATTACAACTGTGTTCGTCATGGATAAATGTTGGTGGACATTTGGGTTCTTTCTACTTTTTGGCTATCATTTATAATGCTGCTACGAACTTTGGTGTACAAGTTTTTGTGTGGAAATATATTTTCATTTCTCTTGGAGAGGAATACCTAGGAGTGGGATTGCTGGGTCAGAATATTTGCATTTTAAAGGAGGATTCATCTGTAGCCATTGCTGCTTACTCCAGAGGACTGAATGTATTCTAAAATGTGGAAGTCCTGGTTCTGTGACATCTGAGTGTGGGGAAAAACTGCTGGGCAGAGGAGCCTTTCAAGTTTGGTGGCTGCCTGTTCCTTCTACTCATGAAACTTGTCCTAAACTCAGCCCATAAATTTCTCCTCACACCATCCCATCTCTCCCATTTATTGCCAGGTTCTTACTTTCAGGAGCACTGCATTTTTCTGATGTCACCAAGGCTGCCAGGAATTTGGGGAATGCTGGGCTTTGCCAGAGAAGGAGGGATCTCCTCTGAGCGAGGAGAGTTACCTCATCATCAGGCATTTGGCACTAACATTTGCCCATAGTTCTCCAGGGTGGAGGGGGGCGTGCACCCAGATGGTTTCAGTTCCAGACACGTGTGCTCAGAGAGGTGGGATGAGCTTCCTTGCCTGCTAGTAATTATGGTGCATGCCTCTTTGGGTCAAGGTGCAGAGGCTTGTGAAATACCTTTGTTTTCTAGGGGTTGGGAAGGTTCAGTTGCGGAAATAGGTATGTGCCAGGAAGGCTGGTGGCCCAGATTTAAGCCTGGCCAGCAGAGGCAGGAAGTGGAGGAGACAATATAGGGTAAGAAGGGGATGAGTCGATGAAGGAAGAAAAGAGACGTGGTTTTCTTGGGTCTGGGAGCACAGAAGCAAAAATCACTAAGCAGGTAGTCAGAGACTAGAGAGGGCAGAGCCACTCCCTTTGATGCAGAGGGGGCACTGAGGAACTTGCCCTTTCATTCCAGGTTTGCTGGTCGCTAGGCAGGTGTCCTAGAGTGAGACTGGCTTAGCAAGTGGGTGTCTCCTTCAGAGTTGGTTCAGGAGCTCACTTCCCTCTACAGACACACTGTCACTGCTAGGCCCTAGTGTTTTCCTTTGTTAGGGCTCCAAGTAATGAGAAAGGCTGCCCCATGTAGGGTGCCACCTCAAATCCTTTTTCTCATTTCACCTCACAGTAACCCTGGTGAGCCCTCTACATAGTGCCTGTCCAGCCCATGCCTCTGGGTAGGCAGCCACATAAAAATCAAACACCTGTTTTGTTGGCTAATCTGGGGAGGAAGAAAGGGAGTGATTCTTTGTGTCATACTCCACAAAGGGCCATCTCTGGCCTAGGCAGCACTGCAGAAGGCAGGACCATGTACCTGAGACTGATGAGCTGAGTCGGGTGCGAGCCTCACTCAAGGAGAGGGTAGAGAGGGTAGGTACCCACCTATCCCATCCGGCTCTGTTCTTTGAGTTTATGGGACTTCCTTCATCCTGATCACTTGGGTGCCATTGTTACAAGGGGCTGGCTATTCCTACTTTTCTTTTTTCTTTTTCTTTTCTTTTTTTTTTTTTTTTGAGACGGAGTCTTGCTCTGTCACCAGGCTGGAGTACAGTGGCCCAATCTTGGCTCACTGCAGCCTCCACCTCCCAGGTTCAAGTGATTCTCCTGCCTCAGCCTCCCAAGTAGCTGGAGCTACAGGCGTGCGCCACCACGCCCAGCTAATTTTTGTATTTTTAGTAGAGATGGGGTTTCATCCTGTTGGCCAGGATGATCTCAATCTCTTAACCTCGTGATTCGCCTGCCTTGGCCTCCCAAAGTGCTGGGATTACAGGCTTGAGCCTCCGTGCCCAGCCTCCCATTTTTCAAAGTGGGGAAACTGAAGTGACTGCTCCTCCAGCAGCTTGAGAGGCCATGTACACTTGGGGTGGGAAAGTGGGTGGGATTGAGGGGCAAAGTGAGGGAAGAGTGGGATACAGGGTGAAGATGAATTAAGGTTGCTGGTTTCCAGCTCAGGGGCAATCTCCACTTCCTTTACTTCCTCTTAGAAAGAACCTTACACTTGACTCCTACCCAGTCCTAGTGACCCCTGTAAAACCTGGGGAGTGAGAGCTGGGGGAACGCAGGCTTTTCCCTATTCACATGAGCCTGTGGTGTGAGAACTCTGCACCTCTCTCCTTATTTCCCTGGGGCCTCCCTGTTTATCTCCTTATCTCTGCTGTGGCGTCTTGATCTCTAACCCCTCAGCTATGTGTTTACCCCCTCCCTGCTTTGAGGAGTGAGTCAGGGTTGGAGATTTGTTTGAACAGAGTGGTGAGGCTGCCTATAATTTGGAGGTAGCTGGGCTTCTCCCAAAAATGTTTATGAGGTTAGAGGCTGCTTACCTTGTGATTAGTACTGCTCCTTTTTCCCTAGAGAAGAAGGCTCCACTTCTCATCTTGCCTTTTAGAGTACCCAGTAGAGACCCCCCTGCCGGATATTTTTGGGGTGTTCCTAAAGCTCCCTGGAGCCTGCTCATAGTCCTGAGGAAATGCAAGCCTGCTCTAGAAAACAACTAAGTGCACCAGGCAGAGAGGAGCCCCAGGATTTGCTCCTTGACTCTGGGTTGGGGGTGCAGGCCGAGGTCTGTGGCCTTGCTGACTAAGATGCATTCTCCAGTTCTGGAGGATGAGGTGCCAGAGAGAGCCCTAAGTTTTTCATCAGCTCCATTAGACAATTTACCTCATCCACCCTCTTCCCTTGCAGACTTTCCAGAGCTACTTGGGAAAGTAATGCTGCTTCACCCTTGTGAAGAGATGTATGGTTTGCAAATCACTTTTACATCATTCTTGCACATCTATCTACTCTTCCTAAAATGTCGGTTGTGAAATTATCACCCTCATTTTACAGACAGAAAACTGAGGCCCAGAGAGATTAAGTGATTTGCTCAAGGATTAATGGTCATCAATCAGGACTCAGACATCCTGCCTCTGACTTCAAGTTTAGTACTTTGTTTTGAAACAGAGTCTCGCTCTGTCACCTGGGTTGGAGTGCATGGCACAGTCTTGGCTCACTGCCGCCTTGACCTTATGAGCTCAATTGATCCTCTCACCTCAGCTTCCCTAGTAGCTGGGACTGCAGGTGTGCACCACCACACCAGGCTAATTTTTGTACTTTTTGTAGAGACAGGGTCTCATTATGTTGCCCAGGCTGGTCTCAAACTCCTGGACTCAGGTGATCTGCCCTCCTGGGCCTCCCAAAGTGCTGGGATTACAGGCGTGAGCCAACATGCCTAGCCAAGTTTAGTACTTTTTCTTTCCTTCTCTTTATATGTTTTATTATAGGAGTGTCACAGGGCTCACTGCACCTCTCTCCTTATCTCCCTGGGGCCTCTGCCTCCCAGGTTCAAGCGATTCTCCTGCCTCAGCCTCCCAGGCAACTGGGATTACAGGTGCCCACCACCACACCTGGCCAGTGTTTTGTATTTTTAGTAGAGACGGGGTTTCACCATGTTGGCCAGGCTGGCCTTGAACTCCTGACCTCTGGTGATCCACCTGCTTTGGCCTCCCAAAGTTCTGGGATTATAGGCGTGAGCCACTGTGCCTGGCCCAAATAGTTTTTTCGTTTGTTTGTTTTTTTGAGACAGAGTCTCACTCTGTCACCCAGGCTGGAGTGCAATGGCGTGATCTTGGCTCACTGCAGCCTCCGCCCCTTGGGTTTAAGCGATTCTCCCACCTCAGTTTCCCGAGTAGCTGGGATTACAAGCATGCACCACCAGGCCCAGCTAATTTTTATATTTTCAGTGGAGACGGGGTTTCACCATGTTGACCAGGTTGGTCTCAAACTCCAGACCTCAAGTGATCTGCCTGCCTCGGCCTTCCAAAGTGCTGGGATTACAGGCGTGAGCCACCACACCTGGCCCCAGCTTGCTTTTTCACTTAACACTTATTTTGAGATTTATTCATGTCAATGCATGTTTCATAGTTCATTTATTTTCACAGCTGAATAGTAGTTCATTGTACTAATATGTCAGGGTTTATTCATTCATTTTCTAATTAGCCAGGCACGGTGGTGCACGCCTGTAGTCCAGCTGCTTAGGAAGCTGAGATGAGAGGATCAATTGAGCCTGGGAGGTCAAGGCTGCAGTGAGGCATGATCATGCCACTGCACTCCCGCCTGGGTAACACAGTGAGACCCTGTCTCAAAAATAATATATAATTTAAAAATTTGTTTTCTTGTCAGTGGGCCATCTGGGTGGTTTCTGGTATTTTGCCATTGCATGCAATGCTACTGTGAACATATTTCTACATGTCTTATCTTTATATTTCTATAAGTGTAATGAAATCCCCCCAAAATAGCTCATTAGCATTTTAATTTGCCTTTTCCTTTACTGGTGAGGTTGAGCATCTTTCCTATTCCATTAGCCACTTGTTATTTCTTTTTAGAGTTGCCTTCTTAGTCTTTGCTCAGTTTTTCCTTGACCTTCCTCTGCTACTTTTCTGTGTCTGCTTTTTCTAGTATTCCATACTGCTTCTCTAAACTGAAGAGCTGGAGTTTCTCAAAGGGAATTGGGAAAATCCCTGAACATATCACCTGGAACTCATGCAACAACATATTTTTTTGAGAACCTATTCTAGGCCAGCCATTGTACTAAATAAGCTATCCATGTCTTCAAGGAGCTTATGATTTTCTCGGGGGAGATGAATGAATTGTTACAAAAGAATGGGCTCCTTGTTAAAGTGCAGGATATGTAGGTTGCAGTAGGTGCTCTGACTGAGGGAGGAGTGCTGGGATAAGGGTCGGACCCTCAGAGAGGAGATACCTTGAAGGCTGAGCAGGAATTCTCCAAGGAGGCAAGGGAGGAGAGGATACCCCGGTCGGAGAAAGCAACATGCGCACCTCTGGGGAGGTGGGAGCACGTATTGCACTGGAAGACCCGTTAGCAGAAACAGACTTGGCTTTGGATGCCTTCTACAATTGGATCAGGAAAAAGTTGGGGATAGAGTGCAGGGTACATTGGGGTACTGGAGGGAGTCAAAACATTTTATGTGGTATAAACTGTGATGGTCCTGATCATAAGGGGACTCTAATACCATAATAAGGAGTTTTTGACTTTTTGTTTTTAAAAACATTTAATAGTAACATATATACAGAAAAATATGTACATCACAAATGTCCAGTCAAGTAATTTTCACAAACTAGACACATTCCTGTGAGCAGCACCCAGATCAAGAAACAAATCATTACGGGCACTGCAGAAGCCCCCTCATGTCCCCTTCTAATTACCACCTACCTCCACCTCAAGGGTAACCACTATCCTGACTTCTAAAGTGCAAATTATATTAGTTTTGCTTATTTTTGTGCTTTTTATATAAGTGGAATCATACAGTATACTTTTGTGTCTGGATTCTTTTGCTTAACATCTTTGTGAGATTTACTGATGTTGCATGTACAGTGCTTCATTCTTTTTCATTGTTGTACAAAGTTCCATTGTATGAATATATTACAATTTATTCTACTCTTGCTGAACATGTGGGTAATTTCTGGTTTGAGGCTATTTTGAAAAATGCTACTGTGAACTTTCTAGTATACATGCTTTTATGGGAAACATATGTATGTGCCAGGGCAAAGGGAAAGCCTCTCCTTCACCCTCGGAAGTTTTGCTGAAAATCACTGACAAAAGAAAATAGGGAAAAAGGCCCGGGCGCGGTGGCTCACGCCTTTAATCCCAGCACTTTGGGAAGCCGAGGCGGGTGGATTACCTGAGGTCAGGAGTTCGAGAGCAGCCTGCCCAACATGGTGAAACCCCATCTCTACTAAAAATACAAAAATTAGCTGGGTGTGGTGGGACACGCCGGTAATCCCAGCTACTTGGGAGGCTGAGGCAGGAGAATTGCTTGAGCCCGGGAGGTGGAGGTTGCAGTGAGCCGAGATCGTGCCACTGCACTCCAGCCTGGCCGACAGAGCGAGAGGGACTCTGTCTCAAAAAAAAAAAAAAAAAAAAAAAAAAGGCATACAGATTTATTTGATCATAGTTTTAGGTGACATAGGAACCTTCTGAATGAAGACCCAAATATACAGAGGAAAACGTCCATTATTTTTAAATTTTCAATTTTTATTATTTTTTAAAAGCTAGCCTTACTGAATCAGAAGCAGTCCATTCTTAGATTTGAAAAAGTATAGGCAGCTGTGTAGAAATATGATTGGACAAAAAGGGTATGATCTAATGCTGAGAGACTAAATGGGGAAACCCAGCAAGGCCTGTCTGTCTAGATTCTTCTTGACCTCTCTAAGCATTCCTTCCAGGTGTGAGACAGGGCCCTCTCTGGAATGGGGGTCTTATGACTTCAGATCAAGCAAGGTGGGTCAGATAATTTTTTTTTTTTTAGATGGAGTCTTGCTCTTGTCCCCAGGCTGGAGTGCAGTGGCACGATCTTGGCTCACAGCAACCTCCACCTCCCAGGTTCAAGCAATTCTCCTGCCTCAGCCTCCTGAGTAGCTGGGACTACAGGCACCTGACACCACGCCTGGCTAATTTTTCTATTTGTAGTAGAGATGGGGTTTCGCCATGTTGGCCAGGCTGGTCTCGAACTCCTGACCTCGTGATCTGCCCACGCCTCCCAAAGTGCTGAGATTACAGGCATGAGCCACTGCACCCGGCCAGATAATTTCTTTATAGCTAGCTTTTAATAGAAAGAGAGGTGGAAAGTCAGAGTAATATTTTTAGGTTTTATGGCTGGCTTTGGGGAAAAGGGGTTCTGGTTTCTATGACCCACCTTGAGAAGAGGGATTCTAGTTTCTATGGCTAGCCCCGGGATGGGGAGGGGAGGAATGAAAGGCCAGAAAAGAGGTCAGGAGAAAGTCAGAGAAAACTTTTTTCTTCCGAGGTCTTCATTTTGGGGTATCATATTCTGAGATCCTACATTTGCATTTCTGTTGGGTAGAGTAACTAGTGGTGGAATTGCTGTGCCTTAGAGTACTTTTGTGTTTATCTTTGGTCCATGCTTCTGAATTTTCCAGCGATTGTGTTGCTGCGCAATCCCAGCATCAGTGTCTCAGAGTGTCGGTTGTTCCACATCTGCTGAACACTTCGTATTTTTTTTTTATCCATTTCATGTTAGTCATTCTGATAGGTATTTTGTGGCATTGTTTTGTGGTTTTACTTTCCAGCTCTTTGATAATGCCTAATGAAGTTGAACCCCTTGTCATATGTTTAATGACTGTTTGGGTATCCTCACAATGATGTGTCTGTTGGCATCTTCTGCCTGTTTTTCTATTGGGCTGCATGTCTGGCTGGCTGTCTCCCTTTCTTTCTTTAAGTAAACATTTTATTTTGAAATAATTTTAAATTTACAGAAAAGTTGCAAAGTAGTACAGAGAACTCTTATATACCCTTCATCCAGTTTTCCCACAATGTTAACATCTTATGTCACCATGGCACGTTTGTCATATAAAGAAATTAATGTTGGTACAATGCTGTTAACAAAGTTGTAGACTATCTGGGTTTCACCACTTTTTCCACTAATATCTTTTTTCTGATCCAGGATTCAGTCCAGGATCCCATGTTAATCATTTTGTTTAGTAGGAATTCTTTATATATTCTGGACATCTTTTGTCAGATATACATATAGTGAATTTCTTTTGCTCTGTGGGTTGCCATGCAGTGTTTTTTTAAATTTTATTTTATTGTTATTGAGACAGAGTCTTGCTCTGTTGCCCAGGTCGGAGTGCAGTGGCACGATCTTGGCTCACTGCAACCTCTGCCTCCCGGGTTCAGGCAATTCTCCCGTCTCAGCCTCCTGAGTAGCTGGGACTACAGGCACGTGCTACCACACCCGGCTAATTTTTGTATTTTTAGTAGAGATGGGGTTTCAACATGTTGGCCAGGCTGGTCTCGAACTCCTGACCTCGTGATCTACCTACCTTGGCCTCCCCAAAGTGCTGGGACTGTGAACCACTGTGCCCGGCCCCCTTTTTTTTTTTTTTTTTTTTTTTTTTGAGACAGAGTCTCACTCCGTTGCCCAGACTGGAGTGCAATAGCACAGTCTTGGCTCACTGCAACCTCTGCCTCCAGAGTTCAAGCGATCCTCCTGCCTCAGCCTCCTGAGTAGCTGGGACTACAGGCATGTGCCACCACTCCTGGGTAATTTTTGTATTTTCAGTAGAGACAGGGTTTCAGCATGTTGGCCAGGCTGGTCTTGAACTCCTGACCTCAGGTGATCCACCCACCTCGGCCTCCCAAAGTGCTGGGGTTACAGGTGTGAGCCACCACACCAGCCCTCTTAGCAGTGTCTTTTGATGAATAAAAGTTCTAAATTTTAAGGCCGGGCATGGTGGCTCACTCCTGTAATCCCAGCACTTTGGGAGGCCGAGGCGGGTGGATCACATGAGGTCAGGAGTTCAAGACCAGCCTGGGCAACATGGCGAAACCATGTCTCTATCAAAAATACAAAAACTTAGCCAGCTATGGTGGTGCACACCTGTAATCCCAGCTACTCAGGAGGCTGAGGTAGGAGGATTGCTTGAACTGGGGAGTCAGAGGGTGTGGTGAGCCAAGATTGTGCCATTGCATTCCAGCCTGGGTAACAGAATGAGACTCCCTCTCAAAAAAAAAAAAAAAATTATAAGGCATACACTAACATTTTAATAGTGGCTGTTTCTGGGTGGCAGGATTATAAATGCTTATTTTCTTCAGTATATTCTTTTTGTCCCTGCAAGTACTTGAAGGAATATTAATTCCTTTTTTTTTTTTTTAACAAAAAAGATAATTATAGGTCGGGCATGGTGGCTCACACCTGTAATCCAAGCACTTTGGGAGGCCGAGGCAGGCAGATCACGAGGTCAGGAGTTTGAGACCAACCTGGCCAACATGGTGAAACCCCTTCTCTACTAAAAATACAAAAATTAGCCGGACGTTGTGGTGGGTGCCTATAGTCCCAGCTACTTGGGAAGCTGAGGCAGGAGAATCGTTTGAACCCAGGAGGCAGAGGTTGCAGTGAGCTGAGATGGTGCCATTGCACTCCAGCCTGGGTGACAAGGTGAGACTCCGTCTCAAAAAAAAAAAAAAAAAAAAGATAATTATAGATTCACATGCAGTTATAAGAAATAATAGAATTCCCCCATATCCTTTATTCCATTTTTTCCAGTGGTAACATCTTGCAAAACTGTGGTACTCTATCACAACCAGGATATTGGCATTGATACAGTCAAGCTATGGAACATTTCCATCACCAAAAGCACCCCTCATGTTGCCCTTTGAGAGCCACACTCATTTCCCTCCTCCCCCCCACTTTCTTCTTAACTCCTAGTAACCACCAGTCCTTTTCCCATTTCTATAACTTTGTTATTTAAAAAATGTTACACAAGTGAAATTATAGAGCATGTAAACTTTTGTGATTGGCTTTTTTCACTCAGCAAATTCTCTGGAGAGTGTTGTTGCATGTATCAATAGTTTGATCCTTTTTATTGCTGAGTAGTATTCCACAATAACAGATGTGCCACAGTTTGTTTAACCATTTCTCTACTGAAGGCATCTGGGTTGTTTCTAGTTTTTGGCTGTTACAAATAAAGCTGCTTTTTCCCTTTCCTTTCCCCTTTCCCCTTCCCTTCCCTTTCCTTCCTTTTCCCTTTCCCTCCCTGCCTTCCCTTCCCTTCCTTTCTCCTCCCCCTCCCCGTCTCCTCCCTTCCCACCCCCCAGCTCCTCTCCTCAGGGTCCTACTCCGTAGCCCAGGCTGGAGTGCTGTGGTATGATAGCAGCTAGCTACAGCCTCAACCTCCCCAGCTCAAGTAATCCTCCCACCTCAACCTCCTGAGTTTCTGGGACAACAGGCACACAACACCATGCCTGGATAAGAAAAAAACATGTTTTTTTGAAGAGAGGGGCAACTTTGTTGCCCAGTCTGGTCTCAAGCTCCTGGCCTCAAGCAATCCTCCCACCTTGGCCTCCCAAAATGCTGAGATTACAGGCCGGACACAGTGACTCACGCCTGTAATCCCAGCACTTTGGGAGACCAAGGCAGATGGATCACTTGAGGTCAGGAGTTCGAGACCAGCCTGGCCAACATGGTGAAGCCCCCTCTATATTAACATATAAAAATTAGCCAGGCATTGTCACGGGAGCTTGTAATCCCAGTTCAGTTACGTGGGAGGCTGAGGTAGGAGAATTGCTTGAACCTGGGAGGCAGAGGTTGCAGTGAGCCGAGATTGCGTCACTGTACTCCAGCCTGGGTGACAGAAACAGAATTAGTCTCAAAAACCAAACAAAATGCTGAGATTACAGATGTGAGCTATGATGCCCGGTTCTGTTTTTCATTTATCTGTTTTCTTTTTCCTGCCTTCCTGTGGATTAACTGAACACTTTTTAGGATTCCATTTTTATTCATTTATAATGTTTTTGAGTGTTATCTCTTTGTATAGACTTTTTAGTGGTTACTCTAGGTATTATACATTATGTATACATAGGTTATCACAGTCTCCTGGTGTTGGCATTTTACTAGTTTGAGTGAAGAAGAGAAACCTTTCCTTCCTTTACATCCCTTTACCTTCTCCCATTTATGATACTAAATATTTAATAGTATAATATTATCATATTTAAATATTTTCTCTGCATACATTTAGAACCACATCAGACATTGTTATACTTTTTGCTTTAATCATCAAATGTAACTTAGAAAACCTAAGAGGGGCTTTCCAGCCCCAGCCCCGGCCCCTACAGCCACCGAGATGTTGATGCCTAAGAACCGGATTGCCATTTATGAACTCCTTTTTAAGGAGGGAGTCATGGTGGCCAAGAAGGATGTCCACATGCCTAAGCACCGGGAGCTGGCAGACAAGGATGTGCCCAATCTTCATGTCATGAAGGCCATGCAGCCTCTCAAGTCCCGAGGCTACGTGAAGGAACAGTTTGCCTGGAGACATTTCCACTGGTACGTTACCAATGAGGGCATCCAGTATCTCCGTGATTACCTTCATCTGCCCCGGAGATTGTGCCTGCCACTCTATGCTGCAGCCGTCCAGAGACTGGAAGTCCTCAGCCTAAAGGTCTGAAGGGTGAGCGACCTGCAAGACTCACAAGAGGGAAAGCGGACAGAGATAACCTACAGACGGAGTGCTGTGCCGCCTGGTGCCGACAGCAAAGCTGAGGCTGGGGCTGGGTCAGCAACCGAATTCCAGTTTAGAGGTGGATTTGGTTGAGGATGTGGTCAGCCACCTCAGTAAAATTGGAGAGGATTATTTTGCATTGAATAAACTTACAGCAAAAAAACTTAAAAAAAAAAAAAGAAAACCTAAGAGGGGAAGGAAATCTTGTTGTATTTACCCATCTTTTTTCAACTCATGTTTCTTTCTTCCCATTATTTCAAGTTTCCTTTTTTTAAAAAATAATTTCCTTTCTGTTTAGAGAACTTTTTAAGCCATTCTTTTAGTGTAGGTCTGCTGGTGAGAAATTCTCTTAGTTTTCCTTCATCTGAGAATGTCTTGATTTCCCCCTCATTTCTGAAGGATATTTTCCTTTGTTACAGGATATTTTCCTTTGTCAATTCTGAATTGACCGTTCTTCTCTTTCAGCATTTGAAAAATAGTATGCCACTTCCTTCTACTCTCTGTCATTTCCGAAGAGAAAATAACCTTTGAGGGATCCCCTCAAAGGTTATTTTCTCTGCTTTCAAGACTTTTTCTTTGTCTTTAGTTATCAGAAATTTAATTATGATCTATCATGGCATGAATTTCATGTTTATTCTGTTTGAAGTTTGCTTGGCTTCTTGAATCTATAGATTTGTGTCTTTTGCCAAATTTTGAAAATTTTTGGTCATTATTTCTTTGAGAACATTTTCAACTGACCCTCTTTCTCCTCTCTACCTGGAATTCTGATGGCTGGATGGAATCATCTCTCAGTGCCCCAACCCAGCCTAGTTGTCTATGCTCTTCCAATTGGAATGCGTAGGTTTATGAAACAGACCAGACTTGACCTTCATTAGCTAATAACCCCTTTGTTCTGACTGAAGGATGCCCTGCCTTTTCCCAGCCTGCCTCCATAGAACACTATGGGGAGATAGTGTCCTTTTTTTTTTTTTTTCTTTTTGAGACGGAGTCTTGCTCTGTTGCCCAGGCGGGAGTGCAGTGGTATGATCTTGGCTCCCTGGAACCTCCACCTCCTAGGTTCAAGCGATTCTCCTGCCTCAGCCTCCCTAGTAGCTGGGATTACAGGTGCCTGCCACCACAGCCAGCTGAGTTTTATATTTTCAGTAGAGACGGGGTTTCACCATGTTGGCCAGGCTGGTCTCAAACTCCTGACCTCAGGTGATCCACCCACCTTGGCCTCCTAAAGTGCTGGGTTTACAGGCATGAGCCACTGCCCCTGGTCGAGATACTGTTTTAATAAAAGTGCAGGTATGTCCTGGGAAGGAAGAATTTGGCAGCCATTCTGGCTATTTTGAAATCATTTCCTCTTTTTTCTTTTGTAATATTTTCTTGACCTAGATGTCATGGAGCATTCTCTGTGCATTCAGAAAATACCTTTGCTAAGGGCTGTGGCATACAACAGCTCTTGAGGAGTTAACAGAAGGGGTAATTCTTCACAAAACACAAATAACTGAGAGGCAGATGCCATGGGAGGCCTTGTGACGCTGTGGGAGCTCAAGGAGGGGAAGATGTGTTTCCCACAGGATGCGGGGTAGCATCTTGGAAGATGAGGCATTTGAACATGAACTTGAGGAACTTGGAGACGCCTTAGGTGAAAATGGGAAGAATAGATATTTAAGGCACAGGAAATGATGGGAGCAAAGGCACTGAAGTTGGAAACCATGGAATGTATTGGATAGGGCACTGAGAGATGGTAGCAAGAGGTGTGAGTTTACCCAGACTGTGGAAAGCCTTGCATGCCACTCTAAGGATGTGGCTTTTATTTCATAGGAATTAAGTGTTTTCATAAAACCAGCTACTTTGCTAGGGTTGGGAAGGTTTAAGGGCCATTGTGACAGTGTCTTCTGTCTTCCCAATCCAAAAAGTGGGAGGATGCTGATGTTTCAGTGCCACCCTCCTGTGTGGCAGAGAGTAACCTCCATACATTTTCTCATTTTCTTTTTCTTTTTGAGACAGCATCTCACTCTGTCGTCCAGGCTGGAGTGCAGTGGCGCGATCTCAGCTCACTTTAACCTCCGCCTCCCTGGTTCAAGCGATTCTCCTGCCTCAGTCTCCTGAGCAGCTGGGATTACAGGCGCCCACCACCACGCCTGGCTAATTTTTTTGTATTTTTGGTAGAGATGGGGTTTCACCATGTTGGCCAGGCTGGTCTCGAACTCCTGACCTCAGGTGATCCTCCCACCTCGGCCTCCCAAAGTGCTGGGATTACAGGCATGAGCCAGCACACCGGCAATATTTTTAAGTAATATTCAACAAAAAAACCCTCAGTTGGGGGCCGGGTGCGGTGGCTCACGCCTGTAATCCCAGCGCTTTGGGAGGCTGAGGCGGGAGGATCACAAAGTCAGGAGTTCGAGACCAGCCTGGCCAATGTGGCGAAACCCCGTCTCTACTAAAAATACAAAAATTAGCCAGGTGTGGTGGCAGATGCCTGTAATCCCAGCTACTTGGGAGGCTGAGGCAGGAGAATTGCTTGAGCCCAGGAGACGGAGGCTGCAGTGAGCCAAGATCGTGTCACTGCACTCCAGCCTGGGAGACAAGAGCAAGACTCCATCTCAAACAAACAAAAAACCCTCAGTTGGATGGTAATATACCCCTTTTACAGATAAAAACATCAAGAGTTAAGTATCTCACCAAAGACTGATTTCTTCTCCACCAAGTTGGAACGTTATCTTCTCTAGACATTTGGAAGGTTAAGAGGGTTCCTTAAAACCTGTTACCAGTAAGATGTCATTTATGCAGCTGGGCCTCAAGGCAGGGGATGACCAGATGACCTCAAGATCACTTTCATTCTTGGATAGCCCAGCACCTATTTCTCTTCATTGTCTGGGAGAGGCATATACTCCATCCTCACGCTGTCACAGAATGGAATCCAGAAGGAGCCTGAGATATACTTGGTCCAACTTCCTTATTTTTCCAGTGGGAACCAGAGATCCATAGTGGCTAAGCCCCTCATTCACTTCCATGCATAGTGCAGGTGATTTACTCTGCCTTGTTAGCCTTCTCTCAACGTTATCATCTTCCCAATCTACAGGCCCTTACTTTTCCCTCCTACCACGTTTTTCCTTTCAGGTTTTTAATTTTCCCTGCAAAGTATTGTGTGTGTGTGTGTGTGTGTGTGTGTGTGTGTGTGTGTGTGTGTGTGAGTGTTTGAGACGGAGTCTTGCTCTGTCACCCAGGCTGGAGTGCAGTGGCACAATCTTGGCTCACTACAAGCTCCGCCTCCCGGGTTCACGCCATTCTGCTGCCTCAGCCTCCCGAGTAGCTGGGACTACAGGCGCCTGCCACCACGCCAGGCTGATTTTGTTTTTGTATTTTTTAGTAGAGACGGGGTTTCACTGTGTTAGCCAGGATGGTCTCGATCTCCTGACCTCGTGATCCACCTGCCTTGGCCTCCCAAAGTGCTGGGATTACAGGCGTGAGCCACCGTGCCCGGCCTTTTTAAAAAAATCTTCTTTGAAGCCCGGGCAACATGGCAAAACCTCATGTCTACAAAAAATACAAAAATTAGATGGGCATATTGGTGCGCCTGTAGTCCCAGCTACTTGGGAGGCTGAGGTGGGTGGATCACTTAAGCCTGGGAGGTTGAGGCTGCAGTCATGCGCGCGCGCGCGCACACACACACACACACACACACACACACACACTTCTTTGACTTATGAAAGAAAACCTGCTTCATTCTTTGAAATTAGGTTGATCTCTAGATGAATACCTATTATCTTGCCTGTTTTCACTTGGATAATTTCCATGTGGCTCATAGAAATGGGAGTTTGAATTCAGGTACTTTCCTATAGTTTAGTTCAGGAAGAATATGCTAGTCTTGTAAAGTGCATCAATAACTTGCTGGCTGGTTGTCAGGAGCAGAAATTCTGGATTGAGGATGAGCAGTCCAGGAATGACCTCTCTACAACTAGAGAAAGAAGAATGCATGCAATGTGTTCCCTGTAGTCCAAGAACCAGGGTAGCCCTGCTGGAGCTCTACAGAGCCATGTGCCAGGTAATCTTTGTTGTGAAAGAAAAAACTGTTGGGTGGTCCCAGAGTCACCACCCCAAACACCTGATCTTGGGCAAGGTAATGCTGCCTCCCTGGACTTCAGTTTTCCTAGTCTGTGAAGTGGTGATGATAAGACCCGCTCCACAGAGCTGGCAGAAGCACCCCTGTACTGGTAGCAGTTTGTACCTGTAGACTGTAAAGTTGAGGGGTTATTGTTGCTGTCATTGTCATTATTAGGGCAGCGTGGACATTCTCAGGCTGACTCTCCAGGGTGAACTGACAGGAGATGAACTTGAACACATAGCCCAGAAGGTACTGCGGAATTCTGGTGGGCAAGGCCCCCTCCCCACACCAGTGCTTCCTTGCTGCTGGCCTCTTACCCAAGTACTGCCTGGAGCCGACTCTGGTGATGCGAGCGTGGGAGCCCCTCCTTTCAGCAACATCCAGCTTGCCTCAGCCTTCTGCACTGCTTTGGGGCAGGAGGAGTCCCCCACTAAAATTAAAACTAAACTGCTACTTCTGTCCATTCTCCCTGGCCGGTGTTCTTGCTGCTGTGTGGCTTCTGTTAGAAGTTCGGAAACGAATTTTTGGAGAGGAAAGTCAGACTAATCCTTCAAGTCTTTTGAGAAACAGGTCTTCTGCATTAGCTGAGGGGCAGGAGTTCTGGGCTTGCCATGTGGTGTCTGAGCCATCTCTCTCTCTCTCTCTCTCTCTCATCTCTCTTTGGCCAGGCGGGCAGGAAGACCTATGCCATGGTGTCCAGCCACTCAGCTGGTCATTCTCTGGCTTCAGAACTGGTGGAGTCCCATGATGGACATGAGGAGATCATTAAGGTAAGCTTAGTTCACCTCCAACTTTTCTCCCTGTCCTCTTCCTCCCTGCACGTATATGAGAAGGAGCAGTTGATGTTGTTGCCAAAGGGAGCTTGTGGTTTGATGGAAGGAACCAGACCTGAGCTGCTAGTTCCTGGCAATCTCCTAGAAATATCTTAATTAATACCAGGAGACTACAGTCTGCCTGTTAGCAACTTTGGTGCAGCCTGGCCCCAGGCAAGGGGATGGACTGGATGACCTTACTAGGGGCCTATCCACTGACCATGTTTTGCTGCTAGAGGTTGTGGAGACAGGTAGGAGGTGTGTTTATGGAACTTATGTTTTCCTATAATGGGTTCATCCTGATGGAACTTATTTATTTATTTATATATTTTTAGTTTTGTAGAGACAGTCTCGCCTTGTTCCCTGGGCTGGTCTCCAAATCCTGGGCTCGAGCAATCGTCCTGTCTCAGCCTCCCAAAATGCTGGTATTATAGGCGTGCACCAGCCCACCTGGCTGATGGAACTTATTTTTTAAAAAATAAAATGATTTTTGTTATTTCTCTCTCTCTTTTTTTTTATAAAACAGCTTTTTTAGATATAAATCCCATACCACATGATTGACTCAGTTACAGTTTTGGTCAGTGCATAACAAAACTGCATAACAACGTTTTGGTCAGTGATGGACTGCGTAGACAACAGTGGTCCCATAAGATTATTATACTCCATTTTTACTGTATTTTTTCTGGGTTTAGATACATTACCATTGTGTGACGATCACCTACAGTATTCAGTACAGTAACATGCTGTGCAGGTTTGTTTGTAGCCTAGGAGCAATAGGGTACACCATACAGCCTAGGGGTGTAGGAGGCCATGCCATCTAGGTTTGTGTGTGTACACTCTGTGATGTTTGTACAAGGATGAAATTGCCTAATGATGCATCCCTCAGAATGTATTCCTATGATTAAGTGATGCATGACTGTATATATGTGAGTGTTTATGCCAATACAGCTATATAGCATTGAGCTAAATTTATTGCATTAGGGTAAATTTCCAGAAGTAGAACTGATAGACCAAAAAGTAAATATATTTTTAGGTCTTCTGATCCGAATCACCAAATTCCACCCAGTAAATTGGTGGTAACAATTTACCCTCCCACCAGCACTATATGAAGCTGCCTATTTTTGTATAGTTAATTTAATTTGAGGTTTCTTAACTAAATGGTGTTCTTATTTCAGGTGTACTTGAAGGGGAGGTCTGGAGACAAGATGATTCACGAGAAGAATATTAACCAGCTGAAGAGTGAGGTCCAGTACATCCAGGAGGTGGGCACCCCTTACCTCTCACGCAGTGCCTAGGTCATTTCTCTAAATCTCACATTTTTTGTGACTGTCTTCTTTTGTGGATTCTGGTTTTTCCCCTTCTTTTTCCTTTATGTCTCTGAAATGCCACCATGCCCTCCCGTGTGTCAAATATATAACTTTTGACCATACCTGATCCATTAATCCACAAATACTTAAGTACTATGGGCCCAGCACTGTCCCAGCCACCTATCGAAAATTACCAGCCACTTTTCACAGCATTTCTTAACTCCCTTCCTGGCTCGTGTTTCTCGTTGGCACTTATGCCCATATAACATATTACACATTTTACTTATTTGTCTTTTGTGTCTTGTGTCTCCCCAACAAGAATGTCAGCTGTAGCTCCACTTGACCAAGGTCCCTCCCTCCATCCTGCAGCCAGTCGTTAGGACAGTGCCTGACTCGCAGTACAGGCCAGGGATGGGGCACAGAGTTGGGTGAGTTGGCATGCTCTCTTTCTCTACCCTAAAGCTCAAGTTTCTTCCCCTCCCCTCCCAGGCCAGGAACTGCCTACAGAAGCTCCGGGAGGATATAAGTAGCAAGCTTGACAGGAACCTAGGAGATTCTCTCCATCGACAGGAGATACAGGTAATAGGAAATGGTCCATGGTTGGGTCCCCACCGAGGAGGTGGGGTTGTGCCAGGCAGTCTCATTTACCAATTACCCAGTGTGTGCTAAATCTAGCATCCCTGCCAGGAATGGAGAAAATAGAGGTGATGCTGGCTTCTCTGGAGCACTCACAATCTGGTTAGGACTCTCCAGCCGATGAGCACTTACATTTACACATGTCAGCTTAAACATAAGTACACCTGCTCCTGAAACACTGTACAGAAATTGAACTTATATAAATTAAATATCATCAGTTGTTAGCAAACCTCTTATCTATAAGGATTCTGTGATCAAGCTTCTTATAATAATAGAATTTTGTAAAGCAGACAATCACCTGTAAATCCACACTTCTCATAAGCTGATCTTGCTTAGTTTGGGTGATACCTGTAGCGTAAATTGAAGTCCGTGCCCTAGCCTGTTATTAATCTTGTATATAGTTATGTCTAACCTGGGATGGGAAGTTCCTCAAGGTTAGGAGTTCACCCCACCCCACCCCACCTCGTGTCTGTATCCTCACCCTCCCATTCCCCCCAGGTCTGGGATGTAGAAGGCATCAGTAAATGTTTGTTAGACTGAACAGATTGGGTAAGTCTTTCCTGGGAGGGATAATCCTGGGATCCTGCTTTTCAGTTTTTCCAAAACTCGAGGACAGAAATGTCCTCAGGAGAGCAGAGCTGTCTCTTTGTGACTTCGCCCTCATCCTTTAGATTCTGAGTTGTATCCTTGATTTGCATTTTGGTTCAGGCAGAGTCTTGCTCCAGCAGCAGCCCCTGCCTTCATTCCCTTGAGGGGAACAGTGGCCCAGCAGCTGGTGCAAGGAAAGTTCTTTGTCTTGGGCATGCACTTGTGTGGTGGAAATTACCTAATTTTTGCTTTGGCTGAAGGTAGGTCTTTCAGTGCTTGAGCTCACATCTGGCTGGTGGGAGCTACTTTGTCAGGTATCAGAAGAACCTAATGTGTGCAGAGACTGGCCCAAAGTCCAGCCCCCTTGTTTGCACAAACCGGCTGTCATATGATGAATAATCAGGCTTTGGGTCAGAAATAATTGAAAAAGATCTTCCCTTTGTAATTTTTGCTTTGTCAAACTTTATCAGGATCCCTGGGGGCAAGGGAAGCTCTTTGTTTGTGGCAGGCAGCTGCATGTATTCCCTGGCTAAGAAGAATGGGCTACACATACTTTTCCATCTGCTGAAAGATTTTAGCCTGAGGTTTTTTTCATCCTCCCTACAAGACTTTCAAGGCCCTTTCAAGGCCGCATAACATCTCTCCACCCCCTCTTGTTTCTATTTTCTCATGGAACGCTAGAAATCTTTTCTTCTTTCGCTTCGTTCCTTCTTCCTCTTCTCCTTTCTTCATTCCTTCCTTTTTCTCCCTCCCTTTCTTTTTCTCTCTCCCTCCCCCTCCCTTTCACCTTCCTCTCCCTCTCCCTGTCCTTCTCTTTCTAAGATTTGAGTGTTAGGAGAATAATGTTTCAAAGTTGGTTGCTTTCATCTGTTTTAACTACCAATTTTATTTTTCTTTGAACAGGTGGTGCTAGAAAAGCCAAATGGCTTTAGTCAGAGTCCCACAGCCCTGTACAGCAGCCCACCTGAGGTAGGTAACAGAGGACACCATGGTGGCTCCGCTTAGCCAGGGGCAGGATTGCCTCCTCCCCATCCTTTTGTTTATTGCTTTCTCTCTCTCTCTCTCTCTCATTAAATACAAGAGTAGTAGTTGACATAAAAATTCAAACACAGAGAAATACAAAGAGTAGAAATTCTCCTTCCCCAATCTCTCTCCTTGCGAGTATCCACTGTTAACAGATTGAAGTGGGTGGATCTTTCTAGGGCAGTGCTTCTCAGCCTCAGCTGTTCATTGGAATGGCCTTGCAAGCGTTAAAGGATATGATGCCTGGGTCCCATCCCTAGAGCTTGTCATTTCATTGTTCCAATAGGTGGCCTGGGCATCAGGACTTTTAAGAGCTCTTCAGGTGATACTAATGTTTAGCTAAAGTTGAGTGCCAGTATTCTAGAATATTTTTATATACATAGACAACCATATTTAAATATCATGTATATGTTATATACACACCATATATACATGATAAATATATGTATATAATATACATGTGCTTTTCTCAACTATAAGATCATGGTAAATACATTATTCTTTGCTTGCTTTTTTTTTCTTAACTAAAGAGTATATTATAACCTTCTTTCCATGTCAGTACATATAGATCTACCTCATTCTTTTGAATAACTACATAGTATTTCCTTCCATGGCTGTACTTGATTGATTGACTGATTGATTGATTGATTGACTGACTGACAGAGTCTCACCCTGTCACCCAGGCTGGAGTGCAGTGGCAATCATGGCTCACTGCAGCCTCGACCCCCGGGGTTCAAGCAATCCTCCCACCTCAGCCTACCCAATAGCTGGGACTATAGGGCACGCGCCATTATGCCTGGCTAATTTTTGTAGAGATGGGGTTGCCCAGGCTGCTCTTGAATTCTTGGGCTCAAGTGATCTGCTTGCCTCGCCTCCCAGAGTGCTGGGATTATAGGCATGAGCCACTGTGCCTAGCCTACTTTTTAAATTTTTATAATTATTATTTTTTGGGACAGGGTCTCCCTATGTCATCTGAGCTGGAGTGCAGTGGTGCAGTCATGGCTCATTATATTCTCAACCTCTTGGGCTCAGGTAGTCCTCCTGCCTCAGCCTGGGAGGGACTGTGGCAGCCACTATAGTGGCTGGGACTATAGACACGTGCCACCACACCTGGCTAATTTTTGTATTTTTTGTAAAGACAGGGTCTCATCATGTTTCCCAGGCTCATCTCAAACTCCTGGGCTTAAGTGATCTGCCCACCTCGGCCTCCCAAAGTTTTGGGATTATAGTCATGAGCTACTATGCTTGGCCTCCATGACTGTACTTTATTTGTTATTTTTTGAGATGGAGTCTCGCTCTGTCACCCAGGGTACAGTGCAGTGGTATGATCTTGGCTCGCTGCAACCTCCACCTCCTGGGTTCAAGCAATTCTCGTGCCTCAGCGTACTGAGTAGCTGGGACTACTGGCGTGAGCCACCACGCCTGGCTAATTTTTGTATTTTTAGTAGAGATGGGGTTTCACCATGTTGGCCAAGCTGGTCTCGAACTCCTGACCTCAGGTGATCCTCCCACCTTGGCCTCCCAAAGTGTTAGGATTACAGGCGTGAGCCACTGCACCCCGCCACCATTACTGTATTTTTAAAAAGTGTGTTATTATGTTTTTTTGTGATTATACAATACAAAACATTCATATTGTAGAAAATTTGGAAAATTCAGAAACACAGGAAAGTGAAAGAAGAAACAAATATCACTTGTAATCTACTCAGAGAAAAACCACAGTGAAATTTCATCTTTCCCCGAATGCAAATATATATTTACCATGTGAATACATTGTACAGTATGTAGCATTTCTTTATAATTTTTTTTTTGTTTCTTTAGTTGGGTATGTTTTTGCATTCGGTGTTTTTGGCCCTCAAGTATAGGTTGAATCAGACCCACCCATTAGTTCATGACACATCATCCTCATGGGTCCTGTCAAGGCCTCTCACTGGTTTCAGTTTTTTGTTTTTTGTTTTTTTTGCCTCTCCACCTCCTGCAAGAGAAACTCACTCTAATGAATTCAATATATGGCTTTAAATATGCCTGTAAAATGTTCAGTATACATGATGAACTTGTGCTATATCTTCTTCCCTCTTTGTTCTTGTTTTCCCTGGTACCGTGTTTTTTAGGATCTATCTACATTGCTGTATTAAAATCTAGTTCATTGCTTCTGCCTCCTACATGTACTTTTATAACTTACTTTTTTGCTTCATGTTATATCATATGATGAAATAATATTTTCATGAAAGTTTTCCATGTCATTAAACAGTCTTATGAGAACACTCTTTGAAATAAGTGCATAATAGCTGTGTTCCAGGAACCTTTTAAAGGCCATTGGCTCAGGTGAGGATTTAGGGAAATTGACTGGATAACTCATGACATCTAGATTTGGAATGCTGTGATTCTAACCACTTGCTTTAGATGGGCAGCTTGGACTTTCTCCTTCTTTTGAATCACCATATTTGGCAAATACATTGTTGGCAACAAATTATAATAACACCTGGTAATATCTGTTTGGCCTCTTTCTTCTCACAAGCTCAAAGCTGTACCGGATGTTATCTTACCTAGTTTTGAGGCAGCCTGTAAGGCAGGGTGTGGTAGGGAGTGTACTGACTGCCTCACAGATAAAGAAATGAAGGCCCACAGGACTTCACTTCTTCATTATCACCCACAGGATGATGATGCAGAGACTGGGACACTGTCTTCCTCCAGTGTCTGGTGCCTGTGCAGCAGAGACGGGGGTGAGACCCTACATGTTAGCTCATCTCTAACCACCAGCCCACAGTTGGGTGTGTCTGGGAGAGACTGAGCAGTTACCTCGATGAGACACCTTTTTCCACATCGAATCAGATTCGTGGACTCATTGCATGCTTTTGCCCTAAACCTGTCCATCCATCAGTAACCCTTTATATGCTGCTGTCAGTGCCAAAAGCTGAGAATGGTAAAGGATGTGCTTTTGGACCACTCCCTTTGTGATGGGCGCGACATAGTCCCTGTCCTGTGGGAACTCTAGTCCAAAGGGGAACATGGTCTCTGCTCTCAGAGAGCTGTAGGCAGATAGAGGGAAGCAGGATGCACACCTACAGACAGCATCCACATATTCACCAAGAAATCGATTAGTGGATACATACATGAAATATTACTGAGCATGTCCTAAAATAATTGGGTGTTTTGAGGCTAGCAGGGTTCTTTAGGGTATGAAGGGACAATGTTTCATTGAATAACTCAGAATTCCTGGCTGCCTAAGGTAACTCTCCCCTTGTGTGATGACAGTTCTTTTTTGAGGGTGGTCTGGACGAGATGGTCCAAACCAGTGTGTGCCTGGGAGGGGGGACCTTTTCTTACTGAGTCAGAAACTTGAGGGCTTCCCCTTCCCTTCCTTGTTCTGGCTGTAGGTGGACACCTGTATAAATGAGGATGTTGAGAGCTTGAGGAAGACGGTGCAGGACTTGCTGGCCAAGCTTCAGGAGGCCAAGCGGCAACACCAGTCAGACTGTGTGGCTTTTGAGGTGAGATTTGGGATTTGGGGAGAAGGTGCCCTAAGGGATGGGCTACTGAACACAGGTGCCAGTGATGTCTCAGCTTGGACTTCCTGTCTTTCTGGCTGAGTGCCACAAACTGGAAAGGCAAGGCTGTGAAGCCTGGAACGCTTGTCTGCTTTTCCCTCTCCTGGACGTTTACACTGTTTACTGTCCAAGGCCAGCCCATAGTTCAAAGGTCAGCTCGGGATTCTCTGCTCTGATGAGTTTGAGGGTGGTGCCCATCTGGGGCAGCCGGTGATTCAGAAGTCATTTCTGTCTGTGTCGTGGTAAGAATCCCTGGGCTCTTGAGACTCCGTGCAGGCAAGGACTGCTGCTGACATGTCACCCCCGAGTCTCCAGTGTCTGGTGCAATACCTGGTATTAGATAGGTGCTTCATAAACGTGGACTGGATGAGTGACTAAATCTGTGTTGTTGTAGAAAGAACTGTACCCATCGAGTTGGAGGATTTGGGCTCTAAACTCAGCTTTGCTATGCAGAGCTTTGTGGTCTGGAATGAGTATCTTTTTTTCACTCTGCTGCCAAGCTGGAGTGCAGTGGCGCAATCTTGGCTCACTGCAACTTCTGCCTCCCGGATTCAAGCAATTCTCCTGCCTCAGCCTCCCGAGTAGCTGGTACTACAGGCATGCGCCACCATGCCCAACTAATTTTTGTGTTTTTAGAAGAGACGGGGTTTCACCATGTTGGCCAGGATGGTCTCGATCTCCTGACCTTGTGATCCACCTGCCTCAGCCTCCCAAAGTGCTGGGATTACAGGCACGAGCCACCATGCCCGGCCTGGAATGAGTATATTAATTATTGTTATAATACAGAAATCTATAAATGGAGAGTAAAAGCCCCCTACTATATGTGAGGTCTTCCATATTTTCTAGAAAATTCTTTGAGTATAAAACAAGGTACATGGGCAGTTTTCTTTCTGTCTTTGGAGACAGGGTCTCACTCTATTGCCAGGCTTGAGTGCAGTGGCATGATCTTGGCTCAATGCAACCTCCATCTCCCGGACTCAAGCCATCTCCCACTTCAGCCTCCTGAGTAGCTGGGACAACAGGTGCACACCACCATGCCTGGCTAATTTTTGTGTTTTTTGTAGAGACAGGGTCTTGCCATGTTGCCCAGGCTGGTCTCAAACTCCAAGGCTCAAGCAGTCTGCGTGCCTTAGCCTCCCAAAATGTGGGGATTACAGGCATGAGCCACCACACCTGGCCCATGGGCAGTTTTCCAACTGCTCTGTGTGAGGTTAACCATCTGTTACCTGCTTTTGTTCTTCCACAAGTAATGTATTCTTTGTGTTATAAATATGTTATGATAGGGTTATAGCCTGCCTAGGCATGCTAGGAGCTGGTAAAAAGAGAAAGGCCAGCTTGAACTCTTCATTTTCATGGAACTGAGAAGGAGAATTTTTGAGAAGAGGCTTGGCGGTGAGGAGGAAGGGCACCAAGGATGATAAACTGCTTCTATGTTAGCCGAAGTATTATTTGAACAAGTAGTTTAACCTCTCCAAGCATCTGTTTCAACTTTTGGAAAAAGGGTTAATGAAATACACCTTACAAGTTTGTTGTGTAGATCGAGTGAGGTAATATATGTGAGGGCACTTTATTATTCTGAAGGGTTTTAGAAATATAAAATAGTCTATATTTTTCTTAGCAATCAGTTTAACAAGGAGATTTTCCTATTTTAATAGCTTGGACTTAGGGTAATATTAAAATTAGTTTGTCATCTCAGAACAAAGTAGCTGTGTGGTGAAGAGGTATGTTGCATCTATTTCAGATTCCACAATTTGTATAATTTAGTTGGTGATGTATCAGTTGGTGACCAGCAGTTTCCTACCTTTTCCAAACAAAACAGGAAGAAAGGAAGGTTGAGGCTCTAGCACTGACCAGGTTGTGAATTTTGGAAAAAAATTTCTGCACTGAGAGACATTATGAAGTTGTGGAAATTATAGAAATATTTGCTGGTTTTAATCACACATGGAGGAGTCTGCCGCTCTGGATTTCAGAGCCTGAGCAAAAGTGCCCTGACAGCTATAGCCCACTGCCCAGAATTTAGAAGGGGTTATTTTTCTTAACCCCATAGTATGCAGGACCACCTGCAGCAGTAGGAGATGCTTCTTCTTGCTGGGCGCTGTGGCTCACACCTGTGAGCCAGGAGGCCTCAGGAGGCCTCAGGAGGCCAAGGCAGGAGGATCCTTGAGCCCAGGAGTTTGAGACCAGCCTGGCCAGCATAGATCTCATCTCTACAAAAATAAAAAAATTAGCCTGGTGTGGTGGAGCATGCCTGTGGTTCCAGCTACTTGGAAGGCTGAGGTGGGAGAATTTTTGGAGCCCAGGAGGTGGAGGCTGCAGTGAGCTATGATTGTGCCACTGCACTCTAGCCTGGGCAACAGATTGAGACTTTGTCTAAAAAATAATAAATATGGTACATAAATAATTTTTTTTTTAAAAAAGGAGGTGCTCCTCGGGTCATTCCCACTGTTGGGCTAGGTTGGCACACCTTTTTATAATTAAGAGGTTCCCTTGCGGGCAGGGTTGGCTGGAGCTACAGAGTCAAATGTGGAAGGGGAGTCTATTTTTTTTAACCTTTTGCTCCGACAGTGGGGTGCAAGAATCAGACCATGGCCTTATTAACACTGTGCTTGAGCTCACATCAACCTAGGTGCAGTGTTTATTTATGTACAGAAATGTACATAAATAAACATAAATAAATGTACATAAATAAAATTTTTTTAAAAGGCCTTACTTTTAAGTTCCTGCCTATGGGGATGGCCTATTTCAGGTTAATATGGGTCATATGAAGGCTTGTCTCAGTCTCTCCTAGTGAATTGGACTCCTTGGTCTACTTTTCTGAACCTATGGGTAGGAAAGGCAAGATGATCAATTACCATGAAAATAACTTGCCATTAAGCATGGGTTTCCTGTTCTACTGGCTGCTTGCTGTCAAGAAGGATTTGCAGTGAGAGTGAGTTTGCTCTGGACATGGCTGGTGTGTAGCATGGACACGTCCCATCACACATCACCTGTGCCGTACTTTCTCCTCCCCAGTTCTGACCTTGGGAGGGGCTGGACGAACTGGCTGCTGATGTTCTGTTTTCCCAGGGCTGGCTGCTAGGCTTTCCAGAAGTTACCTGGATTCTTTTTTAATAAATGATGAGCAGTCAGTGTGAGGCACCTGGGAAGCACTGAAATGGATGGTGAAGTATCTGGGTGCTAGCACTGGCTGTCATTCACTAGCTGTGTAACCTTGACTAGGTCAGTTGACCTTTACTTGTTAAAGGAGAGGGTTGGATTAGAAGAACGTCAGTTCCACTCATTATTTTATTGAGTAGTTACTGCATATGAGGTACTGTGGGAGCTCTGGAAGTGTAATGGTGCTCAGGTCTGTGCCATCAGGACACTGACAGTCTACTTCGGGGTGCACAGAGTGACTGGGCAAAATCTGTTCAATGCTATGAGAGGGAAGGCCGTGTGTTCCTTGTATGTCCTCTCCCTGGACACACAAAGGAAGGGCTCCTCCCCCAGGCTCTGAAGGCTCTCTGGAAGAAGGGGCATCTAAGTGAGACCTGGAGGATGAGTAGGAGTTGGAAAGATGCAAGTTGGAAGAAAGGAGGCAAGTTCTTTGCTTTCTCATTCTAACATTCTGCTTCTATCCTCTAAATTGGTTTCTCATCTCTGATAAAAGGCTCACTCCTGTAATCCCAGCACTTTAGGAGGCCAAGGCGGGCGGATCACCTGAGGTCAGGAGTTCGAGAGCAGCCTGACCAACATGGATAAACCCCGTCTCTACTAAAAATACAAAATTAGCTGGGCGTGGTGGCACATGCCTGTAATCCCAGCTACTCGGGAGGCTGAGGCAGGAGAATCACTTGAACCCAGGAGGCAAAGGTTGCATTGAGCCAAGATCGTGCCATTGCACTCCAGCCTGGGCAACAAGAGTGAAACTCTGTCTCAAAAAAAAATAATAATAATAAATAAATAAGACAAATTCTTCCTGATGCTTAGTAGCCCTTCCAGGTGCCATTTTGGCTGTTGTGTGTGGGCTCTATTGCTGGAAGTGAGAGGGGAGGTGTTGAGGAGACAGAAGAAAGGAACTGGAGGTATCCTCCCTGGGATTATTTGCTTTTGAATTTGTAGGAAAGCCACAACATTGGGTTAAGCTTGGGTGGTGGTGGAGGGTTCATGGGGATGTTGAAGGAGTCACCTATCTGAAAAGTGGTGCTTGTGGGTTCCAGGTGTCACTTTAAAGTGGACCTCAATCAACTGTGAGCCAGTTAACCCTGGAAATAGACACCCTGCTGGAGTGCTGAGGTGGTCCTGTGCAGTGAAGGGGAGGTGGTGGTGAGCCCATCAGTGTCACCACCTTTCTCCCGTCATGGCTCCAGAGCCGCCCAGGTTCCTGGGTTCTTTTCTAAGGTTTTTTTCCATGTTTGCTCTTTTTTCCACACCATTTAACATATTCCTGCTCCGTGTTTTAGGTCACACTCAGCCGGTACCAGAGGGAAGCAGAACAAAGTAATGTGGCCCTTCAGAGAGAGGAGGACAGAGTGGAGCAGAAAGAGGCAGAAGTCGGAGAGCTGCAGAGGCGCTTGCTAGGGATGGAGACGGTAACCGGGGGATCTTGCTTGTCAGTGCCTGGACTCCTGGGCTGGAAGGGGCCTGCAGGTGGATCGAAACGGTTGCCGAGACCCTTCTTTTCCAAGCCTCTCCAGAAAAGCACACTTCGCACCTTCCTTTGGCAGATCCCTTGGAATACATTTTAGCCTTCAAGGAATTAGCCTCCCCCTAACTAGAGTTGATCCTATTTCCACATTAGATTCCTGTACAGATGCCCCTTTTGAAGTCCTGGTTTCTCAGGGACTGGCAGCCATAGCTGGCGAGTGGGCCTGCATGATGCAGGGCTGGGTTCTGCCTCAGGGCAGCTGGGTGAGGCTGAGTGAGAGTGGGAAGGGTTCTCCTCATCAAGGGATGGCTCCCCATCAAACCAGCTCATCTTGCTGCTCTTTGGCAGCTGTCCAGGCCCAGTAGGGGCTGAGTCCCAGCCTGGCGCCCATCTTAGCCCAAACGCAGAAACTGTTGCCATCTTCTCATCCTAGATTTTCTTTTGTGGCCCACCCAGGAGCATCAGGCCTTACTGGCGAAAGTGAGGGAAGGGGAGGTGGCCCTAGAGGAACTTCGGAGCAACAATGCTGACTGCCAAGCAGAACGAGAAAAGTAAGGGCTTGGCTCTTGTTCACGGTGAAGTTGGGTTGCAGGGAGGGGAGGGCAGGCCATACAGCCTGTTGCTCCTGTGGTGGCCTGGTCTGGGGAGGAAGCTGGTGCTGATGTCAGATCTTCCAGCTCTGACTCACCGTGAGCTTGCTCAGGGTGGAGCCCCACCCAAGAGATACCATTTGGGAGGCCGCCATCTCCAGGGAGTTCATTTTCCATGGGGTAATAACCTAAAGAAAAGGCTTTCACAGTTTTAGAGCCAAGGGCAAGCAAGAGCTGGTGGAGCATCTGCTGTTGCTGTGTGTCATTCCACAGATTAGTGCAGTGGATATGTTATGCCTTCGTTTCCTCCCCACCGAAACAAAAATTGACTGTAAACTGTTTGAGGGTAAAATTGATTAACAGTCATGCTGATGAAAAATGGAATGAGCAGCTTCATGAGGAGATACTGAACTTCCTGTTACTTGAAGCAATGCAGATAGAAACTGAGAACCACCTGTCAGCAGGGTCCCGTAGGTGATCACTGAGATCCTTTCTACCTCCAAGGTGAGAGGGTTTTGCAAATTCCCTCTGATCAGAGGAAATCAGAGGCCCCAGACAACCAATGAAGCCTACAGAGCAAAGATTGTGCCTTCTAGAACTTCAGGAATTTGGAAGTTATGCTGTTGGCAATTAATAAATAAGACCTCAAATGGTAAATCACATTTAACATCAGCATATTTGGTTTGATCTTCATTGTGTAAGGTGGACCTTTTTTAGTTCAACAAGACATTATCTGAAGGGCCTTTTAAGGAATTCCAAGATGAACAGACACAATTCTTGCCCTTCAGGGCCCCTCAGTCTTGGAGGCATTTTCTCTCCTTTAGGATAACCTAGATTTGACCTTCCTGGCATGGAAAATACACGTGTCATATTGTAGCCTCCTTTCTGACTGGACTTTATATCAGAATTAATATCAGAATTAGTCAGCACTCCTTCCTCGGTGGGTAGGTGCGCATGGGCAGAGCAAGAGAGACCAAAAGGACTAGATAATCGGAAGCCAGGGTTTGGGAATGGCAGTGACAGCTGTGCCATGTACGTGCTGATTTTCTACCTAAAAGGAGACTGAGAAGTAGGGCATTGGAGAGCTGAAGGTGGAAATTTAGAATGCTTGGAGTTTAGGAAGGATAAGGGGTAGCTCATGTTGCATTGTACCCCAAGCAGCATGCGCTTGTCAGCTTCCTCAGGCAGAACTGGGGAGTGATGGATTCTTCAGGGGCCCAAACCCCAGGATACTCTCCCAAGTAGCCTGACTAGAAGAAGACTGTTCCTCTACTCCTAACACTTCTTACACCAAATATGTGGGTTTTCCATACCAAGCACTTCTCCAATTCTCAATTGATACCAGCTGGGCACCCTACACTTTAATTCAATTCTGAGACGACCCAGAGTTAGTGCAGAACCACAGATTAAGGGCCAGTCCTGCAAGACTGCCCCTGCTTCAGATGCCAGTCACAAGTAGTGGGGTCTAGGGTACCTACACTTCTGTCCAACTTGGCTATAAATTGGGGGTTCCCATATCCTCTTTTCAGGTTTGTTAACTTGCTGTAATGGGTTTGCTGTCATAGAACTCAGGTAAACATTTTCCGTATTTATTTATTTATTTTTCGAGACGGAGTCTCACTCTGTCGCCCAGGCTGGAGTGCAGTGGTGCAATCTCGGCTCACTGCAACCTCCGCCTCCTGGGTTCAGCCTCAGCCTCCCAGGAGGTAGCTAGGACTACAGGCGTGTGCCACCACACCCGGCTAATTTTGTGTATTTTTAGTAGAGATGGGGTTTCACCATGTCGGCCAGGTTGGTCTTGAAATCCTGACCTCAAGCAATCTGCCCGCCTTGACCTCCCAAAGTGCTGGGATTACAGGCATGAGCCACCGCGCCTGGACTACTTATTTTTTTAATTTAAAAAGTTTTTCATTGACACAGGGTCTTGCCATGTTGCCCAGGCTGGTCTCGAACTCCTGGGCTCAAGCAATCCTCCCACCTCGCCTTCCTAAAGTGCTGGGATTATATTCATGAGCCACTGCCCCTGGCCAACATTTCACTTATTACTGGCTTATGATAAAGGATAATATAAAGGATTCAAATGAACAAACAGATGAGGTACATAGGGCAAGGTCAGCAGGTGGATGCATTAACCAAGCTGGAAGCTCTGAACCCCTTTGTTTAGGGTTCTTGTGGCGGTTCATTACATTGGCATGATTGATTAAATTATTGGCCACTGGTGATTAGTTTAGTCTCTAGCTCCTATCCCCTGTCCCTTTCCCAGAGGCTAGGGGGAGTTGTGGGGCTGAAAGTTTCAACCCTTTAATCATGCCTTGGTCTTTTCACTAGCCCCATCCTGAAGCTATCTAGGGACCCCAGCCACCAGTCATCATTAGCATACAAAAAGACACTCATCAGTCTTGGAGATGCAAAGGCTCAGGAACCAGGGAATGTGACCAAATATAACAAAACATAGGTGCTGTATGTCAGGAACCGGGACAGAGACCCATTATATATTTCTTATTATTTTACACTGCCCTTTGGGGGATCTTGGCTCAGTTTGCTTAGAAGATGCAAAGGAAGCAACAGTGGTTTGGGAATCAGGAGACCTAGAAACAAAATTGTGTGAAGAGGCTTTAAGGAGCCTCAAATTCTGTCTTTCTCCTCCAAATCCCTGCCAACAGCTTGATGGTGTTGAGTATAATAATCCCAGCTCCAACTGGGCATGGCGGCTCACACCTGTAATCCTAGCACTTTGGGAGGCCGGGACAGGAGGATTGCTTGGGTTTAAGAGTTCGAGATCAGCCTGGCCAACATGCTGAGACTGTCTCTACAAAAAAAATTTTTTTTTAGTTAGCCAGATGTGGTGGCATGTGCCTGTAGTCCCAGCTACATGGGAGACTGAGGTAGGAGGATTGCTTGAGCCCAGGAGGTCAACCTGGCAGTGAGCCATGTTTGCATTATTGCACTCCAGCCTGGGCTACAGAGTGAGACCCTGTCTCCGGAAAAAAAAAAAAAGAAAAGGTCGGAGAGGGAAATCCTAGCTTCTACTTGAATCTTTCCAGTAACGAGGAGTTCATTACACATGAGACTGGCCACTTTCTGACAGCTTTAATACTAAGAAAGTCTTTCCTGTGTTAATATAAAAACAGCTTCCCTGGAACCATCTACCTGTTGCTTCTAGATTTACCCTCCAGAGTTATCCAGAATGACTTATCCCTTCTAACCTTTCCGAGCCTCAGTTTCCTCTCTTAGACTAGGTGATCCCTGATGATGCTTCCAATGTAATATTCTTTTTTTTTGTGAGACAAAGTCTTGCTCTGTCACCCAGGCTGGAGTGCAGTGGCGCCATCTTGGCTCACTGCCACCTCTGCCTCCTGGGTTCAAGCGATTCTTGTGCCTCAGCCTCCTGAGTAGCTGGGACTACAGGCACACGCCACCACACTTGGCTAATTTTAGTATTCTTAGTAGAGGTGGGGTTTCACTATGTTGGCCAGGCTGGTCTTGAACTCCTGACCTCAGTGCTTCCAATGTGATATTCTAAGGTACCCACCACCTACTCTTCAGAGCAGCCTACCAGGGAATCAGGCAAAGGGAATCATATTAATGGGAACCTCCCAAGCTCAAGGCTCTTCCTGTGACTGGGTAAATAAGTGATCTTGTTCCATTGCCTCAGCCTTCTGGTCTTTATCCCCAGGGCTGCTACCCTGGAAAAGGAAGTGGCCGGGTTGCGGGAGAAGATCCACCACTTGGATGACATGCTCAAGAGCCAGCAGCGGAAAGTCCGGCAAATGATAGAGCAGGTAAGTTGGGCTGGTTTGTAACCTGCCCTCGGGGAGTCACCCCAAGTCTATGCTCTTATTTGTTTCCTAGGGAGCTTGACTTATATTCATGCATTTCCCATGTCAAACATTTATAGCTACCAATTACCAGGTTCAGGTTATTAGGATTTGCTTTTCTCCCATCTTTCCCCTACTGTTTTGTTTGTTTGTTTGCCATTTGGCCTCTGCTTTCCAATAGGAAAGGAAGGAAAAGGTTAATTTGTCATATACTCTGTGAAGAGTGTGGGTAAATGAGTAGTTGAGTCATAATAAACTCTGTTATCTGTGCAGATTATCAGTCTTTGAGCCTCATGGCTGCTTTCCTGCCTTACCCCACCTGAGCTTGAGGGTAGCATACTTAGGATTTGTCTATTTGCAGAATTGTTTTGAGAGCCTAAGGCCCCATAACTGGGAGGCTGTATGTGCTTCATGTCAGCTCCATTAGTGTCTGTTTTATTTAGTGCTGTTTTCCATTATCTCGAACAGAGTCAGTCATATAGTAAGTACTCAATAAATATGTCTTGAATGAAAAAATAATTTGTATTTTCCAAAGCCATATGGAATGGGTTTTGTCATTCATTATTTTGGATTCTCAGGGTGGTATTCCCCTCACACACTCCTCACTCCCACCCCTGGGATAATCAAGAGTCTAATATTGACTGAAAGGAGGCCTTTGTAGAAAAGCTAATGAAGTCATATGGAGTTGCAGGGCTCTGCTGCCTTCCCCAGCAGCTGGGGTGAAGTCTGGTGAGTGTGTAATGAGTCATTGCAAAATGAGCTCCAGTGTCTCCCACACCTTTGCAGCTCCAGAATTCAAAAGCTGTGATCCAGTCAAAGGACGCCACCATCCAGGAGCTCAAGGAGAAAATCGCCTATCTGGAGGCAGAGGTGTGTGTGCTGGGCAGCCCAGCAGGGGAACAGGACTCTTGAAGAGAAGGTGGACATAAGGGAGACAGAGGTTATGGGAGGGGTCTTTGTCATGTCTTGCTGTTGCTCTGAAGTGAATACCTAGGGTGGTTGGTTGACTTTCAGTTCAGCTGAATAAACATTTTCTGAGAACCTTCAGGAAGCTGCTAACAATGATGAGATGACCACCCCCCTGGCCCCACCTTCAACGGACATGTCATCATGGTGCAAGCCACATGCCATGGCTGCACACGGCTAATTCTGACCCTCCAGGCTTTGCAAAGGAGCTGGCAGTGGTGCTGGGCTGTGAAGGAGGAGGAGGCATTCATACAGATGGAGCCTTTTCCAGGGCTAGATTACGTAACGAGTTGCCTTCCTAGTCTAATTTCCACTTTGCCACAGGGCCCTACCTGTCTGTTGACTACCTGAAGATCACTTTGCGAACGCTCTGTGAAGATCCCCTGTAGTGAGGGAGAAAAATGGGAGAAAGGGTTATCTTTAGAGAGTTTGCAGTCTATAGTCAGAGATAAAATGTGTATTTTTAAAAAGACCAAAGAATGCTTTATAGAATAGCGTATCAACAAAGGCAAGTGAGTATCTCAACTGAGGACAAAAAATTATATATAGGGGCCAGGTGCAGTGGCTCATGCCTGTAATCCCAGCACTTAGGGAGGTTGAGGCGGTAGGATTGCTCGAGGCCAGGAGTTCAAGACCTAGGCAACATAGTGAGACTTTGTCTCTGAAAAAGAAAAAATTTTTTTAATTAACCAGATGTGGTGGCATGCATCTGTAGTCCAGTTACTTGGGAGACTTAAAGGAGAGGATCACTTGAACCCAGGAGGTCGAGGCTGCAGTGAGCTATAATCACGCCACTGCACTCCAGCCTGGGCAACAGAGTGAGACCCTATCTCAAAAAAAAAAAAAAAAAAAAAAGAACTGTATGTAGAGGACATATAGGAAACCATCAGTCTGTCAGTGTTGTACAGAGTTATGGAGGAGCAGGTATTGGAGGATAAGCGCAATCTATGGTAATGAAGATGAGGCAAGTGGGTATCCAGGTGGTGGCACGCATGGTGGGGGTAGAGGCAACAGCAGCATAAACACAGGCAGAGAGACCAGAATGCACTAGCTGAACGTGGCACCCGGGAAGCCAGAAAAAGGCCAACTCTAACCCCTAAGCTTGTGTTACAGAATTTAGAGATGCATGACCGGATGGAACACCTGATAGAAAAACAAATCAGTCATGGCAACTTCAGCACCCAGGCCCGGGCCAAGACAGAGAACCCGGGCAGGTGAGTGAGCGTGTGTAGATAGAATGGGGCCAGGGAGGAGGGGAGAAGGAGGGACAGAGCTCTGTAGAACCTTTAGTGCTAAGGCAAGAACAAGGCTCCTTTAAATCCAACTTTCCTCCCTCAGTCTGACCCACTGTTTGCCGGAACCATTTTCTAGCCCAATTAGAGTAGAACCTGTTAACACAAGCCCAGGGAGGTCCATGAATGGCTTCTAGAGATGTATGAACCACCTGAAATGGTAGGAAAAATTTAGTTATAATGTTTGCATATTTCTAGGGAGAGGGTATTTTGCCTCTAAGAGATTCAGAAAAGGACCCATGATCTTGACAAAATCGAGAATCACAGCTATATCCACTTCTCAGTTGTTTAACTGCCCCTCTCTTTTCTTCACCCTTGCTACAAGACACATGTATCATGCCCCAAATCTTCCCCTAGTTGTCACTGATAATTACTGTTTTAAAGCACTTGGAACCCAAGTGATCAGCCAGCACTGCAGTGTAAGATTCCAGAGGCCAATGTGAAGATTCCAGGGGCTCTGTGAAGGGTGGGCCACAACACAGCTGTTCCCAGCACAACTCAGTGTTTCCAACCTTCTTTTCAGTATTAGGATATCCAAGCCGCCTAGCCCGAAGCCCATGCCTGTCATCCGAGTGGTGGAAACCTGAGCTGCCTGGAGATGGTTGCTGCCATTGCTGCTGCCTCTGCCTCGGAGAAGCCCACTGCCCCTGTTGGCTGTTAACACTGCCTTTGACTTCCTGACTGTCCCCTGGCTGCACCCAGGACTTCGGGCTCCTGTGTCTCACCATTCCCAAGCCCCTGGCCACTCTAAGCTGGGCAGACGGAGCACGAGCACCTATTCAAGGCACTGCAGCCCTTTGGAAGACATTGTCCTGCAAGCAGGAGCCAGGGCAATATCTATATTCCTACAGTGACTATTTTTCTCTGTAGAGAGCCTCCCTTCTGTTGTAGACTGGACTCTGGCTGTGCCATAAGCCAGGCCTTCATCAGATTGGGAGAGGTGACAAGATTTGCCTCAGCCCTAAAAGCTGGAGACACAGATGTCCAGAGTGATTGGAGAATGTCCTGGGGGAATGAAGTTCCTTCCACAAACACAGCTCAGTTCTTAGCAACAAACTGTTTGTTTTTCTACTTGCTCCATCTGCAGCCTACGCTGCCCTGGCCTCCTGCAGACAGATAGTGGGGTTACCTGGCAAGGCCTGGTGAGAGCCAGTGAACCTAAGCTTTGACTGGGTGGCCTTGTCTTTCTGGGGAGGAGGGAATGTACATTCAGGGAGTAGCCTTTTGCGGAAAAATTCTCTAGGGCTACAGACAGTCATGTGTGACTTCTCTCTGCTGTGAAAACTCCCAGAGTCTCTTTAGGGATTTTCCCTAAGGTGTACCACCAGGCACACCTCAGTCTTCTTGACCCAGAGCCTGAAAACTGTTTTCACTGGGTTCCACCAGTCCCAGCAAAATCCTCTTTGTATTTATTTTGCTAAGTTATTGGTGGTTTTGCTTACATCTCATGATTGATATAATACCAAAGTTCTATAGCCTTCTCTTGCAGTATTTGGATTTGCTTGAAACCGGGAAAACTGTTCCCATTAGGCTTGTTAATGTCAGAGTGACACTATTATGAATCTTTCTCTCCCTTTCCTCTGCCTGTTTCTTCTCTCTTTCTCCTTCAAACTTGCTCTGCAGCTAAGGAAGGTGAGTCTACTTTCCCTGAGGCTTTGGGGTCAGAGTATATGTTGTTTGGAGAAAGAGGGCAATCAGGACTCTTCTGGGACCCAGATGAGTTCTTCACTAGCCCTTCTGAACCCCTTGCTCCATAATTGGTCTTTTATCCTGGCTCTGAATGACCCTGCAGGTCATCATGGTTTTCTTTTTTTATTGTTTTTTTTTTTTTCTGAGACAGAGTCTCACTCTGTCACCCAGGCTGGAGTGCAGTGGCGCGATCTCAGCTCACTGCAACCTCTGCCTCCCGGATTTAAGCGATTCTTCTGCCTCAGCCTCCCGAGTAGCTGGGACTACAGGTGTGCCACCACGCCTGGCTGATTTTTGTATTTTTAGTAGAGATGGGGTTTCACCATACTGGCTAGGCTGGTCTCGAATTCCTGACCTCAGGTGATCCACCCACCTCGGCTTCCCAAAGTGCTAGGATTATAGGCTTGAGCTACTGCGCCCGGCCCATGGTGTTTTTCTTTAGGGCTCTTCCTACAACCTTGAGAAGTAGATAGGCATCAGAGTATGGTACTATAGGAATCAGAAAAATTCAAAACAAATGTGGATTAAGTGTTTAGGCTCTATGTGGCTCACGCAGCCAGAATCCTTAAGTCTGTGTGTTTCTGTGTCTCAAGACTGGGCTCACATTCTGGCTTTGTCCATAACAATGCTCTGGGATTTCAGGGAGTTCCCTCATTTGTAAAATGAGGGGGTCAGAGCAGGTGATATCCATGTTTCTTCCCTTTCTGATATTGTTGTCTGTGGCATATTCTTTGTATGGCGAATTTAATAAATTATATTAATGTGTCTCTTTGACCTCCTGGTCTGGTTTCCTTTCACTTTTCAGGGAGGATGAAAGAAGAACATTTTAGTGCTTCTTGGAAGATGGGCACCCTGTTATCCACATGTGGGAGGTGTGGTCCAAACATCCCAAATGCCATGATATGAGGACTTTGTGGCATTTATAGAGGTATTAGAAGAAGCTCACCTCCGTGCTCTGAGTCGTGATTGTAGGAGGCAGCCCCTAACTTTAGCTTTGACCCTCTCTGGAGCAATGGCCTTGTAGGATCCCTAAGCCTGGCCGCATTGTGTCTCATTTGGAAGAGATAGAGGTAGAGTCCTGTGATTACATAGAGATAGAACAGCAGCACTGGAGGTAGATGAGTAACTGCATGCCTTCTGCAGAAATGAAAAGCACTCTGGAAATGCTGACTGCAGCTGTTCAAGGGGGTTCGTTTCTGGCTGTCTCTGGGCATCATTCAATTAGTCTCATGATTTTTTTTTTCCTTTCTGCCAAGAAGGCAGTTGACTGCAGGGCCAAATGGGGACATAGCTGAATTTACATGAATCTTCTCTGGGCCAAAGAAACCAGAAACACAACAACCCCTCATCCCTGGCTTGTTTCCTTTCTAGCTCCCATTTCTCTTCTTCAATTGAAAGAGTGTACATTTTTCTCTGATTTCTTCCCCCTTCTCCTGCTTCTCAGCCAATTCACACCACAGGCTTCAAACACATTGGAAACCTCTTTCCTTTGCAGACCCGGATTTGTCTTCTGACACCCGTGGCTCTCTTCTTTCTCTGGCAGTCTTGTTTGGCATGGCTAGATCTAGACTGTACTTGCTCTTAGAATATTAACAGGGTGGAAGCAGGGCGGGGTTGACCAAGGTGCCAAGAAGACTCACAGGGCTGGAGGAATACTGGAGTGAGTGTGCTGCCATACATGAAAGGGAGGCTCCCGCCGGGCCTCCTGTGCTCAGTGGGAGGAACCAAGATTTGGGTTGCAGATAATGGAGCAGTCTGGAGGCATTCCAGAGACTCGAACCAGGGGTCTAAGAGAGTCCTTGGACAAAAACATGCCACTGGTGTATATTTCCTAGAGTTTAGTTATGCCACAACCAAAGAGAGTAGGGGCATGACACAGGGGAGCGGGGGGCACAGGTTTGGAAAGGGAATGTAGTCAGGGAAATACAGTTTGTATCTTGGTGATCTTGTCAATTAGAGACGGAGAATGGGGAACTGGAGGAGAATGAGATGGTGTTCAGGGCCTAAAGAAAAGGTGTGGCGAGTAAGGCTCTTGGCTTTAGTGGCCTGTTTATTGCCTATGTTTTGTCATTTTTAAGCCAACTCCTCTGTGCTGCCTTAATATTTTGTGGAGGGAGGATAGAGTCTGATTCCCTGGGACCTCTGCCATGAAGGCCTGTTTCTTTGAGCTGGGTGTTGAGAGCTGCTCAGACATGCAGCCGTCATCAACAGCGTCCTGTAAACCTGGAGCGTCAGCCCAGCACGGGAAAAGAAGCAGCAGCACCCTGCCTGCCGAACAACTGCCCCATCTTCCCCATCTTCGTCTGTTCTTTCCCCTGCACAGAAAAAAGCCTGGCAGTGACACAGTATTTCAACCAAATGGTGCATTGGAACCTTTTTCAAACTAAATTTCTAAGGCCAAGAATTGATTGGCTCATTTTCATCTCTATTTAAACGTACCTTTTGCTATGATATGTCCCACTAGGAAGTGTTTCCACTTTGGAAAGGAAAGGTGCTCTGACATGGCAGGAGTTAAAGCAACTTAATTAGGCTGGGCGCAGTGGCTCACGCCTGGTATCCCAGCACTTTGGGAGGCTGAGGTGGGCGGATCACTTGAGGCCAGGAGTTTTGAGACCAGCCTGGCCAACACAGTGAAACCCCGTCTCTACCAAAAAATAAAAAAATTAGCCAGGTGTGGTGTCGGGTGCCTGTAGTCCCATCTACTCAGAAGGCTGAGGCAGGAGAATCTCTTAAACCCCAGAGGCGTAGGTTGCAGTGAGCAGAGATCGCCCACTGCACTCCAGCCTGGGCGACAGAGCAAGACTCCGTCACACACACACACACAAAAGAAAAGCAACTTAATTTGAGGAGGGTAACAGCCTTTGGGTTGGAAAAGCAAGCAGCTTTCCCTCTTTAACCAGCTTTTTAGTGTGTGTTGCTGTTTTCTGCAGGGCCTCTAATAATCCCCTGGCTTCCTCATTCCTGAGAGCCAAGCATCACTGCGCTTGGGCCTGAGCTCCTTCAGGCTATGACTCAACAACAGGTGTTAGCCTAGGGCCCTTGGCCTCTTTTTTCATATTTCAGTTTAAGACTTTAGCTTTGCAAGGAGAAATTGTTTCCTGTCTTCCCTGTCCAAGTTCTAAGCAGGATGGCCTTGAAACTCCAAAGTTGGAGACCTAAATATTCTCTATTCCCTCTTTCTCCAAGGAAAATCCATACCCAGGCTGAAGATAAAGATGTTTCTTAAAGGTAATTTCTAGCACAGCATGCTCTGTAGCAGTGAGACCTACTTTAAACACAAAATGTGTGTGGCCTTTCTGCTGGAATTTCTCTTCTCCTGGAGCCCCCTGAGACACAGAATTGAGGGTAGATAGTAGCAGGATAATTAATTTCCTAAAAGGTGTTGGTCGCCAAGTCTTAGACCACAGGACCTCAGACAGCTGAGGGAAAGGAAGTCATGAGTACTCGTGACTTAATCTATCAATTCAGTGCTGATTACACACCCAGCCCTTCCTCCCACTAGGATTCCAGGCCCAAACTTGTATATGTCTGCAGGAATTTTATCCTCCTATGTATGTTTTGTTTTTATTTTATTTATTTTTTTGAGACAGAGTCTCACTCTGTCACCCAGGCTAGAGTGCAGTGGCATGATCTTGGCTCACTGCAACCTCTGCTATCCAGGTTCAACCAATTCTCCTGCCTCAGCCTCCCAAGTAGCCAGGACTACAGGTGTGTGCCACAATGCCTGGCTGATTTTTGTATTTTTAGTAGAAACACGGTTTCACCCTGTTGGCCAGACTGGCCTTGAACTCCTGGCCTCAGGTGAGCTGCCCTCCTCGGCCTCCCAAAGCGCTGGGATTACAGGTGTGAGCCATGACGCCCGGCCCTGTGTCTGTTTTATATCTGTCCATATGTGCTTGTGTGTGAACTGGCCTGCTATGTACAATATATTTCTTACTGTGGGAACAAATCTGAAGAACACTGGCTTAGAGGACAGACCTCTGTCCTTGGCTGTATTGTAATCTCAGGATCGAGGTCCAAAATGGACTTCCTTCCAAACTGCTCCCTGTCCCTTTATCCCTTATATCCAGTTTGTCAACAGGTCCTCACGTTTCCTCTGTTGAAATATCTCTCAGGGGCTGGGCGTGGTGGCTCATGCCTGTAATCCCAGCACTTTGGGAGGCCAAGGCGGGCAGATCACCTAAGGTCAGGAGTTCAAGACCAGCCTGACCAACACAGCGAAACCCCATCTCTACTAAAAATACAAAAATTAACTGGGTGTGATGGCGCACGCCTGTAATCCCAGCTACTTTGGAGGCTGAAGTAGGACAATCGCTTGAACCCAGGAGTGAGCTGAGATTGCGCCATTGCATTCCAGCCTGGGAGACAGAGCGAGACTCTGCTAAAAAAAAAAAAAAAAAAAAAAAAAAGAATATATTTCAGAAGTGTGCCTTCCCATGTTGACAGTCTCAACTCATCTCTTGAAGCCTAGATGACCACTGAAGCCAGTCCTTGCTGATCTCTACCTCTAGCCTCTTACCTGCCCCACATCTACCCTCCCCACCACTGTCATTTGAATCTTCCTGGAATGCAGTGTTCTTTCTGTCAGTCAGGGCTATTTAGCCAGGACAAAAGGAGGATGATAGCAGTTTCCAAAAAGATGAAGGTTGGTCTCTTGGGAGGAGCAGCAGCAGTTTTGCTCCAGAGGGCAGAATCTGGATGGTGTGGGGTGGTTGCAGGGAGATAGCCAAGAAACAAAAGAATCCATTGACAATTCGAGGAGGGTGGGCTGTCTTGGCAAGTAGCAAGTTTTCCTACACACACCAGCAGTATCTCAATTAGAAAACAACATAAAATATAACAAGAGATAGAAAATACCTAGGCATAAGCTTCATTTGAAATGTCAATGACCTATGTGAAGAAAATGACCACATTTTGTGGAGAAAGATGGGAAAACAATGAAGAAAAATTTTCCTGGATGGAAAATTAAAATTGTAAAGATGTCAATTCTTTATTTTTAGGCTTTGTGTAATTACAGTGAGTTACATTGTAATTCAATAGAGTCTTTTTAGAACTGGATATAATTATTTTAAAATTTCATCTGGAAGAATAAATGGGAAAATGGTAAAGAAAATTTGGAAGGCAGAGCTAATTTGGGAGGATTATTAGCCTTGGCAAATAGCAAAACATTATATAGCTTATACATCAATTTAAGAGACTAGCTAGGCAGAAATAGACTCAATTATACAGTATAAGCATTTAAAAAGGATAAAAGCAGCATTGCAACTTAACGGGGAAAAAGGTATTTGAACAGTTGGTTAAAAATTTGGGAAAAGGCTGGGCGCGGTGGCTCATGCCTGTAATCCCAGCACCCTGGGAGGCCGAGGAGGGTGGATCGCCTGAGGTCAGTTCAAGACTAGCCTGGCCAACATGGCAAAACCCTGTCTCTACTAAAAATACAAAAATCAGCCAGGCATGGTGGTGCACACCTGTAATTCCAGCTACTCAGGAGGCTGAGGCAGGAGAATTGCTCCAACCCAGAAGGCAGACGTGGCAGTGAGCCAAGTTCGTGACACTGCACTCCATCCTGGGCAACAGAGTGAGACTCCATCTCAAAATAATAAGAATAATAATTGGGAAAAAGAAACTAAACAGCATACCTAAATTCTATATAAATTAATTAAATATTACAAATTGTAGAAAAACTACAAGAAAATAAAATTGAATATCAAATCCAAAAGGAAATACATTTAGAATGTTAGTATTGAAGGTCATGAAGGAACATATTTTTAGTTCATAAAAATGTAAAATTTCTGAATTAAACTAAAGGCCCAAAGAATGAAGAATTATTAGTGACAAATGTGGTGAACAGGCAACATTTTTATTGATCAGCTCAAACAAATTGATACAATTACTAAGATTTTACTAGATCAGTGGTCAGGAAAAGAATAGTTCATCAAAAAATTCATATTCTGGCCAGGCGTGGTGGCTCACGCCTGTAATCTCAGCACTTTGGGAGGCCAAGGTGGGTGGATCACCTGAGGTCAGGAGTTCGAGGCCATCCTGGCCAACATGATGAAACCCTGTCTCTACTAAAAATACAAAAATCAGCTGGACGTGGTGGTGCGTGCCTGTAGTCCCAGCTACTCAGGAGGCTGAGGCAGGAGGATCGCTTGAACCCAGGAGGCAGAGGTTGCAGCGAGCTGAGATTGTGGCACTGCACTCCAGCCTGGGTGACCGAGCGAGACTCCATCTCAAAAATAAGTAAATAAATTCGTATTATTTTTAATGCACATATTTATTAAGCTCCTGCTCTCTACAGGCCACCGTGTCTTTGACCAAGGATTCAGGTAGGGACACAGCAGCGAACAATACAACTTTGCTCTTGCCCTCAAACATCTTGTGTTAGGTAGGATAACATGGGCTAAAAGTTGGAGAAAATGTGACTGCAATTGGTTTAAACAACAAAGGACCAGTGTTTCTGGTTGAGGTGACAGAAAAGTTCAGAGACACTTTAGACTCAAGTGAGCCTGCATAGAGAAGCTTGAGGTCTCACCAAATACCCAGCTTCTTTTCATTTCTTCTCTCTGCAGAAGAGGTTTGTTGCAGTGCTTATTATAATCATATAAAATGGGAAACAACATGTGTCCAACAATAGAGAAATGGGTAAGTAAATGAGGATGCAGTCACTCTGGGACATTATGCATTCACTACAAATGGCTGTTATGAAGACTATGTCGCATCAGGGAGCAGTGCTTAGAATGTTAAATGAAAAAAGTAGGACACAAAATTTTATGAACATTTATGACAGCTTTGCAAAACAAAATGTTTCTGGAAAGCCTAGAAATAAATATACCTAAATGCTAATCATGTTAGCGGGGTGGGTTTTGCCTTTGTTTTTGTCTTCTGTTACCTTTATTCTTTTATCTAAATTTTCTAGAGTGTTTACTCTCTCTCCAGCTAGGCTGTGTTCTCACTGCCTTCTGCACATACTGGGATCATTCCTGTCTTTGTACAATTGCTGGTGTTATTTCTTTTACCAGCAATGCCTTCCTCTTTTGACCTATTAATCCATTAAATATTTACTGATAATCGAATCAAGGGTATTGTATAGCTTATGCAAGATAATGTATTTGAAAACACTTTTGTAAAGTGCTTCACAGATGTTACTTGTTATTGTTAGGTGGAAAAAGAGGAGGAGGAGGAAGAGAAAGAACCTATTATTTGCATGATATTGAGCCAGGTACCGTAGGGGATGTCTGGATGGAAAATATAGAACAGGGTTGTAGCCTTCCAGAAGTTTGCACTTGTCAGATGGATGGGAGAAAAACAGCAGCATGTGAAATAGGTGAATAGTCATGGAACATGTGAAATGCTAATATGAGAGAAGGGTGGAGAGGCTGTGGAGCTAGAACTAGGCTCCGAAGGATTTGGGCAGGTAGATCGGCAGGAAGAAAGCTTGAGTTGGAAATGAATGTGGCATATGTGGGGGATGGTGAGCCCAGCTGAAGAGACCTTTGGGAAAGTGGCAAGAGGGCAAGGAGAGACAAATGGAGTGGGCCTTCTGGGAAGAGTCTGGACTCTAATCTTTATTCTTATTTTTACTTTATTTTATTTTATGTTTGAGACGGTGTCTTGCTTTGTCACCCAGGCTGGAGTGCAGTGGTGTAATCTCAGCTCACTGCAACCTCCTACTCCCTGGTTCAAACGATTCTCCTGTCTCAGCCTCCCAAGTAGCTGGGATTACAGGTGCGCACCACCATGCCTGGCTAATTTTTGTATTTTTGTAATTTTAGAGACAGGGCTTCACCACGTTGGCCAGGCTGGTCTTGAACTCTTGACCTCAAGTGATTTGCCTGCCTCGGCCTCCCAAAGTGCTGGGATTACAGGGATGAGCCACCACACCCAGCCTGGACTCTAATCTTTAAAGTGAAAGGTCTCCATTAGAGGTTTTTGTTTGTTTTTGTTTAAACTAGTATGTAAGTTCTGTCAAGGCAGGGATTTTTCTTGCCTGTCTTGTTCAACACTGAATCCCTAGTATCTAGAAGAGTGGCCCCTGGCACATAGTAGATGCACAATAAATATTAGTTGAAGAGAAGTTGGAATGAATGAATCACTAGAGTGACATGATAAAATAAGAAGGCTAATCCCAAAGAGGCAAAGAGCATGGATTGAAAAGGTAAAGGCTGGCAGCAAGGAAACAAGTAATAGATGTTAGGGCACCTCCAGGCATGAAGCAATGAGGGGCTGAACTGCGATAATGGCCACTGGACTGGAAAGAAAGGGACTGGTGGTGTGAGAGTCACTGGGAAAGAACTGATAGGCCTTGGTGACTGACCAACTGGTGTAGGAGAAAAGGAGAGGAAATAATGAAAGATAACATCAAAGAAAGTTCCTCATTCTTCAAGACTTAACCTGTGTTCTCTTTCGTGAAGCCCTCCCAGAATTCTCAAGCCTGTGTTGTGTTCCCTTTCTGCTCAACACAGATCATCTGTATTACCCTGTTGTAGGATGTCATAATGTACTGTCTTCCATTATAATTCGGACTTTGCATGTGTTTGTTTCCCCAGAGAGACTGCAAGCTTTTAAAGGTCAGGGATATCTCTAATTCCACAGTGCCTAGCCCTAATAGTGCCACAAAGTAGATGGTTAATACGTGCTTACTGATTTAGAACAAGTTTATTCAATCAAGCCATCCTGGGCCGCGTCAGGATGGCTTTGAATGTGGCCCAATGCAAATTTGTAAACTTTCTTAAAACATTGAGATTCTTTTGCAGTTTTTTTTAAGCTCATTGTCTATTGTTAGTGTTAGTGTATTTTATGTGTAGTCCAAGATAATTCTTCTTCTTCCATTGTGGCCCAGGGAAGTCAAAAGATTGAACAGCCCTGATTTAGAAGAAACCTGTATTTTTTTCATCATAAAGAGGCATTTCTGTTTGTTTTTTTTTTTAAATTATTGTTTTCATTTTCTTTCTTAGTTGGCCCTAGGGAATGAGGAAGAGACAGATTCTGGGACCAATATCCTCCTTACGGGAGAGTCAAATGCCAGCTATTATCATTGCCATCAGCAATAAATAATCTTATTCATGCATTCATTCACTTGTTCTTGTATTCAGTCATTCAACAATAGGGGAATAGTGTAGCATAGAGTTTAAGGAGTTAGCATGGGCTTTGGATCTTGCTCATAATCTTAGATATGTTACTGGCCATACTAGTTTGGAAAAGTTATTTAAGCTCTCTAAGCCTTAATTTCCTAATCTATAAAACCAAAATAATAATGCCTATCTAATAAGAACATTTACCAAGTGCTTACATGCACTGTCATTTAATCCCCATTTTACAGATGAGGGATTGAGACATAGTAAGTCACTTGTCCAAGGATGCACAGGTAGAAAGTGTCAAACCAGTTCTAGGTCATAGGTGATTCGATTCCAGAGCACTTGTGCTTAGTGCCATGCCTGACAATCTCATGGGTGTGGCAGTGGCCAGCACAAAGCCATATGAGGGGATCCTATGTGGCACGTTTGGCATGTAGCACATGCTAAATATGTTAATAATTGTCAATAAGTATTTTTTGGCCCAGCACAGTGGCTCATGCCTATAATCCCAACATTTTGGGAGGCCGAGGCGGGCATTTTACCTGAGGTCAGGAGTTCAAGACCAGCCTGGCCAACATGGTGAAACCCCATCTCTTCCAAAAATACAAAAATTAGCTGGGTGTGGTGGCATGTGCCTGTAATCCCAGTTACTCAGGAGGCTAAGGCAGGAGAATTGCTTGAACCTGGGAGGCAGAGGTTGCAGTGAACTGAGATCACGCCATCGCACTCCAGCCTGGGCAACAAGAGTGAAACTCCATCTCAAAAACAAATAATAAATAAATAATAACTAAATAAATAATTTTTTTTAGCATTCAATGTCAGAGAAGATATAGGGCATGGCTTTGAGGATGTGAAGAGGAAAAGATACACAGACTCTGCTCTCAAGTTGCCACCAGTCTAGTAGTGCCACCAGACACTGGTGTAAACCAAAAATAAAAATCTAAGCCTCCCCAACTATCTGAATGGACCCGTCTTCTCAGCCAAGGGCATTCCAAAGTTAACCTGAAAAACTAGTTCAGGTCCTGATTAGAAGCAGGAGCTGGACATACCTCATCATAACCCTCATCCCTTTTGGAATTACTGATGGAACAGACTCTTTAAGTCTGATAAGAAACATTTACAATCTATTGTTTCTGAAGCCTGCTACCTGGAGGCTTCATCTGTATGATAGAAGGTTGGTCTCACAATCCCTTATCTTGACTCAGATATTCCTTTCTATTGATTCTAATTCTATTGATTCCTGACATAGCACTCAGGAGATCCTGAGAACATGTGCCCAAGGTGGTCAGGCCACAACTTGGTTTTACACATTTTAGGGAGACATAAGGCATCAATCAGTACATGTAAGGATGTACATCGGTTTAGTAAAGAAAGGTGGGACAACTGGAAGGGGGTTGGGGGAGCTTCCAGGTCATAGGTAGATTCAAAGCTTTTCTGACTGGCAATTGGTTGAAAGAGTTAAGTTACTGTCTAAAGACTTGGAATCAGCTGGGTGCTTACATGTACTGATTGATGCCTTATGTCTCCCTAAAATGTGTAAAACCAAGTTGTGGCCTGACCACTTTGGGCACATGTTCTCAGGATCTCCTGAGTGCTATGTCACAGGCCATTGGTCCCTCATATTTGACTCAGAATAAATCTCTTCAAATATTCTATAGTTTGTCTCTTTTCATTGACACTTGTATGCCAAGAGGCAGACAATCATAAACTACCACTGCTAAAAGAAACCTTAGAAAGCATCCGATCCAACTCCCTCATTTGACAGATGAGTAAACCGAGGCCCAATGGCGGGGGTGGGGGAGTGAATTACTTTAGGTTGAAATTTGGACAAAAATCTAGATCTACACTGGAGTGCAGTGTCCTTGACCTAAGGAAAGTTCAAAAAGCGGCAGAGAGATGGTCCCTATCCGAGGCCTGCGTGCACTTACAAAGTAGCTTCCTGGGGAAGCAGAAGCGGTTTGGGGAGGGGGCGGGCCAGGGGAGTGGCTGACGGGGAGAGCTCAGCCTTTAGCCAGACCCTCCGGGATCCCCTGGGATCACTTGGCTCACTCGAGTACACAACCCTTTTGCATCTTGTGTACTTCTAAATTTCAAATGGTGACTTCCTCTCCCTTCCCTGTCTTTTAATAAGGGTGTGGGGTAGCGGGGAGATTCTATTCCTGTCTACTTCTCTAACTGTTGCAGGTTCTTAGCTGAAGGACCCAATCTCTCTGATCCTCAGGCTCCTTCAAAACAAAACAAAACAAAACAAAACAAAACAAAACAAAACAAAACGAGAAACCAGAAAAGTAGGGGATGGACTAAGTTCCCTTTTAGCTCTAAAATTCCATGGGTCTTCGGAGGGGAAGACAATGCTTTCAGAGCACGTTTAGCCGGTGAACCTGAAAACGAGGATTTTTTTCATTTGCGAAGTGGAGGTACTCCTGCGCGCCCAGGATGCAGCCACTAGAGGGCAGCAAGTCTTCCAGCACCTGTGCAGGTGGCCGCCGCCGGGCCCCACAGGAAGACAAGCAAGTTGTCTCTTCAGACCTGCCTGGGTCTCTGTAGTTTTCATGTTGTAAATCCTAAACTCAGTTCTTTAGCAAAGAGCAGCCAGCCAAATTAGGATGAGATGAGGGAGCCATTTTGTAAATTAGGCCTAGCACCAGAAGGATAAAAAAAGAGGCCTAAAAAGATACTGGATTCTAGGAAAGCAAATATTTTATGAAAAATTGAAAATGTGTCCGTGTCCTAGTTTAGTCTGCCTTACAGCTCACATCATCAGAGGCAGAGTTTTGAGAAGAACTGGGAGCATTTTAGGCCGGCTGCAGTGGCTCACACCTGTAATCCCAGCACTTTGGGAGGCCGAGGTGGGCGGATCACTTGAGGTCAGGAGTTCAAGACCAGCTTGGGCAACATGGCAAAACCCTGTCTCTACTAAAAATACAAAAAAATTAGCCGGGCATGATGGTGCATGCCTGTAGTCCCAGCTACTTGGGGGGCTGAGGTGGGAGGATCGCTTGAGTCCAGGAGGTTGAGGCTGCAGTGGGCTGAGATCGTGCCACAGCACTCCAGCCTGAGTGACAAAGTTAAACCTTGTCTCAAAACAAACAAACAAACAGACAGACAAAAACAAAAAACAAAAAACAAAACCCAAAAAACAGAAAAGAACTGGGAGCATTTTAAGACTGGTAAAAATTTTGGTAGACTGAAAGGTGATTGAAAAAAAACTAATTTGTAAGGCTCATGTGTTAGACCAGCTTTTCCTAGAGTTCCTTGGGAAGTTTCAGTTCATTTTGCTCATGCTTGTTTGTTTGTTTGTTTGTTTATCTTTGAGACAGAATCTCACTGTGTTGCCCAGACTGGAGTGCAGTGGCGCGATCTTGGCTCACTGCAACCTCCGCCTCCTGGGTTTAAGTGATTCTCCTGCCTCAGCCTCCTGGGTAGCTGGGATTACAGGCACGTGCCACCATGCCTGGCTAATTTTTGTATTTTTAGTAGAGATGGGGTTTCACCACGTTGGTCAGGCTGGTCTCCAACTCCTGACCTCATGATCCACCCACCTCAGCCTCCCAAAGTGCTGAGATTACAGGCATGAGCCACCGCGCCCGGCCTGCTCATGTTTAATAAGCCCTTACTCAGGAAGAATTGGTTCTGGAAGTTTCCAGAAAGTCCACCAAACCATACACTTATTTTTTTTTTTTCTGGAGAGGATGAAATAACCAGAATTATTACATATCCACTGAATAAAAGAGCACCAACCTGGGCTCCTTAAGGGGATAAAAGGAAGGACAGGACAGGTACGGTGGCTCACACCTATAATCCCAGCACTTTCGGAGGCTGAGGCAGATCACTTGAGGTCAGGAGTTCGAGATCAGCCTGGCCAAAATGGCAAAACCTCATCTCTACTAAAAATACAAGAATTAGCCGGGCGTGGTGGTGCATGCCTGAATCCCAGCTACTTGGGAGGCTGAGGCAGGAGAATCGCTTGAACCTGGGAGACGGAGTTTGCAGTGAGCCGAGATGGCACCACTGCACTCCAGCCTGGATGACAGAGGGAGACTCTGTCTCAAAAAAAAAAAAAAAAGGTAGGACAGGAAGCTCAGTGAGGGTGGCAAGGAGGGCTGGGTGCTGGCCTGGCTCATCCTACCATGATGAGGTCAAGTGGCCCCTTCACCTCTCTGAGTCTCGGTTCCCTCCTCTGTCAAATGGCAGGTTCTTCAGAGCTCCAATCAGCAATAATGACATTTCAAATCAACGCAGCTTCCCAAAAGATTCCAGATGACCTGTCCAATGGCCTTTCCAAATGTAGAAGGCCTGGATCCCTTGAGAAGACAGTTCTCACTAGCAGATTATAATCTTGTAGAAGATCTAGAACACTCATGGAACAAAGAGTTAAGGATATCATCTTCATCTAGAAAAATAGTGTTGCTTACTCAGCAGCAATAGGACTAGAACTTCAATTTGTTTTTGCCTTCCTTCTCCCTGGGCCACGGAGGGGTCATGGTCGGGATTAAGCTGCCTGTGGCTTTACTCGTTCAGTCTCATTTCTGGACCTCTGCTACCTTGCCAGTTGTTTCTGAGACACACCATGTCCTTCTTCACCTCTCTGCCTTTCCATGTGTGCTTCCTTCGGCCTGAAATTCTTTTCCCTGCCTTATCCTTCTGAGAAGCTCCTAGTCATCCTTCAAAACCCCACTCAAATGACATCTGTTTGGTGAAGTCTTCTCTGACTCCCCAGAGAATCCCCAGACAGAGTTAATCATCCCTTATCAGGGCTCCCACAGCAGCTGGCACAAAACTTATCACAATGTACACTACTTGTTTGTTTTCATGTCTGCCTCTCCCCCAGGCCTGAGAATTCCTAAGGGAAGGGGTTGATTATTCATCTTCATGTCTGCAGCCCTGGCCCAGTGCCTGGCAGGTAGTAGGGACCCAGTCAGTGCTGGCAGAACTGAAGTAAGTTCTCCTTCCTGTAACCAGCAGAGTGTTTTTCCAGGTGGCTGACCAGGATCACTGAGCAAAAGACAATCACTCCATGAGGCAGCCCTGGGGCACTTGCCTGGCATCAGGAGCTCAACGCAGAGAACTGAATGCTAATGTTTAATGTTTGTGCACTGGAGGGCACACATCATTCAAAATTTGATGGAGGCTGTTTAGAATCTATTTTAATCCCAGAAGATGACATGTAAGGAGAAATTTTCTGATAGTGTGATTAAGCTCTGGGACATGAGTTAAAGGGGTGGTGGGTGTTGCAATGTTGAAGGTCTTTATAGTCTCTGATTTTTTCAGAAAAGACTGTGTGGAGTGAGTAGCTGAAATGTGAATAGATGACCTCTGATTTTAAGGTTATGTAATGGGATTGGATAGGTCTCTTGCTCGCTCTGGGCATTGGACATGGTGTGGGGCTTTGGTAGCTTCAGGTGGAATGACCTGGCCCTCCATGAATGAGTGTTGAGGTTGGACACACGGCTGCCACTTCTCTGTACTGCTCCCCACAGCTTAGCCTCATCTGCAAACTTCGGAGGGATCAGTCCATATGAGTACATATGTGTTGTCAGTAAATAGACTTTTCCAGAGCTGCCAGTATCAGCTGGTGCTCTGTGCTTGTGCTTCTCTTTGGCTCTCTCTGCCTCCTGGTCCCAAAGGCTCTTGGCGTGGATATGGGGATAGCCAGCTGTATTGAAAAAGGATGACTACACAACAAAAGAAGAAAGGTGAGGGTCACCTTCAAGGGGAAAGGTAAGTGGGTGTCATGGTTGATTCCATTCCGTGCTGGGGACTCCCTTGCAGGGCGTTCCTTGGGGGTGGAATTTTTTGACTTGTGCTTTAGTCAAAACAACCATGGGTCTGAGGAAAGAGGAGAGGATGGCACATGAGTAGGACAGAAGTGATCGCTAAGGCTGGGAAATGGCTGTCACTCACATATTAAAATAGCCCAAAAGCCCAACATTAGGGTTATTAGTGAAAATTTTTTCAAGTTTAGCACAATTTTTTTGCTCTATATCTTAAATAGCCTCACCATTGTATTAAACATTTTTTATCGTGGAAAAATATACATAACATAAAATTTACTATTTTAGCCTTTTTTTTTTCTGAGACGGAGTCTCGCTCTGTTGCCCAGGCTGGAGTGCAGTGGCGGGATCTCGGCTCACTGCAAGCTCCGCCTCCCAGGTTCATGCCATTCTCGTGCCTCAGCCTCCCGAGTAGCTGGGACTACAGGCGCCCGCCACCACGCCCGGCTAATTTTTTGTATTTTTAGTAGAGATGGGGTTTCACTGTGTTAGCCAGGATGGTCTCGATCTCCTGATCTCGTGATCTGCCTGCTTCGGCCTCCCAAAGTCCTGGGATTACAGGCGTGAGCCACTGTGCCCGGCCTATTTTAGCCATTTTTAAGCATACAGTTCTGTGGCATTAAGTACATTCACATTGTTGTGCAATCAACACCACCATCTATCTCCAGAACTTTTTCATCTCCCCAACTGAAACTCTGAACTCCTTAAATAACAACTCTCCATTGCCCACTCCTCCTTCCCTCTGGCAACAGCCATTCTACTTTCTGTCTGTATAAATCTGGCTACTCTATGAACCTTATATAAAAGGAGTTATACAATATTTGTCGTTTTGTGACTAGCTTTTTCATTTAGTATAATGTCTTCAAGGTTCATCCATGTTGTAGCATGTGTCTCACTGTTTTTGCTTTTGTTTTGTTTTTTGAGACGGAATCTTGCTCTGTCACCCAGGCTGGGGTGCAGTGGCGCGATCTCGGCTCACTGCAACCTCTGTCTCCCAGGTTCAAGCGATTCTCCCGCCTCAGCCTCCCGAGTAGCTGGGATTACAGGCACCCGCCATTATGCCCGGCTAATTTTTGTATTTTTGTGGAGATGGAGTTTCACCATGTTGGCCGGGCTGGTCTTGAAATCCTGACCTCAGGTGATCCACCCGCCTTGGCCTCCCAAAGTGCTGGGATTACAAGTGTGAGCCACCACGCCCAGCATGTCTCACTGTTTTTTAATTAAACAATTTTGATAAGCATGTCCTGCAAAATCATATTTATTGAAATTTCTCCATCTGTAGTTTATAGTTGGAGGGAACAAACTAAAGAGAAGTGCATTGAATATAATTGGCTGCTTGTCCAACTCCATCCTCCCCTGTCCCCCTCACTCCCATCCTTCTTTGACCCCCGGTTTTGTTCTGGTATTCACTGGCAAGCTCCTCACACTGGGATGGGTCTACTCTTTGACCCAGGGGTAAGTTTTGATTAGTTTAAGTCAATCATGGCATTTTTTTGGCCAATGATTAGTTTAGCAGATTATCATGTGATATACTTTTGTCTCATGAGACATGAGAGAAAGCTGATGCAAGGCTACTCGAAAGGGTTTCTTGCTTTTCCAATAGACTCAGGATGAAATTTCCTCCCTCTCCCTCTCCCTCTCCCTCTCCCTCTCCCTCTCCCTCTCCCTCTCCCTCTCCCTCTCCCTCTCCCTCTCCCTCTCCCTCTCCCTCTCCCTCTCCCTCTCCCTCTCCCTCTCCCTCTCCCTCTCCCTCTCCCTCTCCCTCTCCCTCTCCCTCTCCCTCTCCCTCTCCCTCTCCCTCTCCCTCTCCCTCTCCCTCTCCCTCTCCCTCTCCCTCTCCCTCTCCCTCTCCCTCTCCCTCTCCCTCTCCCTCTCCCTCTCCCTCTCCCTCTCCCTCTCCCTCTCCCTCTCCCTCTCCCTCTCCCTCTCCCTCTCCCTCTCTCCACGGTCTCCTTCCACGGTCTCCCTCTGATGCCGAGCCAAAGCTGGACGGTACTGCTGCCATCTCGGCTCACTGCAACCTCCCTGCCTGATTCTCCTGCCTCAGCCTGCCGAGTGCCTGCGATTGCAGGCGCGCGCCGCCACGCCTGAGTGGTTTTCGTTTTTTTTTTGGTGGAGACGGGGTTTTGCTGTGTTGGCCGGGCTGGTCTCCAGCTCCTAACCGCGAGTGATCCGCCAGCCTCGGCCTCCCGAGGTGCCGGGATTGCAGACGGAGTCTCGTTCACTCAGTGCTCAATGGTGCCCAGGCTGGAGTGCAATGGCGTGATCTCGGCTCGCTACAACCTCCACCTCCCAGCCGCCTGCCTTGGCCCCCCAAAGTGCCGAGATTGCAGCCTCTGCCCAGCCGCCACCCCGTCTGGGAAGTGAGGAGCGTCTCTGCCTGCCCCCCCATCGTCTGGGATATGAGGAGCCTCTCTGCCTGGCTGCCCAGTCTGGAAAGTGAGGAGCGTCTCTGCCCGGCCGCCATCCCATCTAGGAAGCGAGGAGCGCCTCTTCCCCGCCGCCATCCCATCTAGGAAGTGAGGAGCGTCTCTGCCCGGCCGCCCATCGTCTGAGATGTGGGGAGCACCTCTGCCCCGCCGCCCTGTCTGGGATGTGAGGAGCGCCTCTGCTGGGCCGCAACCCTGTCTGGGAGGTGAGGAGCGTCTCTGCCCGGCTGCCCCGTCTGAGAAGTGAGGAAACCCTCTGCCTAGCAACCGCCCCGTCTGAGAAGTGAGGAGCCCCTCCGTCCGGCAGCCACCCCGTCTGGGAAGTGAGGAGCCCCTCCGCCTGGCAGCCACCCCGTCTGGAAAGTGAGGAGCGTCTCCGCCCGGCAGCCACCCCGTCCGGGAGGGAGGTGGGGGGGGTCAGCCCCCCGCCCGGCCAGCCGCCCCGTCCGGGAGGTGAGGGGCTCCTCTGCCCGGCCGCCCCTACTGGGAAGTGAGGAGCCCCTCTGCCCGGCCAGTCGCCCCGTCCAGGAGGGAGGTGGGGGGTCAGCCCCCCGCCCGGCCAGCCGCCCAGTCCGGGAGGTGAGGGGCGCCTCTGCCCGGCCGCCCCTACTGGGAAGTGAGGACCCCTCTGCCCGGCCAGCCGCCCCGTCCGGGAGGGAGGTGGGGGGGTCAGCCCCCCGCCCGGCCAGCCGCCCCGGCCGGGAGGGAGGTGGGGGGGGTCAGCCCCCCGCCCGGCCAGCCGCCCCGTCCGGGAGGGAGGTGGGGGGATCAGCCCCCCGCCTGGCCAGCCGCCCTGTCCGGGAGGTGAGGGGCGCCTCTGCCCGGCCGCCCCTACTGGGAAGTGAGGAGCCCCTCTGCCCGGCCAGCCGCCCCGTCCGGGAGGGAGGCGGGGGGGGGGGGGGTCGGCCAGCCGCCCTGTCCGGGAGGGAGGTGGGGGGGTCAGCCCCCCGCCCGGCCGGCCGCCCCATCCGGGAGGTGAGGGGCGCCTCTGCCCGGCCGCCCCTACTGGGAAGTGAGGACCCCTCTGCCCGGCCAGCCGCCCCATCCGGGAGGTGGGGGGCGCTTCTGCCCGGCCGCCCCTACTGGGAAGTGAGGAGCCCCTCTGCCCGGCCACGACCCCGTCTGGGAGGTGTGCCTAGCGGCTCATTGGGGATGGGCCATGATGACAATGGCAGTTTTGTGGAATAGAAAGGCGGGAAGGGTGGGGAAAAAATTGAGAAATCGGATGGTTGCCGGGTCTGTGTGGATAGAAGTAGACATGGGAGACTTTTCATTTTGTTCTGTACTAAGAAAAATTCTTCTGCCTTGGGATCCTGTTGATCTGTGACCTTATCCCCAACCCTGTGCTCTCTGAAACATGTGCTGTGTCCACTCAGGGTTAAATGGATTAAGGGCGGTGCAAGATGTGCTTTGTTAAACAGATGCTTGAAGGCAGCATGCTCGTTAAGAGTCATCACCACTCCCTAATCTCAAGTACCCAGGGACACAAACACTGCGGAAGGCCGCAGGGTCCTCTGCCTAGGAAAACCAGAGACCTTTGTTCACTTGTTTATCTGCTGACCTTCCCTCCACTGTTGTCCTATGACCCTGCCAAATCCCCCTCTGCGAGAAACACCCAAGAATGATCAATAAAAAAAAAAAAAAAAAAGAAATTTCCTATTTTCTGCTTCTCAGTGTTGTGGCCATGTGTGTTGGTGATACCTGGAGTTCAGCAAGCCATCTTGCCACCGTGAGAGGAGTTGGCCAATGGCCCAGATGATACACCAAAGATGGCAGAGGGGAGAGATGAAAAGGAATCTGGATCTTCTACGTGAATGAGTCACTAAATTAACCAACTCTGGGGGTGGGCGCAGTGGCTCACACCTGTAATCCCAGCACTTTGGGAGGCCAAAGCAAGTTGGACTGCTTGTGTCCAGGAGTTCAAGACCAGCCTCGGCAACATAGCGAAACCCCGTTTCTACAAAAACTACAAAATTAGCAGGGCGTGCTGGTATGTGCATGTGGTCCCAGCTACTGGGGAGGCTGAGGTGGGAGGATCACTTGAGCTCAGGAGGTTGAGGCTGCAGTGAGCCAAGATCTCACCACTCCACTCCAGCCTGGGTGACAGAAACAAACTCTGTCTCAAAAAAAAAAAAAAAAAAATTAACCAACTCTGGAACTCTCTACCTTTAATCCTGACATTTATGTGGGACCATAAATTTCTTTATTATTTACACTTTTGAATTTTCTATGCTTGTAGCCAAAAGCATTCTAAGGACGTATTAAAGATGAAAGCTAAACAGGAACCAAAGCAGAGGACCCAAGTCTCACACATTTTCCCATTGGATAATGCCAACAATGCAGAAACCTCATTGGTCTATTTGTTATGAGGTCTCCTGATCTATTGTATTATTTCTGTAGTGTTGGTCCTGGGAGGTAATTTCTAGGAAAAGGGACCCTTGGAAAATTGAGTTTGATTTTAAGAAAAAAAAGTGGGGGAAGTACTGGAAAAGAGGGAGAAACACAGTTAATAGAGTGACAATTGCCTAGATAGTTGCTGCTGGAAGGATAGTGAAAAATGATAATGATATTTGGGAGTGGCCTTTGAAGCATGACAGTCTGATGTAGTGAGAGGGCATGACAGAAAAAAAAGCCAGCCAGTGTGGCTGTAAGAGCCAGGGAACTTTTCTTTTTTTTTCTCTTTGAGATGGAGTTTCCCTCTCGTTGTCCAGGCTGGAGTGCAATGGTGCAATCTTGGCTTATCGCAACCTCTGCCTCCTGAGTTCAAGCGATTCTCCTGCCTCAGCCTCCTGAGTAGCTGGGATTACAGGCATGCGCCACTACGCCTGGCTAATTTTGTATTTTTAGTAGAGATGGGGTTTCTCCATGTTAGTCAGGCTGGTCTCGAACTCCTGACCTCAGGTGATCTGCCCGCCTCGGCATCCCAAAGTACTGGGATTACAGGCGTGAGCCACCGCGCTCAGCCAAAGCCAGGGAACTTTTCTTCCCAATGGGAAACCCAGTGAACCTCAGAGAGGTGATGTTATGGCAAAGTGGAAGACAGGGGCATGATATGAAGGTGACCAGGGAAAGGGAACACTACAGCTATAGAATGCTGATAGAGAGCCAACAGAATGATAATTACAAGCTAAGCTGACATAAATTCTCCCTCAAGTTAAACCTGTGCTGATTGTATTAGCTATTGTTTAGCGTCTACCCAGCAAGCTTTCTTCTTAGGCACATGACCTGGGCATGGGATCCAGGTTTGGATAATCATAGTTCTTCTAGAAACTTTATTTATTTACTTATTCACTTATTTAAAGACAGTGTCTCGGCCAGGCATGGTGGCTCATGCCTGTAATCCCAGTACTTTGGGAGGCCGAGGTGGGCGGATCACTTGAGGTTAGGAGTTCGAGACCAGCCTGGCCAACATGGTGAAACCCTGTCTCTACTAAAAATACAAAAATTAATTGGGCATGGTGGTACACGCCTGTAATCCCAGCTATTTGGGAGGCTGAGGCAGGAGAATAGCTTGAACCTCAGAGGCAGAGGTTGCAGTGAGGCGAGACCATGCCACTGCACTCCAGCTTGGGTGACAGAGTGAGACTCCATCTCAAAAAAAAAATAAATAAATAAATAAAATAAATAAAATAGCCGGGTGCGGTGGCTCACGACTGTAATCCCAGCACTTTGGGAGGCTGAGGCGGGAGGATCACGAGGTCAGGAGATCGAGATCATCCTGGTTAACACAGTGAAACCCCTCTCTACTAAAAATACAAAAGAAAAAAAAAATTGCCAGGTGTGGTGGCGGGCGCCTGTAGTCCCAGCTACTCAGGAGGCTGAGGCAGGAGAATGGCATGAACCCGGGATGAGCCGAGATCGTGCCACTGCACTCCAGCCTGGGCGACAGAGCGAGACTCCATCTCAAAATAAATAAATAAATAAAATAAAATAAAATAAAATAACACAAAATAAAGTCAGAGTCTTGTTGTGTCATCCAGGCTGGAGTGCAGTGGTGGGATCATAGCTCACTGCAGCCTCCAACTCCTGGGCTCAAGGGATCCTCCCATCCCAGCCTTCTGTGTAGCTAAGACTACAGGCATGTGCCACTATGCCTGGCTAATTTTAAAATTGTTTTGTAGAGACAGGGTCTTGCTATGTTTCCCAGACTGGTCTTGAACTCCTAGGCTCAAAAGATCCTCCTGAAACATCCTCCCAAAGTGCTAGGATTACAGGCATGAGCCACTACACCTGGCTGTGTGGTTTGTTATGTAGCTACAATTAACTGGAATACTCAATGTCCTCCTTAGCTATGTGAAGCAATACGTATTCTTTGCTTAAGTTAGTTTGAATTGAGTTTTTGTCACTTGCAACTAATCTTGACAATTACTTGCAAGGAATCTTGACTAATAAACTCTCTAGTCTCTAGGTATTATTCACTCCTTGTGAGTCAGTTACTCAGATTGCCAAAAAAGTAATTTTTCATGTGGTGTTCATGGAAAAAGTATAGAAAGGTAGTGAAGAGGAAAGAAGAGAGAATTAGGGTAAGGGCCTTAAACAAGGACCCCCTTTTTGTTCTCTTTAACCCATGAACCCATGGATAATGGATGTGTCATTGCCGTTTTTTTTTTTTTTTTTTTTTTTTGAGGCAAGGTCTCCCTCTGTAGCCCAGCCTGAAACGCAGTAGTGCAATCATAGCTCCCTGTAACCTCGACCTCCTGGGCTCAAGTGATCCTCCCGCCTCAGTTTTTTGAGCAGCTGGGACTACAGGCATGCACCACCACACCCAGCCAACTTTTAAAATTCTGTGGCAAGATGCGGTCTTGCTATGTTGGCCAGACTGGTCTTGAACTCAAGTGATACTTCCCGTCTTGGACCCACAAAGTGCTGGGATTACAGGTGTGAGCCACTGTGTCCAGTTCATTGCCTCTTTTAAACTATTTAATTTTTCTCCTTAGGGTTGAGTTCTGGCCACTGATTTGCTGAGTGACCTTTGACAAATCGCTGTACCTTGCTGGGTATGTTGCTTTTTCTGAAGGGTAGTGGTAGAGGGAGATATTTCTTTATCAGAAAAAATGAGCAAATGGGGCTAGATGTGATATTTGTTAGAATTATAAATAAAAGCAGCCGGGCGTAGTAGCTCATGCCTGTAATCCCAGCACTTTGGGAGGTGGAGATGGGTGGATCACTTGAGGTCAGGAGTTCACTGGCCAACACAGTGAAACCCCATCTCTACTAAAAATACAAAAATTAGGCTGGTATGGTGGTGCACGCCTATAATCCCAGCTACTCGGGAAGCTGAGGCAGGAGATTGGCTTGATCCCGGGAGGTGGAGGTTGCAGTGAGCCGAGATCTCGCCACCACTGCACTTCATCCTGGGCGACAAAGTGAGACTCTGTCTCAAAAAAAAAAAAAAAAAAAAAGGTGATGTGCTAAGCATTCTGCTAGGCATTTTCTACATATCGCTGATTTGATCCCCACCATGGCCGTATTAGCCACTTTTTGTCCTTTCCTAGACTTGTATTCTAGAAACACTTGTTCAGCTCCTTCTCTGTGCTTCTTATTCTCATACACTGTCAGGGCACAAGTCATGTATGACCAGTTCCTTGTCTTCAAGAAGCTTATATTCAGATTGGAAAAGTAAAGTTAAACTAGATATTAAATTGTTATGGTCTAAACTGTGCACTCCAGCCTGGGTGACAGAGTGAGACTCTGTTTATTTCTTTTTATTTTTTTGGGGGGTACAGAGTCTCAGGCTGGAGTGCAGTGGCACGATCTTGGCTCACTGCAACCTCTGCCTCCCAGGTTCAAGCAATTCTCCTGCCTCAGCCTCCCGAGTTGCTAGGATTATAAGTGGTAGCTAGGATTACAGCTACCATGCCACCACGCCTCGCTAATTTTTGTATTTTTGGTAGAGACGGGGTTTCATCATGTTGGCTGGGCTGGTCTTGAACTCCGGACCTCAGGTGATGTGCCTGCCTCGGCCTCCCAAAGTGCTGGGATTACAGGCATGAGCCACCATGCCCGGCAACTCTGTTTAAAAAAAAAAAAAAAAAAAAATTAAACGGAGTGGTACTGACCTAAATGCAGTAAGAGTTACATTAAATTACCCATTGCTGTGTAACACAGTACCACAAAGTTAGCAGCTTAAAGCAACAAGTATATACTATCTCACAGTTTCTATTGGTGTTAGGAGTCTGGGCTGGGCTTAACTGGGTCCTTGGCTCACGGCATCACAAGACTGCTTTCAAGGTGCCAGCTGGGCTGTGTTTCTTTGTGGAGCCCAGGATCCTCTTCTAAGTTCATGTGGTTGCTGGGAGAATTTCTTGAGGGTGTAGGACTGAGGACCCCAGTTTCTTGGTGTCAGCCCAGAGCCACACTGAGCACCTAGAGAGGGCCCTGCAGTTCCTACTGTGTGGCCCTCTCCACAGGCACTTCACAACATGGCAGCTTGCTTCCTCAAGGCTGGCACAAGTCTCCTGCTCTAGTCTGCTAAGAAGTGTTATATAATGTCATATAATCATGGGAGTGACACATCCTCACCTTTGCCATATTCTATTGCCTAGAAGCAAGTCACAGGTTCTACCCACACTCAAGAGGAAGGGATTACACAAGAGCATGACTCACTGAGGGGGATCACCTGAAGGTATATTTGCCTCAGGAATTTAGAAAAGAGGGATGTCAGAGTGAACTGGAGTCCCCAGGGGAGGCTTTATGGAAGGACTTCAGCCAGGTCTTAAAGGAAGAGTAGAATTTAGTTCAGCAAAGGGAAATAAAGAGGCAGAACATCTAGGACCAAAGAACTCCATGAGCAAAAGTATGGAGGTGGGATTCTCACCTAAGTAATTCCTACACAAAAAGGTAACAGAAACCTGACGACCTTGCAGATCACAAGGGGTAGGAGGAACTTTTTCTTATTGAACCAAAGGGAAGCTGGGTAGGGGAAGGAGAATGTCCTGGCTTAGTGTCAGAAAATTTGGGTTCAAGGTTCAGGTCTGGTATTAACTAGCAGTGTGACTGGGACCTGCTGGTTATCTGAGCCTAGCTTCTTGTGACCATTTCGATTGACTTTGTTATTGTGAGAACGAGACAAGCTCTTGGATGCAAAGTGCTCTGTCAATGGTCCAGATCCTATTTCTGAAAGCAGCATCATTGACTCCCACTCTCTCTGGGTCCCCCAGCCCCCTGGCTCCTCTTTCACTGGATGCTCTCCCTCTTTCAGTCTCCTAAATGGGGTGACCATGGGAGCAGATTCTCCACGTTCTGGACTTGGCACTCTTCTCATCTGACTGCACAGTATGTTTTGGGGTTCTCATCTACCACCACCCAGGGCTGATGGCTCCCAAATCTAAGTTCTGGCCCAGACTCCTTTCCCCAGGTCCACACTCATGTGTTCAACCAGTTGTTGGACAATTCCTCTGGGCTTTCCCAAAGGCCCCAAATTAAACTAATCTTCTTCTTGTTTAAATCAAACAAATTTAAACAAATTAAATTAATTTTCCCTGCAAACCTCTTCCGCTTCCTTTTTATGCCATGTCTTGGGGAATCACATCACCATGTCAGGAATCTTATGTCATTCCTTCCTCCCCTACCTTTGCACCTGAGATCCTAGTGGTCACCAAGTCCCTTCTCTCCTGTGCATCCCCCTCCTTGTATTCCCACCACTACTGCCCTAGTTGGCACCTCATTAATTCCCACTGGAATCACTGCAAATGCTTCATAACTGATCTTTCTATCTGACTTCATTCTCCACACATCCTGCAGCATGAACTTTTTGAAGCACAGATTTGTGAATGCCTGTGCTCTGCTTAAAAGCAATCAGAGGCCCCTCACTAATAAGGAATGAAATTCAAACTCCTGGGCATGATATTTGATTTTTTTTTTTTTTGAGACAGAGTCTTGCTCTGTTGCCCAGGCTGGAGTGCAGTGGCGCAATCTCGGCTCACTGCAAGCTCTGCCTCCTAGGTTCACGCCATTCTCCTGCCTCAGCCTCCCGAGTAGCTGGGACTACGGGTGCCCGCCACCATGCCCGGCTAATTTTTTTATTTTTTATTTTTTGTATTTTTAGTAGAGAAGGGGTTTCACCATGTTAGCCAGGATGGTCTCGATCTCCTGACCTCGTGATCCGCCCACCTCGGCCTCCCAAAGTGCCGGGATTACAGGCGTGAGCCACAGCGCCCGGCCGATATTCGATATTTTAAGCCCTCCTGGATCTGACTCTTGCCCACCTCCCCTGTCCACTTCCTGTCTCCTCTGCTCCAGTCCTACTGAACTGTGTGGTCTCACACTGTACTGTGTTCTTTCAAATCTCTGTGTGTTTGAATATGCTGTTTCCTTTGTCAGAAATGCCCTTCCACCACTATCCTTCTCTGCCGCAATTGCTAACTCTTCTCATCTGTAATCACTTAGCTCAGCTCTCCCATTTCGTGAGTCATCTTCCCTAACTCCTCCCTCTGGATACGTGGAAGTCCCTCCGATGTGCAATCCTAGCAGCTTGTGCAGGACTCTCCTCACAGCTCTCATCATGCTCTATTGCAATGGTTTTTTGTTTTCTCTCCTGCTAGATTGTGAATTCTCACCAGCAGTAATGGTGTCTTATTTTCTTTTGTTATTTTAATGCTCTGATCATCTTTTCTTCCAACCTGATCCTTTCTAAATATTTTTAAATTTATTTTTTGAATAGGCAACACTCATGTGACTGAAAATTCAGAAGTTACATAAAGGTATAAAGTGAAAAGTCTCTCTCCTACCCCTGTCCCCGCCTCTGACACCCTAGCTATCCAGTCTCCCTCCCCAGCAGCAATCAGTGTTATCAATTTCTTGTGAATACTTCTAAAGATATAAAAATATATATGGTTCCCTTTTATTTTATTATTATCTTTTTAGATGGAGTCTTGCTCTGTCGCCAGGCTGGAGTGCAGTGGCGTGATCTTGGCTCACTGCAACCTCCACCTCCCAGGTTCAAGCGATTCTCCTGCCTCAGCCTTCTGATGAATACAGGCACCTGCCATTATGCCCGGCTAATTTTTGTATTTGTTTTGTTTTGTTTGTTTTTGAGACAGAGTCTTGCTCTGTTGCCCAGGCTGGAGTGCAGTGGCACAATCTCAGCTCACTGCAACCTCCACCTCCCGGGTTCAAGTGATTCTTCTGCCTCAGCCTCCCGAGTAGCTGGGACTACAGGTGTGCACCACCACACCCGGCTAATTTTTGTATTTTTAGTGGAGACGGGGTTTCGCCATGTTAGCCAGGCTGGTCTCAAACTCCTGACCTCAGGTGATCCACCCACCTCGGCCTCCCAAAGTGTTGGGATTACAGGCGTGAGCCACCGTGCCTGGCCCATGGTTCCCGTTTTATATACAAATAGTATCATGTTGTATAGATTGTGCTGCACTTTGTTTTCACCAAATCATATATAGTATTGATGATATGATCATTCCATATAAGTGCATACAGAGCTTCCTTATTCTGTGTTTACATTGATTCAATTTTCCATTGTGGATACATTATGATTTAACAAATAAACATTAGGTTGTTTTCAGTCTTTTGTGAATACAAACAATGCTGCAATGACTTAACTTCATAAAAACATCACTTCACACATGTGCAAGTGTAACAGTAGAATGAACTCCTGGAAGTGGAATCGCCTTCAGTTTGAGGAATATGTGTATTTGTAAGTTTGACCATGTCCTGTTGCCTTTCGGGGACATTCAGTATATTTTTATCTAATTCAGAGTAGGCATTCAGTATATTTTTATCTAATAAACCAATGAAAAAATAACTCTTTTAGGGGAGGCTCCCTTCTTTTTCCTTTCTCTGATGCCTTGCTTTCCCCATCCAGTGCTCAGTTCAAACCAAATTATTCATATTCAATCCAAATGCCACTATTATTTTGGAGCAAAACTCTTATATCAACTTTATTGTGTAACTAGTCAAGATCCTTCTTCATTAGCTTGGTTGTAAAATAAGGTCATATTAATTTTTATGTTCTAATTATAATGACTTTGAGTCCTCATCCCATATTTTGTGAGATCTCATCTTTGTTTTTTGGAGACAGGATCTCACTCTGATGGTCAGGCTGGAGTACAGTGGTGTGATCTCAGCTCTCTGCAGCCTTGACCTCCTAGGCTGAAGCGATCCTCCCACCTAAACCTCCTAAGTAGCTGGGACTACAGGTATGTGCCATCATGCCCAGCTGCTTTTTTTTTTTTTTTAGATATAGTCTCGCTCAGCCACCAGCTAATTTTTTATTTTTTGTTGAGATGGGGTCTCACTATGTTGCCCAGTTTGGTCTTGAACTCCTGGGCTCAAGGAATCCTCCCACCTCGGTCTCCCAAAGTGCTGGTATTACAGGCATGAGCCACCACACCCAGCCTTTAAAAATTTGGGGGGACTCTTTTGTAATAACAGTTAGCTTAAAACACAAACACATTGTACAGATGTACAAAATATTTTCTTTCTTTATATCTTTATTCCATAAGCTTTTTTTCTATTTAAGGCAATTTTTAATTTTATGTTTTAAACTTTTTTTTTTGGTTAAAAACTAAGACTTAAACACAAACATAGCCTATGCCTACACCAGATCTGGATCATCAATTTCACTGTCTTCCACCTCCATCTCTTGTCTCACTGGAAGGTCTTCATGGGTAATAACATGCACAGAGCTGTCATCTGATGGTAACAATAACTGGGGCCAGGCACAGTGGCTCACACCTGTAATCCCAGCACTTTGGGAGGCTGAGGTGGTTGGATCACCTGAGGTCAGGAGTTCGAGACCAGCTTGGCCAACATGGTGAAACCCTGTCTCTACTAAAAATACCAAAAAATTAGCCAGGCATGGTGGCGCATGCGTTTAATCGCAAGGGATTTGGGAGGCTGAGGCAGGAGAATCACTTGAACCTGGGAGGCAGAGGTTGCGGTGAGCCGATATCGTGCCATTGCATTCCAGCCTGGGCGATAAGAGCGAAACTCCATCTTAAAAAAAAAAAAAACAAAAAAACAAAACAAAACAAAAAAACACAATACTTGGAATACGTGGAAAAAAATCACAATACTTAGAATACCTAGAATACCTTCTGAAGGACCTGCCTGAGGCTGCTTTACAGTTAACTTAAAAAAAAAAGTAGAAGGAGTACACTCTAAAATAGTGATAAAAACTACAGTGAATTCATAAACTAGTAACATAGTTCTTACCATTATCAAGTATTATGTACTGTACATAATCATATGTGCTATACTTTCACATGACTGGCAGTGCAGGTTTGTTAACACCAGCATCACTCCAAACATGTGAGTAATGCTTGTGCTATGACCTTATGGTGGCTACTGTGCCACTAGGTGATAGACATTTTTCAGCTCCATTATCATCTTAGGGGGCCTCCCTCGTGTTTGCAGTCCATTGTAGACCAAAATGTCCTTATGTGGCACATGACTGTAGTTGCAATACAGGACAAGAAAGTTGCACAATAACTGGGCCTTAGTTCCTGATACTTAGTAGCTGGATGACTTTGAGCACTCTAAGGTTGTTTCCTAATAACGTAAAATAGGGAAGCTAATCGTGATCCGGTTGCCTCACAGGTTGTTGGGCCCTGGTCAACATATAAGTTACTGTGCCAAAAAATGAGTTGATATAATTTAAGACTGTGTTGAATCACAAACGTTAAGTTATTCTAACATTATTGTTTTTTAGAGGTTATGAAATGAAAGGGGGGGGGGCGAAAAACTTGGTCCGCATCAAGAACTGAATCATTTTACCACGCTGGGTGCTGGGTTATACTCTCCCCACCCAGCAGATCAAACTCCTAACCCAGCATGAAAGATAAACTACAACTCCCGGCAGGCCTTGCTTCCGAACTGCGTCTTATAACCTCGGCTCAGGCCCAGGCCCAGACCGCTCCCCGCCCCCGCCACCCATAAACTACATCTCCCAGGAGGCCCCACGGTGCCCGATTGTCCGCTTTTCGCCCGCCCCCTGCCTCCTCTTCACCCCGCGCCAGCAGCTCGGTGGCCGAGTCGGTCCCGCGGCCGGCGGATCGGGCGCGCGCGTCGGGGGTCGTCCGGCTGCCAGGCAGGGCGAGCACGCGCCGGGAGGCCTTGGAGGCGTAGGGGGCGGGGGTACGGCTCGCCTGCTCGCAAGATGGCGGACGAGGACGGGGAAGGGATTCATCCCTCAGCCCCTCACAGGAACGGAGGTGGCGGCGGCGGCGGGGGGTCTGGGCTCCACTGCGCCGGGAACGGCGGCGGGGGAGGCGGCGGCCCGCGGGTCGTGCGCATCGTCAAGTCCGAGTCCGGCTACGGCTTCAACGTGCGGGGCCAAGTGAGCGAGGGCGGGCAACTGCGGAGCATCAACGGGGAGCTGTACGCGCCGCTGCAGCATGTGAGCGCCGTGCTGCCCGGGGGGGCGGCCGATCGGGCCGGGGTGCGCAAGGGGGACCGCATCCTGGAGGTGTGAGTATCGGGGCTACCCGCCGCCCCATCCTCCCCGCGCCCCTCCTGCCCCTGCACTCCTCGCTACCCTTGTCACCCCCAGGCCGCACCTCCCCCGAGCTCCGAGCCGGCCTCCGGACCCCCGCCCCTCAGGCCTCCGCAGCCGGGCCCCTCCTTGTGGGCTGCCCTCCCACCACCCGCCCCGGGGCTTCTGCGACGCCGGTCTCCCACCCCGTCGTCTCCAGCTGATGCCCTTGCGCCCCCAGTGCTCCTCCCTGTGCCCCGATTACTCTGGGCTCTTCTCCGCCCCTTTGCCTTCCCGTTTGGCGTGCTGCATTCTGCTCCTCACTCCCCCTCGTCTTGCTCAGAAGGAACCTCATCTGCTCCTTACTGACGGCGTTTCGTTTTCTGATCCAGCCAGTACCGTGTCCCCCCCAAGTTCTCATCTTCAGCATCGCAGTTTCGTTCTCCACCACTCCCCTCCGCCCCCGTGGACTGCCCCTTCTGCCCTCCAGACCAAGTAGGCAGGACCTCTGGTCTGCTCCTACTTTTCCTCCGGAAACACCATCCCTCCCCGCTCGTCTCCTTTTTCTTTCCTTAGTTACCCTCTCCTCATGGTTACGCTGCCCCTAAATTTTTCCATCCCACCGTGTGCCCCTTTCCTCCCCTCCTTTTTGTATTTCTACTCCAAGAGTTTACCTTGCTTTCTGACCCTTGCATGCCTTTGGGGTGGGGGGCGTGGGATTTGACACCGTAGTTTCTCTTCTCGGTTGGCCCCGTATCACACCCTAATTTGGAATCTAGCGTCTCCATCAGCACACCCCTCTGAGAGCATCCCTTCCCTGGCCTCCTGCCTTCACTCCTGCTCTATACTCATGCCTCCTCCTAGTCAGGTTTATGGTAGACCCCTTGTAACTCCTCCTCCTTCAAAACTACTTCAAGCCCTTTTTGGGTCTTTGACCGCTTTGCTTTTTTAGGGCATGCCCGTCTCTGCTGCCTCTTCTACTCTATCCTCCTGTGATCCCACACTTGACTTTGTCCTAGTCTTTCCCTCCCCTAGGCTGCTTTTCCTTTCTTCTGTTTTTTAAGGCGCCTTCTGCTGCTGCAGCCCACCCTCTCTCCCCTGCTGCAGTCCCTCCCCCTTCATACGCCTCCCCCACCACATCCCTCCATGCTCTTGCGGGATGCTGCCTTGTCTTGCAATCTCTGTGCACACCGCCTCCATTACCCTAATCTAGGTGTTACATTTGCCTTTTTGTACTTCGTATTGAAATTCGGATAGTGATTGCCGGTTGACTTGCAGGTGGTGTGTGCTCGCGTTGTCTCCGTTCTCCTCAGCAGTCTTCAGTGCTGTGTTTCTGCTTACTGAATCTATGTTGTGCATTCCTTTTTTACACTTTTACTCTCTCCCTCCATATTTCGATTTGCCCACTTGAAATCGTTCTCATTTTTTATAAATTTTAATTGTAATTTCCGCAACCTTCTGTTGCCTCTTGTAAAACAGTAGGTTTGCAAAAGGGATAGTTTTTTGAAAATCTGCCTTATAGAGAAATCCATTCCTTCTTACTCATCTCGTGCCATCTACCCTTATCCTTGACATTCTTAACTCCATGGTGTCCACTCATTCTGTTTCCTCACCTCTTCCACCTCAAGAAATGGTTGGTTTTAACCTGGGAGAGTTGATTGAAAAAAAAAAAAAGAAATAGTTGCTCACCTAGGCCAGTGTTTGGAGACAGTATACCTTTCCTCTGTCCTTTCTGTAAATAGATGCTTTCTTGTTTCATTAATGTCCTACATACTGTTTCCTAGTATTCCTAGTATTGTCTGACAATATATTCTTTTTTTTTCCTTGAGATGGAGTTTTGATCGTCACCCAGGCTGGAGTGCAGTGGCGCGATCTCGGCTCACTGCAACCTCCGCCTCCCGGGTTCAAGCGATTCTCCTGCCTCAGCCTCCTGAGTAGCTGGGATTACAGGCATGTGTCATCATGACCAGCTAATTTTGTATTTTTAGTAGAGACGGGTTTCACCATGTTGGCCAGGCTGGTCTGAAACTCCTGACCTCAGGTGATCCGCCCGCCTCGGCCTCCCAAAGTGCTGGGATTACAATAATGACTTTCAGATTTCTTATACTTGGGCACCTAATTATTTTCTTTCTAGATAACTCAAAATTTGTGGCTGATGTTTTCTTCCAATAGAAGGTCTCAGAATTGTCACTTTCCTTTCCCTTTGGAAGTTAATTTTGGACTCAGCTTCTTATTTTTAAATTTAAAACTAAAGCATTTATAATTATAAATTTATGATGAAGTTCTACATTATTTACTCTTCACAGGATCTAAAGGAACTAAACCAAAAAGAATAATTCTGTAGGAGACTATAGTTAATATGATCTATCTTTGCAGATACACGCACACATCCCAACATACATAGTTAGTGGCTTCTTGCCTTTATTGTGGCTTCTGCCCAAGAGCCTAGGTATAAACTGTAAAGGAGACCTCAGATAATCCCCTAGGAAAGGTAGAAGGACTTGCCTTAGGCTCAGGTTCCAGACTAGGAAGCTGGGAAATCTTTGCCTTCTAGAGAAAAAACATTACTTTTTGGCACATCCTTTGTGGTAAGTAGAGAACTTTGTCACTTTTAGTGGGCAGGGGAAAAGAATACTCTGCCTAGAAGACCTCTCTGGAAGGTTGTGATAATCAGAAATCTTCCTGGCATTGGTTTCTCACTCTTCCAACTATCTGTATTTTGATTTCCAAATTCTCTGAACCTTCTTTGGTACTATAGGGGAAGTAATGATAATTACAGCCCAAAGCCAAGCTAGTGGTACATTCTGTGAGACCCCAACTATACAGTGTCTTTCTCTTTTCTTTTTTTTTTTCTTCCTTTCTTCGATAGTCTGCGCCTTCTCTTTAGGGTTTCAAGTGAGAGGGGAAATCAGCAACCAAATAGATGTGGTTCTTGAGGGATATCTGTGCCCGCTACTTGTCTCGATCTTGGTTAGGTTGATGCTAATTTTCCTAAAGCATTTTTTAGGCAATACTCCTTAGAGCTTTTGTCTGTCCTCCAAGTTCTTAAAGTTTACCTCTGTTGTCCCAGGAAAGCTTTGCATGTTGCTGAAGAGCCAGGTGGGGTCAGAATTAGGGATAGGTGGATTATCATTGTGTGGATATAGTTTGTATCAAGTCATAGGTGAATGTATGGACCTTGATAATTGCTATTTAAGACTTTTCCCTATTTTAGATTCTTCTATTGTGTTTACAAATTGTTTTTGTAACAATTTTCGTATTTTTCAGTTGTTTGGACAACTGACAGTGGTGTGAAAGAACAGAGTAACTTTGAAATTTAAGGGCATACAAACTTGGACACAAGTAAGAGCTTCAGTTTCTTTGTGTTTCTTTTAAAGTCGGCTTACCAAGGCTCTGTCCTAATCTTTAGTCCTGAAACTAAATTGGAGCCCATATGGTTCAGTTTGCCTTTTCTCCTTTCAAAACTGTCTAGATTCTAACAGGGCTTGGTACTGCAGTATGAACAAGCCCTCTGGGCTCTAAATTTTACTGCAGATGGAAAGTTTTTTTGACTAGCAAAGCTGGTTTCCACCTTGTAATTTTTCCCAGTGTAACATATACTGAGTGTTTTCCCTTTGATGTGTATGTACCTGGAGGCTAATGAGTAAAGAATGCTTTCAACAAACAGAACCAAAATAAATATGTCTTTGCACTAATTATATAGTATGTGAAGTAACATTTGACTTCAGGTTAATTTTCTTAAGGTTAAAGTAGTTCCAAGGACTCTTGATTGATTTCTCGAGAGACGCTGCTGGAAGGTTTTAGTGTGTGGTGGATATGGATATAAAACTGTCTGTATTTTTGAAGGATTAGTTTAAGCATGGACCACTAAGATTGGCTTGCAAGCATTCAAAATCATGATATATTTATGCTAGTCAGTATATATGCTTTCCTCTTTGATAGCCACCAGATAATAGACTCATCAACTTTCCCTCATTAAAGTCATAAGATAAAATAAAACTGTGTATATCAATTTGTTTTTTGAAAGTCAGTTTTTTAACTTCATTTTATGTGAGAGTTTGAAAATGAATTAAAGAGGCTGGTGCCACAAGAAGTATTTTTATGAGTTAAGTGTGAGTCATGTAACACAGACTAGGTACCGTCTCAAAAGCCGCTTTCTCAATTGCAACTGAATTCTATTTGACTGATATTTTCTAGGTAGATTTTGGTAATGTTTGAAATAATGAAATCATGGTTATTGATCAAAGGAAATTTGTTTGGCAGCGGTTCTCAGGCTTTAGGGTACATGAGAAGCACTTGGGTGTGCTTATCTAAAGTACAGATTCTCAGGCTCACCTTTTAAGGGTTATGATTCAGTAGATCTTTCATAGGGCCTAGAAATCTTTATTTTTTTACTCCTTTGCCAGGTGTGGGTAATGCAACCCACATACTCAGTTACATGCCCAGGGTGATGCAGTAGGTTGTAGGCCTTGGATTCTCAGTTCATTTTATCTTCATGATTATATTGAGAGTAATGAGCTAAGGTTATACCAACAAATAGTGAATTGTTAGGCTCTCGAATTCCAACCTAAGTGGAAAATCAGTTAAATACTAACTGTTCTATCTGATCGTCTATACTTTATTTATTGGATCTTGCTAAGCTCTTGAAATAAAGATGGATGGTTAAGAGGTAGCACAAGTTAATATTAATAGTTATAATAATCATTTTACTGCTTTGCAGCGTGTATAGTGTGTTATAGTTTGTAGTTTTATTTATTTATTTATTTATTTATTTATTTAGAGACAGCGTTTCACTCTTGTTGCCCAGGCTGGAGTGCAGTGGTGCGATCTCGGCTCACTGCAACCTCCGCCTCCCGGGTTCAAGCAATTCCCCTGCCTCAGCTTCCCAAGCAGCTGGGATTACAGGCATGTGCCACCACGCCCATCTAATTTTTGTATTTTTAGTAGAGACGGGGTTTCTCCATGTTGGTCAGGCCAGGCTGGTCTCAAACTCCCCACCTCAGGTGATCAGCCCGCCTCGGCCTCCCAAAGTGCTGGGATTACAGGCATGAGCCACTGCGCCCAGTCAGTCTGTAGTGTTTTTACATCTGATCTTCACACAGTCCTGTGAGATAGGAAGATTATAAGCTCATCAAGGGCAGGGACTACATCAAATACTATGTATTTGTTGTATCCCTAGCCAAATGTCTGGTGGCCCATGGAAAGTATTCTTCAGTAAATACTTGCCAAATGAATATATGAGTATTATCCCTATTTTATAAGACAGGAAATGGAAACTGAGTGTTGTACCAATGAATGGCAACCAGAATTAAATCCAGATCTTTGGATTCTAGATCTTGAATATTTTCTCTTTTTAGAGCTGTTTTTTTTTTTTTTTTTTTTTTTAAAGAGATAGGAGTCTCACTATGTTGCCCAGGCTGTACTTGAATTCTGGGCTCAAGTGATCCTCCCACCTCAGCCTTCCGAGTAGCTGGCACTACAGGCATGCACTACCACACCTGGCTAATTTTTTTGTACTTTTTTTTTTTTTTTGTAGAGATGGGGTTGCCATGTTGCCCAGTGTGGTCTTGAACCCCTGGCCTCAAGTGATCTGCCCACTTTGGCCTCCTAAACCGCTGGCATTGCAGGCTTGAGCACCTGGCTGCTTAAAATTCAGTTACATTCATATAAACGTCGATAGTGGTTGAACTTTGGTTCTACTATTGTGAAATGTAACTATTTTATATCTTTATTTACTCACTATTACCCATTGTTAAATTGGATGAGAGACAGGGGACTAAAGCAGGCATTCTTTGCCTTTATTATTGCTATCTTTACCCTGTTGGTTATCAGTGAAGACAGCAGAACAATCATTTTTAAATTCCTTTTAATTTCACAGGTAGTTGAGGTTGCAAACAAATAAAACTAAATTTGAAAATAGCATTACCTTCCCCTCAGAAATCACTTCCACAGATTGCTGTAACCAGGAAAATATATTTTATTAGTAGCATAACAATTTGTCTGGGTCTTTTAACTTATTGTGAAGAACAGTTCTTTTTCCATCCACCACTGACCAGTTTTTTTCAGATGAGGGCCTGTTACCATGCTCTCAAAGATAATTATTTTTCTAGGTAAGTCCCATTGGGAATAATTCTTATGACCTTGTAGATAAGCAAAGAGACTTAATTGACAAGCAGACACTTAACAATTTATGATCACTGCTCAAAATGCTTTTTGAGCATAATCTTTGGCAGGTTCATTCATTAGATGATGGCATTGCTGACAAAAGGATATTGTGGTGGTTTAGGTTAGAGCCATTTAGGTTCATTCTTTTCTTCCACCTCAGCTATACAGATGTTTTCTGTGCTTCTTGGGCAATCCAGTAAGAGCCCATGGATGGGTTGGTACAGTTCAGCCCACATTTGGAAAAAAATTTTAGGCAGTTTTAAAATATCTTTTAAAAAATTGCAGCTCATAGTAAGAGATACATTTTACATTATAACCTAATATATATGCAAAAAAAAAAAACACCTGAAATAAGCTTCACAAAAATTATGTTTACTGGCCAGGCACAGTGGCTCACGCCTGTAATCCCAGCACTTTGGGAAGCCGAGGTGGGCGGATCACTTGAGCTCAGGAATTCGAAACCAGCCTGGGCAACATGGTGAAACCTCATCTCTGCAAAAAATACAAAAGTTAGCCACGTGTGGTGGCGCATGCCTATAGTCCCAGCTACTCAGGAGGCTGAGGTGGGAGGATTGCTGGAGCCTGGGATGTTGAGGCTGCAGTGAGCCATGATCACATCACTGACCTCAAGCCTGGGAGACAGAAACCCTGTCTCAAAAATAAAACAAAACTGAACACCAGAGTGCATGATACCAGTAAATACAGTTTTTTTGGTTTCTTTTTTCCTCTCACCTTAGCCTTCCAGAAAGCTGGGACCATAGGCGTATGCCACCATGCCCAGCTAATTTTTTGTATTTTTTGTAGAGACAGGGTTTCACCATGTTGCCCAGGCTGGTCTGAGATTCCTGGGCTGAAGTGATCCGCTTGCCTCGGCTTCCCAAAGTGCTGGGATTACAGGTGTGAGCCACCGTGCCGGGCCCACTCTGGTATTTTTTAGTTTGTTCATATTTTGAGTTTCTTTGTTCTGTTTTTTTGAGTGCTGGTGGTGGCCTGGTACATTAATTTCACAACTCATTAGGTTGTGATCCACTGTCTGAAAAACAGTAATTTAGGGCATCACTTTTCCTGATATTGGCATGCTAAATATTACTTCATACTCAGTTTGGTTCCACAAGTAAGCACACACTGTATATAAAGAACTGCTTGGCTTGTATGAGTCACAGGGTCTCTGCATCCCTGCCTTTGAGAAGCTTACACTGCAGTAGGGAAGGTAAACAATTTGCTGTGTGTAAAGCTAAACGAGGTAATAGAGATAAATGAAAAGCACAATCGAAGTATAGAGGCAGGAGTGAATATGCCTAAGAAGACTGGTGGGGAGACAGCTCATACAAGGCTTTTAAACTGGATTGAAGAACAAATAAAACTTCAGAGAAGGGGCAAGGATTTTATAGGTTGAGGAAAACTGTGACCAAAGAGGGGAAAATGTGAAAAGCTCTTAGGCTAGCAAGGGGCTTAAAGTTGCTGTTTGTCTGTAGACATTTGTGATGATAGAAACTGGAAAGGAAGGTTGCAGTAAGATTTTAAAAAGATGGCTTTGAATGTAATCCCAAGAAGTTTGGATTTTTTTCTCTTTATGAGCTCAGAATATAGCTGTGTGTGCATTAATACCCAGGACTTCCTGTGAATTCAGTTTTATATAATTATTTACCAGAAGAAGTTGAATAACTTTTCCAAGGCGAAAGAGGAAAATCACTATTAGAATTAGAGTAATTTCAGAGCCATCTAGTCTCTTGGACTGTCTTGTACTATATAAAGAAGGGAACTAAGAACAACTAAGCTCTGACACCCAGAACTGGGAACAGCTGGTGAGGAGCTGGTTGCCTTTAACTTGTGTTTGTATTTTATTTCACAATCGAATCCAGCTTCTCAGTTATCCTTTCTCTTTCTCTTCTGTTTTAAATGACTATACTTACTATTGTGTTTACAATTGATAACTTTCATCCTTGTGTGCTACAAGCCTGTTGTGTTCTAGCTCTACTTTCCTCCAAGTCTGTTCCTCTGATTTGAAGATGCTTTTTTTTTTTTTGTGACAGAGTCTTGCTCTGTCGCCTAGGCTGGAGAGCAGTGGCACGATCTCGGCTCACTGCAACCTCAGCCTCCCAGGTTCAAGCAATTCTCCTGCCTTAGCCTCCTGAGTAGCTGGGATTACAGGTGTGCACCACCATGCCCAGCTGAATTGTTTGTATTTTTAGTAGAGACCGGGTTTCACCATGCTGGCCAGGCTGGTCTTGAACTCATGACCTCGTAGTCCACCCACCTCGGCCTCCCAAAGTACTGGGATTACAGGCATAAGCCACTGCACCTGGCCGAAGATGCTTCTTTTAATTTAAATCTTTTATTTTGGCATACAGCATGTTGGGAGCTGAGTGGACTGAAGACGGGGGGGAAACTTAATGTGGTACTAAAGTTTACACTTAATACCTACCTTCAAAATGAAAATTCATGTGAAGCTCCTTCAAATAAGTTTAAGACCTGGTGGTGATCACAAAGTGAATTGTTGCTTTCTTTCATAATATTCGTACTCCAGGGTTAAATTTTGTGGTATGGTATTAGTCAAATGCTAGGTAGTATGTGTGTAGTCTCTTGTTTATTATTTATTGCTCCCTGCCAACTAAATAAGGTTCTCATAATAGTTGAGGAAATGTGCCTTTCTGCAAGGTATTGAGTTGCTGAATAAGGAGTTGTATTTGAGTACTCTTATGTGTACTTCCTCAGTGAACTTCCACTGATACGAAAACATCTTTTAAGAAATGGTCTGTTTTTGCTTAAGCTGTCTGAAACTTTTTAGATTCTTGTGTCAAACCTCAGAGCAAGACCAGAATGATAGGCCTATGTTTTCTACAGGCCTGATACACAAGGAATTAGCTTACTTCCCTCTGGAAAAGTACAGGCAGTCTGCAGAGAGTCAGCTGCTCTGGTGCATGCTCTCCCAGCTGCTTTCAAGAGGCTGATTACTCTTAAAGAACTTTCAATAAGATTATTAACTAGGAAGGTTGTCTCTTCCACCCGCAAATACCACAGTACTTTTATATCTATGTGTTGATCTAGTTTTATTTATATTTATTTATTATGTTTTAAAAATTGGGAGATTGATTAAATGAATATTTGGAGATCTTGGAAAGCATGATGGCCTCTGAGAATTTTGGAAACTTTTTCTACTTATTTTGCTGATCAGTTTAATCATCTAGAACGTTTGTTCCTGCCTCTGTCTTTACTTGGAAACAGCAATGAGTTTTGTTCTCTCTACCTGAGGTTTTGTATCAAGGAAATGTGACACTGAAGTTTCGTTTGTGAGTTATGTGCTAGTAGATTATTTTAGATTTCCCTGTCTTACCCAGTTATCTTTTATATTCCTCATTTGGAAAAGGTCCGACTGTACCTTTCTTCTCTTTCAATATGTTGGAATGGACTACAGACTTACAGAAATTGTAGTCTGTGTTTCTCATTTCCAAAATAAATTGCTCAAATTTAATTTGGATTAAAAGATGGTATTTGATCGTCAAAGGGTCATATCCCTTCAAAAGTATATCTTGTTACTAATTTGTAAAGACTGTCTTTCATAAATGAAGGTATTTCAGCTGTTTTTTTCAGTTGTCATGATAGATTACACTATCTGTTCACATTCATGTACAGGACCACTTGGGATTAATTGAATATATAGGAAATGGGTGGTTGAGATTCAGGGTTCAGGTTGCGGCCCCAGAACAAATTTACCAGATCACGTGAGGGATAATGTTTTTAATTACATTATGTAGTAATTCAGAAATAGTAGTGTAATAGAACTTCAGAATTATCAAAATTTTTTTTCCTTTGATGATTTACTTGACTTGCAAACCAAGGTTATTGATAAAACAAGTATATTTTATTCTTTAATTAACTTTCACTGTGGTCAGTATACCAAGTTAAAATCATCTGGGGGTAGCATTTAAATTGGCCATGTTGACAATGATTCAAAATGTAGCAGCTCTCAAACACTGAGTTGGTGTTGGGAAATAATTTAGGACTAGTTGTGTTTTGGTGGTGAACAACTGAGTGGGGGATCCTCAGAAATGTGTAGGAGGAAAATGAGTTACTTTAGGAAAATCATCATGGCTATTAGCAACTTTCTTTCCCATTTCTTTTTTTTAAATTTAATTTATTTTTCTTGCCCAGCCTGGAGTGTAGTGGTGCGATCACAGCTTACTGAAGCCACAACCTCCTGGACTCAAGGGATTCTCCCATCTCAGCCTCCCAAGTAGCTGGGACCACATGCATGTACTACACCTGGCTAGTTTTTATATTATTTGTTTATTTTATTTACTTATTTTTTTTGAAACAGTCTTGCCCTGTCGCCCAGGCTGGAGTGCAGTGGTATGATCTCAGCTCACTGCAACCTCCCCCTCCCAGGTCCAAGTGATTATCCTGCCTCAGCCTCCCAAGTAGCTGGGATTACAGGCACATGCCACCATACCTGCCTAATATATATATATATTTTTTTTTTGAGATGGAGTCTCGCTGTCGCCCAGGCTGGAGTGCAGTGGCACGATTTTGGCTTACTGCAATTCTGCCTCCCAGGTTCAAGTGATTCTCCTGACTCAGCCTCCCGAGTAGCTGGGACTACAGGTGCGGGCCACCATACTTGGCTAATTTTTTGTATTTTTAGTAGAGACGGGGTTTCACCTTGTTAGCCAGGATGGTCTCTATCTTCTGACCTCGTGATCCGCCCACCTTGGCCTCCCAAAGTGCTGGGATTACAGGCGTGAGCCACCGCGCCCAGTATTTTTTAATAGAGACGGGGTTTCACCATGTTGGCCAGTCTGGTCTTCTCCTGACCTCAGTGATCTGCCTGCCTTGGCCGCCCAAAATGCTGAGATTACAGGCATGAGCCACCACTCCTAACCTAATTTTTATATTTTTTTTGTAGAGACAAGGTCCCACTTTGTTGCCCAGACTGGTCTTGAACTTGTGGATTCAAATGATCCTCCCGTCTCGGCCTCCCAAAGTGCTGGGATTATAAGTATGAGCCACTGCGCCTGACCCTTTCCCATTTCTAACATTTATTGTCCTCCAGTACAAAGAAGTAACCCATTGTCATGTCTACTCTATGATAGGCTAGAACTATAGGGTTGCTCTATATTGATCAGGTTTTTAAAGATAAAAATGAAAAAAAAATCCTATCCAGACAAAATAAATCAGTGTTTTATATTTTTGGAGCATCAGAACTTACTTTAAGACCTCACTGGTAATTCTTTAGCCTCTCACATGTGATAAAGACATTGTGCTTACATTTTTTAAAAATTTATTTATTTATTTATTTTAGAGACAAGGTATCACTCTTTCACCCATGCTGGAGTGCAGTGGCACAATCATAACTCACTGCAGCTATTGATCTCCTGGGCTCAAGTGATCCTTCTGCCTCAGCCTCCTGAGTAGCTGGGACTATGGGTGTGTGCCACCATACACAGCTCATTTTTAAAAATTTTTTTGTAAAGTTAGGGTCTTGCTATGTTCCCCAGGCTGGTCTCAAACTCCTGGGCTCAAGCCGTCCTCCTGCCTTGGCCTCCCAAAGTGTTGGGATTACAGGAGTGAGCCACCTCACCTGGCCTAAAATTCTAAAACTAGAATTTTGTATTCTACTAAGAGTGAAATGGACAGGTTTGTTTTTATTCTTGGTGACAAGTGGTTACATTGGCTTTTCAGGTAATGATCAGATAATAAATGAGCTTTTTTTTTCTGAATAGCTTGATTTTATATATATATATATATATATATGTATTTTTTTTTTTTTTGCGATGGAGTCTTGCTCTGTCGCCCAGGCTGGAGTGCAGTGGCGTGATCTTGGCTCATTGCAACCTCCATCTTCTGGGTTCAAGCAATTCTCTGGTCTCAGCCTCCCAAGTAGCAGGGACTATAGGCACCTGCCAGCACGCCCGGCTAATTTCTGTATTTTTAATAGAGATGGGGTTTCACCATATTGATCAGGTTGGTCTCGAACTCCTGACCTCAGGTGATACACCTACCTCGGCCTCCCAAAAAGCTGGGATTACAGACATGAGCCACCACGCCCGGCCAGCTTGATTATATTTTTATATTTATTTTTTAAATATCTTAAATCCTTAGCCTTATTATACTTTTTTCTCTGAATGACAAGTATGATTCATTTATTTGGAAATAAATCTACCTGATTATATTTGTATACTGATTGCCTTGGAGTTAGAAGGTTTGAGGAATCTGTAATTCTTTCTTCCCCAGTAATAAACTCTTGTTACTTCTGGCTGGAGGTATTAAGGTTGAAGAACAGATGAGTCTTATTTGTACTTCTTCTGCCTCAGGCAGCATTCTTTGTAAATAGAACACCCGGTCAAAGGTAAAAAGTCCCAGTGATGGTAAGCAACTTATTTGACAAGTTATTTATTCTTTTTTTTCCTTTTTGGGAAGACCAGATGCCAATTAACATACTTCTCAGTTTCTCAGCTTTGCCAGGGGCAAACTTTATTGTTATTAATACGCGCTTTTGCCCAGTGTTAAATTTTTGGACGTAGGTGCTTTAAAAATACTGGTGTAGGCCAGGCGCTGTGGCTGACGCCTGTAATCCCAGTACTTTGGGAGGCCGAAGCGGCAGATCACTTGAGGTCAGGGGTTCGAGACTAGCCTGGCCAACATGGTGAAACCCCGTCTTCATTAAAAATACAAAAATTAGTCAGGTGTGGTGGCATGCACCTGTAATCCTAACTACTGGGGAGGCTGAGGCAGGAGAATTGCTTGAACCAAGGAGATGGAGATTGCAGTGAGCTGAGATCATGCCACTGCACTCCAGCCTGGGTGACAGAGCAAGACTCTGTCTCAAAAAAAAAAAAAGATAAATAAAAAAATATTGGTATAAAGGTTGAATCTGGCCAGGTGTGGTGGCTCATGCCTGTAATCTGAGCACTATGGGAGGCTGAAGGGGCAGATCACTTGAGGTCATGAGTTCAAGACCAGCTGATCAACATGGTGAAACCCCGTCTCTACTATAAACACAAAAATTAGCGGGAGAATCACTTGAACCGGGGCGGTGGAAGTTGCAGTGATTCGAGACCACACCAGTGCACTCTATCCTGGCAACAGAGCAAGACTCTGTGTCCAAAAAAAAAAAAAAAAAGCAGGGTGTGGTGGCACACACCTGTAATCCCTGCTGCTCGGGAGGCTGAGGCAGGAGAATTGCTTGAGCCTGGGAGGCAGAGGTTGTAGTGAGCCGAGATCAGGCCACTGCATTCCAGAGCTTGGGCAACAGAGTGAGACTGTGTCACCAAAAAAAAAATAAAATAAAAATAAAAGATTGGGCCGGGCGCAATGGCCCACACATGTAATCCCAGCTACTCTGGAGGCTGAAGCAGGAGAATGACATGAACCCAGGAGGTGTCGCTTGCAGTGAGCCGAGATGGCGCCACTGCACTCCACCCTGGGCGACAGAGCGAGACTCCGTTTCAAAAAAATAAAAAATAAAATTAAAAAAGATTGAATCAATCTTTCCATACTTAAAAAAAGGTACCAAAGGATTTGAGAAGTAAAGCTCTCTCTATAAAACCTTGGAAATTTGTTCAATTTGGTCTGTATGTGATTAACTTTTTTTTTTTTGTTTTTCCCTACATTTGCCAAAGATGAGACCTAATTAGAATTAAATGAAGGTTTTTTTGGCTTGTTTTTATTTTTGGACTTATTTTGAGCCAAGACACTTTTATATTGTCTCTTTCTAAAAAAGAATAATTTGTCAGAATTATTGCATTAAAAGAATGTTTTATGATAATGGTTTTAAAAATCAGGAAGAGAATACTGTTTTATCATGAGATTCAAGAGATCAAGACCATCCTGGCCAGCATGGAGAAACCTGTCTCTACTGAAAATGCAAAAAATTAGCTGGGTGTGGTGGCGTGCCCCTGTAGTCCCAGCTACTTGGGAGGCTGAGGCAGGAGAATCACTTGAACTTGGGAGGCAGAGGTTGCAGTGAGCCAAGATCGTGCCACTGCACTCCAGCCTGGGCGACAGAGCAAGACTCCGTCTAAATAAATAAATAAATAAATAAATAAATGTAAAATGAAGAAGAGAAAACTTAAATTGATTGAAATTTTGGGACCCTATAACTTTGAGGTTGTTGTTTTCTGCTCACTTGTATTTAGGCAGTTGCTAAGGCTGGTCAGTGGTTACACTAAATCATGACTGAAGAGAGACAAGATAGTTTTTGTTTTGTTTTGTTTTCTAATACTGTAAAGTGCTCCAGGCTCATCTTGTATATTTCCTGCTGTAGTCCTAGAATCAACCATTTATTTAAAGGTCCCTGGTTCCTTTATTGGTTTTACAGACCAAGATCTGGGCATTCTGGGCATTAGGGTGTGGTTTCTTTTAGGCCATTTCGGCTGACAGCAAAGAAATTTGTGTGTGTATATTAACTCTTGTGTATATACATATCTATAAATACTTCTCTATGTAACCCTCTGTATTATATTAAATTAAACATGAGTTCTGATTCTTCATCTCTACTGCATTACCACATGGATTATTCTAGCCTCCTCCCCTTGCTGATCTTCCGTGAATTTCCATTCCACAGTGAGAAACTTGGCTTTTCCCATCTGCCACCCATTTACTTAATTGTTCAATTCCAATACACTTGTTTAGCAGTATCAGAATTGTTAACGAGTACCCTCGTGGAAAACAACTTTATTGACTAAAGTACAGTACTTATTGGTAGTCCCTTTTGCGTTTAGTCTTATGGACTCTTTTCCTTTACAGTCACTTAGATCCATAACTTTTCCTCTACTCACTTTAGTAAGGTTTTTAAAAATACCTTTGAAATACAGTTAGGTTCTCTTGTCACAGTCTGGGATTCTTCCAACCTACTAACTGATTTTTAAAATATTTGCATATATTAAGGTTCACACTGTTCTTGGTGTTTTTTGTTTTTGTTTTTTTAAATAGAGATGGGGTTTCGCCATGATGCCCAGGCTGGTCTCGAACTCCTGGGCTCAAACAGTCCACCCGCTTTGGCTTCCCAAAGTGCTAGGATTACAGGTGTAAGCCACTGCGCCTGGCCAAGGTTCACTCTTTGTTCTATAAAGTTCTATAGATTTTGACATGCATTATGTCATATATGCACCATTACAGTATCGTACAGAATAATTTCACTACCCTAAAAATTCCCTGTGCTTCGCTAATTCATCCTTATCTTCTCCACAGGCCCCTGGTAACCACTGATCTTTGCCTTTTCTGGAATGTCATATAATTGGAATAATACATATATAGTAGCCTTTCAGACTGGCTTCTTTCCCTTGGCAACATGGACTTAAGGTTCCTGCATGTCTTTTCATGACTGTTTTTTTTTTTTTTTTTTTAGATGGAATTTCACTCTGTCGCCCAGGCTGGAGTGCAGTGGTGCAATCTTGGCTCACTGCAACCTACACCTCCTGGGTTCAAGCGATTCTCCTGCCGCAGCCTCTTGAGTAGCTGGGATTACAGGCGCCCGCCACCATGCCCAGCTAATTTTTGTATTTTTAGTAGTGATGGGGTTTTACCGTATTGGCCAGGCTGGTGTCAAACTCCTGACCTCAGGTGAAACGCCCATCTTCGCCTACCTAAGTACTGGGATTGCAGGCATGAGCCACTGCGTCCGACCTTTTCTTGGCTTAATAGCTCATTTCTTCTTTTAGAGGCATAATACTCAACTGTATGGCTCTTCCACAGATTGTTTATTCATCTATTGAAGGACATCTTGGTTACTTACAGTTTTTTGGCAATTATGAATAAAGCTGCCATAAACATTTATTTACGTGCAGGTTTTTGTGTAGATGTAAGTTTTCAGCTCAGTTGGGTAAATACCTGGGAATGTGATTGCTGGATCTTATGGTAAGACTGTAAAAAGCTGCCAAACTGTCTTCCAAAATGACTATCATTTTGTATTCCCACCAGCAGTGAATGAGGATTGCTGTTGCTCCACATCCTCACCAGCATTTGGTATTTGGTATTACCAGGTTTTTTGATTTTAGGCATTCTAATAGGCGTGTAGTGGTATCTTGTTTTCATTTGCAGTTCCCTGATGATGAATGATATTGAGCATCTTATATGCTTATTTGCCATCTGTATATCTTCCTTGGTGAGGTATCTGTCCAGATATTTTGCCCATTTTTAAATTGGGTTGTTTGTTTTCTTATTGTTGAGTTTTAATAGCTCTTTGTATATTTTGGATACAAGTGTTTTATCAGATGTGTGTTTTGCAAATATTTTCTCCTAGTCTGTTTTGTTTTTTCATTCTCTTAACAGTGTCTCTTGCAGAGCAGAAGTTTTCAATTTTAATAAAGTTCAACTTAGCAATTTTTTTCCTTCATGGATCATGCTTTTTGGTGTTGTAGCTGAGATCTCATTGCCAACCCCCTAGATTTTCTCCTATGTTATCTTTTAGAAGTTTTGTAGATTTGTATTTTTGTAATCCACTTTTAGGCAGCATTGGCTCAAACATTTCTAGATTATTTTGTTCTTCATGTTTACAATTTTACATGATTGCTTTCTAGTTTGTTAAATTATTGTACTACAATTTTCTTACATTTTCATCCCCCTATTGACTTTTTATAAAAACAAATTTGGAAACAACCTAAATAATAATGGATATGTTTGTGCTTAGCTTTTTTGTGTTTAGGCGCTTGCTTCAGCAGCCCATATAGTAAAATTAGAACGATACAGAGAAGATTAGCATGGCCCCTGTGGAAGGATCATACGTAAATTTGTGAAGTGTTCCATATATATACACGCACATATATACACATGTATATATACGTATATATACATATATACGTATATATACATGTATGCGTATATATATACATATATACACGTATATATACATGTATACGTATATATATGTTTGTATATATGTGTGTGTATATATGTGTATATATATAATTTTTTTTTTTTTTTGAGACAGAGTCTCACTCTGTTGACCAGGCTGGAGTGCAGTGGGGCAATCTCAGCTCACTGCAACCTCTGCTTCCTGGGTTCAAGCGATTCTCCTGCCTGAGCCTCCTGAGGGTCTACATGTGCGTGCCACCATGCCCGGCTAATTTTTTGTATTTTTGGTAGAGACGGGGTTTTACCATGTTGGCCAGGCTGGCCTTAAACTCCTGACCTCAGGTGATCTGCCTGCCTCAGCCTCCCAAAGTGCTGGGATTACAGGCGTGAGCCAATGTGCCCGGCCACTGTTCCATATATATATATATTTTTTTGTGAGGCCAGCCTGATCAACGTGGTGAAGCCCTGTCTCTACTGAAAATACAAAAATTAGCAGGGCGTGGTGGCCTGCACCTGTAATCCCAGCTACTCAGGAGGCTGAGGCAGGAGAATCGCTTGAACCCGGGAGGCGAAGGTTGTAGTGAGCCGAGATCGCACCACTGCACTCCAGCCTGGGCGACAGAGTGAGACTTTGTCTCAAAAAAAAAAAAAGAAACTTTTTTGTGTTTGGGATTATTTCATTTATTCTTAGAAGAAATACTTGAGAGTGTTCTGCATACCATTGTAAAATTTTTGCCCTTACGAAGCTCATATTTTGGTCATTGCCTTAGGATAAATTCTCAGTAATACAATTATTAGTTAAAATATTATGACCATTTTTATATCTTTAGATGCATATTGCCAGTGAAATTACTTTCTAAAGGATTTTACCTATTTATAAAACCATCTCATATTCTAGATGATAAAAGTTGATATTAAAAATAATTAAGATAATAATTTTTTATTTTAAAAGTTGTTGACCAGATTTTACTATTTATTAGAAAATGCAAGCATTTTGGAAAACTTTGGCCATTTACTTTCTCTTGTTGTGCTTTTATCATCCATCAATAAATAAGATGCTCTAAGATGTGAGGGGCAAAATATTATTATTTCTAAAACAACATTCCAAATGTCTTTGATATTTAGTGATCCAGAATGGAAATTTTGTTTAAATCTGTTCAAGCTTCACAACTATTTTGGCTGCATTCATTGCTTACACATGTCTAATCTTATATCTCAAGAGTTTAAGGGCAAAGTATAGTATGATTGCTTATATAATTAGTCAGTAAGAATATTCTTCGGCCGGGCACGGTGGCTCACGCCTGTAATCCCAGCACTTTGGGAGGCCGAGGTGGGTGGATCACGAGGTCAGGAGATCGAGACCATCCTGGCTAACACGGTGAAACCCCGTCTCTACTAAAAATACAAAAATTAGCTGGGTGTGGTGGCGGGCGCCTGTAGTTCCAGCTACTCGGGAGGCTGAGGCGGGAGAATGGCGTGAACCCGGGAGGCGGAGCTGGCAGTGAGCTGAGATTGTGCCACTGCACTCTAGCCTGGGCGACAGAGTGAGACTCCGTCTCAAAAAAAAGAATATTCTTCCACTTGTTTGCCTAAGTAAGATAGCAAGGAGGCAGAGTTAGATGAAAAGGAGACAAACTGAACCAGTCAGATGATTTAACTGCAAAAATTAGAAAGGACAGACCCTTACATTTTGGTGGAGTAGTTCCTTGTCTTTACAGTGTAGTTTCTAGTACAGTTGTACTGAACAACTAAGCAGTGAACCAGTGAAAAGTCAAAGGAAGTGTCTCTCTTCTCATATGCCAGGGGTCTTTTTTCCTTCAACTTCAGAGATCTCCTAATTTTTAAGAAGATATGTTGTGGAGAAGGTAGGGAGTTCATTTACAAAGCTCTGTATAATTGAGGAGATGATATAATAGCTGTGTTAAAGTTTTAAACATAGTTCCAGTCACCCTAACTCAACTATTTTTGTATTTTACATAATGTGCCTTATGGGCTAAAATAGAAACAATTTGTAATCTTCGTTTTTGCATTTAACATAAGAACTTCTCCATGTTTGCATATAGTTTTCATAAATATTTTTAAGATGTTTATAGTCCATATGTTTGATGTACTTCAGTGTCTTTAAAGGTTTCTCTAATGTTGGATATTATTTGGCTGAACAAATTACTTTTCAAATACTTGGTCAGAAGAAAATGCTTTACAATCTTAAATGCTTAAATTTTTTTTTTCCTTGAGACAGGGTCTCCTCTGTCACCCAGACTGGAGTGCGGTGGCGCAATCTCAGCTCACTGCCACCTCTGCCTCCTGGGTTCAAGCAATCCTCTCAGGTAGCTGGGACAATACGTGTGCACCACCAGGCCCAGCTAATTTTTAAAATATTTTTTGTAAAGGCGGAGTCCCACCATGTTGCTCAGGCTGTCTTGAACTCCTGGGCTCAAGTGATCCTCCCACTGCGGCCTCCCAAAGTGTTGGGATTATAGTTGTTAGCCACTGTGCTTGACCCTTAAAAATCTAACAAGTGAAATCTAGGCCTCCTAAGAAAAAGAATCTGAATTATGTTTGTAATGCACTATAATGGTATTTTTGCAGTGTTTGATGAATTTAACTTTTGTCCCTTACATTATGGCTTTGATAAACTTGAGAGATGCTGCTGTTATCTGACTTAACTTTATAATTTGTTGCGGAGGTTGTTTTTTTTTTTTGAGATGGAGTTTTGCTCTTGTTGCCCAGGCTGGAGTGCAGTGGTGCGATCTCGGCTCACTGCAATGTCTGCCTTCCAGTTTCAAGTGATTCTCCTGCCTCAGCCTTCCAAGTAGCTGGGATTACAGGCATGCGCCACCACGCCCGGCTAATTTTTGTATTTTTAGTAGAGACGGGGTTTCACCATGTTGGCCAGGCTGGTCTTGAACTCCTGACCTTGTGATCTGCTCACCTCAGCTTCCCAAAGTGCTGGGATTACAGGCATGAGCCACCGCACCTGGACATGTTGCTGAGGTTTTTAACTATACTAGGTTTGAAATATGTGTCCTATTGTTTATAGGAGATTAAGACAAAAAAGCCAAAGCAGAAGTAGGGGTAAACTAGCTGTGTCTTAATTTTCTTTTCATTACCTCCATGAAATAACCTTGTAAGACTTGGAAATAGCCAAAGTTTAGCTTATTTTCCACAAGACATGGGAGGTGAAGGAAAAAGCATATATTTTATTTAAGCAGTTTTATGCTGCAGATATGTACAGATTCATCTACTAGATATTTAACAAATTTATTCACAATAGCAAAACATTCAGAGTAATCTAAAAGTAGAATAGGGGTTATGCTTTTCACCCAGATGGTGGACTCCTATTTCACACTTACAGATGTGGATATTATATAATAATTTTTATTTTTATTTTATTTATTTTTATTTTTTATTTTTTTTGAGACGGAGTCTGGCTCTGTCGCCCAGGCTGGAGTGCAGTGGCACAATCTCAGCTCACTGCAAGCTCCACCTCCCGGGTTCACGCCATTCTCCTGCCTCAGCCTCCCTAGTAGCTGGGACTACAGGCGCCCGCCACTACGCCTGGCTAATTTTTTTGTATTTCTAGTAGAGATGGGGTTTCACCGTGTTAGCCAGGATGGTCTTGATCTCCTGACCTCGTGATCTGCCCTCCTCAGCCTCCCAAAGTGCTGGGATTACAGGCTTGAGCCACCGCGCTCGGCCAATAAACTTTACTGAGGCTTAATTAACATACAGTTAAATGCACACATATGAAGCATAGAGTTTGAGTTTTGGCAAAAGTATACATCCATTTAACCACCACCCCAGTCAAGATACAGACAGTTCCATCACTTTTTCTTTTTTTCCTGACACAGAGTCTCACTTTGTCACCTAGGCTGGAGTGCGGCGGTGAGATCTTGGCTCACTACAGCCTTGACTCCCAGGTACAAGCAATCCTCCTACCTCAGTCCCCAAGTAGCCAGGACTGCAGGCCTGCTCCAGGATGCCCAGCTAATTTTTTGTATTTTTTGTAGAGATGGGGTTTCGCCTTGTTGCCCAGGCTGGTCTCAAACTCCTGAGCTCAAGTGATCCGCCCTGCCTCTGCCTCCCACAGTGCTGGGATTACAGGCGTGACACGTAAGAAAGTTTCTTTGTGCCCCTTTGCATTCAGTACTATCCCCTCCCCTCCAGACAACAAGTGATTTGATTTCTACCACTAAAGAATAGTTTTGTCTATTCCAGAACTTCAAATAAATGGAGTCAAATGAGTCGGATTCTTTTCTGTCTCACTTTCCTCCCGCCGAGTGTATTTTTGAGATTTATCTATGTTGTTGGGGATGAGTAGTTTTTCCTTTTTATTCCTTTTTCCTTTTATTGCTGTGATACTCCACTTTATGAATATGCCACAACTTGTTTATCCATTTGCTTTTTGATAGACATTGGGTTGTTTTTTGTTTTGTACTATTTTGAATAAAGCTGCGGTGGACATTCAACTACAGTTGTTTGTGTAGATGTGTATGTGTGTTTTTTTTTTTTCTCTTGGATAATACCTAGGAGTGGAATTGCTGGGTCTTGTAGTAAATGTATGTTTAACATTATGAGAAACTGCTAGATTGTTTTTATTTTATGCACTTATCAGCTGTATATAAGAATGGCACTTGTTCCACATCTTTGGCAAAACTTGGTATTGCCACTCTATTTTAGCCATTCTTATAGACATGTAGCCATTGTGTAGGCATATAGCCATCTACAAAATTGAAATGTATGTCTTAGCACTTGCAGTTATAGGAATTTATTATCCATTTTTAATGGGCTGCCTCTGAGAGACTAATTACTTTTTTATTACTTTCGTGCATGTCACAGAGGGTCAAAATAGTATTTTGCTTACTATGTAGAATGGCTTTTTGCTGTGGTATATATAGTGATTGGGTTTGTCATATTTCCATTTATACCTAGTTTTCATTGTATATAGCTTCCTTCACAAGTAGTATACAAATCCTGACTAGAGCTTTTTCTCCTGCTTTTGGAAATGTTTATGTTAGCTTTGCAGTTTCCCTAGCTGGCCAACTTTGGTTGAATAGAAGTCTTATTTGAAGCCACTCCCATTAGCTAGCTTAAGGCCTCTCTCTATTGGGGCCAAATGTTGGTCTTATGTAAAAGTAAGTATTTTATTAAAATTATCGCGTGTGTCTTTACAATGCCAAAGACATAAAATAAATTAGATATCATCTGTGTAACTAAAGCAAATTTTCATCTTATTTGTGGATTGTTGGAATTTTTGGCCCCCTTAATTTTTTCCTTCATTTTATTATGAAAAGTTTCAAACCTACAGAAAAATTGAGAGAATTGTACAGTGAATACCTGTATACCTATCACCTAGATTCTATAATTACATTTTGTTGTATTTGCTTAATCGCATATGTGTTAGACATTTTTGATGATGTATTTAAGCTGCTGCCTTTCTTTATAAAAGCAGTATATATTGGTAGATCCTACTGGGCAGTCAGTACTTTTGTGTGATAAGAGAATTGGTGCTTCACTGATCCAGTGGTCTTGTGAAGCTGGCTATCTGTGAACCCCATTGTCATTGGTTGAGAGCTTAATTATTTATTTTCAAATGAATTTCAGCTAGATTATGTTACAAAGACAGAATTGAAAGGCAAGGGAAATTGCTGGTAGAAAAGGTTTGTATCATCAAGGAGGTGAAAATACTACCAACTTGTTTGCCCAATTGATACAAATACTATAACACAAATAGCTACCATTTATTGAGTAGTTACCATGTTCTAGAGCTTCCTCTCATTTTAATTTTCACAACAACTCCATTAGCCGATGATATTAACCCCATTTTATGGATTAGAAAATTGAGATTTAATGAGATAAAGTAATTTACTTAAGGGCTCATCCATTAAACAGCACAATTGGTATTCAAACCCAAGTCTGTTTGACTCCCAAACCCATACTTTGAACCTGAAGTCTGTACTGCTGAAAGTTTCTCCTTATTGAAGAATTTATATTTTGCATTAATTTATGTCTTCAGAATTATACAAAGTATTGGGCCACACCAAATTTGAGTCTGGTATAGTAGCCTTCTTGTAAAAAATTATATCATATAACATTTTTATGACTGTGAAGACCTCTTAATTCTTCAGGAAGGAGGGCCCTTTTTCAAATCAGACATCCTGGGGTTTTTACTGACCTTATTTCATTCTCTGAAGAATGAAGGAATTTCCCACTTTGTAGTAAGTCATGGAATGTATAGCATTCCTTCTATAGTTGAACCAGATAAATATTAGCAAGTCTGTTTAGAATATGACACTGGAAGTTTTTTCCTGTCTTTTTTTAAAAGAGGTTTTTGGAATTATAGTCAATCTGAAACTTGGTCTTACTAATAAAGAAGTGAAACCTAAGTGAGCTCCCTTGCTCCCTGATGGCTCTTGGTATAAGTCTCACTTAAGTTTCTCTGACGATTTTCAGGGTTTATTTTTGTGAGTGACCCAAGGAACGGTGTATTTTGATTTGAAAACTGAATGGGTGGAGGTGTGTATTGAAAGCAATAGTTCTGAATCTTTTTGGAGTTTATATACTCCTTTTTGAAGCTGATGAAAGCTAGGGAAACTCCCCAGAAAAAAACGCATAATAGGCACATAAAAAGAATTTTACATACAAATTTTGTAGATCCAGTGACTCTCAAGTCTACCAACAGAGTGCCCTAGATAAAAAATTCTTTAAAGGAAAAAAAATCAGGGAACCGAAAAGTAAGATTTGAGCATCAGTTTTTATTTTTCACAAATGTGCGTTTCATAAAATTGATTGCATTAACAGAAATTTTGTTTTGGTATTTAAGATTTTATTTTATTTCATTTTTTAAAAAACAGGATCTTCTTTTGTAACCCAGGCTGGAGTGCAGTGGCATGATCTAGCTCACTGCAGCCTTGAACTCCCAGGCTCAGGTGTTCTTCCCAGCTCAGCCTCCCAAGTAGCTGGAACTATAGGCACGTGCCACCAGGCCTGGCTAATCTTTTGGTATATTTCGTATAGAGACGGGGTTTCACCATGTTGCCCAGGCTGGTCTCAAACTCCTGAACTCAAGTGATTCATCTGCCTTGGCCTCCTAAAGTGCTGGGATTACAGGTGTGAGCCACACTGTGCCTAGCCTGTATCCAAGATATTAGTATTTTGGCCAGTCTTTAAGGTGTCAGCTTTTTCCACTTTTGTAAAAAAAAAAAAAAAAAAAAAAAAGGATATTCATGAGTTAGCTAAGGTTCCTAGGGATATATAAGAATGTATGGTGATTTCTAAACTTGCTTTTTCATTTTTTTTCTTATACCATCAAATCATTTTCTCAGAACTAGTAAGGCCAAATACTTAGATAAAATCTTTTGCCAGTTCCTTACTTAAGATTTCCATTTCTTCTTTAATCAAAATCTATATACATAGTACCTCTTTACTTCTTAAACCTTCTGATATAAATGTTTAGGAATTGTTCTACATGTTTTATTACATTAATCTTCACAGCAACTCTGTTAGGAACTTATTGTCTCCATTTACACATGTGGAAAGCAAGGCTAAGAAAGGTTAAAAACTCAGTCAAGACCAATTCTGGTACTAATAGTCAGGATCAGGATTTAAACTCCTGTAAGTAGCTCCAAAGCCCATTTTCTTTCCATTTTACCATGCTGGTATATGATCAGAGTTGATCACGTTTTTTTTGTTTTTTTGTTTTTTTTTTTTGAGACAGAGTCTTGCTCTGTCCGCCAGGCTGGAGTGCGGAGTGCAGAGTGCAGTGGCGTGATCTGGGCTCACTGCAAGCTCCGCCTGCCGGGTTCACGCCATTCTCCTGCCTCAGCCTCCCAAGTAGCTGGGACTACAGGCGCCCACCACCATGCCCGGCTAATTTTTTGTATTTTTAGTAGAGACAGGGTTTCACCGTGTTAGCCAGGAAGGTCTTGATCTCCTGACCTTGTGATCCACCCGCCTCGGCCTCCCAAAGTGCTGGGATTATAGGCTTGAGCCACCGCGCCCGGCGCCTGATCATGTTTTTTGATCACAGGTCTGACTGAATGAATTCAAAGCCCAAGTTTCCATCAGTGAAAGGGGCTCTTTATTTTTTTCTATAGCTAGCTTATTGTAAAATTACTGATTTTTTTGTATATAAGTTAGACTTGTAGGATGTGAAATGTCAGGAGTGCTGAATTTACTGGCTAGATTGTTAAACCCTAAATTAAATCCCAGGAGGCTAGCTGGGGGGTCTCCTGACTGTTCTGTTTATATAAATGGATATTTCAGATACCAGACTCTGACAGAGACAATTTCAGTGACTGAAAAGTTTATGGAAGGCTTGTTACTAAATTTAGTATCATTTTTCAGGAAGGAAAATCCCTAATGGTTTGGAACAGGACTGAAAAAGAATTTAACTCTAAAGGGTAGATAAGCTTTAAATGTTAAATTGATTAGAGGTCAGGTGTGTATTTCCTACCTCTCTTGGGATAGCCATGGGAGGGAACCTCCAGGCCTGCTGCCCAGTGGTTTTTGCTGAGAGAGCAGCTGGATCAGCATTCTGGAAGGTAGTTTGGTTTGCTGAGGGAGTCTTGTGAGACTCAGCATCTTTCTTGACAAAATACTTCATCTAAACCTTGTACTTTGTTTGCCTTATTTCAGCCTTTTGTACACAGCAAAACAGGAAGGAAAATTAGTAGGCTGACCATATAATTATAGGTGTATATTTTTTAGTTTGGACTGATTACACAGGACTCTAAATGAGATAGCATAGAGCAGGAAAAAAGTTGATGGAATCCCAAGAGGTTAATTGAATTGGAAACTAGTGTATGTGAAGAGTAATACCATTTAGCTCCCAAAGTAATGAAACTTGGCATAAAGGAAAATTAAGTTGACTGATTTGAGATATGGAGAGAAATTGGATGTAAATGTAAAGGAATTATCTTCAGTCATAACTTTTTTTGAGTCTCTATTTACAAATTAAGAGAATTTATTTTGTGAAGGTTCTTTTAACAGAATTCCTTTGAGGTTTAAAAAGGACAAAGTACAATTCAAGTGGCAGGGCTGTCAAAAGCCACTTTGATTGAATTGTATACATGCTTAGTTAGAATGAGGAAATTGGATTGTTTGACTGAAAAAGCTTTGTTTCCTCCTCAGCTTCAGCCTCTTTCCATGTGCGTTCCTGAAGCTATGTGTGGGATATTAGTATAGAGGAAGGGGAGGTCTTCTCACCTCTTTCCATTTTTCCCCCCGCCATAAGTTCACAAAGTTTTTCACATTAGAAACTGTTAAAACATAAACAACTTTTCTGGAACCAAATTAATCTTTTGACTTCATGGTTCATACCGTGTGACACTGGAGTTTGGGCAGGAGGGTGGAGATACAAGGTGTTTGGACCCTTCTGGTTTATGGGATTGTCTTTTTCCCTTTTTCCCCTTAGGAACCACGTGAATGTTGAGGGGGCGACACACAAGCAGGTGGTGGACCTGATTCGAGCAGGCGAGAAGGAATTGATCTTGACAGTGTTATCTGTACCTCCTCATGAGGCAGATAACCTAGATCCCAGTGACGACTCGTTGGGACAATCATTTTATGATTACACAGAAAAGCAAGCAGTGCCCATATCGGTCCCCAGATACAAACATGTGGAGCAGAATGGTGAGAAGTTTGTGGTGAGTGTCAGCCCAACTCGATCCTCGAACATCTAGCTTTGTTTCCCCTAGTCTTATAATTATGAAACTATTATAGTGGTAGATAAAAGGCTGCAACCTAGGTCAGTTTGTCTACCAGGAGGATGAGTTCACACATAAATAAAAGACACTGACCCTGATTTATTGCAGGGGGTGAATTACAGTAGTGGAAAAGAGTCCTACTCAGCTTGAGTATAATTCCATTTTATTTTTAGATAGTTTCAAGTTTGCATTCTGGTTTGTCGTAAACGTGTGAGTTTTTGTTTAGTTTCTTTTTTGTTTGTTCTTTTGTTGGTTGCCGTATCTCTTTGCTAATAGTATCTTATTTACTGTTGATTCTGTGGTGCTATAGGGCAAGATTAATGTAAAAGGATGGTGTCCTTCAAGATATTTGGGTAATAGAGAGGTTCACCCATTTCAGAACTTAGATGTCTCTACTCTTCTTTCCACATCATGTTCTTTTTCATTTTCTTTGGAGATATCCGTGTGAATGATTAACTGTGGTTTTTCCCACGAGTTTCCTGAATGCAATTCCCATGAGCTGTTTCACACATTTCTAATCTGTTGCTGTTGTAGCTATGCAGGAAAGCCCATCTTGAATTTTTAGTGATGTGTGCTAGCCCCTTTGCTGAATGCCTTTGTTCTTCAGAGCCTAATTGCCACTGATAGCTCAGTCTACTTAATTTTTCTTTTGGTTGCAATATGCTTTATTTGCCTTTAATTATTTGTGGAGTGTTGATATAATGAGAAATGTTCATTATTCTTAGTAGAAAATGCAGTGGGTTCTGTTAGATGCTGGCAAACAGACTACAGGTTTTAAAGCTTAACAGTTGACTAAAGTTACAGTCTCTAAAACTGAGATTTATCCTCTGCATAGGAACGAGCTACTAAACATTTATGGTAAATTCTTTTTAGTGAAGAGATAAGAAAAGCAAGGAAGCTAAAAGAGTTGCAGAGGATCAAATAATGCTTGGTTGCATCTGTAATTAGCTGTAGATAATGGCATATAGGTTTTATTTCAGCATGGACTTCTGTAGTCTTAGAACCACACACAGAATTTAGAGTTTTATGCTTCCTAAGTGCTAACTTTGAGTCATAAGGCATGTAAGAAGTTGAAATCAAGGTCACATCCTAAAAGTAGAGCAGTCTGGATGTTGAGACCTTTTGGGAATTACCTAAAACCTTGGAAACCTGAGAAAAGGAATAATACTACCAATTGTACCTTTGTTTATTTTTATTTTTATTATATATATTTTTTAAGACGAAGTCTCACTCTGTCCCCCAGCCTGGGGTACAGTGGTGTGATCTTGGCTCACTGCAATCTCTGCCTCCCGGGTTCAAACAATTCTGCCTCAGCCTCCCAAGTAGCTGGGATTACAGGTGCGCACCACCATGCCCTGCTAAGTTTTGTATTTTTAGTAGAGATGGTGTTTCACCATGTTGGCCAGGCTAGTCTCGAACTCCTGACCTCAGGTAATCCACCTGCCTCAGCCTCCCAAAGTGCTGGGATTACAGGTATGAGACACTGCGCCCAGCCCACTAATTGTACTTTTCAAATCAACTTTATTGAACATAGTTTACCTATATTAACATTCACTCATGTTAAGTCTCCACTTTTACAAGTTTTGACAAATGTACATAGTCTTATAACCACCACCACCACCATGAAGATTTAGAATATTTTCATACCCTCAAAAGTTCCCTCATGCCCTTTACAGTTAGTCCTCACCCCTTACCACTGCCCTTGTCAACCACGGATCAGCTTACTGTCACCATATTTTACATTTTCCAGAATGTCAAATAAGTAGAATCATACCATTTGTACTCTCTTGTATCTGGCTTTGTTCAGTTAGTATAGTGCTTAAGATTGGCAGACATTGTTATTTAAACCAAATATTTGTCCCTTTTTAATTGCTGAGTAGTAGTCCATTGTATAGATTTACTACAGTTTGTTCATCCTTTCATTGTTCATGCACATGTGGGTTGTTTGCAGTTTTGGACTAGTATGACTAAAGCTGCCATGAAATAATATTAAATGTACAGGTCTTTATGTAGACATATGTTTTCATTGCTCTTGAGTATATACCAAGAAGTGGAATTGCAGGGTAAGTGTAAGTTTAACTTTATAAAAAACTGCCAAACAGTTTTCCAAAGTGGCTATATCATTTTTACATTATCATATGCAGTGGAGAGTTCCAGTGGTTCCATAACCTCTTGATATTTTCAGTCTTTTTAATTCTAGCCATTCTCATGGACATAGTGATACCTTACTGTGGTTTTAATTTGCATTTACCTAATGACTCATGATGATGAGCTGCTTTTTGTGTGCTTAATGGGCATTCATGTGTCTTCATTGATGAAGTAGCTGTTTAACTCTTTTGCCCGTTTAAAAAATTGGGTTGTCTTATTATTTTATTGTAGGGGTTCTTTATACATTCTGGTTCTACAAGTCCTTTATCAGATATATATATATATATATATATATATATATATCATATGTATCATATATATATCATATGTATCAGATATATATATCATATATATCTGATATATATATCATATATATGATATATATAGCATATGATATATATCAGATAGATATATCAGATACATATATATCATATATATGCTATATATATCTGATATATATGAGATATATAAGATATAGATATATATGAGATATATATGTCAGCTATAGATATATATGAGATATATATATCAGCTATAGATATATATGATATATATATCAGCTATAGATATATATGAGATATATATATCAGCTATAGATATATATGAGATATATATATCAGCTATAGATATATATGAGATATATATATATCAGATATAGATATATATGAGATATATATATCAGATATAGATATATATGAGATATATATATATCAGATATATATGATATATTTTCCAGTAGCTTGAAAAAGGACTTAGATAAGCCAGGCGCAGTGGTTCATGCCTGTAATCCCAGCACTTTGGGAAGCTGAGGTGGGCAGATCACCTGAGGTCGGTGGATCACTTGAGGTCAGGAGCTCGAGACCAGGCTGGCCAATATGGTGAAACCCCGTCTCTACTAAAAATACAAAAATTAGCCGGGCGTGGTGGCAGGAGCCTGTAATCCCAGCTACTTGGGAGGCTGAGGCAGAAAAATCACTTGAACCCGGGAGGCTGACCTTGCAGTGAGCCGAGATTGTGCCATTGCACTCCAGCCTGGGCAACATCTCAAAAAAGAAAAAAAAAAAGGGACTTAGATGTTTTGTAAATATTTGAGTTTGCGACTTGCCTTTTCATTTTTTAAAACAGTATCTTTCAAGGAACAGAAATTTTAAATTTTGATATAGTCTCGTTTATCAGTTTTTAAATTTATGGATAATGCTTTTTTGTGTTCTAAGAAATCTACCTAACCCAAGGACACCAATCTTTTATGTTTTCTTACAGTTTTATAGTTTCAGCTATCTTTTTTTGTAAGAACTTTATTATTATTTATTTATTTATTATTAGTTTTTTGAGATGGAGTCTTGCTCTGTCACCCAGGCTGGAGTGCAGTGGCGCAATCTTGGCTCACTGCAAGCTCCGCCTCCATGGTTCACGCCATTCTCCTGCCTCAGTCTCCCGAGTAGCTGGGACTACAAGTGTCTGCCACCATGTCCGGCTAATTTTTTTGTATTTTTTAGTAGAGACGGGGTTTCACTGTGTTAGCCAGGATGGTCTCGATCTCCTGACCTTGTGGTCCACCCGCCTCGGCCTCCCAAAGTGCTGGGACTACAGGCGTGAGCCACCGCGCCCTGCCTATTTTTTATTTTTGTTTTATTTTATTTTATTTTATTTTTTGAGACGGAATTTCACTCTTGTTGCCCAGGTTGGAGTGCAACGGCGTGATCTTGGCTCACTGTAACCTCTGCCTCCTGGGTTCAAGTGATTCTTCTGCCTCAGCCTCCTAGAGTAGCTGGGATTACAGGCATGTGCCACCACACCCGGCCAATTTTGTATTTTTAGTAGAGACAGGGTTTCTCCATGTTGGTCAGGCTGGTCTGGAACTCCTGACCTCAAGTGATCCGCCCGCCTCGGCCTCCCAAAGTACTGGGATTACAGGCATGAGCAACCACGCCTGGCCTTTTATTTATTTATTTATTTATTTATTTATTTATTTATTTATTTATTTTGAGACGGAGTCTCCCTCTGTCACCCAGGCTGGAATGCAGTGGTGCGATCTCGGCTCACTGCAACCTCGGCCTCCCGGGTTCAAGCAATTCTCCTGCCTCAGCCTCCCCAGCAGCTGGGACTACAGGCACATAGCACTGCGTCCAGCTAATTTATGTGTTTTTAGTAGAGATGGGGTTTCACCATGTTGGCCAGGCTGGTCTTGAACTCCTGACCTCATGATCCGCCTGCCTCGGCCTCCCAAAGTGCTGAGATTACAGGTGTGAGCCACTGCACCCAGCCATAAGAACTTTATTAAGATATGATTTATATACCATACGTTCACCTAAAGTGCACAATTTAGGGTTTTTTTTATTTTTTTATTTTTTAGACAGAGTTTCGCTCTTGTTGCTCAGGCTAGAGTGCAATAGTGCAATCTCGGCTCACCGCAACGTCTGCCTCCTGGGTTCAAGCAATTCTCCTGCCTCAGCCTCCCGAGTAGTTGTGATTACAGGCATGTGCCAGCACGCTCGGCTAATTTTGTATTTTTAATAGAGATAGGGTTTCTCCATGTTGGTCAGGCTGGTCTTGAACTCCTGACCTCAGGAAATCTGCCTGCCTTGGCCTCCCAAGGTGCTGAGATTACAGGCTTGAGCCACTGCGCCTGGCCAATTTAGTTTTTAGTGTGTTCACAGAGGTTGCAGTGAGCCCAGATCACACCACTGCACTCTAGTTTGGGCAACAAAGTGAGACTTCGTCTCAAAAAAAAAATAGATAAATAAAAGTACAATTAGTAATTTCATTCCTTTTCTCAAGTTCCCAAGGTTTTAGGTAATTCCCAAAAGGTCTCAACATCCAGTCTGCTCTACTTTTAGGATGTGACCTTGATTTCAACTTCTTACATGTCTTATGACTCAAAGTTAGCACTTTTGAAGCATAAAACAAATTTGTAACATTTTCATCACCTCAAAAAGAATCTCATTCCTTGTAGCCATCATTTTCCAAACCTCCCATCCCCTCCAATTCTAGGAAAGCACTAATCTATCCTCTGTCTTATAGATTTGCGTATTCTGGACATTTCATAGAAATGGAATCATGGTTTTTTTTGTAACTGGCTTCTTTCACTCAGCATAATATTTTTGAGGCTTATTCAAGTTGTAGCATGCATCAGTACTTCATTTTAACATTCCATTATATGGATATACCACTTTTATTTATCCATTCTTCAATTGATGGACATCTGGGTTCTTTCCACTTTTGACTATTATGAATAATGCTGTTATGAGCATTTGTGTACACGTTTTTGTGTAGATATGTGTTTTCATTTTTCTTGGATATATACCTAGGAATGGAACTGCTGGGTCATATGGTAACTCTTTAGGTTTAACCTTTTGAGGAACTGCCAAACTGTTTTCCGAAGTGGCTGTACCATAGTTTTTACTCTTACGTTTAGGTCTGTGATCCATTTTGAGGGATTTATTTATTTATTTATTTAGTATATTGTGATATAAAGGTCAAGGTTTTTTTGTTTGTTTGTTTTTGAGTGTCAGCTAGGCTGGAGTGCAGTGGCGCAATATTGGCCCACTGCAGCCTCTGCCTCCCGGGTTCAAGCGATTCTCCTGCCTCAGCCCTCCTGAGTAGCTGGGATTACAGGCATGCGCTACCACACCTGGCTAATTTTTGTATTTTTAGTAGAGATGAGGTTTTGCCATGTTGGCCAGGCTGGTCTCAAACTCCTGACCTCAGGTAATCCACCCGCCTCGGCCTCCCAAAGTGTTGGGATTACAGGTGTGAGCCCTTGACCAGGGTCAAGGTTTTGTTTTTGATTTTGTTTTTATATGGATATCCAGTTGTTTCACAGCAACCTGTGTTGAAAAGAAAGTTCTTTCCTCATTGAAATATCTTGGCATCATTGTGGAAAATCAATTGACTATGTGTGGTTCTATTTCTGAACTTTTTACTCTGTTTCATTGGTCTGTTCCTTATGTGTCTGAACATTTGTGTCATTTTGGGATTGGTTTCTGTTAAATGTCTTTTCCCTTGAGAATGGGTCATATTCTTCTGGTTCTTTGTATATTGAGTCATTTTGGATTGTATCTTGCATATTTATGAATGTTACATTGTGGAGACTCTGGGTTCTGTAATATTCCTCTGAGGAGTATCGATGTTTTTGTTTTAGCTGGCAATAAGCTGTAAGCTGTGTCGCCTTCTGTGGGTTAAACTTCAAATCTCAGTTTAATTCTTTCAGCCTTTGCTGTGCTACTTTGAGTCTGTATACATCCAAGAAGGGATTAGTCTGAGATACATGTGGTGTTTATTCTTAGAATTAAGGATCACCTTCTCTGGTTTTCTCTTGTCTTGGATTCTCCACTCACTCTGGTAGCAGCCATGGTTACCTAGAATCTTTTCCCTATATGTTTGAGTCAGAAAGACGTCACTTTCTGAGTTTTAGTTACTTAAATTGTGCTATTTTGTAACTTATGCCCACAAGCAGGGCAAAGCCCTCTTAATGCAGGAGTGTACCCCACCCTGTGCATCATTGCTCCATGTTTTGAGTCCCCTCCACAGTCTGCCTGCTTTTAGTGTGTAATTCAGACTCCTCAGATAATTGTTTTTGTATTTCGTCCAGAATTTATAGTGGTTACAGCAGAAGGGTTGGTCTACAGGAAGTGTATGCACTACTTGAAATGGAGTTTTCAGTTCTGTCAGGTTTTTCTTTATTTATAATGAATATTATATCTTGATGAATTGATCCCTTTAACATTATTTATCTCTTTATATAAGTCTCTATCTGTAATATATCTATCTGTCTTTATCCCTGGTAATATTCTTTGTTCTGAAGTCTTTCTCTCATATAACATATGAGCCACTAACATATAGCCACTAGTAGCCATGTCACCTTTCTTTCGGTTATTGTTTTCGTTGCTATATTTTCCATTTAACCTATTTATACATTTATAATTAAACTGGGTTTCTCATAGAAAGCTTAGAGCTGGGTCTTGCTTTTTTATCCAGTCTGGCAATGTTTTTATTTGGAATGTGTAGACTACTTACCTTTAGTATAATTATTGCTATAGTTAGGCTAAATCTACTATCTTGTTCTTTGCTATCTATGTTGTATCATTATTTATTTTTTTCCTCATTTCCTGCCTTCTTTTGGATGGATAGAGTATTTTTAAATGATTCTATTTTATCTCTACTATTGTTTTATTAGGTATAATTTGTTTTTTTTCTTGGTTTACAGTATATATCTATAATTTATGAACATTTACCTTCAAATTATATATTTGAATTTGTAGTTGTATAGACATAATATATAGTACATATATATTATATATAGTATAACACTGTATATAGGTAAGTATATCTAATATATCTAATTTTATAATATATAAATATATAATATATATTTGTATTGGCCATTTTGTCCCCCCGTCAGATGTTAATTCCTACAAATTTGTGAGTTTTCTAGCTTTCCCTCTGTTACCAATTTCTAACTTTACCCCACTGTAGTTATAGAAGATACTTAGCATAATACCTTCTGTGTGTGTGCGTGTGTCAAGGTTTCTCTCTGTTGCCCAGGCTGGACACAGACACACACACACACACACACAAACAAACACACACTATATATATAATTTAAGACACTTACAAGAGTATATTTCCCCCCGCCATCCTTTGTGCTATTGTTGTCATACATTGACTTCTATATGTGTTATAAACTTAATGATACATTGTTATCTTTGCTTTAAACAATTGCCTTTTAGGCTTCAGGATTGTCAGTTAAATATAATTGTTTTTGCCTGGGTCTACTGACAGACAGGTTTACATCATCTCTATTACTTTTTTTTTTTTTTTTTAATTTGTTTTTTGTTTTTGAGCTGGAGTTTTGCTCTCATTGCCCAGGCTGGAGTGCAGTGGTGAGATCTCAGCTCACCACAACTTCCGTCTCCCAGGTTCAAGTGATTCTCCTGCCTCAGCCTTCCGAATAGCTAAACTACACGTGTAAGCCACCATACTTGGCTAATTTTTGTATTTGTAGTAGAAACAGGATTTCACCATGTTGGCCAGGCTGGTCTCGAACTCCTGACCTCAAGTGATCTGCCCACCTTGGCCTCCCAAAGTGCTGGGATTACAGGCATGGGCCACCGTGCCCAGCCTATTACATGTTTTAAGGTCATAAAACTGCTACTTCTGGAATATTTCTTAAACTTGCTTGATTTGTCTAAATTGAGCTAAAGCTGTAAGGTCTGGCTGCTGGGCTCCCTGAAACCTTGCACATATCTTACTGTATGACTGTATTTCGTTTTGAGTCTCTGGATTCTGGGGTTTGGACAGATGACCATAGTGAGGCCTGCAGAAATATGCATGTCCTCAGTGTTTGGACTGCCAGCTGCAAGGCAGAGCCAAACCCAATATGGCCCCATCATCCCTGGCTCAGCTGTGCTACCTGGCCATGCTGGAAGGGGTTTGATCTTCCAGGAATTTGCTTCACAGCTCTTTCCTGTCCCAAGATCTATGCCTGATGTGTAAATTCAGGACCCAAAAGGGCACAAAAAAGCAATAACTACTAAATATAAGGAAAACAACTCTGTATACAGCATGTATAAAGAAAAGCAAGGTATATTTGGGGAGATAAAAGTTGTAAAGGCATTAAGATGTGTGTTTGTTGAGAAAAAATAAATTTGTGCATTTAAGAAGTTAAAAAAAAAAACAACAAAAAAACAATTGCCTTTTAAAGAGTCGGGGTTTTTTTGTTTTTTGTTTTTTGTTTTTGTTTTTTGAGGTGGAGTCTCACTCTGTCACCCAGGCTGGAATGCAGTAGTGCAATCTTGGCACCCTGCAACCTCTGCCTCCCAGGCTCAAGTGATCTCCCACCTCAACCTCCTGAGTAGCTGTGACCACAGGTGCGCACCACCACGCCCAGCTCATTTTTTGTGTTTTTGGTAGAGATGGGGTTTCATCATGTTGCCCAGGCTGGTCTTGAACTCCTGAGCTCAAGTGATCCGCCAGCCTTGGCCACCCAAAGTGTGCTGGGATTACAGGCATGAGCCACCACGCCTGGCGTTAAAGAGATTAAACATGAGAAAAGAGTTATTTTATATTTGATCACATATTTACCATTTCTTTCTTTCTTTCTTTTTTTTGAGACGGAGTTTTGCTCTTTTTGCCCAGGCTGGAGTGCAATAGCGCGATCTTGGCTCACTGCAACCTCCACCTCCCAGATTCAAGCAATTCTTCTGCCTCAGCCTCCCGAGCAGCTGGGATTACAGGCATGAACCACCACGCCTGGCTAATTTTGTATTTTTAGTAGAGACAGGGTTTCTCCATGTTGTCCAAGCTGGTCATGAACTCCTGACCTCAGGTGATCTGCCCACCTTGGCCTCCCAAAGTGCTGGGATTACAGGCGTGAGCCACCATGCCCAGCCCATATTTACCATTTCTGATGCACTTTATTCCTTTGTGTAAATCTAGTTTCTGTCTGGCATTAGATTCCCTCTGCTTGAAGAACTTGCATTAATATTTCTTGCATTAATAGTGCAGGTCTGTTGGCAATGAATTCTCTTAGCTTTTGTTGATGTGAAAAAGTCTTCATTTCACCTTTATATTCGAAAGATTTTTTCAGGGTATAGAATTCTTGGTGGATTGTTTTTTTCTTTTCTTTTTCTTTTTATTTATTTATTTATTTTTGAGACAGAGTCTTGCTCTGTTGCCCAGGCTGGAGTTCAGTGGTACGATCTCGGCTCACTACAGCCTCTGCCTCCTGGGTTCAAGCAATTCTCTGCCTCAGCCTCCCGAGTAGCTGGGATTATAGGCGCCCGCCACCACGCCCAGCTAATTTTTGTATTTTTAGTAGAGACAGGGTTTCACCATGTTGGCCAGGCTGGTCTTGAACTCCTGACCTCGTGATCCACCCGCCTTTGCCTCCCAAAGTGCTGAGATTACAGACGTGAGCCACTGTGTCTGGCCGATTTTTTAAATTTTTATTTATTTATTTTTTTAAAGTACCAAAAGAAAAAAACAATCACTCCATTGTAATCCCAGCACTTTGGGAGGCTGAGGCAGCAAGATTGCTTGAGGCCAGGAGCTTGAGATCACCCTGGGCAACATACTGAGACTCTGTCTCTACAAAAAATGAAAAAATAGCTGGGCATGGTGACACAATGCTGGTAGTCCCACTTACTTGGGAGGCTGAGGCAGGAGGATCACTTCAACCCAGAAGGTTGAGGCTGCAGTGAGCTGTGGTCATACCACTCCACTCCAACCTGGGAGACAGAGCTAAACCCTGTCTCAATTTAAAACAAAATCACTCCAGTCTTCTGGTTTTCATAGTTTCTGATGAGAAGCCTGCTTGTTTTATTTTTTGGTCTTTTCTATGGATTATTTTAACCCTCTCTGGCTACCTTCAAAGTTTACTCTCTTTTTAAAAAACAGAGACAGGGTCTCACTCAGTCATCCAGGCTGGAGTGCAATGGTGCAATAATAGCCCACTGCAGCCTTGACCTCCTGGGCTCAAGTGATCCTCCTGACTCAGCCTTCCGAGTAGCTGGAACTACAGGAATGTGCCACTGTACCTGTCTAACTTTTATATTTTATTTTATTATTTTATTTTTTTGAGATGGGGTCTCACTGTGTCTCCCAGGCTGGAGTTCAGTGGCACCATCTTGGCTCGCTGCAACCTCCACCTCCCAGGGTCAAGCAATTCTCCTGCCTCAGCCTCCCAAGTAGCTGGGACTACAGGTGTGCATCACCACACCCGGCTAATTTTTGTATTTTTACTGGAGACAGGGTTTTACCATGTTGGTCAGGCTGGCCTTGGACTTCTGGCCTCAAGTGATCTGCCCACTTCAGCCTCTCAAGATGTTGGGATTACAGGTGTCGGCCACCGCACCTGGCCACCTAATTTTAAAAATTTTTAGTAGAGATGGGGTCTTGCTATGTTCCCCAGGCTATTCTCACACTCTCAGCCTCAGCAATCCTCCTTCCTCAGACTCCCAAAGCACTGAGATTACAGGCCTGAACCACTGCACCTGGCCTGCAGCATTTTCTCCTTATCTTTAGTTTTCAGAGTTTCATTTTTACATGTCTAGGTGTTTGTTTCTTATTTGTCCTGCTTGAGGAATATGTGGTTTGATATCTTTTATTATTTTTGGAAAACTATCAGCCAGTATGTTTTCAGACATTTCTTCAGCCCATTCTTTTTCTCTTGCCTTTCTGGAGGTTCTAGTTACCTGTGTTTTACACTGTTTGATATTGTCCTAGAGCTTTTGGGTGTTTTATTCTATTTTAGCTCTAATTTTTCTCTTTTTTTTTAAAATTTATTTATTTTTTATTGATAATTCTTGGGTGTTTCTCACAGGGGGGATTTGGCAGGGTCATAGGACAATAGTGGAGGGAAGGTCAGCAGATAAACAAGTGAACAAAGGTCTCTGGTTTTCCTAGGCAGAGGACCCTGCGGCCTTCCGCAGTGTTTGTGTCCCTGGGTACTTGAGATTAGGGAGTGGTGATGACTCTTAACGAGCATGCTGCCTTCAAGCATCTGTTTAACAAAGCACATCTTGCACCGCCCTTAATCCATTTAACCCTGAGTGGACACAGCACATGTTTCAGAGAGCACAGGGTTGGGAGTAAGGTCACAGATCAACAGGATCCCAAGGCAGAAGAAGTTTTCTTAGTACAGAACCAAATGAAAAGTCTCCCATGTCTACTTCTTTCTACACAGACACGGCAACCATCCGATTTCTCAATCTTTTCCCCACCTTTCCCGCCTTTCTATTCCACAAAGCCGCCATTGTCATCCTGGCCCGTTCTCAATGAGCTGTTGGGCACACCTCCCAGACGGGGTGGTGGCCGGGCAGAGGGGCTCCTCACTTCCCAGTAGGGGCGGCTGGGCAGAGGCGCCCCTCACCTCCCGGGCGGGGCGGCTGGCCGGGCGGGGGGCTGACCCCCCGACCTCCCTCCCAGACGGGGCGGCTGGCCTGGCGGGAGGCTGACCCCCCTACCTCCCTCCCAGATGGGGCGGCTGGCGGGGCGGGGGGCTGACCCCCCCCACCTCCCTCCCGGATGGGGCGGCTGGCCTGGCGGGGGGCTGACCCCCCCCACCTCCCTCCCGGACGGGGTGGCTGCCGGGCGGAGACGCTCCTCACTTCCCAGATGGGGCGGCTGCCGGGCAGAGGGGCTCCTCACTTCTCAGACGAGGCGGTTGCCGGGCAGAGGGTCTCCTCACTTCTCAGACGGGGCGGCCGGGCAGAGATGCTCCTCACCTCCCAGACGGGGTCGCGGCCAGGCAGAGGTGCTCCTCACATCCCAGACGGGGCGGCGGGGCAGAGGCGCTCCCCACATCTCAGACGATGGGTGGCCGGGCAGAGATGCTCCTCACTTCCTAGATGGGATGGCGGCTGGGCGGAGATGCTCCTCACTTTCCAGACTGGGCAGCCAGGCAGAGGGGCTCCTCACATCCCAGATGATGGGCGGCCAGGCAGAGACGCTCCTCACTTCCCAGACGGGGTGGCGGCCGGGCAGAGGCTGCAATCTCGGCACTTTGGGAGGCCAAGGCAGGCGGCTGGGAGGTGGAGGTTGTAGCGAGCCGAGATCACGCCACTGCACTCCAGCCTGGGCACCATTGAGCACTGAGTGAACGAGACTCCGTCTGCAATCCCGGCACCTGGGGAGGCCGAGGCTGGCGGATCACTTGCGGTTAGGGGCTGGAGACCAGCTCGGCCAACACAGCGAAACCCCGTCTCCACCAAAACCAGTCAGGTGTGGCGGCGCGAGCCTGCAATCGCAGGCACTCGGCAGGCTGAGTCAGGAGAATCAGGCAGGGAGGTTGCAGTGAGCCGAGATGGCAGCAGTACAGTCCAGCTTCGGCTCCGCATGAGAGGGAGACCGTGGAAAGAGAGGGAGAGGGAGACCGTGGGGAGAGGGAGAGGGAGAGGGAGAGGGAGAGGGAGAGGGAGACGGAGAGGGAGAGGGAGAGGAAACTGAATCTTAATCTAATTTTTCTCTTTAGATAATTTTTATGGACCTATCATTAAGTTTGCTGATTTTTTCCTCAGCTGTGTCCAGTCTGCTGATGAGACTGTTAGAGGAACTCTTCATTTTTGATACCACGCCTTTTTTTTTTTTTTTTTTTTCCTCAGACGGAGCCTTGCTCTGTCACCTAGGCTGGAGTGCAGTGGTGTGATCTCGGCTCACTGCAACCTCCGCCTCCCAAGTTCACGCAATTCTCCTGCCTTAGCCTCCCGAGTAGCTGGGACTACAGGCAGCCGCTACCACGCCTGGCTAATTTTTGTATTTTTTTTTAGTAGAGACAGCATTTCACCATATTGGCCAGGCTGGTCTCGAACTCCTGACGTTGTGATCCACCCGCCTCGACCTCCCAAAGTGCTGGAATTACAGGCGTGAGCCACTGCGCCCAGCCCATGCGTTTTATTTCTGTCACTTTCATTTGTTATTTGCTTGTAATTTTCACACCTGCTGAAATTCTGTATCTGTTCATACATGTTTTCTGCCTTTTCCTTTTGCATGAGATCTTTAGCATTGTTAATCACGGTTATTCTAATAATATGCTGCCTGATAATTTCAACATCTGGGTCATCTCTGAGACTGTTTTATCTCTTGACATAATGTTGGGTTTCTTTTTTTTTTTTTTTTTGAGATGGAGATTTGCTCTTGTTGCCCAAGCTGGAGTACAATGGCTCGATCTTGGCCCACTGCAACCTCCGCCTCCCAGGTTCAAGCAGTTCTCCTGCCTCAGCCTCCTGAGTAGCTCGAATTACAGGCATGTGCCACCATGCCTGGCTAATTTTGTATTTTTAGTAGAGACAGGGTTTCTCCATGTTGGTCAGGCTGGTCTTGAACTCCTGATCTCAGGTGATCACCCGCCTTGGCCTCCCAAAATGCTGGGATTACAGGTGTGAGCCACCGCACCCAGCCTTTTTTTTTGTTGTTGTTGTTTGTTTGTTTGTTTTCCATTTTTGTTCTGTAATATTTAACAATGTCAAGCATCATGTGTGGAATAATAGTAGAGATGACTGAAGTAAATAGTGTTTCAACTTGGAAATGGGCAATACTCTTCTGTTAGGGAATGTAGTCAGTTAAGCTGGGCTTGAATTTTGTTATAGCTATCATTACCTTTACTGTGCCATAGGCCTCAAGTTTCTCTAGCAATGGGTTGCTATTACCTTGTGCTTAGAGTGAGGGCTGGGGTTCTGAAGGTTTTTAAATTTATTTATTTTTTGTTTTTTGAGACAAGCTCTCCTTCTATCACTCAGACTGGAGTGCAGTTGCACAATAATGGCTCTTTGCAGCCTTGACTTCCTGGCTTAAGCATTCCTCCTGCTTCAGCCTACCAAGTAGCTGGGACCACAAGCACACGTCATCACATCTGGCTAATTTTTTTTTTACTTTTTGTAGAGACAGAGTCCCACTATTTTGTTCAGGCTGGTCTCAAAATCCTGGGCTCAAGTGATCCTCCTGCCTTGGCCTCCCAAAGTGCTGGGATTATAGACAAGAGCCACTGTGCCCAGCCTGGAGAGTTTTTTTTGTTTTTTTTTTTTTTTGAGATGGAGTCTTGCTCTGCCACCAGGCTGGAGTGCAGTGGCGCGATCTTGGCTCACTGCAACCTCCACCTCCTGGGTTCAAGTGATTCTCCTGCCTCATCCTCCCTAGTAGTTGGGACTACAGGCGCACACCACCACGCCAAGCTAATTTTTGTATTTTTAGTAGAGATGGAGTTTCAGCATGTTGGCTGGGATAGTCTTGATCTTTTGACCTCGTGATCCACCCGTCTTGGACTCCCAAAGTGCTGGGATTACAGGCGTGAGCCACCGTGCCCGGCCGACCCTGGAGGGTTTTTTTCAGTGTTTTGTCCTCAGGCTTTCAGCCACCTGTGCATACCAGTACCACAGACAAGTTCTCTCTTTACATTCTTACCCCTCTGCTACTGGTAGACTACTCTTGCTTTTTACTTGGGCTAGACTCATGGTAGAGGTAGATGTTGTGTAGTTCACCCTTAGTCTTAGGCAGAATCTGTGTCTCTGTGTCCTGATTCTTTTGCCCTTCCTTCTTATTGCAGCCAAACTCGGCCTTGTATCTGTGGTTAGTCTTGGGAAAGCGTTTCCTGTCCCTCCCTCAGCTATAGCCGACCTCTGCTTGGTAACAGTGGAGGAACCTGGGCCTAATATGGTTTCCTGCCTCTCCCCAGGGGTATAGAGTATTTTACTTTTACTCCTTCCCCTGAAGAAGTGGATCTTTGCCTGTGCACTCTGAATGAGAGGATTTACTGCCTGTCTTAGCCTGTTTTCACTGCTTTAATAGAATAACACAGATTGTAGGTCATTTATAAAGAAAAGTGATTTGGCTTACAGTTCTAGAGCCTGAGAAGTCTAATATCAAGGGGCCACATCTGGTGAAGGCCTTTCTGTTGTGTTATAACATGAAGGAAGGCATTCCCTGGTGGGGAAGTGCATGTGAGACAGAGAGCAAATGGGGCCCAAACTCCTGAGATAAATAACCCACTGCCTCAATAATGACATTAATCACGAGAGTTTTGCCATTACCTCTTAAAGATCCCACTTCTTAATACACTTCGTAATCCCACTTCTTAATATATGATAGCTGCTTAATGTCCTTGTCTACTGATTCTTTTGTCTTGGTAACTTCTGAGCCTGTTTCTACTGACTAATTTTTATCCTGGTCATAGGTCAAATTTTCATGCTTTTTTATATGTCTAGTAATTTTTGATTGGATATTGTATATTGTGAATGCAGTGTGATTGGGTGCTAGATTTTGTTACATTTCTTTAAAGAGTGTTGGAATTTTTTTTTTTCTCCTGGCATACAGTTAAGCTACTTAAAGATTACTTTGGTCCTTTTTAGCTTTGTTTTTAAGCTCTTTTTGAGTAGTTTAGAGTACCTTTTACTCTAGAACCAATTTAGCTCCATTCCTAAAGCATGGTCTTTTTGAGTTCCCTTCTAAATTCCATGCAGATTTAGGGAGGTCTCTTTATTCTGGCTGGAGGGAAGTTGAATGATTCCATAACCTGTGTGAACTCTGGGAATTGTTTATTTACTGCTCCCGGCTGATAATAGTTCTTTCCTTAGATCGTTATTCAGTCAAAATTCAAGGGAACTTAATACAGATTTCTGGAGCTATGTCTTGCTTTAGCTCCCTCTTGCATGATTAGTCCTGCAAATTGTAGCTGCTTTGGCCTCCTCGAACTTCAGTTTCTGTTTATTCAACTCAGTGAAGTTGCCAAACTCTGTTTGGGTACCCCTCCCTGAGCTGCAGTTTAGGAGTTACCTCTAGGCAGAAAGCTGAGATTATGTTAGGGATCATCTTGTTTGCTTCCCTTTTCTCAGGGATCACCGTTCTTAGCTGCCTGTTGTCCAGTGTCTGAAAATAGTTGTTGCCTACATTGTGTCCAGTTTTCTGGTTGTATTTAATGGGAGGTTAATTACCACCTGGAAGTCCACAGATTGTTCTATAAATGGAGAATGTTTTTTATTTAGGGATGATTTGATTAAAAGTTGATTTTAAATATTCTTGGCTTTAAAAGAAATGCCAGTGGAACTCTACTTCATATTATATAGAGGAATAAGTTCCAGATGGATTAAGGACTTAAATGACAAAACAAAAAATTAAAAGCTCTTGGCCGGACACGGGTCTCACACCTGTAATCCCAGCACTTTGGGAGGCCGAGGCGGGTGGATCACGAGCTCAAGAGATCCAGACCATCCTGGCTAACACGGTGAAACCCCGTCTCTACTAAAAATACAAAAAATTAGCCGGCCATGGTGGTGGGTGCCTGTAGTCTCAGCTACTTGGGAGGCAGAGGCAGGAGAATGGCGTGAACCCGGGGGGCGGAGCTTGCAGTGAGCAGACATCGTGCCACTGCACTCTTAGCCTGGGTGACAGAGCGAGACTCCGTCTCAAAAAAAAAAAAAAAAAAAAGACCAGTGACAAACTGGAAGAAGATATTCACAATACACACAAATGAAACAGATTATGTCAATATATAAAGAACTCCATAAATCAAATCAATAAGAAAAGCCAAAAAACTTAATATGAAGGTAGGCAAAACGCATGAGTAGGTACTTTACAAAAAATGACACTCACATGGTCAATAAGTATATGAAGAGATATTAAACATCATTAGTAATTAGGATCACAGAAATCTTTTCACACCAATTCCATTGGCAAAATTAAGAGGATCTTTTTATATATTGCTGAAAGAGAATAAATTGGTACAACCACTTTAGCTTACATTTCGGCATTATCTCCTGAGGTTGAATATGCATATAACTCTGCAGTTCACTCAGGGTTGTACTCAGAAGAATATCTTTTGCATGTACAGCAGGAGGCATTTATACAAATGTCAATGGCAGCATTATTCACGGTAGCTAAAATCCAGAAACAACCCAAGTGCTCATGAGTGGGAGAACAGATTAAAAACAAACGAGCAACTATGATATATTCACACAACAAAATGCTGTATGCAGCAGAGTATACCACAAAGACATATAATGTTGTGATGAAACTATAGTATAATATTAACTGAAAAAAGTAAGTCCTTTGAAGTATCATTCATCTTGATACTCTATTTTTATAAAACCAAAATATCCTTTAAAATTAGAATAAAAATAAAAATTTAAGGATTATATATAAATGCAAAAAATATATAAAAAGAAAAGCAAGGGAATCATGAACATGGTTGGATATGATAACTTTTTGCGGTCAGAGAAACAGGGACATAAGGATGTGGAATAGAGGAGGCGGAGACTATATGGTGTAAAGTAAATTATTTTCAAGATCTTAGCTTAGCTTTTATTTTGCTTTTCACATTATCTGCTTAAGGAACTAACAAAAATTCCACTGTTGCTGAAATCATTTTGTTTTTTTGAGACAGTGTGTCCTTCTATTGTCCAGGCTGGAGTGTAGTGGCAGGATCGTGGCTCACTGCTTCCTCTGCCTCCTGGATTCAAACAATCCTCCCACCTTAGCCTCCTGGGACTACAGGCGCATGCCACCATGCCCAGCTTCATTTTTGTATTTTTTTGTAGAGACAGGGTTTCACCATGTTGCCCAGGCTGGTCTTGAACTCTTGGACTCAAGCAATCTGCCTGCCTGTCAGCCTCACAAAGTGTGCTGGAATCACAGACGTGAGCCACCGTGCCCAGGCCGCTTACATCATTTTTAGGCCTTTTCTTTGGAATCAACTTTAGAGCCAGTTTAGGCCACACACGAGTATCAGTTACATTGCTTTATAATCAACCCTAGGTTTTCAGCTCCCTTCAAATTTGCTTGCTTATTGACTCACTATATTTACCACATTGGCTTCAAATGACTTTTAACTTTCTGAAAATAAAATCCACCTTAAAAACTGATAATTGCCTTTGAAGATATTTAAAAGTATGCTAGAGGTCATTTTAATAGCAAAAATAAGATCACACTCCTCCTGCTGGGTGCGGTGGTTCAAGGTGGGTGGATCACCTGAGGTCAAGAGGTCGAGACCAGCCTGGCCAACATGGTGAAACCCCTTCTCTACTAAAAATACAAAAATTAGCCAGGTATGGTGGCGGATGCCTGTAATCCCAGCTATTCAGGAGGCTGAGGCAGGAGAATTGCTTGAACCCGGGAGGCGGAGGTTACAATGAGCCGAGATCATGCCACTGCACTCCAGCCCGGGCAACAGAGTGAGATTCCATCTCAAAAAAACCCCAAAAAACAAAAACAAGATCATGCTCCTTTGGTAGTCCTTTTTTATGCATATAACTTTATGCATGTTTGTCAAAAGTAAGTCTTACTTTAAAGTGAGCTTGAATATAGTCTTTGTTAAATGCATAGCAGAATGCATCTAACCAATATCATCTAAGCCTGACTAGATGATTTTGTGATTTAATTTGTATTAAGTATGCTTTTCTTTTGTTCTTCTCCTTCACCAGGTATATAATGTTTACATGGCAGGGAGGCAGCTGTGTTCTAAGCGGTACCGGGAGTTTGCTATCCTACACCAGAACCTGAAGAGAGAGTTTGCCAACTTTACATTTCCTCGACTCCCAGGGAAGTGGCCATTTTCATTATCAGAACAACAATTAGATGCCCGACGTCGGGGATTGGAAGAATATCTAGAAAAAGGTAATCCAAACCATCAAACTCTACTATATTGAGTAGACGTAGGTTCTAGATATGCAACTTCTAAACTGCATAGCTGAATTTCCAGAACCTCAATAGTGAATGTAAGTCAGGTTTCTGACTAAGTATTGAATGATCTGAACTTTGAAGGCAAAACTGAAATGTCCAGTACAGTGATCAGTAGCCTGTTTCATTGGTTTGTTGAATGCTTAACAACAACAGAAAAATGAATATTTAGTTTTTGATGCATTTGGTGATGCCTAATGGACTTTTTTTTTTAGACGGAGTCTCGCTCTGTCGCCAGGCTGGAGTGCAGTGGCACGATCTCAGCTCAACTGCATCCTCTGCCTCCTGGGTTCAAGTGATTCTCCTGCCTCAGCCTCCTGAGTAGCTGGGACTATAGGCACATGCCACCACGCCCAGCTAATTTTTGTATTTTTTAGTAGAGACAGGGTTTCACCATGTTGGCCAGGATGGTCTCGATCTCTTGACCTCGTGATCCGCCCACCTCGGCCTCCCAAAGTGCTGGGATTACATGGACCTTTATTTTTAGGGTTATATTATCTGCCAGCAAACACATATAGACTCAGCAATATGCTGAATTGATTTGGGAACTAAGTGGGCAATATTAAGACATTTTAAATATTTAAGACATTTTCATTAAAATGATTCTTGGCTTACTGCTGTATCCTACATGAAAACTTTATTCATTTTACAGGTATTCATAGATAGGTTTGCTGAGTTGTAGGTAATCTAGAGTGCCCTTGTTCTAAGCAGGCTAAAGGTAGATACTAATACTTCTGTATTGAATTTTTTGTTTTGTTTTGTTTTGTTTTGTTTTGAGACAGAGTCTCTCTCTGTTGCCCAGGCTGGAGTGCAGTGGTGTGACCTTGGCTCACTGCAACCTCTGCCTCCCAGGTTCAAGCGATTCTCCTGCCTCGGCCTCCCGAGTAGCTGGGACTACAGAAACGCACCACATGCCCGGCTGATTTTTGTATTTTTAGTAGAGACGGGGTTTCTCCATGTTGGCCAAGCTGGTCTCGAACTCCTGACCTCAGGTGATCCGCCCGTCTTCACCTTCCAAAGTGCTGGGATTACAGGCATGAACCACTGCACCTGACCCTGTATTGAAATTTCCTTGTTATCTCACTGCCTCCAGATGATACATCAGGAGTCTGTGGATGTGGATGGTGAAACATTTGTCTAGAGGCGTGAGCCACTGCACCTGGCCCTGTATTGAAATTTACTTGTTATCTCAGTGCCTCCAAATGATACATCAGGAGTCTGTGGATGTGGATGGTGAAACATTTGTTTGTCTAGGAAGGCAGGGAAATGACACAGATCTCCTCAATAAGATAGCTCATCTTCTGGCTCAGGGAAGAGACCTTTCCTTGCTACATTATAAAGTTATATTATTTGGTAGCTGTTCAGTAGGTTTTTCTCTAAAATACTGGCTTATAGAATAACAGTTTTACGTGATATGTAGTCATTCTGTTTCCTTGTAACTAACTGACCTAGTTGAATATTTTAAAAACTTTTGTAGGGAGCCTTATCGTGAAGAGAAACCATTTTCCCCATAGAAGGTAGTGGAACTTCTTTATCTGTTTTTAGCTTTTTCTAACATGGACTGGCCTCTCTGAACAAAGCCCTTGGGAAATGAGAAAGGGTACAATTTTTAAAAATCAAACGAAGTAAAGTCACCAGTTTAATTTACCATTCTCATGAGAGTGTCAGGAAATTAACTTTCTTAAATTTAGAGGATTAGCTACCTACCTTACCTGCCGGCTTGCTTTCCTATCCCATCACGTCCCCCCAGTTTTTTTTTTTTTTTTTGGTGGTTGTTTTGAAGCTAAAGTTAAAGTCAGTAAGGTGAAATTATGTGAATTCTTAATTACCTACCCCAGTTTTCCCAAAATAGCTTTTAATTTTTGTGGTTCTCTGACTGGCCTGTTTTTAGGCCAAATAAATATTTTTCCTTTAGTATTTCAATTTTATATTTGGTTTATTCCTGATTAATCTTTCCCTACCACTACCTCTTTACCCCATGTTCTGTTGTTCTGCTTGTTAATAGGTCACACAAGACTGCAAAGTTATATTTACGGAACTTTTATTTCTCCCTCTGGTTATGTTTAATATTTTTAGCAAGCTACATCTTTGTATTTTCTATTATTTCTTTGTTCTGATCATATTTAGATGAATGTTTGTCATGCCTTAAAATCTTATATACCAGACATGGTTTGCTGCCTCATTATTGCCTGCTACTGATGATTTAAACTTAAAACTGATGATTTAAACTTAAAACTTTGATACGTCTTTGACTTTATATTCTTGATTTTAAGGCCTTATGCCAGATTTTATCTTTATTTTCTACAGTGTGTTCAATACGAGTAATTGGTGAGAGTGACATCATGCAGGAATTCCTATCAGAATCCGATGAGGTAGGTGAATATCTCTTTTAGTGATTATTTTCCTTTTGGCTCCTTGTGGGGGAAAATAAGTTAAAGGTATTGATTATGCATTAAATTTCCATAAGCTCTCCAAAGGACTCCATTTTTTCTACTTCCTTTTTATATGTATCCTACTTATCTATCCTTTAAGACCTAGGTCCACTTTCTCTTTGAAGTGCCAGGCCCACTTTCTCTTTGAAACCATCCCTGATGAGTTTTCATCAATTTTTCATTCCACCAAAAACTTTTGCAATTAGTTCCATTCAGTGATCACATGTTGCTATCTCATTCTCTAATTTTTGTACATATAATCAGATAGTCGCTTTATATTTTTAGCTTACAAGAGTGTGAGCTACCTGTAGGTAAGAGCTAAATCTTGACCATCTTTATATTCCCAGTGCCTTACCACAGCATCAAGCATGTTGTAGGTGCTTAATAAATATTAATTGAATAGAAGAATGAATATTTAATGCCAATATAGTAGTGTGTTATCCACTACTTATTTTATATGTATATGCCTTGTTTTCCCACTAGATTATAAATTTCTTACAGGCAAGGGCTTACAATAAATCAATGCTTATGATTGTTTCAGGCAATGAGTAGTACTTTTTTAAAAGTGGTAAATGAAAATGGACTTGGTCTGAAATAATTTTCTCTCGTAAAAATTACAAGGTCAAAAATTACAAGGTTAGAAGAATGTGTTAATCATCAAAAGCAGTAAGAGGATTTCTTTTGAATTAAGGAGAGTAAGAATTGTTTACCTTTTGCTAGAAGAAAATTGGGCATCAGGCTAACTTTGAAAGGAAAAATGGATGAGACTCAGGTATCCATTTTTTCTTTTAACAATCTCCTGATTATTTCAGGGTTCAGAAAGAAACTTAGTATATCTCTTGATCCAGTCTATATGCCTGACCATTAATACCAGAGAATATACATCGAAACTACTGCTTTCAGTTGTTTTCTCCTCTCACTTGTGAATTCTGAATGGGGAAAGGGAAGCGAATCAAAAATCTCATCTGTGTTTGACCTAGACTGTTTCACGCAAGTTTCCTGTTTTGAAATGTGAACACGTTGGCTTCAACATGTTTCTTTCCTTCCTGCTTATCTTAAAGATTAACTTCTGCTGCAGCCCTGAAGTCAGCTTTATGACTTGTAAATGTATTGATTTTTTTCCCGTTTTCATTGGAACTCACTTCTTCTCTACCACGTTTTAGGTTATTGTCTAGCTAGCTTGTTACAGGGAGAGTGAAGATATACTGGGCCATAAATTATTTCTCTATGTCTTTTCCCCCAGAACTACAATGGTGTGTCCGACGTAGAGCTGAGAGTAGCATTACCAGATGGAACAACGGTTACAGTCAGGGTTAAAAAGAACAGTACTACAGACCAAGTATATCAGGTAAATTAAATGAACACGTAGACTTGACATTGGATGGTGTGAAGCTAAGGAAGATAGATTAAATAAGTCAATACATATAAAGTGCTTAGGGTGTCTGGCACATAATCCGTTTATTAAATGTTAGCTACTATTGTTATTATTAATGTGAAAGTACTTTGCCCTCCTTAAAAGAAAGGTACGGTAAATATCCCAGGTTGTAGTAGTTGTGATTAACGCCTCCTTTTTTTTTGGAGATGGAGTGTTGCTCTGTCACCCAGGCTGGAGTGCAGTGGCGCAATCTCCGCTCACTGCAACCTCTGCCTCCTGGGTTCAAGCGATTCTCCTGCCTCAGCCTCCTGAGTAGCTGGGACTACAGGTGCCCGCCACCACACCCAGCTAATTTTTGTATTTTTAGTAGAGACACGGGGTCTCACCATGTTGGCCAGAATGGTCTTGATCTCCTGATCTCATGATCCACCCACCTCGGCCTCCCAAAGTGCTGGGATTACAGGCATGAGCCACCACGCCTGGCCAACCCCTCCTTTTTTTATTGTAAAAAAACCATAACACACATGAAAACAGAATAGTATAATGAATCTCCATATAGTAATCATTTATATTTAATAATTATCAAGATTTTGCCACATTTGCGTTATGTATGTCTTTTTTCTTTTCCTTTAAGTATTTAAAGGCAAATCCCATGTTATCGGACCTGTGTGTACTTCAGTATGCATCTTCTTACAAAACCACAGTGCCATTATCAAACCTTAAAAATTAGCACTATTGCTTTGGTATTGCCTAATAACTACTCCATAGTCACATTTTTCCAATTGTCTAAAAATGATTTTTTACATTTGGTTTGTTAAAATCTGAATCTAAACAAGGTCCTTAGATCACATTTGATTTTTTTTTTTTTTTTGAGACGGAGTCTTGCTCTGTCGCCCAGACTGGAGTGCAGTGGTGCGATCTTGGCTCACTGCAAGCTCCACTTCCTGGGTTCACGCTATTCTCCTGCCTCAGCCTCCCGAGCAGCTGGGACTACAGGCGCCCACCACCACGCCCGGCTAATTTTTTGTATTTTTGGTAGAGATGGGGTTTCACTGTGTTAGCCAGGATGGTCTGAATCTCCTGACCTCATGATCCTCCTGCATTGGCCTCCCAAAGTGCTGGGATTACAGGCATGAGCCACCACCCCGGCCTCACATTTGATTTTTATGTTTGTTTTAATATAGAACAGTCCCCACTTCTCCCCATTTTTTTTTTCATGCCATTGTTTTGTTGCAGAAATGGGTCAGTGTCCTGTGGAATGACCCATATTCTGAATATATCTGTTTGTTTTCTGGTGGTGTCATTTAATAATGTCCTTCTGTGTCTCTATATTTTCTATAAATGGAAGTTTGCTCTAGAGGCTCAATTAGATTCAGGTTCTGCTTTTTTGATAATACTTCATAATTGGTCCTGTATACTTTATATTGCTTCTCAACAACAAGTACACAATACTGGGTTATCCCATTTTAGTGGTACTGAGGTTAACCAGTAGGTTTAGGTGGTGAAATCTGATGTTTTCTTTGTAAAATTCACCACTGATCTTTGATCAAATGAATCGATCCATTGATGATTATTGCCTTAACCAGTGATTTCATTAAAGATTACAAAGTGCTGATTTTCTAATACTCTCATTTCTTCCACCGATTAGCTAGAATTCTTCTGAAAATAACTTTTCCTTGTCAACTAACGCTATTTAATTATCTTGAAATAGATAATTTCCCAGTTTGTGGGAAAGACAGGATACATATTTAAGCTTTTCCTTTCATTGCTGATTTTCAGAGTAAATATATCATTATATATAAATATAATTATATATATTAATAACATATGATATGTTACATATTAAACAATATATACTTTATATATAATTATATAATATACTAAATAATATAATAATATACAAATAATATATATTTAATATATAATGCATTATGAAATAGTATATATTATATATAATAATTTAGTCTCAGGTTTTTAGATTCAGTGTGATTTAATCGATAACATATATTATCTTTTTGATGCTCAGATTGTTCCATCTTTGGCCAATGAATGCTCCTTCATGTCTGCTCCTGTATGCTTTTGATGCAACCTAGTATTTTCATATTATCCTTGCTTTTTGGTACAATAAGATGTCCTGGCCTCATCTTTGTATATTTCTTACCCTAGATATCTAGAATAGGACATTTCCCTAAGGAGTCCTATTCTTTTAGTGAGAAACTGTATTTAGAGATCATGATCTGCGTGCTGGGTGTAATCATTGCCTGTGTATGCCTTTTCAATGGCCTTTAATCCTAACTTGATCAGAATTTTCAGGGAGACAAGCAGGTTTCTGGGTACTAATGCTTATATTTCTCTTTTGTAGCAAACATTAAAAAACCTATCCCCCATACATTTATTCATTCACTGTATTTTATGGCAAATGATATATGCAGGATCTCAGGCATTTATGAAATTATACAATGGTAGGGAATTTCAAGAAAAGTACTATTTTTACAGCTTTCTGATCTTTTTGTTTTGTTTTGATTGCTTTTTTCCAGTGTTCCTCTAGCAAGGCTTAGGTTTTTTACACTTTCCTCCCAACTCTGTTACTGAGACTTCTAGCTATAAACTATTTTCTAAACCTTGAAAGCATTTTAATTTCTATCCAGTGCAATATACAATGGTAATTTAGAATGCTTATAATGTCCAGTTCCTCTATCACATAATGGATGAACCTAGGCCTCATATGTGAGCAGATATGAGAAGAAGGGATATAATCACATTTGGCTTACTGAGATACTAATAATCAACAGTTTTATCTTTGTTTTATCAACAAAACAATGGCATGAAAAAGAGATACCTTACTTATATTGAGGTTGATCTTGAAAAGAAATTTTGTTACTACCAGTTTATGTTTTGTTGTTGTTTGTATGTAATTGTCATTTATTTGCACACAGTTTTCCAATTTCTTTTTTATTTGTCATATTAGGACCTGAGTTCCTAGAGAGAATGAGTGATTCTTGTTTAATATGCCTTTATTGTCCCAGCATTTTGCTATTTTATGTAGATATTATGATGGTAATTCTTAGGAAATGGAGGTGCCTAATGATCCCAACATGAGACATGGATCATCTAAAAAGTAAACAAAAAAATTTTGTTTAGCCAGAATATAATTGACAAACTATTTTACACTCTAGAATCAAATATATAGTTTTTTTGTGTTAATGTATTAAATGTAGGCTGAATGTGTGAAACTGGATATTTAAGAATTTGTTTTCTTTTTAAGATCTGTGCTATTAAGTACATTTCTTGTAAGTGGTGTTAAAAATAGAATGAAGTTATTTTAGAGAGGGAAGCTGATATTTAAGGAGAGACTATTATCAGCTTACACTGGAAGGGAGAAGCTCGTATTTAGAGATAATAGCTGTTGGGGCAGATACAGGTGTTTTTTCCCTTTTCTTTCATATATATGTATGCGTGCATGCATGTACACATACATACAAAGAAGGATAGCTATGGACCATTAATGCAATTTTTGTGAGGCCAAGATGGCAGAACCTCTCCCCTTTCCCTCCTCCACAGACATACACCTGCTTTTTCCTACAGCATTGTCTGACTTAATTTTCTTGAAACCAATCTATCCTGTTTAACCTTAGGCTATCGCAGCAAAGGTTGGCATGGACAGTACGACAGTGAATTACTTTGCCTTATTTGAAGTGATCAGTCACTCCTTTGGTAAGTACCAGTGGCTGATACTAAGTTTTGTTTTCTAATACTATGAGAAAGAAACATTTACCTAGAGAAGAGCTTGAAGACAAGGGGAGATCCCACTCATTAGAACTGTCTCTAACAATCAGACCAAGCATATCCCATTAAACTCAGGTCATAAGCATGTCTGATCACTGTTGATTCTTTTTCCTCTTTTGTAAGTATAGGTTATAACTAGCAATGAATCGGAAGATGCTTTCATGAGGTTCTTTTAAATCTGAGGTTCAAAATTCATATATTCCAATAAAACAGGCTTAAAAATGGGATGTTCTATTTAGCCACATGTTGTTTTAGTGTACTTTATAGGATTTTTGTAAAGATTCTTAAGCGTAGCTTTCTGTTTTCAGAAGTTAGGAAGATATGTGTTGGTTAAAAGCCTTGTTTTAATGCATACATTTAAGTTTCTGTGTGAATAAATTTCCTCTTCCAAGGAAATTTTATTGTGTGGTGACAGGAAATTTATATTTTATTTTATAAAAGCTAGGGATGGTGGTCACATTGGTTGCATTGAGACTACAAAGGGGAGAGAGTCTGAGGGCTCTCTCTGAATGACATAGATTTCCTACAGTTTATGGGTCTCTTCCATGTCATATATATTTATACAGGGCTAAGGCCAAAATTGATATAGATAATATTGGTTGATTAGACCTTCCTTATCCCAGAAAGGGGGAGAGTTTGGTAGATTTAGGTTGCCTTGCTATCTCAGGTCCAGGTAGAATAACTTTGATTCCCCTAAAGCAGCCATCTCCCTAATATTTTTTTTCTTCCCAACTCACAGCAGTGTAACTAGACAGATGTAAATTATGTTACAAAGGATTACTAAGGTACCAGGACATCTGGATTCTAACCTTATTTTTTTTCTAAGCTTTAGTTTCACTTTCTATAAAATGGAAAATATTAAATCTGTCTTTTGTAGTGTTATAAAGCCAAGTAAACATTGAGAGAGGAAGTAATCTCAGCAGTTTGGGAGGCCGAGGCAGGAGGATTGCTTGAGCCCAAGAGTTTGAGACCAGCCTAGGCAACATAGTGAGATTGCCATCTCTAAAAAAATTTTAAAAATTAGCCAAGCATGGTGACACATGCAGGCGGTCCAAGCTAGGAGGCTGAGGTAGGAGGATCAGTTGAGCCTAGGAGGTTAAGGCTACAGTGAGCTATGATTGTGCTACAACACTCTAGCCTGGGCAACAAGTGAGACCCTGTCTCAAAAAAAAAAAAGGAAAGAAAAGAAAACTCAGCCTCTCAGCCTTTCCACAAAAAGGCAATTTAGAAATTAAAAGTGGTAGTTTTTTTATCCTGCTCGAGTGGCTGTTAGAAAGAGGAAGTAACATTACTCAGAAGACAGTTTTCAGTTTGAGGAATGCTGTAGGATTTTTGGAGGTGGGCGGAAAAAACCTTTTGGCCTTAACAATAAAAGCAGTTCATTGAGAATTGCCACATGAGAGACTCTGAATGTACCATAGCTGGGTAAGAGGAGAGGCTTGCTTTAAAGATGTTTAGTGGGCCGGGCGCGGTGGCTCACGCCTGTAATCCCAGCACTTTGGGAGGCCGAGGCGGGCGGATCACGAGGTCAGGAGATCGAGACCATCCCGGCTAAAACGGTGAAACCCCGTCTCTACTAAAAAAATACAAAAAATTAGCCGGGCGTAGTGGCGGGCGCCTGTAGTCCCAGCTACTTGGGAGGCTGAGGCAGGAGAATGGCGTGAACCTGGGAGGCGGAGCTTGCAGTGAGCCGAGATCCCGCCACTGCACTCCAGCCTGGGCGACAGAGCGAGACTCCGTCTCAAAAAAAAAAAAAAAAAAAAAAAAAGATGTTTAGTGGACATGAGCTGTAACTAGCTAATGGATTAGATATTTTAACTAAATTTGGAGTTGGTGCTGTTTGCAGAGTTGTCATGTTAACTGATCTGTGTCTTAGTCCATTTTGTGTTGCTATAAAGGAATACCTGAGGCTGGGTAATTTATAAAGAAAAAAGGTCTATTTGTTTCATGATTCTGCTGGTTTTCAGCTGATGTCTACCAAACATCTTTAAGACTGGGTTCAAAATTGGGCATCTGGTAAGGTCCTCAGGCTGTTTTCTTCCACCTATGGTGTGTGTAGAGATCACATTAGGCCCCACCTCTAACATTGGGGATCAAATTTCAACATGAACTTTGCGGGGTGACAAATATCCAAACCACGGCACTTGTCATTCAAGTGATAGGTTTCAGTTAGCTTGAGACTTGACTGGCCATGGCCATAGCTAGAAAGGATATTTGGCTGGACAGATAAGGCTGTTTTGTGCTCCCAAGGCAGAACTCCTTGGTGGATTTGAGATGATGTTCTGGTTAATGATAACATACCATTCTTGATCTGCCTTACATAGTTTATACTAGGGAAGTTTCTTATATCTTTTCACTCCAGCTTTCTGTGTTTTGTCTTTCCTTTAGTACGTAAATTGGCACCTAATGAGTTTCCTCACAAACTCTACATTCAGAATTATACATCAGCTGTGCCAGGCACCTGCTTGACCATTCGAAAGTGGCTTTTTACAACAGAAGAAGAAATTCTCTTAAATGACAATGACCTTGCTGTTACCTACTTCTTTCATCAGGTAGGTGAATTGATCTTCTTGAAAGGCACAATTTCTTTTTATGTTTGAATATAGTTGGTACTTTGCCAATTCCCTGTAAATCCTTAGACAGGCTGCTTTGCTCCTGGGTCTGAATTACATTTGTAAAATGTTCTATCCCATTTCACGAAAGATAAATAATAGATAAGTTTTAGAAGTAAAGATATCCTGGAGTTTAAAAATACGTATTTTTTAAATATGTATTCTAATATTTTTAAACAATAGAAAATGAGCATTGTGGCTGTGTACCTGTTCAAAAATTTTCCACCAATATTATACATACATAGAGTTTAAAGCATCAAATAGTTCTACACAGTTTATTGTGAAAAACAGTAGTTGCCCCTACTTATTTCCATCTCCCCCCATAGGCAACCACCTTCACCTCTTTTAGCTCTTGTTTTTTATTGGTTTGTTTGTTTGTTTGTTTGGTATTTACTTCTATGTCTCCATTATAACTTGGTTATATTGCTCCTACTTAATTTTTCAGATTCCAGCAGCATCTCTTCATTTCCCACTATTGAAGATGAGACACCAGCTGTCTTTCCTTCTCCATTCCTACCATATACCCATACCTTTTTCATCTCTCCCATCCCCTTAATATAGTCAAATTATAATATTTGTAAGGTCAATATGCAGTGTTTACAATATTATGACTGTAAATAGTGAGATTTACAACAGAGCCATATAATAAACACTGTCTTTACTTTTCACTTTCTTTACATTTTATTTTTCCCCAGCTAATTATTGCCCTCCTTTTTCATTTGCTTAATTTTCTGTGTACTTACAATTAATTTAGCTCCATACTCTTCACCAGTTGTCTAAATTTCCTCTAAAGACATTCAGTTCAGACCCATCAGGTAGTTCATGATTTCCACTTTCTGAAGAAATCTCCTGTGGAGTCTCTTCCTCTATCCCCGTGTGAAGTGGCAGCTCTCTACTGTGGTGCACAGCTGGCCTTCTGGGATTGCCCTTCACTACCACCATCTCCTGTTTCCAGTGTGAGAGTACATTGTTTGTTTTGTTTTGCTTTACTCCCATATTTTTGTAGGATACATTTTCAGAGCTGTTCCTCTTTTTATATATGTAATTTTTTATTTTTAATTTTTGTGGGTACATAGTAGGTGTATATATTTTGGGGTACATGAGATGTTTTGATACAGGCATATGGTGTGTAATAATCACATCACAGAAAATGAGGTATCCATCCCCTCAAACATTTATCTTTTGTGTTACAAACAATCCAGTTATACTCTTTTAGTAATTTAAAAATGTACAATTAAATTATTATTGACTATAGTCACCCTATTGTGCTATCAAATACTAGGCCTTATTCATTAATTCTACCTATTTTTTTTGTACCCATTAACCATCCCTGACTCTTCCCCAATTCCCCACTACCCTTCCCAGAGTCTGGTAACCATCCTACTCTCTATCTCCATGGGTTCAATTGTTTTGATTTTTACAGTCCACAAATAATTGAGAACATGTGATGTTTGTCTTTCTGTGCCTGGCTTATTTCACTTAACATAGTGACCTCCACTTCCATCCATGTTGTTGCAAATGACTGACTCTCATTCTTTTTTTATGGCTGAATAGTACTCCATTGTGTGTAAGTACCACATTTTCTTTATCCATTCATCCGTTGATGGATGCTTAAGTTGCTTCTAAATCTTGACTGTTGTGAACTGTGCTGCAGCAAACATGGGAATGTGGATATCTCTTCAAAATACTGATTTTCTTTCTTTTGGGTATATACCCAGCAGTGGGATTGCTGGATCGTATGATGGTTCTATTTTTAGTTTTTTGAGGAACCTCCAAACTGCTCTCTGAGTGGTTGTACAAGTTACATTCTCACCAACAGTAAACAAGGGTTCCCTTTCCTCCATATCCTTGCCAGTATTTGTTATTGCCTCTCTTTTGGATATAAGCCATTTTAACTAGGGTGAGATGATATCTCATTGTAGTTTCTATGTGCATTTCTTTTTTTTTCCTGTTGAGTTGTTTGAGCTCCTTATATATTCTGATTATTAATCCCTTGTCAGATGAGTAGTTTGCAAATATTTTCTCCCATTCTGTGAGTTGCTTTTTCACTTTGTTGATTGTTTCCTTTGCTGTGCAGAAGCTTTTTAGCTTAATGTGATCCCATTTGTCCATTTTTGCTTTGGTTGACTGTGCTTGTGGGGTATTACTTAAGAAATCTTTGCCCAGACTCATGTCCTGGAGAGTTTCCCTGATTTTTTCTTGTAGTAGTTTCATAGCTAGAGGATTTAGGTTTAATTATTGAATCTATTTTGATGTGACTTTTGTATATGGCAAGAGTTAGGGGGCTAGTTTCATTCTTTTGCACATGGATATCCAGTTTTCCCAGCACCATTTATTGAAGAGACTGTCTTTTCCCCAGTACATGTTCTTGGCACCTTGTCGAAAATGAGTTAACTGTAGGTATGTGGATTTGTTTCTCAGTTCTTTATTGTGTTCCATCGGTCTGTGTGTCTGTTTTTATGCCAGTACCATGCTGTTTTTGTTACTATAGTTCTGTAGTATAATTTGAAGTCAGGTAATATGATTCCTCCAGTTTTGTTCTTTTTTTTTTTTTTTTCCAGAGACAGGGTCTCGCTTTGTCACCCAGACCAGAGTGCAGTGGCATGATCACAACTCACTGCAGCCTTGACCTCCTGGGCACAGGCTATCCTCCTGCCTCAGCCTCCCCACTAGCTGGGGCTATAGGCCCATGCCACCATGCCCGACTGATTTTTTAAGTTTTTGTAGAGGTGGGGGGTCTTGCTGTGTTGCCCAGGCTGGCTTGAACTCCTAGGCTCAAGATCCTCCTGCCTTAGCCTCCTAAATTGCTGGGTTACAGATGTGTGCCACCACACCCCACCCAGTTTTCTTCTTTTTCTTAGGATATCTTTGGCTATTCTGGGTCTTTGGTGGTTCCATATAAATTTTAGGATAGTTTTTTTTTTCTATTTTTGTGAAGATGTCATTGGTATTTTGATAGGGATTGCATTGAATGTGTGGATTGCTTTGGGTAGTGTGGACATTTTAACAATATTTATTCTTCCAATCCATGAACATGGAATACTTTTTCCATTTGTTGGTGTCCTCTCTTCACCTTTCTTTCATAGTGTTTTAATTTCTTTTTCAGATTGTTCACTGTTGGCATATAGAAATGCTGCTGATTTTTGTTGTTGATTTTGTATCCTGCAACTTTACTGAATTTATTTATCAGTTCTAATAGTTTTTCGGTGGAGTCTTTAGGTTTTTCCAAGTATAAGATCATATCATCTGCAAACAAGGATAATTTTACTTCTTCCTTTCCAATTTGGATGCCCTTTATAACTTTGTCTTGTCTGATTGCTCTAGCTGGGACTTCTAGTACTATGTTGAATAACAGTGGTGAAAGTGGGCATCCTTGTGTTCCAGATCTTAGAGGAAAGACTTTCAGTTTCTCCCCATTCAGGATGGTAGTAGCTGTGGATCTGTCATATATAGCTTTTATTATGTTGAGGTTCCTTCTATACCCAGTTTTTTGAGGGGTTTTTATTATGAAAGGATGTTGAATTTTATCAAATGCTTTTTCAGCATCGGTTGAAATGATCATATGGTTTTTGTCCTTTACTCTGTTGATATGCTGTGTCACATTGATTGATTTGTGTTTGTGAACCATCCTTACATTCCCAAGGATATATCCTACTTGCTCATGATGATTTTTTAAATGTATTGTTGAATTCATTTTGCTAATATCTTGTTGAGGATTTTTGTATTAATATTCATCAGGGATATTGGTCTGTAGTTTCCTTTTTTGATATGTCTTTGTCTGGTTTTGGTATCAAGGTGATACTGGCCTCATAGAATGAGTTTAGAAGTATTCCCTCCTCCTCTCTTTTTTTGAAATAGTTTGCCTAGAATTGGTATTAATTCTTCTTTAAATGTCTGATAGAATTTAGCAGTGAAACCACTGGGTTCTGGGCTTTCCTTTACTGGAGACTTTATTATGGCTTCGATCTTGTTGCTTGTTATTAGTATGTTCAGGTTTTGGATTTCTTCATGGTTCAATCTTTGTAGGTTGTATATGTCTAGGAATTTATCCATTTCTTTTAGATTTTATAATTTATTGACATATAGTTAATCATAGTAGCCACAAATGATTCTTTGAATTTCTTCAGTGTTGTAATATCTCCTTTTTCATCTCTGATTTTATTTGGATCTTCTTTTTTTTTTCTTAATCTGGCTAAAGGTTTGTCTGTTTAACTTTTCAAAAAAACCAACTTTTTGTTTCATTGCTCTTTTTTTGTATTTTTTTATTTCAATTTAATTTATTTCTGCTCTAATCTTTATTATTTCTTTTCTTCTACTAATTGGGTTTGGTTTGCTCTTGCTTTTCTATTTCTTTAAGATGCATCATTGTTTGAAATTTTTGTCTTTTTTTTGATGTAGGCATTTATAACTATAAAATTCCTTCTTAGTACTGCTTTTGCTGTATCCCATAGGTTTTGGCATGTTATGTTTTCATGATCATTTATTTCAATAAATTTTTAAATTTCCTTCTCAATTTCTCCATTGACCCACTGGTCATTCAGGAGTATATTGTTTAATTTCCACGTACTTGAATAGTTTCCAAAATTCCTCATTTTTGATTTTTGGTTTTATTCCATTATAGTCAGATACTTGATATTATTATAATATCACTATGGTCAGATACTTGATCATATTGATATTATTTGATATTAATAATACTTGATACTCCATTTTTTAAAAACGTTTTAAGACTTGTTTTGTGACCTAACATATGGTCTGCTCTTGAGAATGATCTCTGTGCTGAGGAAAAGAATGAGTGTTCTGCAGTCATTGGATGAAGTGTTCTGTAAATGTCTATTAGATTCATTTGGTCTATAATGCAGATTAAGTCCATTGTATCTTTGTTGATTTTCTGTCTGGAAGATCTGTCCAGTACTGAAAGTTGGGTGTTGAGGTCTCCAGCTATTACTGTATTAGAGTCTGTCTCTCTCTTTAGCTGTAATAATATTTGCTTTAGATATTAAATATATGTCAGGGTGCTCCAGTTTTGGGTGCACATATATTTAAAATTGTTACATCCTCTTGCTGAACTGACCCCTTTATCATTATATAGTGACCTTCTTTGTCTTGTCCTATATTTTTGTCTTACAATCTATTTTGTCTGATATAAGTATAGCTACTTCTGTTCTGTTTTGGTTTCCATTGTCATGGAGTATCTTTTTCCATCCGTTTATTTTCCATCTGTGTGTGTCTTTGTAGGTGAAGTATGTTTCTTGTAGACAACAGATCAGTGGTTCTTGTTTTTTTTTATTTATTCAGCCACTGTATGTCTGTTGATTGAAGAGTTTAGTCCATTTGCATTCAGTGTTCCTATTGATAAGTAAGGCCTTACTCTTGCCATTTTGTTACTTGTTTTATGGTCGTTTTGTGATCATCTTTTCCTTCTTTCCTTCCTTCCTGTCTTCCTTTTAGTGACGGTGATTTTCTGTGGTGATATGATTTAGTTTCTTACTTTTTATTTTTTGTGTATTTGTTGTATGTTTGTAGGTTTGCAGTTACCACAAGGCTTGCAAATACTCTCTTGTAATCTGTTATTTTAACCTGGTAACAGCACTGTTTGCATAAACAAACAAGCAAGCAAAAAGAAAACGAATAAAGGCTCCATGCCTTAAATATACCCCCACACTTTTTAACTTTTTGTTGTTACTATTTATATATACCTTATTGTACTATGTCTTGAAAAGTTGTTGTAGTTATTACTTTTGATTGGTTCATCAAACCATGTTTGATGTTTTTTTATTTTGAAGTTATCTTTTTCCATGTTTTCAAACCATGTTTCCCAGGTTGGTCTTGAACTCCTGAGCTCAAGCAGCCCTCTCTCCTCAGCCTCACAAAGTGCTGGGATTACAGGCATGAGCCATCGTGCCTAGCCAAATCACTAGTCTTCTACTGGCATTGAAGAGGGCAGTCATCTGGTTCCAGGGAATAAAGGAAAGGATCTCAGAATTTGATTGTTTCTTTTTTTTTTTTTGAGACAAAGTCTCGCTTTGTCGCCAGGCTAGAGGGCAATGGCGCGATCTTGGCTCACTGCAACCTCTGCCTCCCGGGTTCAAGCAATTCTCCTGCCTCAGCCTCCTGAGTAGCTGGGATTACAGGCACCCACCAACACACCCAGCTAATTTTTGTATTTTTTAGTAGAGACGGGGTTTCACCATGTTGGCCAGGATGGTCTTGATCTCTTGACCTTGTGATCTGCCCACCTCGGCCTCCCAAAGTGCTGGGATTACAGGTGTGAGCCACCGCGCCCGGCACTGATTGTTTCTTAAATATGCTTTCGGTCAGTCCTCCTTATTTTAGCCACATCTACCACCTCTCCTAGATGGCCACCTGGTGCTACAGATTCTTCGGTCTTTTGGGAATTTCGTCATATAAATTTGAGTAGTTCTCTACTTTTCCTACTACTAGGTAGGGAATCCATTTTTTTTTTTCAGGTTTTGTAAGTTACTACTTATATATCCGTGTTCCAGATTACAAAATTTTGTTCTGATTGTTTCCCTTTGATCTCATGGGTTTATTCCTTTACTGAAATTTTAATGGGGTTTTAGGAGGAAGTAAGAGTTGATACTTGTTTTTAATCTGCCATCCCTAATTGGAAGCCCTCTTTTAGGAACTTTTCCTACAAGTATTTACATGTATATTTGGCTTTAGGTCTTTATATGGATGTATAATTTTTACATAGTTATAATTCTAATACAGATACAACCTTTTTCTTTTCTTTTTTCCTTTTTCATACAGTTTTTTATATGTCATTTATGACTGAGTTAATGTAGTATATGTTGTTTAGTCATTCCCTGTTATTTGTTCCAGAGTTTTTTTGTTTTGTTTTGTTTTGTTTTGAGATGGGTTTTCCCTATGTTGCTGGGGCTGGCCTGGGACTCCTGGGCTCCAGCAATCCTCCCACCTCTGCTTCTCAAGTAGAGTGCCTGGGACTACATGTGTGCCTGGCTAGAGCCAGGTTGTTTTTTGAGTATGTGATTATAAATGATGCTGTGATTAACTCTTGTAATATCACTTTTTGGTGTCTGTCTTTCTTTCTTTCTTTCCCTCCCTCCCTCCCTTCCTTCTTTCTTTCTTTCTTTTTTTTTTTTTTTTTTTTTTTTTTTTTTTTTTTATATAGGCTCTCATTCTGTCACCCAGGCTGGAGTGCAATGGTGTGATCATAGTTCACTGCATCCTCTACCTCTTGGGCTCAGGTGATCCTGCCACCTTAGCCTCCCAAGTAGCTAGAACTACAGGTGCTCACCACCAGGTCCAGCTAATTTTTACTTTTTTAAAAAAATAGAGACAGGATCTTGCAGTGTTGCCCAGGCTGGTCTTGAACTCCTGGGCTCAGGCAATCCTCCCAAAGTGTTAGGATTACAGGTGTGAGCCACTGTGCCCAGATATATTTTTCTTTTGAATACAGCTGTTTATTGATTGTGTTTTTGTACCTTGCTGTACAAAAATTGCTGTATTTTGTTAAACTTTTATGTCTTTGCCATTTTAATAGATATTTACTCTGTTCCATTGTTTTTGTTTTTATCTTAGTGCTATTAATTTTTTTTTTTTTTTTTTTTTTTTTTTTTTTTTTTTTTTTTTTTTTTTTTTTTGAGACAGAGTCTGGCTCTGTTGCCAAGACTGGAGTGCAGTGGCACAATCTCGGCTCACTGCAACCTCTGCCTCCTGGGCTCAAGTGAGCCTCCCACCTCAGCCTCCTGAGTAGCTGGGACTACAGGCTTGCACTACCACACCCAGCTAATTTTTGTATTTTTTGTACAGACAGGGTTTTGCCATATCGGCCAGGCTCATCTCAAACTCCTGGGCTCAAGCGATCTGCCTGCCTCTGCCTCCTAAAGTGCTGAGATTACAGGTGTGAGCCACCACGCCCGGCCAGGAATTTTGTTTTAGAGAAGTTTTAACATTTAGTATAACAATGTTTATCTATCTTTTCCATTGTGATTTCTACTAACATTTTCTTTCCTCAATATAAGAGGACAATAGCACACTTATATTTAGTGTGCTTTTGTCACAATATTTTATTTTTAATATTTAATGCTTTAATTTACCCAAGGTTTATTGTGGTGTGTAGTATGAATGAATGGTTGGTCTAAGTTAAATTTTCTTGGTATTGCTATCCACATAGCACATCAGGATACATTAAATGATTCATTTCTAATACATTATGCTTAACTTGTCTTTCATTAAATTTATATCTGTCTGGTGTGTGTGTGTGTGTGTGTATATATATGGCCTATGTTTAGCATCTCTCTGCTCTTAATCTGTATTTCTATTTTTGACTCAGTATTCCCTTTTGATTATTGTTTCTATATAATATATTTTAATATCTGGTAAGGCTAAGCCTTCCTTTTTTAAAAGTCTTGATATTCTTTCCCATTTTATGTTTTCTAATAATTTTTAACCCATTTCATAACACTTTATAAAGTATCTATCCTATTACTATTCCAACTGGAATTTTGTTAAATTTATAGTTTACTGAAGAAGAATCACCATTTTAATTAAATGTTGTATTATAATAATAGATGCATAAAGTATCTATTTTATTCAAGTTGACTTTTGTTTCCTCAAAAAAAGTTACGTGGTTTTATGTTTTATCAATGCCCCCTTAAATTAATCACCAAGGATTTTATATTTTTATTGCTATTATGAATGGAATATTTTATCTTTGTATTTTTGGAGTAGAAAAATCATTAGCTAGGAGTCAGAATATCTGATTCAAGTATAAGCTCTACATTGGGTAAATCCTTTGCATAACATTGCTGAGATCTGTTTTCTCATCTGTTAAAGGGGAACAGTGGTGTGTCTCATAGGTGGGTTTGTTTATTTTATTTTAAATGTATTTTTTATTTAAAAAATTGAGAAGGTATCTCGCTATGTTGCCCAGGCTGGCCTTGAATTCCTGGCTTCAAGCAATCCCCCCACCTTGACCTCCCAAAGCACTGAGATTACAGGCATGAACCACCACACCTGGCTGCTTTTTTTTAATGCTTATCAAAATTTAAGTGAGGGCAGAGCATGTGAAATTGCTTTTTGAAGTATAAAACTAGAAGACAAAAGTATTTAAGTATTTAGAAAAGTTAATGTTTTTGGAGCAGTATCTTATATCCAGCAACTTTTCTGAACTTTCCTATTGCCTCAAATGATTTCTAAACAGCTTTATTGAGGTATAGTTTACATACAATAAACTGTACATATTTAAAGTATACAATTTGATAATTTTTTAAATTTCTAAGCCATTTTTAGTGTATAGTTCAATAGTGTTAAGTATATTCACAATGTTGTGTAACAGATCTCCAGAATTCTTTTTTTTAAAGGAGGGGACAGAATCTCAGTCTGCCACCCAGGCTGGAGTGCAGTGCTGCGGTCATAGCTCACCATAATCTTGAACGTCTGACCTCAAACGATCCTCCTACCTCAGCCTCCCAAAGTGTTGGGATTACCAGGCGTGAGCCACTGCTCCTGGCCCAGAACTCTTTTAATCTTGCAAAAGATTAAAACTGAAACTCTGTACCCATCAAACAACTCCCCGTTTTCCTCTCCCCCTTGGCAACTACCATTCTACTTTTTGTTTCTATGAATTTGACTACTTTAGATATTTAATGTAAGTGTAATTATACACTATTTGCCTTTGTTATAACTGGCTTATTTCACTTAACATAATGGCCTCAAGTTTCATACGTGTTGTGGTAGTATATAACAGGGTTTCCTTCCTTTTTAAGGCTGAATAATAATATGTTGTATGTATATCCCACATTTAATTTATCCATTGATCCATGGACAGTTGGGTTTCTTTCATTTCTTGGTTATTGTGAATAATGCTGCTGTGAACATGGGTGTGCAGATATCTTGTTGAGATCCTTTTTTCAATATACCCAGAAGTGGGATTACTGAATCATATGGCAGTTCTATTTTCAACTTCTTGAGGAACTGCTATACTATTTTCCATAGTGACTGCACCATCTCAAATGACTTATTTTTTTGTTTTGTTTTTTATTTTTTGGAGACAGAGTCTTGCTGTGTCTCCCAGGCTGGAGTGCAGTGGGATGATCTCGGCTCACTCCAACCCGTGCCTCCTGGGTTCCAATGACTCTTATGCCTCAGCCTTTTTGAAGTATAAAACTAGCTGGCACTACAGTTGCATATCACCAAGCCCAGCTAATTTTTGTATTTTTAGTAGAGATGGGGTTTTACCATGTTGCCCTGGCTGGTCTCAAAACTCCTGGTCTCAAATGATCCACCCAGCTTGGCCTCCCAAAGTGCTGGGATTACAGGCATGAGCCACCGCACCTGGCCACAAACACTGTGCCTGGCAGCTGTTTTTTGATGGACTAAGTAAACAACTGTATCTTTTGAAAAGTATATTAAATTTCTCTTACTTAATTTCAATTATTTTTGTATCATATTTTGATGGTAGGAATATTTAACGAATTTCACAGTTCTAAAATGTTATCAATTATAAGATGCACCATTATTTTATGTATTGATAAGAGAAAAAAGCTGTCAGTTAAACTGATACATCATTGATTGTAAGATACATCCCAATTTCAGAAATGTTAAAATATGAAATAATGTATTCATTTAAATTGATGAGATATTATATGTTAGTTGCTAATGGTAATAATGAACCTTTTCCTTAAAAATTAATAAGGTAGAAATTAATCATTTATATTTAAATTCTGGCTAAACCTAGCAAAGTGTACACACATTTAAGCTGCTGTTTCCTGAAAGCTCACAAAAGTAGCAGTATTGGAATTTTAAAAAGCGTAAACTTGCAAGGACAAAGAGAACAAGGGAGGATACCACAGCAAATGACAACCGTTGACAGTTTTTAGAAAATGAATGTCTAAGTAAAAGAGTTTTGATATTTGGTTATTGTGGAGGAAAAATTGGTGATAGGTACATGGGAAGTTACAAACAAAAACACGAGGCATTTAACCTCAGAGGAAATAAAAAATTTTGCAAGAAAGGAAGTCATAGCATAGTATATAGCTTAGTTGTGAATAGTGTTTACATATTTATAATAATGCAGTTATTGAGTATTTAATTTTTTATTGAGAAGTTGGGGGAAGAGGAAGTGGGAGTGTTTGGGTGCTACAAGAGAGTTAAAACCAAATATTTTCAACACAGTAAGTCAACAGTGTCTAAAATTGGTAAGTCAAGAATTGTCAATGTAAGCATGCCATTTAGAATTATGGAGGGATTATCACAAGAAATTGCTTAAAGTGCCTAAAAGTAGTTGCTTTTGTGGAATGACGCTCTGGGATCAGAGGCTGCTGTTTTTATTAGGAGCCTTTTAGTACTATATGTTTTGTTTTTTTAAATTATATACATCTTTTACTTTAATTAAAAAAATTTAAGAAGAAAAGGAAACTAGGGTGGTGATATTTATGTTTTCCACTTAGTCAGTCAAGCAGTGTAATCTTTTTTTTTTTTTTTTTGAGACAGAGTCTTGCTCTGTCTCCCAGGCTGGAGTGCAGTGGCATGATCTGGGCTCACGGAGATGTAACCTCCGTCTTCCGGGTTCAAGTGATTCTCTTACCTCAGACTCCCGAGTTGCTGGGATTACCTGCTCCCTCCTCCACATCCGGCTAATTTTTGTATTTTAGTAGAAATGGGGTTTCAACATGTTGGCCAGGCTGGTCTTGAACTCCTGACCTCAAGTGATCCTCCCGCCTCCACCTCCCAAAATGATGGGATTGCAGGCGTGAGCTACCACACCTGGGTAAGCAATTTCTTGATTAGAAATGAAAGAAGACCATTTTTACTGCCCCATGTGTAAAAGAGCTCACTTGGAATTGCTGGAGTAGATAATCACTGTGACCCACCTCTGCCTTGGGAAAGTGTTCATCAAATATTAGTACTGTTGTGAGTCAGACATAGTTCTAGGCGTTAGGGGTAAAAACAAAACAGAAAGACAGTATTCTTATATTCTTATTCTCATCGAAACAATACAGAAATAAAGAAAAATAGTTGTAAAGCCTTTTCCCTGAGCTAAATAACACTGTAAGTTTCTTTGGAAACTGGATAGACCAGTATTGTTTATTTATTTCCCCCCTCTACTTCTCTGCTGGCTTTTCAATAATTGGTTTAAATTTGGCTGGAGCAGTACAGTGTTTTGGTGATGAAGAGGAAAGTGTTCAGGATCTTCAGGACATTGACATTGCATCGTGGTTCTTCTTGAACATCCCCTCTGTGGCTATAATCCTCGGTGCCTAAGTGAGCCTTCACTTGTATGGCCAGGTTGGGGAGAGACTGGCATAATCTTTCTATTAGTCACTTCCTGGCAGGACATTCATATCCTTGTACGGTTCTTAGAAGAACTTAATAGCTAAATGATACTAATAATAGCTACTGATATATACTTTACAAAACTCTTAACATCTGTCATCTTTTTCTTGTACATCTATGAGATATTCCAGTTTTACACAGTGAAAGGGTTTACATGACTTATGCAAGTACACATTGGTAGGTGACAGAACTAGAAGTTGAATTAGTCTCTCAATCTTTTTTTTTTTTTTTTTTTTTTTTGCGATGGAGTCTTGCTCTGTCACCCAGGCTGGAGTGCAGTGGTGCTATCTCGGCTCACTGCAAGTTCCGCCTCCTGGGTTCACGCCATTCTCCTGCCTCAGCCTCCTGAGAAGCTGGGACTACAGGCGCCTGCCACCTCTCCCCGGCTAATTTTTTGTATTTTTAGTAGAGACAGGGTTTCACCATGTTAGCCAGGATGGTCTCGATCTCCTGACCTCGTGATCCACCCGCCTTGGCCTCCCAAAGTGCTGAGATTACAGGCATGAGCCACCGCGCCTGGCCCTCTTGACTTAATCTTGAACTCATTTGCCTATCCAACTATCTTTCCTTAAAATACTCTGGGAAATGCTTTCCACCTTGAGTACCAAACATCATTGATCTTCCTTATTTCATTCTCTCTTCAGGTTAATTCATGTGGCTTTCAAACACAAATCAAACTTTCTTTAATAAAGAAGGAGCCATTTCTTATTGCTTATTTTAGCTCCCTGTTGTTTATTTCCTTAAGTCTAAATTCCTGTGCCTACTTTTTAGGATTTTTCATAATCTAGTGTTAGTCTGCCTATCCAGCATTATCTTTAATTGTCTCCTGTTCCCTTATTTAAATCAGGCAAATCTGTTTTCTCAAAGTATTTAAGCACAGACTCATTCCTGTTTCCTATCTTTAGCTTATAGTTTCTCTTCTTCATTCTGTTCTTTGGGGATCCACCTAAGGCTTCCCTGATAACTGTAATTATCAATAAGTGCTTCCATTCTGACTGCCTATATCACTGTCTGTACCATACATGTTTGCTATTTCATTGTAATGCAGCATTATATACTGTCTTTCAGTGCTCTCTAATTGTTTACACATGTATAAAATAACTGGAATTTAAGTCCTCTGACACGAGAAACCAGATCTCTCACATATACCTAAAAGAATGCTTGAGCGCTTGCCAGATATTCTTTAAATGCTAGTTATTCCAATAAGTATACCTGTTACTGGATGTGTTAGTCCATTTTCACACTGCTATAAAGACACTACCTGAGATTAGGTAATTTATAAAGAAAGGAAGGTTTTTTTTTGTTTGTTTGTGCTTTTTTGAGATGGAGTCTCGCACTGTCACCTGGGCTGGAGTGCAGTGGCATGATCTCAGCTCACTGCAACCTCTGCCTCCTGGGTTCAAGCGATTGTCCTGCCTCAGCCTCCCGAGTAGCTGGGATTACAGTTGCCTGCCACCATGCCCAGCTAATTTTTTGTATTTTTAGTAGAGACGGGGTTTCATCATGTTGGCCAGGCTGGTCTCGAACTCCTGACCTTGTGATTCACCCGCCTCAGCCTCCCAAAGTGCAAGAAAGGAAGTTTAATTGACTCACAGTTTCGCATGGCTTGGGAAAGCCTCAGGAAACTTACAATCATGGCATAAGGTGAAAGGGAAGCAAGCACCTTCTTCACAAGGTGACGAGAGAGAGAGCACATGCAGGGGGAACTGCTGTTTTTAAAACTATCAGATCTAGGCCAGGTGCGGTGTCTCATGCCTGTAATCCCAGCACTTTGGGAGGTCGAGGCGGGCAGATCACTTGAGGTCAAGAGTTGGAGACTAGGCTGGCCAATGTAGTGAAGCCCCATCTCTATTAAAAATACAAAAATTAGCTGGGCGTGATGGCTCATGCCTGTAGTCCCAGCTACTCTGGAGGCTGAGGCAAGAGAATCGCTTGAACCTGGGAGGCGGAGGTTTCAGTGAGTCGAGATTGTGCCACTGCACTCCAGCCTGGGTGACAGAGCCAGACTCTGTCTCAAAACAAACAAAAAAACCCCATCAGATCTTGTGAGAACTCCCTCACTATCATGAGACCAGCATGGGGAAACCAGACCATGATCCAGTCACCTCCCACCGGGTCCCTCCCTCGACATATGGGGACTACAATTTGAGATGAGATTTGAGTGGAGGCACAGAGCCAGACCATATCCCTGGACATGTGGCAGAGTTCACTGGTAATGATGGTGGTCCAAGTGGATAAGAGATTTTCTGAAAATGCGTCTGTGTCTGTTTTCATCGAGAATGTACATAATAATGATTTTTACACTCCTTTCTGCTCTACTTCTGTTTTGGTGATAGGCAGTCGATGATGTGAAGAAAGGTTACATCAAAGCAGAAGAAAAGTCCTATCAATTACAGAAGCTATACGAACAAAGAAAAATGGTCATGGTAAGTTTATGTCCCCATAATCCCTTTAAAAATGCCCCTTCCTACCTTTAAAACCTATAGTCCTAGTCATTTTTGAAAGGATTACAACCTGGTTAGTGGCTTAACTAATTTTAAAAAAGGAGGGGAATAGGGACCTTGATGCAAAGTCCATTGTGTTTCTCCATTTAACACACAAAGATCTTGAATTACTGTGTATTAGTACATAATTTTATTATTATTTTGGGGGGTGGGGTGGGGGAGGGACAGAGTCTTGCTCTGTTGCCCAGGCTGAAGTGCAGTGTCGCGATCTAGGCTCACTGCAACCTTTGCCTCCTGGGTTCAAGCGATTCTCCTGCCTCAGCTTCCCGAGTAGCTGGGACTACAGGCATGTGCCACCACACCCAGCTAATTTTTGTATTTGTAGTAGAGACAGGGTTTTGCCATGTTGGCCAGGCTGGTCTCGAACTCTTGACCTCAGGTGATCCACCTGCCTCGACCTCCCAAAGTGCTGGGATTACAGGACTGAGCCACTGAGCCTGGCCCATAATTTTATTATTAATAATAACTATTTTTTGGTTAAAAAGTGCTAAAACAAAAGTTGTGTAAAACATTACAATAGGATATAGATAAGATTGTATAAGACCTGATATTTAGCTTTTTAACATTAGGAGTTATTTTAGTCATGATTTAGCAATAGCAAAATCATTTGTTTTTACAGCTTCCATTTCTGCAGTTGCTTAAACATTTATGCTCCGTAGTGCTCTTGGTTAGTATATCATCCTAGAATTGTGCTATTTGATTCAATAGCTACTAGACTCATGTAGGTATTTAAATATAAATTTAAATTCATTTAAATTAAATGCAATTTAAAATTCAGTTCTCTAGCTGCTCTAGCCACATTTCAATGCTAAGCAGCCATATGTGCACAGTGAATAGCTAGCATATTGGACTGTGCAGGTATAGAACATTTTCATCATCACTGAAAGTTTTGCCGAACAGGGCTGCCTAGAGTATTCCTTAAATGGCTTTAAATTCATTTTCAATTTGTATCTGCCATAGATACAGGGATGGAAATTGTCAAAAATAAAATTAGTAAAGAACACATAAAAATTTCTACTCATTATAACATTTTTAAATTTCTCTCTTGGCAGATTCACATGCAGTTGAAGTTTTTTCAATTATACATGCTTCTCAACTTACGATGGGGTTACATCCCAATAAACACATCTTAAGTTGAAAATATTAAATCAAAAATGCATTTAATACACCTAACCTACCAAACATTATAGCTTAGCCTAGCCTATCTTAAATGTGATCAGAACACATATTACCCTACAGTCAGGCAAAATCATCTAACACAAAGCCCAGTTTAGAATAAAGTTATTTAAACTGTTTTTTTTTTGAGACTGAGTCTTGCTGTGTCACCCAGGCTGGAGTGCAGTGGTGTGATCTCAGCTCACTGCAACCTCCGCCTCCTGGGCTCAAGCGATTCTCCTGCCTCAGCCTCTCGAGTAGCTGGGACTATAGGCACCCAACACCACGCTTGGCTAATTTTTGTATTTTTAGTAGAGATGGGGTTTCACCATGTTGGCCAGGCTGGTCTCGAACTCCAGACCTTGAGTGAACCGCTTGCCTCAGCCTCCCAAAGTGCTGGAATTACAGGCGTAAGCTACCGTGCCAGGCCTAAAGTTATTTAAAGTTTTGAACAAAAATTTGAGGTACTTGTAAAGACAGCAGAAAAGTTAAAAAAAAAATTGAAGTACAATGTCTACTGCACACACATTGTTTTCACACCATCATAAAGTCAAAAAAGCATTAAGTTAACCATTGTAAGTTAGTGACCATCTGTATCATTTTCATTCTTTAGTAGTGATTCTGATAGGTCATTTGAATTCTTTTGTACCTTCTGTGTACTTTTCAGGAGAGAATATTGATTCATGTACATTAATTGGGTTGGAATAAGAATGCAAACAGCTGCGGGGCACGGTGGCTCACACCTGTAATCACAGCACTTTGGGAGGCTGAGGCGGGTGGATCACCTGAGGCCAGGAGTTCGAGACCAGCCTGGCCAACATGGTGAAACCCCATCTGTACTAAAAATGCAAAAAGTAGCTGGGCGTGGTAGCATGTGCCTGTAATCCCTGCTACTCAGGAGGCTGAGGCCAGAGAATCGCTTGAACCCGGGAGGCGGAGGTTGCAGTGAGCCGAGATTGCAACACTGCACTTCAGCCTGGAAAACACAGTGAGACTCCGTCTCAACAACAACAACAACAACAAAAAATGCAAACCAGTCAGCCATTGAACTTAGCCTGTAATCTTATATCTAGCTAAGTTAGTTATTTTAATCATTTATGTGATGAAAAGTAATAAATCTCTATACCTTAGAAAATTGCCGAAGATCAGGGAGCCACCTTACCAATGTTCTACGTATCAGCAGGCTGACATAGAAAATGCAAAATCTTTTAAATGTAATTAAATCTTGGCAGAATTTTGGTTAGGAGAATTTTGCTATGTGTGAGACAGAATTTTAAAACACGACTTCCACCTGTTCTTTAAGATAATGGCATTGTCTTCTATATATTAATGCATGATTCTGACCAATACATTTGCATCTTTTTGGTGAAAAGGGCCAAATACTAACAGGCCATCAACTTCTGCAGTAATCCTTTGCCTTTGCTAAAGCCAACAGAGTTTTCTTGTTTCTGAAAAGTTAATAGAGTCAAAATAATTTCATAAGGTCTTCTGATAATACCAGTGTGGAATACATACTGTTTCTTTGCATTTATAGTATTCCAAACACACTATCTTTCCATCTATGTATTCAACAAAACATATTTGTTGAGTACCAAGTACGTGCCAGGCACAGTGCAAGGTGTGAGAGAAATACATAGGTTTGCATTGTGCTGTGGCAAAATATAGAAAATCTGAATTTAATAAACACAGTAATCTATTATGAAGTCATTTTTAGACTTGTTTATATTTTGTAATCACCCAGGTAAAAACTCAAGTATAGTTGATAGACAGATATGTTTCCCCATGGTCTTTTGCCATTGTGTATAAAATATGCTTAAACATTTGTGGAATTAGATTGTCTTGAAAACCTAGTGCCAACATATTTCTGTGTACTAGCCACATGATATGATAGTCAGATTTTGAAGAAAGGCTCATCAAAGTTTGAATTTTATGAGTATAATATGTATTCAAGTATCAGTGTTCAAAGGCATTAGCCTAGCCAATATTAGGTCATGGTCAATACATTGAAACTTCTCACATGGGCCTTCTGAGCCCATAGGCCCTGATGCCATTAACCATAGCAACTAAGTGTGGTGAACAGGCCTACGATTAGGCCAGGTCACTACAATTAGTAGTTGTCACATCACTGTGAGAACTGCAGCAACACAATGAACTTCTCAGTTTTAGTTTCTTTTCTGTAAAATGGGGATATTCCGATTATCAGCTATTAAGTAGAATCTTGACAAAATACACCAAGATTCTTGGAAGATAAATAAGCTTTGTGTAAGTTCCCCTGTCCTCCAAATCTTCAAATACAGAAGAGAGCTCACGTCTGTGCATAGTTTATAATACCCAGTGTGATCAAAAACATTTTTGTTTTTTACTTACTTACAAAGTTAGACTGAATCTCAAATTTGGATGGTTGAGAATATAATATACAAGAAACAATGTTTTCTCTTCTCTTCCTTCCTCCCTCCCTCCCTTTCTGTCTCCTCACACAAACAGTAGACATGTGTAAATTATGCTTTTCTTATGTTGAAGTGGCCTGATTTTGCCCTTGTTGAACAGATAAATAAAGAGCTTTTGTGTTTCTCTACATAATTTGTATTGATTTCACACAAGGCAGCATGTATGTCAGTTTTTCTCAAAGTGTGGTCTCCAGTCTACTTACATGGAAGACACTTTTGAAGCTGCTTAAAATGCAGATTTCTAGACTCCACCCCACATTTACTAAGCCAGAATCTCTGGGGGTAGGACCTAGGGAACTTTATTTTTAAAAAGCACACTGGTGATTCTGGAACGTTAGGTGCTTCAGAATCACTACTCTGATTCTGGTTTTGGGAGAGTTGGCTCTTGAAGTTCCTCTCAGTCCCTTACTTCTATTTTGGACCTGGTTTGACCCTTAGCAGGTTGTTTGGGAGAACAGAGAGTTCTCTGGAGTGGACCTTGACCCATTCACCTAAAGTGTTCTGCTCTGTTAAACACTGAGTCTCTGCTTTAAAAACTGTCGGCCTGGCGCGGTGGCTCACGCCTATAATCCCAGCACTTTGGGAGGCCGAGGCGGGCCGATCATGAGGTCAGGAGATCGAAACCATCCTGGCTAACACGGTGAAACCTCGTCTCGACTAAAACTACAAAAAATTAGCCGGGCGTGGTGGCGGGCGCCTGTAGTCCCAGCTACTCAGGAGACTGGGGCAGGAGAATGGCGTGAACCCAGGAGGCGGAGCTTGCAGTGAGCCGCGATCGCGCCGCTCACTCCAGCCTGGGCGACAGAGCGGAGTCTGTCTCAAAAAAAAAAAAAAACAACGAAAAACAAAAAAAAAAACTGCCCTATGTCTGTATTTATTTGTCTTGCTGAATATTGAACATTTATAAAATATCCTGTACTATACCTGTCCAATTCTCTGGCTTAAATGGGCCACTTTCTACATGATACATGAATAAAGGAAGATAATTCGGGATACATAGTTACTCAAAACTTAAAGTGAAAACTAAGGGAAGCTGTGTCCTTGGTGAGACAACAGAGTAAAGTCTCACTGGGAGACAGGGTGGTCAGAGAGACTCAGGTTGGGTAGTATTTGTCAACTTTAAGTGGGAAGTCCCTGAAAGGAGAATGGGCAGGATGATTTGGTGTTTTAAATACCAAATACCCTTTTAAATATCCTTATGTAAACATGCTTAAAAGCAAAAATTCAGCGAGGCGCGGTGGCTTACGCCTGTAATCCCAGCACTTTGGGAGGCCAAGGCAGGCAGATCACGAGGTCAGGAGTTCGAGACCAGCCTGGCCAGCATGGTGAAACCCCGTCTCTACTAAAAGTACAAAAAATTGCTGGGTGTGGGGGTGCACGCCTATAATCCCAGCTACTCAGGAGGCTGAGGCAGGAGAATTGCTTGAACCCGGGAGGCGGAGGTTGCAGTGAGCTGAGATCATGCCACTGCACTCCAGCCTGGGCAACAGAGTGAGACTCTGTCTCAAAAAAAAAAAAAAAAATTCACCTGTTTTTACGAATTTTTGATTTATATAAATAAATTTTTGTAACTCATTTTAGGTTTAGGGACACGTGCAGATTTGTTACATAGATAAACTGCATGTCATGGGAGTTTGGTGTACAGATTATTTTGTCACCCAGGTAGTAAGCATGATACTACCTGGGTGTTTTTTCTGATCCTCTCCTGTAAAGTTTTAAATGTTTCTTCTTTGAGGCTTTGTGCAAGCCCAAGAATGTAGAGACTGCCCACTTAATGCTGATAAATACTGCCCAATCTGAGCTCTCTGAAAACCTTGTCTTCCAATGAGACTTTACCTTTATCGGCTCACCAAGGGCACAGGTGCCCTTAGTTTTCACTTGGGTTATTTTTAGAGCTTATGCCATTAAGAAGTCCCCTGAAGGTCTTTTGCTTTCAAGGACTACATTCTTGAATATGGAGGGATAAATTAGTCTTTTGATTCAGAGGGGACGGACAGGGCATGTATTATGTGCCTGACTGGTCTAGGCACTTTATATGAAGTCTCATTTTCTCCTTATAACAACCCTGCAGGTATTATTCTTACTTTACAGAGAAGTGAAGTCTGAGAGATTAAGATTCTTACCTAAGATGACGTAGCTTCTCAGAAGTGGAACTAGAATTTGAAAATGTGATTTGAACCCATTTTTGTCAGGCTCCAGTGCATATATTTTTCCCTGCATCAGGGAAGACAGGATAGCAGCAATGTCTTTTATTTCCAGATGGCAGAAGAGAAGACCCCAGGTAGAATAACTTACTCAAGGTCACAAAGAGAGAGTTTAAGGTACTCAGAGCTCCACGCTTCTTCTGATCTCTTTTCCCAAATCCCTGCCTTTGTCGGCATGCTTCTCTCTTTTTAAAAGATCTATTATAGTAAAAGTCCCAATTAGAGATTGTGGCAGAAATATTTGTCAAAACAGTAGTGGTACCTCTCAACGAAGAGAACTCTCAACAGATGTGCTGTATGTAATCCTGTTTTGTTAAAGGACATGAGTAGTACTAGTTTCAAGGGTCAACGACACCCACTGGCATTTACAGAGGTGTTAAGTGTCCTGGAGCAGAATTGCTGCTTATCGAGCATGTAAAGTTTCTGATGACTATGTTAGGAAGATGGCTTGGATTGAGTGCCAGAGGCCTGGTTGCTAGGGTGTTCTTTTTCTTTTAACATTTTATTGTATCTATATATACTTTTTTTTTTTTGAGATGGAGTCTCAGTCTGTTGCCCAGGCAGGCTGGAGTGCGGTGGCACAATCCCGGCTCACTGCAGCCTCCACCTTCCAGGTTCAAGCAATTCTTCTGCCTCAGCCTCTCATGTAGCTGGGATTACAGGTGCATGCCACTATGCCTGGCTAATTTTTGTATTTTTAGTAAAAATGGGGTTTCACCATGTTGGCCAGGCTGGTCTCGAACTCCTGACCTCAGGTGATCTGCCTGCCTTGGCCTCCCAAAGTGCTGGGATTACAGGCATGAGCCACCACACCCAGCTGTATAAATTTTTAAATACATAAAGAAGTTGGAAGAAAAATACAATTAATCCCCTTGTATCCATTACCCAGCTTCGATAGCCTTCGACTTTCTGCCATTCATGTTGCCTCTATCTCACTCACATGCTTTTTTCCCCTCAGGAGATTTGTGTGTTTGTTTGTTTTACTGTCACTGACTTGAAGCTCACCCCAGGGATTTTTAAAAGTAATTTCCAGATACTTTAAAAGTTTTTTTTTAGCTGTCATTTATTAAATGCCTAATTATGGCTGAGTACTATGTTAAATATCTTTTTTATTTTTATTTCTTGTTTTGAGACAGGTCACTTATTTTGAGATTGCAGTGGTGCAGTCTCAGCCAGGCTGGAGTGCAGTGGTTCCATCATAGCCTTGACCTCCTGGGCTCAAGCAATCCTCCCACCTCACCCTCCCAAGTAGCTAGGACTACAGGTGCCCGGCAAATTTTTTTTTTGTTTTTTTTTTTATAGAGATGGGGTTTCACTATATTGCCTAGGCTGGTCTCTAACTCCTGGGTTCAAGTGATCCTCCCACCTCAGCCTCCCAAAGTGTTGGGATTACAAGTGTGAGCCACCATGCCCAGCCAAATACTCTGTATTTAATGCTCACAAATCACACTGTGGTTTAGATGTTATTATTATTTCCCATTTATGGAAGAGGAAACTGAGGCACCTGGGATTAAGTAATTTGCCTGCCTTAAAGTAGCTTGCGCAAGGTTGCACAGTTAGGAAGTAATGGAAGTAATGGGGCCAGGATTCAAGCCCAGGGTAGTCTGGGCCTCTTCCTCACTCCTCTGTGTTTCAGGCATTGCTGTTTATTATAACCCCAGAAGAGTTCTGTTCTATACCACCCACCCCTGTCATATTTACCAAAGTATAGGAGTCAGAGATTTATTTTGTTTATAGTGCCAATGGCAGGATTAAGCAGTATCCATGTTTATCACTGATCTAGGAAGGACAATAAAAAAGAGAAAGTGAAATAGAAGGTGGTATGTGCCTATAGTCCCAGCTACTCAGGAGGCTGAGGTAGGAGAATAGCGTGAACCCAGGAGGTGGAGCTTGCAGTGAGCCGAGATGTGCCACTGCACTCCGGCCTGGGTGACAGAGCCAGACTCTGTCTCAAAAAAGAAAAAGAGAAATATTTACTCCCTTTCTTAATTGTAAGGATAGATTAGATGCCCATCCCTTGATTACAATGAAAATAGAGGATCAGACTAAACAGAATTGTGAGACCCCTTCTAGCCCTGTGAGTCCTGGTTATAGTATATCTTCTGGTTTTCATCTGTGTATCTTTTTGTTTTTCTGGTTTTTTTTTTTTTTTTTTCCTTGAGACAGAGTCTTGCTCTGTCTCCCAGGCTGGAGTGCAGTGGCGCAATCTCAGCTCACTGCAACCTCTGCCTCCTGGGTTCAAGCGATTCTCCTGCCTCAGCCTTCCGAGTAGCTGGAATTACAGGCATGTGCCACCATGCTTGGCTAATTTTTTGTATTTTTAGGTATTTGAGGCTGCAGTGAGACATGGTCATGCCACTGCACTCCATCGAGACGGGGTTTCACTGTGTTAGCCAGGATGGTCTTGATTTCCTGACCTCGTGATCCACCCGCCTCGGCCTCTCAAAGTGTTGGGATTACCGGCGTGAGCCACCGCGCCTGGCCTGTATCTTTTTGAAGTAGAGAAAGGAGGGTTAGAAGTATGAAGGTGTTGTTTCCTTACTTATGGCAAAAAAAAGTAGAAGTTGAAAGTGGGATAAAGAATTGCTAGCCAGGCACGGTGGCTCATGCCTGTAACCCTTGCACTTTCGGTGGCTGAGGTGGGAGGATTAGTTGAGCCCAGGAGTTCAAGACCAGCGTGCGTAACATAGGGAGACCCTGTCTCTATAGAAAATCAAAAAATTAGCTGGGTATGGTGGTGTGTGCCTGTGGTCCCAGCTACTTGGGAGGCTGAGGCAGGAGGATCACTGGAGGCTAAGGTGGGAGGATTGCTTGAGCCCTGGAGGTTGAGGTTTCAGTGAGCCAAGATCATGCTACTGCACTCCAGCCTAAGTGACAGAGCAAGACCTGGTCTCAAAAAATAAAAAGAAAAGAATTGTCTCAGAGTCCTTTCCCAACTTAGAGATGGGTGTGAGACCAGAGGCCAGGTCTTCAGGTTGTTGGGTGAGAATACTCTTTGTTCTTTTTCTTGCACCACATCTCAATAGCTCTTTATTGTGTTTAATACCATAGTAACCCTGTTTCCTGTTTCTCCTTCCTTTTTTTTTTTTTTTTTTTTTTTTTTAGTACCTCAACATGCTAAGGACTTGTGAGGGCTACAATGAAATCATCTTTCCCCACTGTGCCTGTGACTCCAGGAGGAAGGGGCACGTTATCACAGCCATCAGCATCACGCACTTTAAACTGCATGCCTGCACTGAAGAAGGACAGCTGGAGGTGAGTTTTCAGCATAGGGCTCTGGCTGCGAGGACTGGAGATACTTTGATGCTCACTTGCTTGTGACGTTTTAATTCCATTTTAGGGGGAAATGAAATCAAAACTGTATTTTGACTGGGGCAAATAAACAGGCATGGAATCCACACTGATCCTCAACTTCATTGGCTGCTTCCACTGATTTGTATTCTTCTATCACAGTCCTTTCTCTGAAGCGATGCAGACATCCATTCATTTCTCTTCTGTCTCCTGGTTCAGAACCCCCTACCTCAGTTCCCCAGCACTCTGAAACACAGACTGTACCTTACTCCCTTGTCTTGGTTGTCCAGAACCAGGTAATTGCATTTGAATGGGATGAGATGCAGCGATGGGACACAGATGAAGAAGGGATGGCCTTCTGTTTCGAATATGCACGAGGAGAGAAGAAGCCCCGATGGGTTAAAATCTTCACGCCATATGTGAGTGCAATTTGGGGAAAGTAACTGGGACTTAGTTTGTTTTTTTGTTTTTTTTTTCAGCTAAATGCATAAATGGAGAGAGAGATAGAGCTAGTAGTTGTCTTGAGATCCGAACCTGTTTGAATCCTGGAGCCCCCAGATTCATCCTGTTTTTGCTTTAGGCCTGACTGGAATTGGCAATTTCCTATCCCACTTGGCTCGTAGTTACCACTAGAAGGAGCTAGAGAATAGTGGATGAACCAGGCCTGGGTTTTATGGTACTTGTCAGGGTTTTTCTCTAGACTGAGTTTGGAAGATGGGATGACTGGGGACAGGAGTTCAAAGGCACAGTCCTGAGATGCCTGCTCTTGAGAAGTTAGTGAGTGTCACCACCTTTTTTTTCAGTTCAATTACATGCATGAGTGCTTCGAGAGGGTGTTCTGCGAGCTCAAGTGGAGAAAAGAGGTAATTCTGAACAGTCCTTGAATTGACCTTTTCATCTTTTTGTTTCTTTAAAATTTATAGGCCTGTGGCCAAATACCTGGGACCCTCACCTCCATCTCTGTCTTTCTAGGAATATTAGTTAGAGACTGATTATCTCATGTGAGCCAGGACATTCTTCCAGCAAGGTTGGCCTCTGGATGGTGAACGGGCTGTGCAAAAAAGCCCTGCTTCTTCCCTTGTCTAGAGGGTGGACATTGGCTACAGGCTCTTCCATCTCTCATGACTTCATGGACCCTCCTCTGCCAGTTTTTTAAATCAGATCACCCTCCATGTTGTTCCTGACCCACAGGGGAAGCTGTCCTCAGTTGTAGCCGTCTTGACTGGATGAGTCCTGGCAGTCTTTCTAGGCGAACCAAGAATGTTTGTGTGAGGGAAGGTGTTTGCTGTTGCTTTACTGCTGTCTGTATGTGCCAGTGCTGGAACAGAATTTGGAAGATTCTGAATAATTAGTTACTTATTCTCAAAGAAAATCTTTGAAAGAATCAGGAGGTCAAGTCAAGAACATGAAAATTTATATTTTAGTACAGTAGAAAGAACATTGGGCTCTGGGAATTTTATCTGGGTTTTCTCCTGGCTTTTTTTTCCCTCTGTGTAATTTTGGGTAAATCAGCCTCCCTAGCTTTCAGTTTTCTCTTCTGTGAAACAGGAAGACTGAACCACGTAATTAATATCCAAGGTCCCTTCCGGCTCTAAAAGGCTATGATTCTAGATGAGAAGTTATATCAAGAAAGATGTGGCCAATCAGATTGAGTCATCCAGGCATACCTTTTTAGCTTCTGTTTGTGGAGTTGTCTCCAGATAAGAGGAGATGTGCCTTCCCAATAACTCTTTTTTTTTTTCCTTTCAGAACATTTTCCAGATGGCGAGGTCACAGCAGAGAGATGTGGCCACCTAGCCTTTCCTTATCCCCTTCCCTTCCCTTCACCCCCATCCTCTTACTCCTTTCATGTCCCATTTCAGACAGAGTAACCATTAACAAAAAAGAAGAGAAAAAGTTAAAGTCGTTATATTCAAAAGCCCTAAACTAAATATTATTAATAACCCCCTCTGAATTTCATGTCTCTGGAATTGAGGTGGTAGTGAACAGCAGATCGGTCAGCACCAGAAGTCAACTGAGTTAAGGCAGGAAAAGAAATAAGCCCAACCAACTTGCCAAAGGTATCTTTGTCCTTTCACCTGGGCCTCATACCAACAGCCTCTCCTTGTACTATATTTTTAAAACTGGAACTATGAACTTCATCCATTTGCACTGTTCAGACATATATATGTATGTATGTAAAAATTATATATACACAAATTAGCTGCACGTATATACATATATATATTTCTTTTTAAATTTCATATTGATGGCAGTACCTTTTTTAGCTTGTGTTTTTACACACCTTTCACTAGAATCCATGACCTCCCTCGTGCTCTCTTTCTTTTGAAACAAACTTTAAAAAGGAAAAAAAAGCATTTTACAGGGAAAAATACCTCTCCTCATGAAGGACTTGAAAAGTTTACAACCTGCTTGGATTTTTGCCCCTTTTTTTGTATTGAGTATAGATTCCGGCTCATGGGTTGCCATAGAGTCTAGGAACAAGGAGTATAGTTTCTTTATCTTCCAAGAGGGTGCTGGGGAGGAGAAAGAGGTGTGTTTCTCAAGGTTAACAGGCTGTAGTTCTGCAGGGAGAGCCTGAAGTCCTGGTATGGGCTCTTGATTCTGTGACAATTTTTTTGATCCATCTATTTCTCTCACTCCTGGCTTTCTAGCCACATTCTGCACCTCCTTCCTGCTTTCCTAGAGCCTCGGTATGCTTTCCCTCAACCGACCCTGGCTCAGGAGGTTGATGCCATGGGAACCTGAACCTGAAACACTTCATGGTAGTAATTTCCTGTTTTCCTTGCCTTTTTTTTTTTTTTTTTTTTTTTTTTCTGAGACAGGGTCTTACTCTGTCGCCCAGACTGGAATGTGGTGGCATGAACATAGCTCACTGTTACCTTGAATTCTGGGCTCAGGTGATCCTTCCGCCTCACCCTCCTGAGTAGCTGGGACTACAGGTGTGCACCACCACACCTGGCTAATTCTTCTTAAAATTTTTTTGTAGAGACAGGGTCTCACTATGTTGCCCAGGCTGGTCTCAAACTCCTGGCCTCAGGTGATCCTCTTGTCTCAGCCTCCCAAAGTGCTGGGATTACAGGCATGAGCCACTGTGTCCTTCCCTGCCTTTTTTGCAGCAGGGATAGTACTCAGGACCAGAGTTAAGCTGATACCTTAGGCACACAGGTTGGACTTACATAGAGGAAAGAAAGCAAGAAATGCCCTATGTACATGAGGTTTTACCTCCTCCATTCCTGACCAATAACCACCCATAACTACGGCATTCTCTGTGACTTCCTTAAACAGCAGTGATGGGAAGGGATCCAATAGTATCTTCAAGGCCTTGGGGAAACTTGCAGTGGGTCAGTGGTCTGTGCCAACCAAACGATAGCCCCATCCAAGCCAGCTGAGAACCTAGGAAGGAGTAGTAGGAATATGGTTGATTAGATTGGATCTCCCAAGTTTTAATTGAAAGGAGACTGAACGAAAACCTTTCTGCTTTCTGTCCGTTAAAGAGCTCCTCATCTGATCTTGCAGCTAGACCCTTTGAGACTTAAGAGCTGCATCCCAGGATCAGAAGCCAGGGCTAATTGGGGTAGGACAATATTCCCAGCCCCTAAGCTCTGTAGATAATGCATAAGAAGCACCAAGTCAGGCTCAGATGCAACTAAAACACATCTTTGAGCCTTTTCTTTTTCCCTTCTCCCCTTTCTAAACAAAAACCTTCCTAGGATGGCATCTTTTGCTCTAACTGGGAGACAGTCATAATTGGTTGTAGTCAATTCTACTAAGCAGTGTTGGGGTGGTTGGAAAGTCTCTTTTTTGTAATTTGTTTTTGCAAATCATTGTGAGGCCACTTTTTCTTTCTTTCTTTCTTTCTTTCTTTCTTTCTTTCTTTCTTTCGTTCTTTCGTTCTTTCGTTCTTTCTTTCTTTCTTTCTTTCTCTTTCTTTCTTTTGCTTTCCTTCTTTCATCTCTTTTTTGTAATTTGTTGTTGCAAATCATTGTGAGGCCACTTTTCTTTCCCCTTCCTTCCTTCCTTTTTTTCTGTTTTTTTTTTTTTTTTTTCCCAGAGTCTTGCTCTGTCGCCCAGGTTGGAGTGCAGTGGCACGATCTCGGCTCACTGCACCCTCTGCCTCTTGGGTTCAAGCGATTCTCCTGCCTCAGCCTCCCAAGTAGCTGGGATTACAGGCATACACCACCACGCCCCACTAATTTTTTGTATTTTTGGTAGGGCGGGGTTTCACCATGATGGCCAGGTTGGTTTTGAACTCCTGACCTCAAGTAATCTGCCCACCTCGGCCTCCCAAAGTGCTAGGATTACAGGAGTGAGCCACTGCGCCTGGCCCACTTTTCTTTCTTTCCTTCTTATTTTGTTATGCTGGCAGCCATTTGCCCCTGCATGGTATGGGATCAAAGAGGACAGCCTTTCCTCCCTCACCTTCTCCAAATCTAGGTGAAATCACAGAGTACAAAACGTGAGAATGCTGAATGTGTAAAGTTGCAGAGGGATCCCTAATTTGAAGACTTTGACACAGAACTAACTTCTTTTGACTTAAATGAATTTAAAATGAGCCAAAGGACCCTGAAAAGAAGACATGTTGATTTCCCACTCCTAGATGCTAAAGAGACTTGGCACCAGCTTTGTTCAAACTGTAAAAATAGCAATTTGCCCCTACTCGCTCAGAGTGGGACAGTAGTGAACAGAGCTGGGATTCCATGCGACAGCTTGAATGCTGACCTTCAGACATGAGACATAGGGATTTGGAGGCCCCTTAGAATGGGTAGATGGTGTTATGTTCCCTTTCTGGCATAGCATTCACTTGGTGCTTTGGAGATTAGGTGAGGGCCCTATAGGTAGTTGGCCTGTTGGCAGAATTTATTTAGGAACAGCCCTTTTGAAAGTGTCCCAGTAACAACGCACCCAGCTGCAGCAAGGAGGTGGGGAAGGAGGGCACCCCAAAGGACAGCGCCTTCTTCTCTTCCACCCATGCACGGCCTTGGGTGATGGAGGCGGGTTCCCTGTGGCTGCGTGGATCCCATAGGATCAAGCCCTTCTTTGCATGAAGCAGTGTTGTGACTCTTCTCTCTCCCCTTCCTCTGCACTTCCTTTCTGTAATCCCTACTGTTCTTCTTAGTCCCAGCTTCTGCCCAGGGAGGCTTCTACCCAGACTTCTTTTGCAATTTGTCCCTGGGAAGAGGGGGTCTCCCAGTGCCCCCAGCTTCATCCCAGCAGAACCAGCAGGATCCTCCTGGTCTCTCACTGGCCTTCCTCCACACTTGGTTTCTATCCTCAGGGGTAGAAGCTCAGAGCTTTTTATGGCCCAGGAGAAAATGTAGACCCTGAGAAACCTGTCCCTGCAGAAAGGTTCCCTTGGGCCATGCTTTGGGCCCTCTGCTCTTTATATGTTTATTCTATTCTCCATTTTTCCACCCCGTCCTTACCCTAGGCCTAAACACAGGTACAGATATGTGCATGCTCAGGGCAGCTCCTAGGCCTGGACTGAGCTCTCAGGGGGGAATTAGATAAATATTCCAACATCCTCATGCCTGGCCCATTTAGTTTCATCCTTTAGTTACCCAGGCCAGTAGCTTTGGGTTATCCCTTCCTGTAGCTCCAAACCCAGCACTTGGAGCAGCAAAATAGGGCACTGACAGGAGATGAAACTCTCTCCTATCTCAGAATTTGCCAACTTCTGGGCTGGGCTCCTAGGAGGTAGTTTTCTTGAAGGGGACTGCATCCTAGTTGACCTGAATTTTCCAGACCAGGAGGGACTGCTGTGCTCTCCCTTCTCGCCATCATACTGTTTGGCTAGATTCATTCAGCAGTAGAAGCTGTTTGATCTGTTGACCCCAGCATACTGCTGTTTCTTCACCAGCTTCATTGTGTCACAGTAGCTTCCTTTGGGAGGATGATGTGATAGAACACTCAGAGAGAGGGAGGGAGAAGAGAGATAGTGGGTATGCTTCTCTAGCTCCCCATCTTCCAGGTCCACCTCTTGACTTCCTGTTCCCCTAAACCTGAGCACATCACGCCAGGCCTCTTTGCTGCCAGGACAGCATCAGCTCACTCCTCAGCAATAATCTAGGGTATGTGGGAAGGTCAGGGCTGTGGTAAGGAATAGAATCAAAGAGGGGAGTGATACGGGGTGGGGGCACTTGGCCGCCTGCTAAACTTGGACATTAATTTTATATCATGACCCCCTTTTAAGCCAGTGAGCTGGGCTTCAGTTTTTCCCAGGCCATGCACATTTAATTTATTTCAGAGAAACTCTAATTGTATTTTCACTGCAGTATCTTGTATTTTTTATTTGTGATTTAAGAAATGTGAAGAGAAAATACACAGACACAATAATGGCTAACATTGTTTCTTTCATTCCTTGTTCTAGAGCTAACCACTCTAAAATTGTTTGGTAATGTCACTTAGTGTAATTAATTGTAACATATTCTTTTAAATAAATTGATTTATTGATCAAACACTTCTTTGGTTTCCTAGACTACAAATCCTTTGGGTTGTGTGGGAAGAAGTGAACTGGGACCTTTGAGATTTGAGTCAGAGTGGTCAGTCTGAAAAGAAGAAACATCTAACCAGTTTTCCCAGGTAACTAGTGTGGCAGTTTTTTGAGTGCAGGGAATGGAGAAGGGTGAGGAAAGAAGCCACAGGAGGCCCTTGGTTTGCAGTTCTCTTCCCAGTGGCTCCTTTGAAAATTCCTTCTTCTCCTTCAGATCTCAGAGGTGATTGAGCTTACCCCTCCCATCTGCAAGCTTGCACAAAAATCCTTTGAAGAATCACAGGATTCCTTTCTCTGCCATGCAGATAGAGCCTGGCAGAGCCTTTGGTACAGATCTTAGCAATGGACCCTCCTCTCCACCCCCAGCAACAGGTATATACTTTTTCAGGTAAATCGGGAAAGTTTTTCTCTTTGGGATCTGGACTGAAAGGAACACATTATGACTATTGAACTGTCCAGCACAAAACTAGGCACTGTGGGTGGCCTTACTCTCCCCTGCTCCCACACTCCTGAGAAGAAGGGTGGTCCTACAGCCTTTTGCTTTTACAGAGGCATCTGAGGGGCTGGGGCCTAATTACCTTCTCTCAAGGGTATCTGTTCCTCTGCACATTTGTTTATGAGCTGACTCTGGTCTGAAAAGCTCAGCATTTGTGGTGGGTGAGACATTTTAATTTTTTTATAAAGCTTCATTTATTATTATTTTTACAACTTCCGATCACACGCTTTTGTTCCCTAACTGATGACCATAAGACCAAGGACCATTGTGGCACTTTGTTTGGCAGTTTGGGAAGAGACATTGTTCAGGGGCTCATTCATTCACCCACCCATTAGCTTTGGATATTTAAAATCTAAGAAACACTACTGTGCTAATGGAGGGGGGAAGTGTTACCTTTCCTAAGCAAAGAATCCATAAAGAAGAACAAAGTGGAATTCCAGAATTAGAGTTACAGTGGTTAAAGTCAAACATTTATTAGGTATCTGCTGTTGGGGGTGGGGTGGGGAGATTGTTTGAGATACTGCAACAGACACAAAAGCAAAGAAAGAAACATTTCTGCCAGCTTACAGGCTCACAGAAGAATGAGACACTTACGCATGGCCATGATACACAGCAGTGAAAGGTTTAAGTGCCATAAGGACTAGAAAAGGAAGGAGAAAGACCTGTGGATGAGGGCCGTTAAGATTTTCATGAAGAAAGTAGTGTTTAAGGTGAACTGTTTTAGTGTGAGAAGGATTTCAACAAGAAGGCATTCAACAAACATTTATTGAGCCGTTATGTGCCAGACACTGTAGTAACTGGGAATGAAAAGACATGGGAGAAAAGGGACCAAACTTGCCTAGAGAACAATGAATAGTTCTATTTGGGTATGTGTAGGAATGAAGTGGAAAGTAAGGCTTCGAAGAGCCTTGAATGCCAGGCTGAGGTGTTCTATGAAAAACAACAAAAAACAGCAGCAGAGAAGTTTTGTTTTTTATTAGCTGCAGTTTAGAAAGATTGATGCTTCAGAACATAGACAGAAGGACCAATTAGGAAATTGCTATGATTACTCAGTTAATAAGTGTAGGCAGTGATAATTGAAAAGAGGGAAATGATATGAGAAAGTTTGTGGAAGTGAAATCTTAAATGATTTAATACCATTGAGTTTATGCGAAAGTACTAAAAACTCTTGAGGTTTTCTGTCTATGTGACTAGAAAATAGAAATATATGAGTCAGGACTTTATGGGAGAAAGTTTTAGCATTGGCCCTATGATGATGTAGATATGGATGGGAAGTCCAGTATAGATGTCCAACAGTCATTTCTTATTTACTAAGCAATGTCTAATATTTGGGGCACTGTTTAGGGTGACCAGGATACAGTGCTGGACAAAGCAGACTGGGTAGTAAATGTTGGTGAATTAACTTTTAAAAGATGACTCTTGGCTTCTTGGGAGAACAAATTGTAGGAGAGCAGGAAAAGAAACATGGAGACAGATGAGAGCAATGTGACGTGGACAGTGTTGATGGCTGTGGAGATGCAGAGACATGAGTAAGTAAATCAGCTGAATACTTTAGAGGTAGACTTGGTAGGGCTTTGCAGTTGGATTGGGGAGGAGACATGAGAGAAAGGGTGTAATCCAAGTTTTGGCTTGAGTAGGTACCTAGTGGTGCTGCTTACTAATGATGAAGACAGAGGGTGGGGTAGCAGCCTAGAAGCACATGTTCTATGAAGTCAAAGAAGACACCTGTGTGATCCTGAGCCTGCCCTAAAGCAGCTCACAGAGAAGAATCTAGGAAGTGGAGGGACTTAGGGCTTATGCAGTCCACCCTCTACCTGAAGGACTCACTCCTAAGCCTGCTTGCTACTTCTTGGGATCTTTGCCTCAGGTCAAAGAACAGGTAAGAAGAGAACATCATGGGCTTTGGAATCTGACAAACTGGGTTCAACTCCTACAGCCATGCCTTACTGGCTTTGTGACTCCAGGGAAGTTAGTTAACCTTCCAAGCCTCCTTTTCCCATCTATAAAATTATATCCTACCTAGGCTGGGCGTGGTGGCTCATGCCTGTAATCTGAGCACTTCGGGAGGCCAAGGCAGGAGGTTTGCTTGAGCCCAGGGGTTCGAGACCAGCCTGGGCAACATAGCAAGACCCTGTCTACAAAAAAAAACACCATTTTTAAAAATGAGCTGGGCGTGGTGGTGCAGCCGCTTATAGTCCTAACTACTTGGGAGGCTGAGACAGGAGGATCCCCTGAACCAGGAGTTCAAGGTTGCAGTGAGCTATGATCTCACCATCACACTCCAGCTTGAGTGACAGAGTGAGACCCTGTTTCAAAGTAAATAAGTAAAATAAATAAACTATAGCCTGCCTCACAAGGTTGTTAGGAGGTAAAATGAGGAAATGCACAATAAGGACTTGGAACAGAATCACATATGGAGCAGTGGTTAGTAAATGGTGGTGTCACAACTGGCTCCCAGTATCCACACTGGCCTCTGTGCAGAAATGGAGGTCCAGATGTGAGACTGCAAGTCCTCAGCCTTCAGAGGGACAGAGCTGGATACAGGGGAGAGCCCCCGACAGGGGAGATCTCCTTGTGCCGAACTCTGCAGGACATTCCAGAATTAAGCCCCAAAGAAGGGCTGAAGGACAGGATCATGAAGCCATGAACAAGGCCTGGATGCTGCTCAAAAGCAAGGGCCCGGCCTTCCCTGATGGGATTTTCTCTCTCAAACCTCATTCTCTACCTCCCTCCCCCTTCCCAGTGTGGGTAGGGAACAATCCCCTACCCTCAACCTTCCAAGACTCTTATTTGATGCTTTTAAACTTTTTTCTTTATTTAGACAGAAAAGACCAACTCTTTAAAAGTAAAATGCAATAAATAAATAAGTTAAGCATAGAGAACTGTCTGAAACTGACTCCCCGGTCTCCCCTTACCACCCCCACCCCCACCCCATTTTCTTTTCCCTAAAACCTCTTCCTAAAGAAAATGATCAGGTAATAAACCCCTTGACCCCTCCCCACACCCCTCCTCCCAATACCCAATTACCCCCCAAAGCAAAGGGAGAAATTAAGAGAGAGAAAAAAATCCAAGGGCAACATTGTCTAAACTCCCAGAAAGAGAGATGGCAGCGTCCGGGCCAGGCCGGGCGGGCTGGATAACGCACGGGTGGTAGTGGTATTTACACAGAGGGAACCAGCAGAGACTGTAAACATTTTTAGGGGTTCAGGGGAAGGTCTTTTCCTCGTGAAAGGAGGAGGGTCTCTGTGGCTGACTGGCAGAGAGGCAGCCCTCAGGGCTCCCCCACACCCTCCTTAGAGGGGGCCCTTGGGGGAGGCAGTGAGTTTTAGGGCTGGGAGCCCAGGAATCAGGGATATCCTACCTCTAGCTGAGGGTGGAGGGGAGTGAGAGCCAGCTTCCAAGAAACCCCTAATGTGGGGAAGAGGCTGGGGTGAGGGTGAGCTGGGAGTGTGTGGCAGGCCCCTGCGGCTCTCCTGGGGCCTGCACGGGTAGAACAGGCCCACTGTTGGGGGAGGCAAGTACAAACGCTGGGTACAGAAGGCCTGTCACAGGAGCCCAGCAGAAGGCAGATACCCCGGAGCCTTCGAGCCTGTTCCTCGCTCCCTCACAAAGGCCAAAAGGGCATCTAGGAGGAAATGGGCCCTTGGAGCCAGGGAAGCATAGCCATGGCCCTTCAGAGAGGCAGGGGGGTGGGAGGGGCCGGTGTCTTGTGCCCCCGGGGGCCACGAAGCAGCGTTTGCCCCAGAACCCAGTCAAGGCCCAGGGCAGGTGTGCGGAGAGGGCCGGGGCCAGTCGTGGGAAGAGGGTGTGAGGCGCCCCTTCCTCTGGGATCTCCAGACCTGTGAAGGAAGAAACATGGGTGAAGCATGGGGAAGAGACCCCCGATGCGGATCACGGGCTCTGGGGGAGGGGAGGGGGCTGGGGTGAGTGACAGCATCTAGGATGGGGCTGCCTGAGGAAGGCAGATCATCAGGCCTCAGTCCAAACGGACCCATCTGCCCCCACCCCCAGCCATGAGAGCAGGGATAGAGGAGACAGGAGGGAGGGGGCAAACCATACAGGAAACCAAACGGTATTAGGAAGGAAATAGATAGCCCATGAGAAAAATAAAGACTGGAGGGGGAGAGAGGCAAAGAGATGACAACAGACAGGCAGGCAGAGAAATCGAGAGAGAGACAGAGAAGGGGGTGCGTGTAAGAGACAGACACCTGGAAAAAGAAAGGGAACACCCGCAGAGAAGGCCAGGGCAGAGCCCAGGTCACGGCTCAGGGATGGAGTCTCATGGGGTGAGACCACCCCCGGCCCCCAGTTAGTGCTCTCATTCCTTTTTGGAAAGGAACACAGAAAGCAAGAGAAATGCACAGAACACAGACCACAGTCACCAACCACTGTAGACCAAGCACGTCCCGCGAGCTGCCCCCGGCCCTGACCTTGGGCTTGGGGGTGCTTCCCTCCGCGGCCCCTCCCCAAAGAACAAACAATCGGCTCCAAAGACAACACGCTCGTTCCATGCAACTTACAGGGGCCCGGAGCAGGGGTCCGGGGATGGGGGCTTCGGCCGACAATGGACACGGGCCCTGGGCTGGGGGGGCCCCCAGGGTTGGGGGAGTTAAGCAGCCAGGATTGGGGGGAAAGGGGAGAAACAGAAAATGTGGGTATTTTTCTTGGGTTGTGTTTTCTCAAGGGTTTGGTCCAAAGGAGATTAAACAGTGCGAAAGTAACCAAGGCTCACAGCTCTGTGGCCATGAGGTTGAGGTGGTGGCCAGCAATGGGGTGGAGGAGACCTAAGTAAACTTCACAGGCGGCGCGACATTTCAACCTCTTCCACCTAAACCAGAGCAACTCCCAAGAGGCCTGAAAATGGGCTCCCCCAGTCTGTCCTGTGCACTCTGCTGCCCCATGGGTCTGCTGCTACATGGGAAAAATCACCTGAAGTCCAGGGAAACCAGGGCTGATGTCCTCACTTCTCAGGACAACAGAGATTCTAGGAGCCAAGGATTCTAGGGCCCTCTGGCACCCTCAGCCAACCCCTTAATCCTCCAGTCCTGTTCCCCTAATTCCACTCTAACCCGAAGGAAAACCAGAAAGAGACACACACAGACATGGACACTGACCAGACAAACGAGACCAGATATTGTGGAAGGTCCAGGGAGTGGACACATATATACAAAGACTTGGCTCTTTCTGGGGTCACGGAGGGTGTGTGTGTGTGAGAGAGAGAGAGAGAGAGAGAGTGACTCAGATTATTGAAAAACAGCTGAGGGAGCTGCCCCAGCCCCCTGCTTCAAGTGCCCAGGGTCAAGGGTGGGGTGGGCATCCCTGAGGGTGGTGGAGGACAGGGGTTGGGGGTGTAGTCCAATCGAGGGCCCTGGCTGCAGTGTGTGAAGCTGGGGAGGGAGGCCACAACGGAGCGGGACCCACCTGGGGGCCCTCAGTAGGGCCGGTTGGCATCCTTAGGCCGCTTTAGCTGGACTTTGAGGCGCTTCATGCCGATCTGGAAGCCATTCATGGCCTGGATGGCAGCCTGGGCACTGGCCGGATTGTCGAAACTCACAAAGCCTGGGGTGAGAGGGGCATAAGGCCCGGCCCAGCCCCACCTCGCTCTTCCGTGCTTAGGAGACCTCTGGCACTACCCTGTGTCTCCCAAGTGTCCCAAATGCCTAGAAAGCTGCCTGCCACATAGCAGCATTCCTTAGGAATTTGTTGATTGATGGGTTGAATGGATGAATCCAGTCCAGCCACTCCAACTACCACATTCTTCCCAGCATTCTGTGCCAGTGACCCCTTCCTCTGCCTGGATAGCTCTGAGCCTGCCCTTTGAAAACGGCCACTTCCAGACCCTAAATGGCTTCTGAAGCAGAGAAGAACATTCCCTTTCTCCCCTGAGGAAGACTTTCAAAGATGTGAAGGCAGCTAAAACCGACTCCCCAAGCCCACCTTTTGCAAACCAAACATCCCCAGACCATAAGCCTATTTCAGACCTCATGGGACATGAATTTGGCCAGTTTTTAAGAGAAACGCTGAAGGAAGAAGAGATGGGCCGAGGCAGCAGCTGGGTGTGGCATGTTGGGTGTGTCAAAATGGCTCTTTTGTACTCTTGGATAATCAGTATTTCAAATACTGGGTCCACTGTGACCATAAATGCCTTCAAATATATTAGACCTTGTCCTGATTTGGAGTATGGCAAAAAATGTGCCATATCATATTCTTACCAAAACATTTGCTTTGATTGGTGGCTCGGTCAACAAAGACTTTGGCTGAGATGACGTGGCCAAAGGGGACAAACATCTGGAGGATCTCTGAGTCAGTGAACTCCTGGGGCAGGTGGTAGATGAAGATGTTGCAGCCATCAGGGCCTGGGTGGCGACAGAGACAGAAGAAAGAGCTCAGTGACTGGGAGGCACACACCCCAGAAGCAAATGTCCCAGGGAAAGCAGATCCTGGGAGTGCCCTCCAGTCCCAGTCCTTGACAGTGTGGGCCAAGTCTCCGGCCACTCCCTCCCCACTTGCTTTCATCCTGACACGTGGGCAAGAGCTGGGCTCAGCGCGGGGTGACAGGGAGTCCCCAAGCCCATAACGAGGGCATTCCTGTCTCCCAAGGCCCCAGCCAGCACCTTCTCTTTGCTGCTGCTGCTGTTGCTGCTGCTGCTGCTGCTGCTGCTGTTGAGGTGGTGGTGGGGGCTGCTGGGCGACCAGGGCTGGAGGCTGCGGGAACGCAGGTGCAACCAGGCTGTAGGCTGCTGGGTAGGCTGCTGGGGTGGGGAGAAGAGAGAGGCTGATGGGGCTTCCCTGACTTCTTGAGCCCTCCCAGCCAACCCTGTCTCCCTTCCCCTAGCCCAGGCCAGTGGCACCTGCAGGGCTGAGAGGTGGTCAGGGAAGGAGCTGCCTCAGACCCCTGGGTGTGCTGCCCTTAAAGACCCCTCCCCACAGTTGGGCTTGTCAGTAAAGCCTGAAGAGGGTGATTGGCAGGGAGCCAAGAAGCCCAGACCCAGTTACTGGGCCTCTTTTCCTCCTGCCACCTCTCCCACCTGAGCAGGGGCCCTGGCTAGGGCGCCTCACCTGTGTAGTGCTGCATCCCCGCGTAGGCCTGCTGCAGGGGGTCCACGGGGGCCGCGGGGCTCTGGGCTGGGGAGAGCAGCACAGACTATGAGCGTGGACCTGGCACACAGTGGGGGCCCTCAGTGCCTCTCTGGGCCTCTGGGCCGAGGCCAGGCAGGTGGGGAGCAGAGCTTCTCTGGGCATGGGGTGTGAAGTGAGAAGGCAGAAATGCACAAAGCAGTGGGAAGAGGGGAAAGAGCCCAGCGTTAGGAAGACTTGGGTCTGACTGTCTTGCAACCCTGGACAGGTCGCTTCACTGCTCTACACCTCAGCTTCCTGGCCGAGCCCAACAGGAAGGATCATCCCCGCCCAGGATGGCAGGGCAGGAGGAAGCACCTGTACCCCCAAAGCTGGGAGGGAAGGTGTGTCCTGCCTCCCTAATGGGAGTGGTGGTTTAGATGGTTGCTGGGACGGAGTGGGCAGGCAGAGAGTCCCACCTGGGTAGGGGTGAACCCCGTTGGGATACAGAGCATCAGGGGCAGGCTGCCCAGTGGGCTGGGTGGGCACCGGGCTGTAGCCGTTGACGCCCAGGGCAGCCGGAATGGCAGAGACAGGCGTGGCAGCGATGGCAGGAGGGGTGCTGGTTCCTGGGGAGGAGAAAGCGACAGGGAGAGAGCAGAGGAGCAGACACACACACAGGCAGAGAACCAGTCAGCAAGTCTGTGGGCAGAGGGGAGGAAGCAGGCCTCTCTGACCCCTGAGTCCCTCCCAGACCCCGAGGCTTCCCTGAGCAATGCCCTGTGCCCCTCCCTACCCCTACCATGCTTAGCTCCCTTGCCCGGCCTTGCCCAGGCCATACCTGAGGATGGGGTGATGGGGGTGGCGATGAGGCCATTGGCATTGATGGCAGCCATGTGCTGCATCTGCACGGCAGCCATGGTGGCCATGGGGCTGAGGTAGGCACTGTGAGCCGCTACCAGGGCCGCCTGCTGCTGCATCAGCTGGGGGGAGGGGAGAGGAGAGTGGGGCAGGCCCCCTGTGCCCAAGCCTGGCTCCCTCCCAGCCCGGGGCCTTGGCATCGGGAGGGTGGGGGCAAGATACAGGGGGTCAGGAGGGCTGGCCCGGCATCAGGGGCAGTGCTCACGGCCTGGGTGTAGGCGCTGTAGGCTCCAAACTGGAGGGCGATGGGGCTGAACATGCCCAACTGGGTGGCCACCTGCTGCATGCGGCGGAGACCTCGCTCCTTCTCAGTGTCAGCAAACTTCACCACCAGGCTGGACGAGGCACCCTGGGCACGGGCCCACACACAGGTCAGAGGTGCAGGGTCAGGGTCTCTCCTCCCCAAAGCCCTCAGGACCTGGTCTCCATTCCACCCCCATGGCATGGCTTGGCCTCTCTGAGAGGGCGGCCACCATTTTGCGTATGAAAGATGGGGAGATATTAATCCCACTCTCTCCCTATGCTAGGATGTGCAAGAGGCTAGAAGAAAAAATGAGGAATGTGAAGGCACATGCTTGGAAAGTGAAAAGCCTACTGGAATGAAAAGGGCATCATTGGCTACTCTGTGAGGACTCTGAACTGGAAATCATCCCCACCCTGGGTTGCCACAGCAAATGTTTAATCTCAGGCTAGTCTTCCCTTGTAGCTGCCCTGCGTGCCTTACCACGACTCCTGCCCCCACACCCCAGTCCTCATGGTGTGCCTCAAATCTTAATACTAGTCTGAGCTGAATAAAAACCAAATTGGAGCATTTGCAAGGATGATGGTAGAATCCTAGAATCTCAAAGCTGGAAGGGGCATAGGGTCATTGGACACAGTTCTCTACCCAATGCTGTGTCCCCTCCACCAAGGCCCCGTGAAATGTCTGCCCAGCCTTTGCTGGAGAGCTGTGAGTTATGGGAAGTGCACAGCCTTCTGAGTCAGCCAGTTCCAATTTAGAGGTGGGCTCTAGACTGGTCACTGACCTAACGCTGCTGTGCAGGGGCAGGGAAGAGGGGTGCACGTGGGGCCTCTAAGCAAGTGTCCTGGCGCCCCAGCAAATGAGGGTAGGGGGATATGGGAAGGCTGGAGAAGAGACGGGGGTGAAGGGAGGGCTGGGGAATGGAGGGAGAAGGAGAGGGATGTGAGGGAATTTGGCTGAAGGTGGATGGGGAATAGGGGAGGAGTGGGGAGGTGGGGAAGTGCCATTTGAAATGTGAGGGTGTCCCTAAGCAGTTTGGTTCTTCTGCCAGGACATTCCTTTCCAATAAATTCAAATAGCCCATCCTGAGTGGACTGCTTCTCTGGGCCAGGGCCTGGCAGGTGGGCAGGGTGGGAAGGAGAGGCCCGGGGGCAGGGGAGTGGGGCTCACTGGCAGGGTCCGGCTGCTGTGAAGGGTGTTGATGGCCGCCTGGGCCTCAGCGTGGGTCTGGAACTTCACGAAGGCGCAGCCTGGAGAGGTTGAGATGGAGGAGGAGAGGGGTAAGCACCCATCCCTGCGGGACCCCGCGGTGGAACCCGATGCCTAGGGAGTCTTGGGGGTGGAACAGGAAGGGGAAGGGCCCGGTGGGGAAGGGGGAAGTGGGTGGACTACCTTTGCTGGTGCCATCTGGCCCCCGGAGCACAGTGCACTCGTCGATGGTCCCGAAGGGCTCAAACATCTTCCGGACGTCCTCATCTGTCTGCTGCTTCCCTAGCATCCCCACAAAGAGCTTCCGGTCTTCTGGGTGGTAGGGCACAGGAGGAGGGCATGTTCAGGGCCTCCTGGCTGCCTTCCCAGCCCTTCTTCCGCCCTTCCCTGGAGCTCCTAACACTACTTCTGCTACCCTTAGGGTCCAATGGCTGTAGGGGCTGATGGTTGGGGAATGGGGTATAGTTGCAGAGGGTGCTCATCCCAGCTCTGAGGGACTCGCACTCCACCCTGGGCCTCAGTTTTGCCATCTGTACCCGCCCCAGATCTCACCCGCTCTGGCCACACTGACTCCTATCTCACCGCAGCTGGGAACTCTTCAGAATCATCAGGCTTTCTCCCTCAAGAAAGGCTACCCCTCGACAACTCCAGGCCCTGGGCCTGGGGGTGGGAGGAGAGGGACAGAGTCCAAAGGCACAGAACCTACCTCCTCGGCTCTCGCTGTCGGCTGGCTTGACCTGGATCGGCCTGTTCATCTGAAGGAGAGAAGAGAAGGCAGCTGCTGGGGACCTCCTCTGAACACCCAAGAGCCCTCCCAGGCCAGGCCCTGCAGAGAGACTAGAGGGGCAAGCCCCAGGCCCTCTAAGTTTCTGATGGGAAGGAAGGGACAGGGCCTAATACTGTTCAGGATGAAGGCCTGAGGGGATCAGAGGCACAGAGAGAGAGGATGTAGAGGGAGAGGCTCATGGGCACAGCTCCAGGCTCAGGTTGGGCTCCTGATGACTTGGCCAGGGATGGGTGCTGCTGTCCTGAGTGGGAGAAGGGGGCCTGCACATAGGACCCGGGGCCTGAGAGAGAGCCCGACCAAGGAGTTATTTAATAAGAATTGCCTCAATTCTACAAAGTGGGCGCAACAGAGGCCACTCTGAAGAAGCCCCAAGGAGGACTCTAGACTGAGGGAGACCCCACAAAGGCCCAGACTTCCTTCTGACCTCTAGAGGTGTGTCTGCCTCTCTTTCTGCCCCCCTATACCCCTTGACCCCAGGGGGAAGGCACTCGGGCAGCACAAAGGGAGCAGATGCCCAGTCTCCGTGGCAACGGGAGAATGCGCACCATGGCAACCGCCCACTCAGCCTGATTTATCCGTCCCCGTCGCCCTGGCGACCGTGGTGACGTCATCACTTCTGCTGCTCCACACACCCAGAGAAGGAGTGGGGTGGGGGGTGGTTAACAGGGTATGCTGGGGGTGGAGGATTTGGTGGGGGCTGGGAGGTGGGGGAGGGGCCCAGAAAACCTTCCTGATTCTGGAGGGAGGCTTGCAGAGCAGGCCCTGCAGGGGCCATCCCATCCCTTCTCCTGCCTCCCTCCTCCAGAGCAAATCCTTGGTGCCTGGAGGGCTCTAAAGGAGGAGTTGCTGTCCCGTGCTCCTTCGCAATTTACCCTGTGCACGGAAGTCCTCCAGAGCTCTAACCTCTCCCCGACCCCTGCAGTATCTCCCTTTGTTCAGTCTTCAGTGGAAATGGAGAAATTCCTAGTTCCACTCTCCATGTTCTTGTCTGGTGAGAGGACTTGGAAATTACTCCTGCAGGTTGATTTTCTTAACCAGGGTGGGGAGTATTATAGGAACTGGAGAAAGAGGAGAAGGACTTAGTATTTAGTGTCTGAAAATATTTTGCTCTTGAGGACTCTGACAGCTGGAACCACACCTGGTTGCCCCACTCATCTGATGGTGGGGCAGTAGTTCCAGTGACCAGAAAAATTAAACCTCAATTTACATTCTGAGGGTGAGGCTAGAGGTACCCTCAGGAAAGGTACTGGACTGGGAGTCAGGAGACCTGGATTTGAGGACTAGCCCTGCCCTGCCACTTACTAGCTGGGCGACCTTGGACAAGCCACTAGTCCCCTCTGGACCTCAACTTCCTTATCTGTAAAACAAGGGGGTGGGCCAGGCGATGTCTAATCAGGTTCCGGTCAGCTCCAGGCTCCAGCATGTGGAGATCCTGTGTGTGGCATCACTTAGCGCCGAGAAGTGCAGAAGTCACAGTTGCCCCTGCCCCTTCTCACCCTGGATCCTCACCCAGGTGTCGCATCATGCCAGTCAGTCTGGCCGACTCCACCAGTTAGGTATTCCCGGCCTCGGACCAAACCTAAGCCCCACCTCAACTGATACTCCTTTCCCAGGGCCCCACCCCCGCCCCCCAAATCTCTGGATCTGAGAGCAGCTGGTGAGGAGGGAGGGTAACAGTCATACAAATCCTCCAGCCAATCTGCCCCCAGCTTTATCACCCGCCAATCTGGGATTATCCCATCGGAGGCTCAATCTCCTTAGGCATGTGTGTGCGGGTGCGCATGCGCAAGCAAAGCGTGTCGTGGGGGCAGATGCTCAGGGTGCATGGGCTTTCACCTCCTTCTCTCCTGTGCTCTAGCCAAAGCACTCAGGAAATTCCCTCACAGGCACCTCCGCAGCCAGGCACCCACCCCTACACCCACGCCAAAAGAAGCAGAATCAGAACCAGGGTTGGGGGATTCTTACGCTTGGCGCTAGCCCCCTTCCCAGCAGGCCTGGGGATTTGCTGTTCTAGATGGAGATGGGAACCTGGGACCCAGAGAGAAAGGATGCAGTTCCCTCCTGGCATAGGCTCCCAGGCACAAAAATAGCATCTCGAGAAATACCCACGGCTGATGTGGATTCGCACAAAGAGACACACAAGTGTACAGACCACAGCAAGGACCGTGCTGACGGTAGGCTCCCCCTACACCCTCACAGACAGGACCCTTGGCGCTCCAGTGTCCCCTTCCCAGCCTCCTTCTTCGTGGCCTGGCACTTCCTGTGGGGAGCTCAGGCTTCGTTAGCTCAGCTCAGACACACCTGCCCCCTCCCCTGAGTCCAGCTGTGCCCTGTTTACCTGGCAACCAGGCGCAGCACCTTTCCTCCCTAGTTACTACCCACCAGGTGACAAGCCCTCCCTCGGGCCTCCCAAAGAAGGAGTGGCTATTTATACCCCAACCCAGTATAGCCGAGCCCCTCCACCACGGTCACTTTTAAGGCCTTCATCTTTCTCGCCAATAGCAAAAACTCCACTTCCAAGAAGACCTCACAGTTCTCACAAAATCTAATTCTTTTGAGGGTACAGCCTGGGGTCCTGCCACTCCTGGCTCCACACTTGTTCCCGGCGTCCCAGACCACTCACAGGTTCTCTCCGTGGGGCCAGAATCCACCTTCCTGACTGCAGACCGACAGGGAAGGCCCATGTCCCCCAAGTGGGATTTTGGTTCAGGGTGAAGGGGGAAGAGCTGGACAGAGGGCAACCCCCACTCCACCACCTCCATGATGCCACACCCTGCTCAGAGGACAAATTCAGGGACCTGTGGCAGAGCCACTCCTGGGAACTCTTAGGGGAGAGAAAAGGAAATGGGGCTCAACAGCTATAGGCCCAGCCCCCATTCTTTCTCTTTCCCTCTGCAGCCCAAAATATCACCCTAGTATGGTAGCACCTTCTAGATTTTTGGGGTGACAGAGATGGGGAGCAAGGAGAGGGGGCTAAATGTCTGATTTTTTTAAAAAAACCTGCAGTAGGAAGGCATGGAGATTAAACAGTAGGAAGAACAGTTATGCAGGAGCTGACACACTGCACACACATGCGTGTGCATGCACACACACTCATGCATGCACACACACACTGCATGCACACACACGTGCAAACACACACTGAGGGGAGAATGCAGGTAGCAGGAGAAGACTTAGGGAAGACAAAGGGTCACAGACATCTGCTCCCCACAACTGCCCTGGGTCTGTTCCTTCAAACCCCTTGGATGGGGGTCCCTCTTGGAGGATGGAACCCTCATTTCCTACTGGAAGCTGTGTCAGGTCCCTCTGGATTCTGTCCCCTGGGACAAGGGCTAAAGTGGAGAATTCAGCGTCACCTAGAAGCTCTGGAGAAGGGCTAGACAATCATTAACCAGGCGCCCTTCTTCCTCACCCCCACCCTGGGCTGGACTTCCTCAAGAAGGGCAGGTGGTGCCTCTCCACACCCAGGATGGAGCTCTGCCTGAGCTGCCAGGCAGCTGGAGGGGCACAGACCTAGGGTGGACACCTGCAGCTGGTACACATGACCTTTGGGGCTCATGCCCATCCCCAGGCTGTCTCTCATCCATGTCTCCACTCCAGTCCTCTTTATCTACCTTTTCCTCTGACCCCCTCTCATTTCTGCAGGGGCTCTGAGATAGGGAGACAACAGAAAAAGACAAACAGCGATGGAGATGAAAACTGTTGATTTGTGAGGGGCCTCCACAGAGAAAAACAGGGAAGGCAAGTTGGGACTGGATGGGGACCAAGCTTCCCAGGGATACGTGTGCCCAAACCCCACACATCTGGCCTGTCAAGAGCTCACATGCCTGTGTGCACAAACACACGCTCGCCTTGGGTCCTGCAGCTCACACACGTGCATGGCCCTTAACTCTGGCTGTGACAGGCAATGCCTATTCTTGACACTGACTGGGATAAGATCTTTGGTGGGCGTGGGGGTTTGGGTGGATTTGCCGCAGTTGGCTTTGCTTTCCTAGCAGTACTCAAAGGTTGAGGCCATGGAAGGGCTTGGGACAATCAGCAAGGCTGGCTGGGAAGAAGACACAAAGAGATAGGACCTTGCAGGAGAGGGGCCACCTCTGAGGCCACCCCTGCCTCCCTGGGCATACCTGGTGGCATCAGGCCTGATCCTCTACAATGTCTGTCCCTGCCCTTGCCTGCTACTTCCAGGCCTACCTCCAGCCCAGACCTGCCCAGGCCTGCCCAGGCCCTGCTCTACCCTGATGCTCTGTGGCTCTGTTCCTGGGACTCTTCCTGGGAGACAGAAGGGAGATGAGAGCTCAAGAACCAGCACCGAGATGCCAATCTAGCCGGCACCAGCTGCCTGTTCTCTGGGCACTCCTCCCTCATCTCACAGCCACCCAGCCTGCCTTTCCAGAGTGACAAAAGAGTGCCTGGGTGCCCCCTGCTCACCCTGATCCACACTTGGTGTCCAGAGACTTTTCCCCACACCTTCCAACCAGCGAGTCCTCCCTCTAGTGTTGCCCCATGGGCAGCTTGGGAAGTGGGGAAGGGGCTGCATCTGCTCCTGGTAAAAGTCATGTTTACGCCACTAATCGCTGCTTTCCTTCTCTCCAGGTAACAAGAAATGCATGCATCTACAGCAAGAAAGATGGATGCTACAGAGAGAGAGGGGGACTTCCTGGTGATGAGAGGAGGTGGAAATTATGCTCAGTGTCAGGAGGGTGGTGAGCCTCCTGCCACTTCTATGGCCCTTCTCAGTCCCCTGGCCCTGCAAAGGGCAGGACTCACCCCTGGAAGCGTCTTCTGTTCGTGCAGGGCGCTCTGGGCCTTCAGGGCTGAATCCCGGGCACAGTATGTCAGGAAGGCACATCCTGAGGAGGGGCAGGGGCAGAGAAACACGGCGGGGGGTGAGTCCTCCATCTCCCCTCTCTGAAAGGCTCCCTTCCAAAGACTGACGACTGGGAAGCTTTCCCTTCTTGTCATCTTCTGCCTGCTGGGGTAGAGAGGTGTCTCCAAGGGGTAGACTCTCTGCCCCAGAAGTGGGGCAGACACCTGGAGGCCTAAATACTGGTGGTGATGGGAGAGGGAGGACACTTGGGCTGTCAGGAGATGGGCTTTGTGTAGGGAGAGAAGGACCATGTGACCGCCAGACAAGTAAGAGTAGTGTGGCTTTCTCTCCTGCTGAGCTGTTCTCCTTTCCCCTCTCTCCCTCACCTCCACCTCCCTCCATCTTGATCACCATCATCCCTCTCTTCTCCCATTTTCCCTATTTCCTCATCTCTCCCCACCTCCACCATAGGCAGGTGGAGGACGGAGAGTGAAATAGAGAAGGGAAGGGAAGAACAGTTAGTTAGCCGGAAGTGCCTCTTCCCTGTGCCAGGTGGAGGGGGAGCTGGTGTGGCCCCTGGGATCCCCGGTGTGTGGAGCTCTCCAAGTGCTGACCCTGACCGCCCCCACTTAGCCGCACAGCCCTTGGATAGGCCTGAGGAGCACCCTCCCTTCTCCCCCACTCTCTTAACTTTCTAAGCCTCCCACACTTTCCAGATCTTTACCAATCTCCAGCCTTCATGCCCTGCTTCCTAGTCCCTCTCTTTAGTCCTGGAGCTGCCCTGCCCAGTCCAGCTCCACGCTTTCCACATTGAACACCTGACCCTGTGTCCTGACCCCCATCCCAATATTATCTGAGGCTGCTCAGATTCTCAGTCTTGCTGCACACGCACACACACACACACCCCTACCCAGCTGCTTATCTCCCAAACCAGCTCTCTTGTCCCTCCATTCTTTCTTGAGTTCATCCCATGACATCAACACACCCATATGTCTGGGATCCACATCTTTGCAGCCGTCTTGACAACTCTTCAGCCAAAAGAGGCCCTCCTTAGTCCTTCACCGGGGTTTCCTGATCACTCTAGCTGAGTTCTTTTTCAGCTCCTCCATCCACTTTCCTCAGGCCTGAACTCTTCTCCTTCCACATCAGCCCTTCCCAGCCGCTCCACCCCTCCAGCCTGGCTTAACTTCCCCCAGCCTCCCAGCCCACCCCGAAGCCTCTTCAGCCTGCCCGACCCCTCACCCTTGTGCAGCCCGGTGTACTTGTCCTTGATGACAGTCAGCTCAAAGATCCGACCAAACTGTTCGAAGATGGGCTTCAGGTCCTTCTCCTCCAGATGCCTCGGGATCTGCCCCACAAACAGCTTGATGGCATCCGGCTCCTTCATTGAGGCGGCCCAGGAGGAGGGGCCGAGGGGAGCAGGGAGAGGCCCAAAGGCCAAGGGGAGCTGCCCAGCAAGGAGATAAGTGGTGGGGCCCGGGGGCCCAGCTGGGGCTGGCTTTCCCTTTGGCCCCCAACCACGCTGCTAAGCAGAGGGGCGGCTCTTCACACAAAGGAGGCCCAGGGAGTTGAGTGCTAGGGGTCAGGGGTCTAGGCAGACGCTGTCATGCCACCAGGGGGCATCGCCTAAACAAACGATCTCCCTCCCAGAGATCTGGCAAATGTCCCAGGATGGGGGTGAGTATGGCCAAGACCTGGAGGGTTAGGTGGTAGCCGGGGGTGCTAGGGCTTAGAGGGCTGGGAACTGGGAGTTGAGATGAGAGCTGGAGGCGGGGAAAGGGCCTGAGGAGGGTGATGGGGAGGAGACTGAGGGGTTAAGGGGCCTGCTATGGTTGCCAGCAGCGTCAGTAAGGGGGGCCCACTCCTGATGTGGGGCAGGTGAATCTCTCGTTGGCTTCCCTGGGAGGACACCTCCCCTGTGGCGGATCCTTCTGCTGGGTCCGAAGATCCCTGATGCCAGATGCTTGATCTCTGATGGCGGCAGGGCTCCAGGGGTCCCTTTTGCCCTGCCGCCCCCCTTCAGGTCCTCCCCTCAGCCCCCCTCCCACCCCCACCCCAGTCCCCGGGCCTGGGCTGCTGCCGGCTGCTCCCGCCGCTGGGGCTGCCTGCTTTCCCGGTCACCTGGGTCCCGGAGCTCTGCTCTCCGGCCGCGCTCTCCTCAACAAAAACCTCCCCCCTCCACACCCCCCTCCCCACTCCCACCTCCTTTCCCCTGACATCAGTGATGTCAGTCTCAGGGGTCGAATACAAATTCTCTACCCTGGAGAGGGACGCACAATCCAGGCACGAGCCACGCCCTCTTTCTATCTCCATCCTCCCTGACTCCCTTCCCGCCCCCAGAAGAGCAGCTGGTCCTGTTGATAATAACCCTTCCCCCATCTTACTCCCCAGTCAGGAGTTGGGCAAAGCACTAAGATGGAGAATTTATAGAGGAACCCTAAAGTGGGGTCCATTGTTCCGGGGGCTGGAGCTGTCCCCGGTGCTGGAAGACTCAGCAGATGGGGGGTGGCGGGGAAAGAGGGGAGCCCGGCATCTGGGGAGCCCCAAGAGTAGAGAGTCAAGGAAAGAAATCAGGGGAAAGAAAAATGAGAAAGGACGGTTGCATAGGCTGAAGGGAAAGGAGATATAGATGGAGAGGGAAGCAGGTCGCAGAGTCTGGGGGAAAAAGAAAAAATGCAGAGAGGAAAAATGGAAAGGGACGTGGAGAAGGAGGAGCAGGATGAGAAGAATGCAGAAAGAGAACTGTATATTTTCCAGAAAAGGAACCAAGAAAAACGATAGCTTTCTGGCATTTGCCGATGCCCCCTTCTCTCCCTCTGGGGGGTTTGTGTGTATAAGTGCGTGGGCAGGGAGGCCGCGGAGGCGGCGCCGCGGGCGCTCTCACTTGTAAGCTCCTTGAAGACCAGGACACCGTTTAATTCAGCATCTTACTGTTCACAGTGTCTAGCACCCTGTCTTGCTCATGCGTAGCAGGAGCTTAACAAACACTCCATGCAAACAACCTCTGACAACAGTGGATTCCTGATTCCTTCAGTGGGAAGAACCACAGCTGTCAAGCTTCCCCTTAGGATGCAGAAACCCAATTACTCTTTCCTTTGCTTCTTTCTTCAGTTGGGTTCTTTGAGTTGGACTCAAATTGAGCCAGGTAGCACAGAAGAGCAGGGGAGGCACATTCGGGGACCATTGCTCCCCTGACCATGGATACTTCTATGGATGATTGGCAGGCTCCACGATCTGGAGGGAGCGTGACCCCTCCATGCACTGGGCCCACTCAGAGCACGCCCTCAGTGCAGGGATTATCTGTGGACATCAAACCTTGTCAGTGGTGGTAGCCCTTGCTTTCTGTCAGTGCTCAGCAACGGGGGCTCTCCTGGGGCTCTGGGCTTTTGTAGAGCACCCTGTCTTCCTGTCATTCCCTTCTTCTCCCCCGGGGTAGGGCTGCTGTTTCCACAGAGGCACTCGTGTCTCTAAACTGTGTCCCAGCTGAGTCCCAGGGGCCTCCATTCCTGAGCTATCACGGCAGGCAGGCTTCTCTTCTGGAAGGGAAATAATAGTAACAGCCAGTGCTTACATGGCTCTTACAGTGTCCCAGGCTTTGTGCCAAGTGCTTTATATTTACTAACTCCTAAACCCTCACCACCCCCCTATGATGTAGATTTTGTCATCTCCAAATAGAGAGGAGGTAACCAAGACACAGAGCTGAAATAACTTGCCTAAAGCCATGCAGCTAGAAAGAGGTCTAGCTGAGACTGGAGCCTGGGCAGTCTGGCTCCTGAGTCCACGCATTTAACTCCCACATCAAACATTCCTCTTGAGAATGGGAGCAGTGGTGAAGTCTGGCCTTTCTTCCTCTTCTGTCTCCATTTAAGCCCTGGATGAGAGAGAGTCTTTCTTTTTACTGCTTGATTCTGTGGACCACCTCCCATCCTTCCTTAGCCTGTTTTTTTGTTGTGGCCTGGAGCCACGCTCTGGCAGGTGCTTGCATTTGAGTGAATGTGTATGTGTGTAGACTTGATTACACTTCATCACATGGATGCCCGGGTCCCCCAAGTAGGGTCCCCTAAGATGGGGTGGCAGTGGGGGGAGGTGCTAGAGGACTCAGTGGTGGGTGCTCAGAAGAAGCGAATGACGGCAGAGCCAGGGAATCAAGAAGGGCACACACATCTTGAAAGTAACTTTCCACTCACCTACCCCACCCCCACTGCTCCTTTCCTTGCCTTCTAATCTGATCTTGGTATTTATGGAGATGCTAAACAGATCATGTCCTCTGAGGATGGAGAAGGGGAAGACCCTATGGCCCTGTTGATCTCATTACTCTATGTCTTCTCAGCAGATCTGCCGCCCTGCTGCTCATTCAGGCTTGGGGCTAATCATATTAATTGAAATATTAAACATTCACAAAAATGAATTAAAATGAACTCCCCTCACTCCTCCTCCCAGTCAGTAATTGGGGAGACAGCTGCAGACAGCAAAATGCGTCCAGTCCTTTGCTTAGTTTGTGGTCCCCAAAGGTGTCAGTCTGAGAGAAGAGGCAGGGTTTAGAGGAGAAGAGTTGTACCACTCATCAGACTCTCCTTGCTGAGTGACGGTGAACACATCTCTGGTGTTCTTTCAGGCCATGGGATGGGAGTCCTGTGAGGTAAAGGCAGGGGAGCCCTGAGACTCAGATGCCTATTCTGGAAAGTTTCTCTCTAGGAGAGAGAGAGGCTTCCAGGATACTTTCTCTGCCCACCACCCCCAAGCTCACCCTCTTTTTTATTCCTCTGCAGTCAAAGCTAGGCTGCCCTACATAAAAAGATTATTGAATTTATAAAGGGAGAGCTCTGATCCTGGCTTTAGATTCTTAGGAAATGAGAAATGCTGGATAATTGGGATATTTTTCAGAAAGGGCAAAATGTGGTGGTATGTGTGGGCAGAGTGGCTAGTCATGAAGTACTTACTGGCTTCCCTGATTGAATACAGAGTGAAGACATCTGCAGCAGAATTTATGAGAGTGCACAAAGAATTGATTCTATAACCTTCCTGCCCTCAAGTGGCTTCCACCTCAAGTGGAAGGTAAGACAGGCCAACACAATACATAATAGTGAGTACTGAGACGCTGTTAAAAAAACAAAAAGTAGCCCCTCTCATACATGGGCATTTGGGTCATAGGATGTGATCAGTGAAGAAAGGCTTGATTGATTATCAAAGCACAAGAAGATCACAGATTGGCAGACGGAGGGTATCAATCATTTCCTACTTGGAGGTGGGGAGGTAGAGAACACTGTGCATGCCTGTGTGTGTTTGAGTGTGTAGGTTTGCTGGTCCAGGCTCTGGCATTGTCTAATATAATACAAGCCACATATATGGTTTAAAAATGTCTAGTAGCCATATATAAAAGCAAAAAGAAACAAGAGAAATTACTTTTAATAATAAATGTTATTTAACCTGATATATCCAAAATACTATTTCAACATGTAAATCAATTACATGTTATTAATGAGATTTTTTTCATACCAAGCCTTCAAAATCCTGTGTGTATTTTATATTTGCTGCACATTTAACACCTACAGCCACTTTTCAAGTGTTCAAGAGCCACAGGTGGCTTGTGGTGACTGTACTGGCTGGCACAGCTCTGGAGGTGCCACCACCAGCTTCTCTGGAGGGAGTATGGGGAGAAAAGACAGATCTTGGCCAAGAGGAACCATTATCTCTGGTTAACCTCTTGCTCCTGCCGGGAAAAAAAAAATCACTTCTGACAGATGGCAGCTTATCTCTCTCTCACTCTATTAACTCTCTCTCTTAAAAAAAGACAATCAACCAAAATGATCACTAACCAAGATGGGGTTCCTGGGAAGTGGCTTGTAGCCCACTACCTAATTTACTTCTTGTGGTTTTCCCTGGCTTGGGAACTGCCAACACTTTCACTTCTTTTCCTCAGTCTTTGCTGGAAAGGACAGAAGCAGACCAATGATAACCCCTCCACGGCCAGGGCCTAATGCTGAGCTTGTTTCTCATGGTATTTTCTTGCTCCTTAGGGCAGTTGTTCACAAATCTGAAAAGACAGCCTCCCTTTTTTCTCCTGCTTCTCAGAAGGCCTCTGCTGAGCACGATCTCTGTGGGGGTAGGAGCTCGGCATGTGTGTATTGACAGACAGGCTCATGCCCTTTCTCGTGGCTATTTTCAGCTCTCTGGCTTTATGTTTCACTTTCTCTTCTTAATTAGATACTAGAAGAACAAATCTTGAAGACCAAATTCCCTTTCTCCTCCCGTATTCAGTTGGGAGTGGAATAAAATAATTTAGAATTTATGAGGAGCCCAGGGTGAAGAGAAAGTTAATCTACACAAAAAAGTCAGTCCAAGAGGGGGAAATTCTGGCAGAATGTCCCCCAGGTCCTTTCCAGCATCTTTAGTCGGACAGAACGTTCCTTCCTTTGCAGAACTCAGCTCACTCTATGTTCTGGGGTGCTTCCACGTTGTTTGAAGAATCCACGGCTCCAGTGTCGAATGTGTACCGGACAGAGGGACGGGTTGGCTTCTGGGACAGTGGAAAGGGAAGAAGCTTGGGTTCTCTTTCCCCAGTACTAGGCTTCCTCTAGCTTCTGTCCAAGTGAGGGAGTCTGGAAGCAGATTCGGGGAGACCTTTTTTCCTGTTTTACTCTAGAGCTAACAAAAAAACCCTGAAGTTGGGTGGGGTCAAAAAGGGCTCATTCCACATACAATTAAGTCCAGAAATCAGTCCCCCAATCCGGGAAAGGCGATCCTTTAGAGACCCACCCCCCAAGCCCCCGCCCCGGAGCTCACCCCTCAGTTCCCTCAGCCCCTAGCCCCTGCTTCGCTGAAGGGGCCGGGCTTGGGGGCAGGGCGGGGCCGGGGGCGGGGCCTCGCCGGCTCGCGGCCGGTCGCCTTGACGACCGCAGCAAGATGGAGACGCTGCCAGGCTTGCTGCAGCGGCCCGACCCCGGGGCGCTTAGCGCAGCGCAGCTGGAGCAGCTGCGAAAATTCAAGGTGGGTGCGCCCGCGCCCCCATCCAGCGTCCACCAAAGTGTAGCTGCCCCAGGACTGGGGCCCCAGACTGGGAAGAGAGCCGCCGAGAGAAGGGGAGCGGGAGCCTGTTCCCTGATAAAGTGGGGAGGGCGCAGGGGAGACCCCCGGCGGACCTCTAGGCGTCTGATCCCAGCACAGAGCGCGACGGGCATCTGAGAGTGCAGGAAGAACTAACTCAGGGACTCGGCCAGAGAAATGGGCCGAAATTACTGCCAGACACATCCGACCTTAGTAAAGGCCCCTCATCCTGAACAAGCGGCAGAATGATATTTTATCTGTAAGAAGATGGGTGGCTTAAACTTTCAAGCATCCTGGGGAAAGACTTGGGTTAAATGCGCACGCCGTTTCCCGCAGCCCTTCACATCTCCAGGGCTGAACCCTGAATCTGTCTCCTAATGGAAGTGACCCTTTGTTCTTGCCCCCCAGATTCAGACTCGGATTGCTAACGAAAAGTACCTAAGGACCCACAAAGAAGTAGAGTGGCTCATAAGTGGTTTCTTCAGGTAGGTGGTTTTCCAGGCTCTGGGATTTGTGGCACGCAGGGTTTTCTTCGTTATCTCTAGAGGTTTCCTTCAGTTATCTCTAAATTCTTAAAAATATGTCTATTCATTTACTTTAACCATAAGGATAAATACATACCTTATGACACTTGGAAGAGGGAATTTGGCGTTGCGAAACCCAACAGCCATCCACTGGGTGTAGAACACTATTCTCAACCATAGGAGCTTAACAAAATCACTAGTTGAACTTAAAACAAAAATCAGTTGTCTGGTTGGCCCTTCCCTACTTGAAAACATTACTGTAGAAAAATTCCAAGGGTTGGAAGCCACTCTTTTCTTGGGGAAGAGAAGACAATTTACCAGCGTATCCTGGAATATGTTCTTTCCTTCCCCCACCCTCCTTTCAGCCTGGCATTTGCTTGAATGGAAACATATCCTAATGGGATGAAGAAGGAGAATTAAAAAAATAAATCACGGAGCATCAGTGGATGAAAACAATAGAGCTATCTCAAATGCTGTTTGGTTATAGACAAATAGACAAGGTTTAAATAATTATAATGGCACCCATCTCCAGGCATTGTGCTGTTCCCCTACATTAGCACTTACCACACTGTATTGTAATTGAGCTGTCAATCTTCTGTTACTGGTCCAAAGCTCCGAGCTTGTGGAGTGTGTTTGTGTTCTCAGTGCCCACGCAGTGTGTGGCATCTTGGAACACTTTTGCTGATCCTCCCAGCACCTCCACAAAAGACAGGTGATTGTCATTTTTATTTTATAAGTGAGAAAATTTAAGCTTAGAAAGGTGAAGTACCTTCCCAAAGTTGCTGAACCAGGATTCAAACCCCTGGTTTTCCCACTGTATTGTGCTGTAAGCAGTCGGTCCCCATTTCCCCTCTGGACTGTGTGCTTATAGCCAGAGGTGGGCCCTCCCTTGTCTTCTCAAAAGTTGGCGAGGTCAGGCAAGGTGGCTCATGCCTGTAATCCCAGCACTTTGGGAGGCCGAGGCGGGTGGATCACCTGAGGTCGGGAGTTCGAGACCAGCCTGACCAACATGGTGAAACCCCGTCTCTACTAAAAATACAAAATTAGCCAGGCGTGGTGGCACATGCCTGTAATCCCAGCTACTTGAGAGGCTGAGGCAGGAGAATCGCTTGAACCCAGGAGGCAAAGGTTGCAGTGAGCTGGGATTGCTCCATTGCACTCTAGCCTGGGCAACAAGAGCAAAACTCCATCGCAAACAAACAAAAAAAAGTTGGCCAGGCAGATGCGTTGGCTCACGCCTGTGATCCCAGCACTTTGGGAGGCTGAGAGGGGTGGATCACTTGAGGCCAGGAGTTCGAGACCTGCCTGGCCAACATGAGGAAACCCTGTCTCTACTAAAAATACAAAAATTAGTCAGGCGTGGTGGCACGTGCCTGTAATCCCAGCTACCTGGGAGACTGAGGCAGGAGAATCGCTTAAACCTGGGAGGCAGAGGTTGCAGTGAGCCGAGATTGCGCCACTGCACTCCAGCCTGGGCGACAGAGCAAGATTCTATCTCATGAAATAAAAATTAAAAAAACTCACTATTCATATTATAGACGTTTCTCCAAGTGGCAACAAATTCTCAGAGGGCAGATAGGGGAAGGAAACAGAGAAAACTGAAACCTATCCAGTTATGAAGGTTGGCCAGGGATAAGCCTTGGGCAAAAGAGAGTTTAGGGATCCTCTGTCAATATCAGACCTGAGGATCAGGCCGTCACCTTTTGCAACTTTTCTTCTAAAGGGAAATAAGATGATATCGTTCCTATCCTGGGGAGCTTGCTCTCCAAGTTAGTAGTAGTTCCAGCAGAGAGATTGGGGATAGAAGTTAAAAGCTGAAACTAAATCAACATTTGCATTGCTCACAAACAACAGGATTAGAATGCTTGGGGTTGATGAATAAGAATGAGTTGTTTCAGTCACCTGTCAGAGATGGCCTTGATTCTCTCTTTGTCCAGGAACAGTTTCCAGGAGCAGCCTGGGTATCTGAGACTGGCTGCTGTGGGAACAGCCCCAGATACTTCCTTTCCTTTCTTACCATGTTCCTGTCAAGGCCAGGTAGGCCACCAGGTTTTTCTTTTTGCTGTCCCTAAAGCTACTCTACCTGAAATTCTTCTGACCTCTTTTCCTGGGTGGAGCTTGCAGAGGGTTTAGTGTTTGAAGTTTTAGGGTTTACTTTTGTTTGTTTGGTGTCATTGTTCCCTTTGATTGGTACCGGGATGAACCAGAATCAGCTTCTGTCCCTGCTGGCCACCTCACATGGTCCTTCCTATGAGAAAAGAAGAAGGGAGAAGTGAGGGCAGAGTCCTGAGCACCGTGCCTGTCCTTGTCTGTTCTGCAGATATCTGCTGTTGATACATTCCAAGCCAAAAGAAGCTCTGAAGGGTTCTTTCTGGGAAGCAAACTCCCCACTTGGGTTTTTTAGATCCTAATGATTTATGGCCATTCAGCCACAATTCTCCAGCCTATATTGGTAAATACAGCGTACCAAACTCTTAACACCTTGAGTTTTGGACCTGAAAAATGGAAAGAGTAGGAATCTGACTTATTTTAAGGTACACAGAAACCTCAGGTTTTGTGCTGCAGATATGATAGATAGCCAGGTATGAAATTGTAGAAAGTATTTTTTTTTTTTTTGAGACGGAGTCTCGCTCTGTCGCTTAGGCTGGAGTGCAGTGGTGCGATCTCAGCTCACTGCAACCTCCGCCTCCCGTATTCACGCCATTCTCCTGCCTCAGCCTCCTGAGTAGCTAGGACTATAGGCACCCGCCACCACGCCCGGCTAATTATTTTGCATTTTTTTTTTTTTAGTAGAGACGGGGTTTCACTGCGTTAGCCAGGATGGTCTTGATCTCCTGACCTCATGATCCACCTGCCTGGGCCTCCCAAAGTGCTGGGATTACAGGCATGAGCCACCGCACCTCGCCTTTTTTTTTTTTTTTTTTTTGGAGACGAAGTCTCCCACTGTCATCTGGGCTGGAGTGCAGTGGCGCAATATCGGCTCACTGCAGCCTCCACCTCCTGAGTTCAAGCTATTCTCCTGCCTCCACCTCCCAAGTAGCTGGGATTACAGGTGCCTGCCACCAGGCCCGGCTAATTTTTTGTATTTTTAGTAGAGATGGGGTTTCACTATGTTGGCCAGGCTGGTCTCAAACTCCTGTCCTCGTGATCTGCCTGCCTCGGCCTCCCAAAGTGCTGGGATTACAAATACAGCAGTAATCATGTCCTTCCTTGGCTGGAAAAATCTTCAGTAGTTCCACAACGTTGCTTTTTTGGGTTTGTTTTTAAAAATTCTATTGAAATATACTGAAAAGTGACATATCCTAAGCTGGATGAACTGTCAGAGGGTGAAAATACACATGGTACTATTGTTCAGATGAAGAAATAGAACCTTACCAACACCTCACATCCTTTGTGCCCCTCCCAGTCACTCCCCTTAAAACAGTAGCCAGTATCCTGACTTCTACTAGCACGGATTTATTGTGCGCTTTTGTATTTTATATGAATGGAATTTTACACTATGTGCTCTTTTGTGCCTGTTTCCTTTTGCTCAGTCGTATCTTGTAGATCCTCCATTCTCACTGCTGTATAATATTCCAGCATGTGTTATGCCATGTTTTGTCTATTTCCATTGTCTTTCAGATTGAGTATAAATGTCCCTCCCCAGCATTCAAGGCTCTCCGTAATAGAACCTCTTCTGTTTCCCACTACTCCCTGCATGCGTCCCTCACTCAAGCCAGACCACATTTCTGCTCATTCTGCTGACCCTATGGAGCTCAGGCACAGATGCCTCTTGAGTGCTCTTTTGGACTCAAGATAGAAAGGTGTCTACAACCCACTTCCTACTCTCAAGGAAGTCATAGTCTATAGAACACAAACTGTTTCTCTTTCTGGGCCTTTGCTCTTGCTGTTTCCCTGGATCTGGAATGTTTTTGTCCCTCAACCCTCATCCTGCCTACTACAATCCCATGTGTACTTCAAGGGTCCTCTCAAATGCCAGCTGCTCTGTGAAGATTGTTGGGGTCCCCCTCTCAGTAACCTCTCTCCCCACTCTGATCTCCCAGAGCACTATTTAATACTCCTCTTTAGCACTTGTCAGAGGTTCCTTGGCCTTTTGGACATTTGGAAACTAACCTCTTCCTTTTTACTTACCTGTAAATTATTTGAGGTAGGGCTATATTTTATTTTATTTTGAAAAAAGCAGTCACTCATATCTAGTGCAATTACTTGCACATAATTTGTGCCCAATAATTATCAAAATGAATTGAAGGAGAAGGGGGGCAAAATTCTTGAAGGTTAGGAAGGAGGGGCTTCTTGGGGAGTTGGGAGGCCTTGGCCAAGAGAACATATTATAGAGGGCACTGACCTTGGAGTCACAAGACCTGGGCCCTCTTTACTTCATTTACCAAGTTTATGAACTTGGGCAAATCATTAATCTTTTGAAGGCTTGGTTTCTTTGGATGTAAAATGGGGGCATAATAATGGTTGTTTCACAGGGTTGTTGTAAAGTGAGACAATATTTGTGAACATACTTTATGAACCATAAAACTCTATGCAATGTAAGGCATTTTCAACTCTCTAGTGGCATTGGCCCTGCAGGTGTTACCACAGTGTCTCCTTGCTGGACTGAGGGGCCAATAACCATCTGCGGTCCATCTTTTAGCTCTGTTTATTGTATCTCCCTCTGCCCCTTGAATTCATGGTTAAGCTTACTCAGGACATTGTGGGGCTGCATATCTCCCACCATTCGTGGGCCGGCCGGCATGTTCTTCATCTTTGCCTCTTGCCCCTGGCTTGAGATCTGGTTCAGTGAAAATGATCGTTGAGGCCGGGTGCCGTGGCTCACGCCTGTAATCCCAGCACTTTGGGAGGCCGAAGTAGGAGGATCGCTTGAGCCTGGGAGTTAGAAACCAGCCTGGGCCACATAGTAAGACTCTGCCGCTACAAAAAAAAATTAGCCATCGCACATGCCTGTAGTCCCAGCTAGTCGAGAGGCTGGAGATGGGAGGATCTCTTGAGCCAGGGAGGTTGATCGCGCCACTGTACTCCAGGCTGGGTGACAGAGCAAGACGCTGTCTCAAATAAATAAATAAATGCACACATAAACAAGATTGTTGACGGAATGACAAGCCCCACTTGGCTGCAGCACAGCTCTTTCTCGACGTAAGCAATATCCTAGTGTATTGCCATTTAGGATGCTTCACTCCTTGCCTTAGATACGGAGTTGAAGGAAAATCATGAATGAAAGGGTCTTTGTCAGGAGTCTGCGGATTTATTGACTCCCAAGATGGTTGTGTCTCAGGTTCATCTGTGAAAGTACAGGACCTGAAACAGTAGCCACAGCCTGCGTTAAAGTCTACTTTACCTCCCATCCTATCCCTTAATGTTTTCCAGAGAAATATTTTTGAAAAGACCAGACAACATCCTAGAATTTGCTGCAGGTGAGTAAGGCAGCGTCGGTTTTGGGTATCTGACAAAGCCAGCGCAGGGAGCATGATTGTGAGTTTAGACTTGAATGAGCCCAGGATTCTCCCAGAGTCTGGGGTACTCCTTCACCTGATGTCCCCAAAGGGAGCTTTTTTCAGCTTTTTCTTTCCTCCATCATCATTTCCTCAAAATGAGGACAGACAAGAAATGAGGCAGAACTTCCTCATGGTGAGGATTGTTAAGAATTTTGAGATTCCCAAAGGAACATAGCGGCAGTTTTTCCCTTGGGAATCTTAAAGCAGGGTTCTCAACCCTAGCTGTACATCAGAATCACCTGGGGAGCTTTTAGAACTACTGATGCTCAGTCCCCACCACCAGAGAGTTTTATTTAATTAGTCTGGGGTGGGGCCCAGCATACATAGCTTTAAAGACTCCCCAGGTGATTCTAATGGACTGGCTGCCTTAAGGTCAACGGTATTTAGAGGGAAAGGGATGGATTGGACGATTTCTTGGTTCCTGTTAGTCCTGAGAATTGGTTACATCCCAGACCTCAAACCATTGCTAACAGAATCTCAATACGCCTTTGCTAGCGCAGCAGATGCTGCCTCTGATTCACAGTATGCTGGGTGTATAAAAACCCTCATCTGGCGTCATCCTGCGAGAGCCTGGCTCTCCTCTGAGAGGGTATTCTCAGAGAAGGCGTGATAGCTCAGAGACAGGAGCTGGCAAGCGGAGCTGAGACAAGAATAATACTTGGCATTTATTTGGGCCCCAAGATGGGCCTGGAGCAGAAAACCCAGAGAATCCCTGAGCCCTCTGATGGCTCTCTGTGCGTCAGCAGGCGGAGGAGCAAACGGTGCGACTCGGGGTAGGTGGGGGGTGGGGGGTGGGGGGTGGGGCCAGGCACAGCGTGGAGGGGAGGCAGCCAGCCTCTGGGAGCCCTTCCTGGGAATGTTGGAGCTGGCAGAATCAGAACTGCTCGGGTGGGGGCAGTGACCGTTCATTTTACCATATTACATTGTAAAGCAGGGCCACCAGTAGTAGCAGTCCTGCGTACCAAGCCATCCTAACTTTTTGGTGGAGTAAGCTGTCTCCTTCCATGGGTAAATCTTTTCCCTTTGGGTATAGATGATGTCTTCTTTTTGATTTTTATCCCAGACTACTTCACGGATCCAAGACTTCCCAACAAGATTCACATGCAGCTAATTAAAGACAAGAAAGCGGCTTAATTAGCAAAATCATGATGCTCAGCTGTTGGGAGAGACCAGACGGAATCCAGCCTCGGGGTGGGTGTTAACCTCACTTACAGACAGAGGCTTCTTTACTCTTGTGAAAATAAGCTCTGGTTTATTGGTCCAGGGTGTGAAAGAAATCAAGTGGAGAATTTAAAGAGAAGTTTAATGTAAATGTTTAGTTTTTCCTCTACTGTTTTGGGGAATTAGGGACTGTGAAGAGAGGCCCAGGGTTGATCTGTCATGTCAGTAGCAGGAAGCTTCTTAATGTAGTGGAATGGATTAAGGGAATGGAAGTGGAAGTACAGTAGTTCAGGGGTAAAGATGGCAACAGGGAAATGGGGAGGGGGCCATTAGCATCAATATGATGTTCCTGCTGGTGGCCTTTCCTGTGTGACCTTGGTGGTGAGAGGGGAGACGGTTCCATTGCTTCTGGAAGGGGTGTGAGCAGTTTCCCTCCTTGCTTCTTGGATTGGGCACTTTCCCACTCCTGCCTCATCTTCAAGCCAGGCTGTGCCATTAAGGCCACCACACGTTTTTCAGGCAGAATGATTCCTGAAATGATATTGAAAGCTGGGATTTAAAAAAAAAATGTGAGGTGGGAAAAGGTCACACTCCTAATTTGGTGGAACCATTTCTGTTTTGCAGGGTCATCTGGAGGCATGAGAGCCCTACTGCCATCAGTGTGGGTTTCCAAGCTGCCTTGGGCTCTGTCTACTGTCGCAAAAGCTTTTAAAGATATTCATTAAACACGGACCTTCCTGCTCTCTCTGCTTTATTTCACTCAAGAGGAGGAAGCCATCCTTCAGGGGAGGGCTGCTGTGCCCCACTTTGACGTGTGAGGCAGCCGGCCTGTTTCTGCTTTCAGGGCGGCCAGGGGCCTCTTGCTGGGTCAGTGGGCTGTCGTGCCCACCCCCTGGGAAGAACACAGCTGATCACGGGGGCACAGAAACAAGCAAGTCCATGCTTCAGCTGTGGTTTTGTTTTCTTGTTTATCTTACTTCCTGGGTTACTGTACAGAGTGTAAGGTGATGATTAACTTTGATTTCCATAGAAGCAATTGTAAGAGGAATCGGGCTGGAAGGACATCAAGAGAATGTGAGATTAGCCACAGAAAACCCATTCAGGGTCATGGATATTGTGAAATATGTGCCCAACAAGGGATTTGGGAGTTGTGGGCTTTGTTCTTGAGGATTTTTGGGAACTTGCTGCCCATCCACTTGATTTCAGGTAAGAGGTATGGGAGTGGACCAGATGGCCTCAGTAAGTCCTTTTCAGGCCTAGGAGCTTGCGGGGGGTCTTTCATGGTTATGTCCTACCCCTCTGGCCTGCACGATGCACTGGCTCCACTGTAGAAAGAACCTCTCACCTGTGCGTTATTTGTCAACATCACCGTAGCAACAGAAGCCCAGACCAAAGCAGGGGTTGTATTATTTTTATTTCCCTTGTCTCTGTCGGCCTTGTTCCTAGCTGCCATCACTTGCAGTAGCAGAAAGGGCAACAAAACAGGGTGTTTAAAGAACTATTAAAACTACACATAATAAGCTATGGAATAGGAACCTGAGGAGTTATTTTTAGTGCCTTCAGAGTCACACTTCGGGAGCTATGGCACTGACAATAAGATACCCTTCTTTAGAAAATCCAGACGAACCCTTCAGCAAAAAACACACACCTACTAAGGATCTCTGATGTGGAGTGTTAGATTAGACAATGCGAGAACCTTTCCTGGGGAAAGAGACCTGGAACAATGTGGGGAGAGAGCAAAGTGTTCTCCAAGATGCTGTAGCACATGATTTAATACTGGGAGAGTATAGTGGTTCATTCTTGGGGTGGTTTCCTGGCAGAAATAAGAAATGCATTTCTTTTAAAATATTTACACTTAAGGTACATTTCAATGCCTTCCTGAGTAAAGAATGAATTTAGCACATGTTCATAGGGCATCTGCTTTGTGTGAGATGCTGTTTTATGTCCTGGGGGCAAGACATAAAGACAGTCCCGCCATAGAGTTATTTATAGTCTGAGGAGATGGGCTTATTTTCTGTCTGAATATCTCACCTATTTGACTGAAAGCACCATGAGGGCAGGGAGCAAACCTAAAAATCTAACTGGTTCACTACTGAATTCCTGACTCCTAGCAGTCTTTGGCAAATAGCAGGAAATCAGCAAGCATTTGCAGAGAAAATGATGCCTGCATAATTGAATGAGCAGTCGCATTACATCAATTGCTATATTGGCAATTACATACCTCTGATGGAAGTAGGTACATAATATAAGGGGAGGTAGAAGAAAAAGCACCAGGTTTGCCTGGGAGGGTGAGGTCAATCCCACGAGAACTGGCATGTGATGGATTAGAAAGGGTTTGCTGGCCAGGCCCGGTGGCTCATACCTGTAATCCCAGCACTTTGGGAAGCCGAAGCGGTCAGGAATTTGAGACCAGCCTGGCCAATATGGTGACACCCCGTCTCTACTAAAAATACAAAAATTAGCCAGGCGAGGTAGCGCGCGCCTGTAGTCCAGATACTCAGGAGGCTGAGGCAGAAGAATCACTTGAACCCGGGAGGCGGCAGTTGCAGTGAGCCGAGATCGCGCCACTTCACTCCAGCCTGGGTGACAGAGCGAGACTCCGTCTCAAAAAAAAAAAAAGAGTTTGCCAGGTAGACCTGGGAAGAGGGTAGTCAAGAGCACCTTGGTGCTTCCACTCTGCTGAGCAGGATGGTGCTGGCAGGTCCTGTTTGTCACCTGCTCGCCCTTATCCTTTTCTTTCTTGCTAACGGAACTCCAGGTTTGTTGAGGGCAGCAGTGGATTCAGCCCCAGGTAGTGGATGGAATTTGACCTGGGCCAACCGTAACAATGGCATTCCCTGACTTCCCAGGCTTCCTTGCAGCTTGGGGTAGCCATTTGTTCATAAGCTAGAGGTAAAAGTGTGCTGGGGGTTCTACAAAAACCTTTGCTTTTCTTAATGAAAAACCGGAGTTGGGGACAACAGATTAGGTTGGAATAGCCCTTCCCTTTCTGATTTGGACCTGAATGTGATGTCTCGAGCTGTACAGCCATTTTTTTTTTTTTCGTGAGACAGAGTGTCACTCTGTCGCCCAGGCTAGAGTGCAGGGGCGCGATCTTGGCTCAGTGCAACCTCTGCCTCCCAGGTTCAAGCGATTCTCCTGCCTCAGCCTCCTGAGCAGTAGGATTACCGGCATGTGCCACCATGCCCAGCTAATTTTTGTATTTTTAGTAGAGACAGGGTTTCACCATGTTGGTCAGGCTGGTCTCAAACTCTTGGCCTCATGTGATCCGCCCACCTTGGCCTCCCAAAATGCTGAGATTACAGGCGTGAGCCACCACACTCAGCCTGAGCAGCCATCTTAAGACCATGAGGTAATCAGTGTGAGGGTGAAAGCCAGACCTCTAAAACAGCAGAAAGGGAAGACGGGGAGACCCTGGGGTCCTGATGGCATTTCTGATCACTTAAACAGCCCAGAAATCACCCACCTACCTTCAGACTTCTTGGCAAATGAGAATAGTGAATCTCTTTTGTTTCAAAATCAAACCAGAGTTTACATCCTGATCCACCACTTACTAGATGTCTGGCCTTGTCCAAATCACTTCACTTCCTTGAGCACTGGGTTTCTCATCTATAAGACCTACAATACCCACCTTTCCAGGTCGTTTGGATTAGAGATAAAGAATGGACAGTACCTGGTGCATGGGAGGTGTTTGCTAGTGGCGTGCCCCCTGGTGATGTATGAAGTACAAGGGTAGGGGTGGTGAGAGGAAAAGTCAGAAGAGAAGGTAGGACAAATCAAAGGGTGCTGTGTACTAGGCAAAGGAGGTTAGGTTTTCATCATGTAGGCAATGGAGAGCCAGCAAAGAATTGTAAGCCGAGGGGAATTTATAAAGAGATTTGCACTGAGAAAGTATAATAGCGTGGAAGACAAATTAGGGGAAACTAAGTCTAGAAATGGGAAGACCTGTAGGGAGACGATCATAATTGTCCAAGCTGGTCAGGCATGGTGGCTCACGCCTGTAATCCTAAGCACTTTGGGAGGCTGAGGTGGACTTGAGGTCAGGAGTTCGAGACCAGCCTGGCCAATGTGGCGAAACCCTGACTCTACCAAAAAACCCCACTAAAATTAGCTGGGTGTGGTGACGCACACCTGTGTTCTCAGCCACTCAGGAAGCTGAGATGGGAAGATCGCTTGAGCCTGGGAGGTCAAGGCTGCAGTGAGCCGAGATCACGCCACTGTACTCCAGCCTGGGCAACAGTGAGATTCTGTGTTTTTGTTTTTTTTTGTTTGTTTATAATTGTCCAAGCTGTCATTTTCTCTCACCTGCACCACTTCAGTTGCTTCTTACCCTGGTCTCTTTGCTGACTCTCTGTCCACTATTTCAGTTGAGAATGTATTTAGCTGTAGGTAACAGAAAACCAAATTTATAGTGACTTAAACAAATACGGGGTCATTTTTCTCACCTAACAAGTTCAGCAGTAGGCAAGAGTCAAAGGGTCAATGATGTTGACAAGTACCCAGACCAGGTTTTTTCTGTCCTCACTCTGCCAGCCTTAGCCTGTCCCGTCATGGCTGTGAGGCCTCCTGCACTCTCAGGTGTCCTCTTTACATTTCAGGCAGGGAGAAGGGCAGAGAGCTGCGCCAGCTGACTGTGTCCCTTTTTATCAGCAAAGACAAACTTTCTCCGAAGGTCTCCCACCTCTCCCTCACTGGCCAGACCAGGGTCTTGCGGCCCATCCTCAACAGAGACCAGGAACAGGAGGGAAACTGCTGGGTCAGCCCCAAATCAGCATCTGCCCCACCTGCACTTTCTGATCCATCTTCCATGTAACAGCTAGGATAATTCTTTTTTTAAAGTTTTATTTATTTATTTTTGAGACAGTCTTGTTCTGTCACTCAGGTTGGAGTACAGCGTACTTCACTGTAACTTCAAACTTTTGGGCTCAAACAGTCCTCTTACTTCAGCCTCCCTAGTACTAGGACTACAGGTATATGCCACCACTGATTTTAAAAAAAAATTTTGTAGGCTGGGTGCAGTGGCTCAAACCTGTAATCCCAACACTTTGGGAAGCCAAGGCAGTGGACTACTTGAGGTCAGGAGTTTGAGACCAGCCTGGCCAACATGGTGAAACCTCATCTCTACTAAAAATACAAAAAAAATTAGCCGGGCATGGTGGCACACACTTGTAATCCCAGCTACTTGGGATGCTGAGGCAGGAGAATTGCTTGAACTCAGAAGGCAGAGGTTGCAGTGAGCTGAGATTGAGCCACTGCACTCCAGCCTGGCTGACAGAGCGATCTTTTAGAATGATCTTTTAAGAAACTGAAATCAGAGTACGCCCTCTCCTGCACTCTCAGTGTAACCTCCGCCTCCCGGATTCAAGCAATTCTCCTGCCTCAGCCTCCTGAGTAGCTGAGATTACAGGTGTGTGCCACCACACCCAGCTAATTTTTGTATTTTTACCAAGTTGGTCAGGCTGGTCTCGATCTCCTGACCTCGTGCAGCTGCTCAATACGCATTTGCTGAATGATAAATCGATGGGATGTTGGAAGACTGAACTGCAGGATGAGGCCTTGATATATGCAGTGGCATGAAAACAGGAGGTGAATTCTAGACATATTTAGGAAGGGGAATTGGCAGGACCTGTAATTTGAATGGGGTGGAGTTATTACAGAAGTTGTAGATTCTAGAATGACTTCCAGGTTTCTTGCATGGGAAAGAAGAGGAATGCTGGAATCATTCACTAATACAGAGGGGAAGCAGGTAGGGGCAGGGGAAATGGGGAGATGAATTTTGGCCAAAAGTTTTCCACTGAGTTTGCAGTTGGGTCATGGTGATGTGAACATGAATAGCTTCAGTGGGGTAGGCAGAAGTCAGATTGCGGTCAACTTGGTGGCAATTGGGAGATGAAGACATGGAAGTAGATATACACTGCCCTTGAAGACAGCTTTCTAGGAGCATGGATGGGAGAGGAAATGGAGAAAGGGCAGTCGTTGGAGGGGGAAGCAGGGTCAAGGGTGGTTTCTTGTAATGGGAGATGCTTGAGCATCCAGTAATTGGACGCTTTCATCTCTTCTGATATATTTTACTTTTAAGGTAAAGTTAGGAGTGTCTTGGAATTGCTGCTCAGATTGGATCTGATATCCAGAGAGCAAATACACGAGCTAATAAGCTGGCTACAGGCAGGCATGCTTTGCCACCTAGTGACCTTCAGCAACCCCTCTGTGTCAGGTTCCTGATCTTCAAAATTGGAGCAGTAGCTCTCCCTAGGCTTGCAGTAAGGATTGCCTCAGTGTGTGGTTGCCTTGCTGTGTCCACGGGGTGGGAAGGAAGGGCAATGTCTGGAAAGCAGGCCACTCTCAGTCTAGCTGGACTGGTCTCTGCTGCCCTCTCCTGGGCATGTCTGCAGAGTTGACATGCTGTTTGGAGAATGCCTGCTCAAGGCCTGAGTGGAATGTCAGCAGGAGGGAGAGAAGAGGAAACAAGGCTGGGCTGGGAGTGGGAAAATAGTAACAAACACACAGATTCCTGTAATAGAAAGTTCTTTAGATGTTACAAAGACCAGGGCCTTAGCCCTGGGCAGTGCTGCTTCAATGAGTACCTTAGACGTTTACTTCTTTCTTTTTTTTTTTGAGATGGAGTCCATAGGCTGGAGTACAGTGGTGATATCTCAGCCCACTGCAACCTCTGCCTCCTGCATTCAAGTGATTCTCATGCCTCAGCCTCCCAAGCAGGTAGGATTACAGGCATGTGCCACCATGCCCAGCTAATTTTTGTATTTTTAGTAGAGATGGGGTTTCACCATGTTGGCCAGGCTTGTCTCAGACTTGTGATCTCAAGTGATCTGCCCACCTTGGCCTCCCAAAGTACTTGGATTACAGGCATGAGCCACCATACCCATTCAATGTTTACTTCTTTAAAGTATCTGAAGAGAAACCTTGCAAATTGATTATTCATTCATTTATTCATTCACTTATTCACTCATTCAACAAATATTAGGGCGTATTATGTACTCAAGATGCAAAGTTTTGGGAATAAGACACACTCCTCAAGGAACTCATGGTCTAGTGAGTGAAGACAGATACATAGATACATAGATAATTACAGTACAGTTTCAAAAGTAAAATGTAAGATGTACAGTGTATTCTTGATTACATGTATTCAATAGTTAATATGTTTTGGATCTGTGTCCCCACCCAAATCTCAGGTCAAATTGTAATTCCCAATGTTGGAGGTGGGGCCCGGTGGGAGGTGATTGGATTAGGGAGTGGTTTCTCATGAATGGTTTAGCACCATCCCCTTGGTGCTGTTCTCATGATAGTGAGTTCTCATGAGATCTGGTTGTTTAAAAGTGTGTAGCACCTTCCTACTCTCTATTGGTCCTGGTCCTGCCATGTAAGATACTCATTCCATCTTTGCTTCTGCCATGATTCAGAAGCAGATGCTGCCATGCTTCCTGTACAGCCTATGGAACCATGAGCCAATTTTTCTTTATAAATTACCTGCTCACAGGTAGGTTTTTTGTGTTTTTTTTTTTTTGAGATGGAGCCTTGCTCTGTTGCCCAGGCTGGAGTGCAGTGGCACAATCTTGGCTCACTGCAACCTCTGCCTCCCAGGTTCAAGTGATTCTCCTGCCTCAGCCTCCTGAGTAGCTGGGATTACAGGTGTATGCCACCACACCTGGCTAATTTTTTGTATTTTTAGTAGAGACAGGGTTTCACCATGTTGGTCAGGCTGGTCTCAAACTCCTGACCTTGTGATCCACCCACCTTGGCCTTCCAAAGTGCTGGGATTGCAGGCATAAGCCACCACACCTGGCCTTCAGGTATTTCTTTATAGCAATGTGAGAACAGACTAGTACATAAAATTGGTTCTGAGGAGTAGGGCATTGCTATAAAGATACCTGAAGATGTGGAAGCAGCTTTGGAATTGGGTAACTGGCAGAGGTTGGAAGAGTGTGGTGTGGAGGGCTCAGAAGAAGCCAGGAAGATGAAGGAAAGTTTGGAACTTCCTAGAGACTTGTTAAATTGTTGTGACAAAAATGCTGATAGTGATATGGATAAAAAGTCTAGGCTGATGAAGTCTCAGAAGGAGATGAGGAACTGATTGGGAACTAGAGCAAGGTCACCTTTGTTATATATTAGTGAACAATCTGGTGGCATTGTGCCCCTGCCCTAAGGGATCTGTGGAACTTTGAACTTGAGAGTGATGATTTAGGGTATCTGGTGGAAGAAATTTCTAAGCCACAAAGCATTCAAGATATGGACTGGCTGTTTCTAACAACCTATCTCATATGCATGAGCAAAGAAATGATGTAAAACTGGAACTTACATTTAAAGGGGAAGTAGAGCATAAAAGTTTTTGAAAAATTTGCAGCCCAGCCATGTGGTAGAATAGAAAAGCCCATTTTCAGGGGAGAAATTCCAAGCAGGCCACAGAAATTTGCATAAGTAAAAAGGAACCAAGTGCTAATATCCAAGACAATCGGGAAAATGCCTTGAAGGCATTTCAGAGACCTCCACATGCAGTCCCTCCCATCATACACCCGGAGCCCTAGGAGAGAAGAATGGTTTCAGGGGCCAGGCCCAGGGTCCTGCTGCCCTGCGTAGCCTTGGGACACTACTCCTCATGTCCTAGCTACTCCAGTTTCAGCCATGGCTCAAAGGGGCCAAGGTACTGCTTGGGCCACTGCTTCAGAGGATGCAAACCCTAGGCTTTGGTGGCTTTCATGTAGTGTTAAGCCTGTGGGTGCACAGAGTGCAAGAGCTGAGACTTGAGAACCTCTGCCTAGATTTCAGAGGATGTATGGAAAAGTCTGGATGTCCAGGCAGAACCCTGCTGGTAAGGGTGGAGCCCTCACAGAGAACCTCTAGTAGGGCAGTGCAGAGAGGAAATGTGGAGTTGGAGCTCCCTGACACAGTCCCCACTGGGGCACTGCCTAGTGGAGCTATAAGAAGAGGGCTACCACCTTCCAGACCCTGAAATGTTTGAGCCACTGACAGCTTGCACCCTCAACCTCAAAAAGTTCCAGTCACTCAATGCCAGCCCATGAGAGCAACTATAGGGGCTGAACCCTGCAAAGCCTTAGGGGCAGAGCTGCTCAAGGCTTTGGGAGCCCACTTCTTGCATCAGTGTGCCCTGAATGTGAGACATGGAGTCAAAGGAGATGATTTTGGAGTTTTAAGATTGAATAACTGCCCTGCCCGGTTTCAGACTTGTGTGGGGCCTGCAGCCCCTTTCTTTTGACCAATTTCTCCCTTTTCAAACAGGAATATTTACCAAATGCCTGTACTTTCATTGTATCTTGGAAGTAACCAATCTGTTTTTGATTTTACACGCTCATAGGTCGAAGGGACTAGCTTTGTCTCAGATAGACTTTGGACTTTTGACTAATGCTGAAAGGAGTTAAGACTTTGAGGGACTGTTGGGAAGGCATGATTGTATTTTGCAACATGAGAAGGACATGAAATTGGGAAGGGTCCAGGGGTGGAATGATATTTTTGGATCTGTGTCCCCACTCAAATATCATGTTAAATTGTAATCCCCAGTGTTGGAGGTGGGCCAGGTGGGAGGTAATTGGATCACGGGGGAGGGTTTCTCATGAATGGTTTAGCACCATCCCCTTGGTGCCTTTCTTGTGATAGTGAGTTCTTGTGAGAGCTGGTTGTTTAAAAGTGTGTAGCACCTCTCCCCACCCTTGATCCTGTTTCTGCCATGTAAGATGCTCTCCCCAACTTTGCCTTCTGCCATGATTAGAAGCTTCCTGTGGCCCCCCCTGGAAGCACATACTGCCATGCTTCCTGTACAGCCTGTGGAACTGTGAGCCAATTAAATCTGTTTTCTTTATAAATTGCCCAGTCTCAGGTATTTCTTTATAGCAATGTGAGAACAGACTAATACAATAGCTATAGCTGCGTTAGGCCAATTTTTTTTTTTTTTTTTTTGAGATGGAATCTCACTCTGTTGCCAGGCTGGAGTGCAGTGGTGTGATCTCAGCTCACTGCAACCTCCGACTCCCTGTTTCAAGCGATTCTCCTGCCTCAGCCTCCTGAGTAGCTGGGATTACAGGCACACACCACCATGCCCAGCTGATTTTTTTATTTGTAGTAGAGACGGGGTTTAACCATGTTGGCCAGGATGGCCTCGATCTCCTGACCTCGTGATCCACCTGCCTCAGCCTCCCAAAGTGCTGGGATTACAGGCGTGAGCCACCACACCTAGCCAGGACTAATCTTGAATAAAATCCAAACACAATGTCTGTTTGGCTTTGAAATACAACACTGTATGATTTCTTTTCCTCTGCGATGCCCCTTCAATGGCAAAGTAACATGGTAATGTAACCTTGTGAAATTCCACAACCAAACCAACTAGGAAGAAAGAGTAGCCGTTTAGAGCTGTAAGAAATATCTAAAAAATACTTATCTAGGTGAGAAGTATCAAAAAATATATCTCAATTCTCATATTTAAAGGTACTATAGGCCAGGCACGGTGGCTCATGTCTATAATCCCAGCACTTTGGGAGGCCAAGATGGGTGGATCACCTGAGGTTGGGAGTTTGAGACCAGCCTGACCAACATGGTGAAACCCCGTCTCTATTAAAAATACAAAAAATTAGCCGGCTGTGGTGGTGCATGCCTGTAATCCCAGCTACTCAGGGGGCTGAGGCAGGAGAATCGCTTGAACCCAGGAGGTGGAGGTTGCAGTGAGCCAAGATTGCACCATAGCAGCCCAGCCTGGGCAACAAGAGTGAAACTCTGTCTCAAAAAAAAAAAAAAAAGAAAGAAAAAGAAAAGAAAAAAAGGTACTATAGTGGATACTGTTGTGCCACCCAGATACCCACCCCCATCAGGACTGAAGCACTCATCCTTGTCCTCCCCCCAGCACTTCTGGGAATTTTGGGTGACTGACAGTTCCTGGTTGCACCAGCATTTCCAAGAATTTGGGTGACTGACAGTTCCCAGCTGGGCTTCCTCCAGGAGTTACCCTTAAGTGAAAATTCATTCAAGATTATGCCCCCTCCTAAGACAGTCTGCATCTACTGGTCAATGTGGAAGTATATTCCCCTGCATGATTCTGATTTCCTTGTCTCAGTGGGGGACAACTCTGCAGGGCCACAACAGTTCCTGAGTTCCTGCTGTCCAGTTCTAAGGCCTTCACTTTCTCCCAGTGTTGTTGATCCTGAGAGCACGACTCAATGAACTGCTTTTACTCAAATCTCCATCTGAGAGTATATTTCCCGAGGAACCCAGCCTGACAGTCAGTGCCAAGAGTGCTGAGGAAGCAGATTCTAAAATGAGATTCTAAACTGGAAATACCTGTTGGCCGCTGGCAGGGAGGGCCACTGGCAGTAGGTGGAGCATGGAGATTCCCCAGCAAGGTATCAGTGCAACTGTCAAAGCTTTCACTAGTGCTGAACTGGGATGGGATCCTGGGGGAAAGCAATGCTTAGTGGGGGAAATATATCAGGTCTGATAAATATATCAGGTTTTATAAAGACAATGGAATTGGATGGCTAGCTGGAGGCAATCAATGCATTGGACAAAGGCAATGAAAGGTTGAGGGTGATTGATCACCAAATAAAGGCTAAGAGTGAAAGCCCAAGGCCCTCCTTAGCAATTTAAAAGACATTTTTTATCTTTTGTATCTAGAGGCCCCCCAAAATTGAGAATAAGGTCCAATATTTAATTGTAACAGTAGCAGGGCTCCAAAGAAGGTTGAATTCTTAACACTGGCAAGAAGGAGTGAGACCCTGAGACATAGGAGTGGGGGCAGCTGGGTTAATGCTTTAAAAAATCTTGAATTTTTAAATTCTCCATCTTTTGGGCCTGCAAAAGTGCCCACTTGTTCCTGGTAAAGGCTATCACTACTTCCTTGCTTAAGGATGATAGAGAAGCCTCTGGCTTGCAAGACCACACAGGTTCCCTTCAAAACCTACCCCACCTCCTCTCCTGATCTGCAAACCAATAACTAGGATTAAGTACTTTTAGAACTCAGCTAAGATTCCCCTAAGAGAAAAAATGCACCATGCCCTGGAGGTTCAAGAGGACCTAACTAGCAAATACAGGTTGGAGATGTATGGGACTGGATTCTGAGGGTGTTGGATCAAGGAGGGTGGGACATAAAGTTTGATAAGGGAGAGTGTATGGATATGGGAGCCCATTCTTTTTTTTTTTTTTAAGACAGAGTGTCACTCTTGTTGCCCAGGCTGGAGTGCAGTGGTGTGATCTCAGCTCACTGAAAACTCCACCTTCCGGTTTCAAGCGATTCTCCTGCTTCAACCTCCTGAGTAGCTGGGATTACAGGCACATGCCTGCCATCATGCCCGGCTAATTTTTGTATTTTTAGTAAAGATGGGGTTTCACCGTGTTGGCCAGGCTGGTCTCAAACTCCTGACCTTGCGATCCGCCCCGCCTCAGCCTCCCAAAGTGCTGGGATTACAGGCATGAGCCACTGCGCCTGGCCTATGGGAGCCCATTCTTAGGATATGGGATTTAGTACTCTGACAAAGACCCTAAGAGATGTTGCTAACATTCTGATAGTGTAACTGAGTACCCCATTTTCCAAGAGATAGTTTATTTTTTTCTCTCTTTTTCTCTTTTCTGCTTTTCCCCTATAACTGCATTTAGAAATGCAGTTATAGCCTTTTACCTCCTCTTCACCAGACACTCCCTACAGGGCAAGTTCATCTAACTGTGTGTTTAGAAGTCCCAGAGCAGAACTCTCACCCAAGCAGGAGGTTACCTGAAGAGACAACCTACAAGTCCATCTACAAGCCAATGTATGCCTGCTATGAGACTCTCTCACCTGGAGAGTTTTTGGCTGCTTTGGCAACCTAGTCCTGCCCATGAAGGTGCCAGTAGTCACCAGCTCGGCCACCCAGTAGACAAGGCACCAAAGCGAGTATGCAGGCACCCCAGCTGCCTGCTTCTTCCCCTGCATGCCATTCATGTCAGCATGCCAGGTCCCCTTTTAAAAGCACCTGTTTTCTGCTCCAAGAGTGAAGTGGTACCCTAAAAGCCGGAGGCTATACCTTCTTCCCCTAAGCTAGCTTTGGAATAAAAAGTCGCTTTCTTTATACCAGACCTTGCTTTTGTTAATTGGACTCTGTAAGCAGCAAGCAACTGAACCTGTTTTGGTTACAGTGGGATGGCTCTGGGAAGCTTGGAGAAAGTCATGGCCCACATTAAGTGAAGTAGGCGTGTGAGGAGTGCTGTGGCATATAGTGGAAGAGGTGTTAAATGGCTCAAAAGAGTGGGCCTGCTAGGCCGGGTGTGGTGGCTCATGCCTGTAATCCCAGCACTTTGGGAGGCTGAGGTAGGAGGACTGCTTGAGCCCAGGAGTTCAAGCACAGCCTGGGCAACATAATAAGACCCCATCTCTATTTAAAAAAGAAAGAGTGGGTATGCTAGAATTAATATGTAAAGTCAGAAAACTCACCAAATGCTTATGTTTCATCAGACATCCCAAAGAATATTCACTTTCTTTAAAAGGCTCAAAAGAGTGGGCATGCGAGGCTGGGCGTGGAAAGAATACTCAATTTCTTGAAGTGATGAAGAATGTGCTGGTAAGAGAAGCTCAGGGTTGGCTGTTCTCTGTAGGCCAGGGCTGACATAGGGTATACGGTCACAGAGCTGGGCTTACTAGTAGCAGAGGGACAATAGGATGCCAGAGTCAAAGTAGCAGAATTATTGTGCTGAGCAGAAAGGTTGGAGAGGTAGCCAGGGTCTGACCAGCAGAGAAATTTGGCGATCATTAATAGAGCATGGGTTCCTGGGGACAAGATAGATGGCACTCAACAAATACGTTGTTCAATGCATTAAAAAACAAACAACAACAACAACAACAAAAAGAAATTAAGGATGGATGATTAGGAGGTGGAGGGCAGCCACCCTGATAAAAAGTTACAATTCCTTACTGTTTCTGCACCCGCTCAGCTTAAAAAAAAATTCATCTTTACTGAGGTACAATTTACCTACATTAAAATTCACCCATTTTAAATATATACTTTAATGAGTTTTACAGATATGTACAGTTGTTCAGCCATTAACACAAGATATGCAACATTTCCATCATGCCCCCAAATTTCCTTGTGGACAGTGGTGCGCTGGATCCCACTTATGCCACCTTGGGAGATTCAGCTGTTAACTAGCCTTTCTTCTCTACTAAATGTTCGGTCATGTCACATCGGTAATTTGAAATTGGCAATGGAGGGGTATTTACACCATGGAAATCAGCAAATGCTACAAACCAGGCTCCCTCTCCACCAAGAGCCAGTTGTTAAACATTTCCCAGGACACCGCTGCTCATTACCCTCTGCAGTCAATTCCCATCCTCAGCTCTGGCCCCTAGCAACCACTGATAAATTGCCACTATAGTCTTGCTTTTTAAAGAATTTCACATAAATGGAATCATATAGCATGTAGTCTTTTGTGTTCAACTTCTTTCATTATACTTTTAGGTTTATCACTGTTGTACATATCATTTGTTCCTCTCTCTTGTTGGGTAGTATTCCACTGTTTTTGCAGCAGTTGATGGATGTTTGGATTGTTTTCATTTGGGGACTATCATGAATAAAACTCCAATGAACTTTCACATATCATTAGTAACTTTTCATTTCTCTTTGGTAAATATCTGGGAATAGGATTGCTGTGTTAAATGGTAAGTGCATGTTTTAACTTTGTAAGGAACTGCCAAACTCTTTTTCAAAGTTCCTACCTCATTCTGCATTCCTACCAGCAATGTATGACCAGTTTATCTGCATTTTTAGCAGGATTTGGTGCTGTTGCTATTTTTTATTTCAGCCATTCTGATAGGTGTGTAGTAACACATTGTAGTTTTAATTTACATTTCTCTGATAGCTAATCATGTTGAACATCTTTTCATATGCTTGAATATTCTTTTGGGTGAAATGTATATTCATGTTTTTTGCCCATTTTCTAAGTGGATTGTTTGTGGGGTTTTTTGTTTGTTTGTTTTGTTTTTTTGATAGGGGTTCACTCTGTTGCACAGGCTGGAGTACAGTGGCACGATCATAGCTCACTATAACGTGGAACTCCTGGGCTCAAGTGATCCTCTTGTCTCAGTCTCCTATGTAGCTGGGTCTACAGGTGTGCACGGCCACACCTGGCTAATTTTTAAATGTTTGGTAGAGATGGGGTCTCCTTATGTTATCCAGGCTGTTCTCCAACTCCTGGCTTCAAGTGATCCTCCTACCTTGGCCTCCCAAAGTGCTGGAATTACAGGCAGTTTTTTTGTTTTGTTTTGTTTTTACTGTTGAGTTTGAGGGTTTTTTTTTTTTTTTTTACTGGAATTACAGGCAGTTTTTTTGTTTTGTTTTGTTTTTACTGTTGAGTTTGAGGTTTTTTTTTTTTTTTAATATACTGAAGATACTGGTCCTTTGTTAGATATGTAATTTGCAAATATTTTCTCCCAGTACCTTGTCTTTTCACCCTCTTCACATGGGCTTTCCAAGGGCAAAAGTTTTTAATTTTGAGAGGTCCAAAATCTCAATTTTTTTTTCATGGATTGTGCTTTTGGTATCATGTCTAAGAACTCTTTGTCTAATCCTAGAATTTGAAAGTGTTCTTCTGTTTTAAAAATAAGTTTTATAGTTTTACAAGTTACATTTAAGTCTTTTGCCATTTTGAGCTAATTTTTATAGAAGGTATTAGACTTAGATCGAGTTTCATTTTTTGCCTATGGCTGTCCAGTTGCTCCAACATCATTTGTTGAAAAGGCTAGCTTTCCTCCAGCGAATTGATTTTTTTAAATTGAATTGAGGTAGTACCTTTTCATTGAATTGAGGTAGTACCTTTGTACTACCTCAGCACTATGTTGAATATAAAAACATTCAGACTTTCACCATTAAGTGTAATGTTAACTGTAAGCTTTTTACAGGTACTCTGTCAAGTTAAGGAAGTTTCTCTGTATTCTTATTTTTCTGAGAGTTGTTTTTTTCTTTAAATCACAAATGAGTGTTATTTTGTCAAATGAGTCTTCTGCATTACTTGATTTTATTTTGTGATTTTCTTCTTTAGAGTTTTAATAGGATGGATTACATTGATTGATTTTTTAATATTGAACCAGCCTTGCATCTTTGGAATGAGATGGGTATGGTGTGTAATGCTTTTTATACATTACTGAGATCTATTTACTGATACTTTGTTAATGCTTTTTGCATCTATACTCATGAGAGATATTGGTTTGTACTTATTTTATACTGTTTTGTCTTTTTCCCCCTCAGGGTAATACTGGCTTCATAAAATGAAGTAGGAAGTGTTCTTTCCTCCTCTATTTCTATTACGTAGAATTGGTGTTAATTCTTCTTTAGACATTTGGTAGAATTCTCTAGTGAAACTATCTGGGCCTGGAGATTTCCTTTCCTAGGGAGTGGGAGAAGTTTTACATTATGAATTTAATTTCCTTAATAGTTACAGAGCTATTTAAATTATATATTTTATATTGTGTTCATTGTGGTATTTGTGTTTTTTGATTTGGTCCATTTTGTCTAAGCTGTCAATTTACGTGTATAGATCCATGGTATTCCCTTATCCTTTTGATGTTTGTAGTGATATGTTGTTTCATTCCTGATATTGGTAATTTGTATCTTTTTGTTTTTCATCAGTTTTGCTAGTGGCCTGCCAATTTTAATAATTTTTTTCCAAAGAAACAGTTACTTGTTTTATTGATTTTGTTCATTGATTTTTAAAAAATAAATCTCATTGATTTCCTGTTCTTTTTGGTATCTTCATTATTCCTTGCTCATGCTTGGTTTGGGTTTAGTTTGCTCTTCTTTTTCTAAGTTCTTGAGGTGAGAATTTAGATTATTGATGTTGGAGTTTTTTATTTTCCTAATGTATACATTTAATGCCATATTTTTCCCTCAGCACTGCTTTAGCTGTGTGACAGAAATTTTGATAGGTTGTGTTTTCATTTTTATTCAGTTCAATGTATTTCAAAACTCTTTTTTTTTTTTTTTCTTAAATCATCCAGTAGAATTCCTGGGTTTATGCAATCCTCTTGCCTCAGCCACCTGAGAAGCTGAGACTTCAGGCTTGTGCCTTTGCACTCAGGGCATTCAAGGTATTTTTTAAAAATTTCCTTGAAACTCCCTCTTTGACCCATGGGTTTTTACAAAGTGTGTTGTTTGACTTATAAGTATTTGAAAATTTTCCTCCTATCTTCTTTATTTTTGAGACGGAGTTTTACTCACTCTTGTCACCTAGGCTGGAGTGCAATGGTGTGATCTTGCCTCACTGCAACCTCCGCCTCCTGGGTTCAAGCAATTCCTGCTTCAGCCTCCCGAGTAGCTGGGATTACAGGTGCCCACCACCACACCTGGCTAATTTTTGTATTTTATTAGAGATGGGGTTTCACCATGTTGGCCAGGCTGGCTTGAACTTCTGGCCTCAGGTGATCTGCCCGCCTTGGCCTCCTGAAGTCCTGGGATTACAGGCGTGAGCCACTGCTCCTGGCCCCTCCTATCTTTCTATTATTAATTTGATTCCATAGTTGTCAGAGAACATATTGTATAGTGTAATCCTTTTTAATTTGTTGAGATTTGTTACATGGTCTAGGATATGGTCCACCTTGGTATATGATCTGTGAGAGCATTAAATAATGTGTACTCTGCTGTTGTTGGGTGTAGTGTTCTATATAATGTCAATTAGGTCTTGTTGGTTTGATGATATTGTTGAGTTCTTCCATATACCTGCTGATTTTCTGTCTAGTTGTTCTATCCATTTTTGATAGAGGGGTGTTGATGTCTCCAAATATAATTGTGGATTTGTCTGTGTCTGTTTTGAGTTCCATTCGTTTTTGCCTCACACATTTTTCAGCTCCTTTGTTTGGTGCATATGCATTCAGGATCGTTATGTCTTACTGATGGATTGACCCTTTTTATCATTATATGATGATCCTTTTTGTCTCTGATAATTTTCTTTGCTTTGAAGTTTACTTTACCTGTTATTAGTATAGCCGCTTTTGCTTTCCTTTGGTTAATGTTTGTCTTTTTTTGAGACAGAGTCTCACTCCATCACCCAGGCTGGAGTGCAGTGGTACCATCTCGGCTCACTGCAACCTCCACCTCCCGGGTTCAAGTGATTCTTGTGCTTTGATCTCCTGAGTAGCTGGGATTACAGTCGCCCACCACCATGTCTAGCTAATTTTTGTATTTTTTAGTGCAGATGAGGTTTCACCACGTTGGCCAGGCTGGTCTCGAACTCCTAACCTCAAGTGATCTGCCTGCATTGGCCTCCCAAAGTGCTGGGATTACAGGTGTGAGCCACCACTTGTGGCTTTTTTTTTTTTTTTTGACAGGGTCTCGCTCTGTCACCCAGAGTGAAGTCCAGTGGCACAATCTCGGGTCACTGCAATCTCCGCTTCCAAGGTTTAAGTGATTCTCCTGCCTCAGCCTCCTGAGTAGCTTGGGTTACAGGTGCCTGCCACCAAGCCCAGCTAATTTGGTTAATGTCTGCATGATATAACTTTCCCCATCCTTTTACTTTCAGCCTGCCCATATCATTATATTTAAAGTAAGTTTCCTGTAGATAGTACATAGTTTGGGTCATGCTTTTTAATTCATTCTACTAATCTTTATGTGGTTATTGGTATGTTAGGGCTTAAGTCTGCCATTTTTTGTTTTGTTTTTTTTTTTCCCAATTTTTGTTTCTTTGTTTTCTTTTGCCTACCTCCTAAAGATTACTTGAACATTTTTTAGAATTCTATTTTGATTTATCTATGGCATTTAAAAAATATATGGAGTGCTTCACAAATTTGCATGTTATCCTTACACAAAGGCCATGCTAATCTCTGTATCATTCCAATTTTAATGTATGTATTGCTGAAGTGAGCACTTTCTACAGTGTTTTTGAGTATATTCGTATAGCTTTCTTATTGGTTGTTCCAGGTATTATATTATATATACACATAACTTATTATAGCCTATGCTGTCATTATTTTACCAGTATGAGTGAAGTATGGAAACCCTCTCTTTGTCCCTTTTCCCTCTCTAATTTATAATTTCTAAAAACATTCCCTCTACATACCTTTAGAATAAAATCAGAAAGTGTTGTTATTTTTGCTTCAACTGTCAAACATAGTTTAGAAAATTCAATAGAAGAAATGTCTATTGATTTTCCGATATTTTTTGCTAACTGTGTCTTTTCTTCCTAATGTTCCAAGATTTCTTTTTTCATTGTTTCCTTTCCATTTAGAGAATCTCTTTTAGCCACTTTTAGAGTAGGTCTACTGGTGACAAACTCTTTTTGCTTTCCTAAGAAAACTTCTGATAATGTCTTAGTTTCCTCTTCATTCCTGGAGGATTTTTCTTTCTGTGTATAGAATTCTATTTCTTTCTGGGTATAGAATTCTGAGTTGACTGCTATTTTCCTTCAGCCCTTGAAAAATATTGTACCAATTCCTTCTGGCCTCCATGATTTCTGATGAGAAATCCATTGTCACTGAATTGTTTGTTTCCTTATAGTGACATTTTCAAGAGTTTTTTTTCTTTGTCTGATTTCAGAAGTTTAATTTTAACGTGTCTTGGCACAGATTATTTGGGTTTATCTTGGTTGAGGTTTCCTCAGCATTTTTTCTTTTTTTTTCTTTTTTGAGACAGAGACTCACTCTGTTGCCCAGGCTGGAGTGCAGTGGTGTGATTACAGCTCACTGCAGCCTTGACCTCCTGGGCTTGAGTGATCCTCTCACAGCTGGGACCACAGGTGCATGCCAACATACCTGGCTAATATTTTGTGTGTGTGGTTTTTTTTTGTTGTTTTTGTTTTTGTTTTTTTGGTTTGGTTTTTTTTAGAGATGGGGTTTTACCATATTTCCCGGTCTGGTCTTGAACTCCTGGCCTCAAGCAGTCTGCCTTCCTCTGTCTCCCAAAGTGCTGAGATTACAGGCGTGAACCACTGTACCCGGCCTTCCTCATCTTTTTGAATCACTATGTTTATGAATCACTATGTTTTGTCTCTTGACAAACTTGGGAAGTTCTCAGTCATTATTTCTTGGTGTACTTTTTCAGCCCTGCCTTCTTTTTTTCTTCTTCTGGGACTCCAGTGACAGGAATGTTAGATCTCTTGTTACCATCTCTCAGGTCCCTGGGGCTCTATTCATTTTCTCACTCTATTTTCTCCGTTGTTCAGACTGAGTAGTTTCTATTGTTCTACCTTATGGTATGCTGATTCTTCCCTTTCTTCTCTTTATTCTGGCATTGAGCCTATCCACTGAGCTTTTCTATTTGTTTATTGTATTTTATAGTTTTAAAATTTCTATTTGGTTCTTCCTTATACTTTCTATTTCTTTGCTGAAGTTGTATAGTTTTTCACTTTTTTCAAGTGTGTTCATAACTGCTTCTTGAAGCATTTCTATCATAGCTGCTTTAAAATCTTTGTCAGATATTCTAATATAGCTGCCATCTCAGTGTTGACCTCTATTGTCTTTTTTCATTCAGTTTGAGATCTGGACATTTTTGTATTATGTTATAAGACTTTGGATCTTAATTTAAAACTTTTGTTTTAACTAACTTTGTCTGTCACTGCATTGGCATGAGAGGGGGTGTCATTTCATTGCTGCCAGGTGAAGGTAGAAGTTCAGATTTCCCACTGTACCTCTGTTGACACTCAAGCGGGACAGGTCTCCTCCTTACTGCTGGATAGGGCTGCTTGTTCCAGCCCCACATGGTGTCTACTGATACTGTGGTAGAGGTGGCCTCATTACCTCTGGGTGATGGTTAAAGTCCTGACTCTCTACTAGGCCTCCTCTGATACCAACTGAGCAGAAAAGCAGAGGGGTACCTCATTTCTGCCAGATGGATATCCAGGTTCCCCACTGACACCACGGTCTTTATTGCCATCATGCACACAGAGAGGAGGGCTCATTACTGGCTGGCTGGGACAAAAGTCCCAGTTCCCTACTTGGCCTTGTGTGACACCACTCTAGTAAGGGTATTGGGGTGGCCTGTTACAATCTTGAGAGAGTGGAAGTCTAGGTTTCCCACTTAGTTTTGGCATGGGTTGGGGTAGGGCCACGGTAATAGAGTTCTCCAGAGAAATAGAACCAATGGAATATATGTATAAATTGGCTCATGTGATTATGGAGGCTGAGAAACCCAATGATCTGCCATCTGCAAACTAGAGCCCCAGGAAAGTCCGTGGTGTAATGCCAGTCTGAGTCTGAAAGCCTGAGAACCAAGGGAGCCAGTGGTATAAATTCCAGTCCAAGAGCAAGAGAAGATTGATGTCCCAGCTCAAGTAGGCAGGTAGGAAGCAAAACAGGGACATTTGTCCTCCCTTTGCCTTTCTGTTCTATTCAGGCCCTCAACAGATTGGATGATGTCCACTCACACCGGGGAGAGTAATCTGCTTTACTGAGTCCATGGATTCAAAAGCTAATCTCATCCAGAAACACCTCACAGACCACCCAGAATAAAGTTTAATCTAGGCACCCTGTAGCATGGCTAAAAGTTCCTGTCTTGCAGACTGCCCCTTGCCTTTGGCTAGCAGAAACAGGCTTTTGTTGGAGCTTTTCTTTTTCTTTTTGGTCTGTGCCCATTGACATTTCCTGGTTGCTGGTTTCTTCAGCTCCAAGTGTGGAATAAATGAAGCAAAAGGAAAACTCGGAGAACTCACCACTGTGGTGTTTCTTGGGTCTTGAGGTTTCTATCCAGTCTGCTTTCTTTTCTCCACCTTTCAAAGTCTTCTTACGTTTAATAAATAATTTCCAGGGTTTATGGTTGTTCTAGGAGTGGTCAAAGTACATTACCCCAACCTCCCAGAGGCAGAAGTTCCATCCAGTGTATTTTCCATTTCAGATATTATATTTTTCATCTCAAGAAGTTCCATTTTGGTCTTTTAAAAATACCTTCCATTTCTCTCCTCATTATATTTTTGTTTTTCTTTACATTATTTAACAAATAGATTAAATATGTTCATTTTAAATTTAATTCAGTATGAAACTGTTAACCTTTACAAAAAGACAACTAGGAAAATGGCTAAATATTTATTTCTATAACCCCTAGTTTCACATATTTTTAAGTTCAGAACTAAAATACTATGTCTCCTCTGACGCCTTGGTGAAGTTAATAGTACAAACTCCTTTTTTTAACTTTTTCTCCTGACTTGGTCTGTTTTTATTTTTTTTAATTGACAAATAAAACTTGCATATATTTATAGGGTACAACATGATGTTTTGATATATGCATACATTGTGGAATGGCTAAACCTAGCTAATTAACGTATGTATTACCTCTTGTACTTATCATTTTTTGTGTGTGGTAAGAGCACATAAAATCTATTTTCTCTTTTTTTTTTTTAGAGATGGAGTTTTGCTCTTGTTGCCCAGGCTGGAGTGCAATGGCACGATCTCAGCTCACCGCAACCTCTGCCTCCCAGGTTCAAGTGATTCTCCTGCCTCAGCCTCCCCAGTAGCTGGGATTACAGGCACGCACCACCACGCCCGGCTAATTTTTGTATTTTTAGTAGAGACGGGGTTTCACCATGTTGGCCAGGCTGGTCTCAAACTCCTGACTTCAAGTGATCCACCTGCCTCGGCCTCCCAAAGTGCTGGGATTACAGGCATGAGCCACTGCACCTGGCCCGTTGCCCATTTTTAAAATCAGGTCGTTTGCTTTCTTGCTATTGAGTTGTTAGAGTTCCTTATATATTTTGGATATTAACCCCTTGTCAGATGTATGGTTTGTAGATATTTTCTCCCACTGGGTAGGTTGTCTCTTTACTCTGTTGATTTTTTGCTTTGCTGTGCAGAGGCTTTTTATTTTGATGCAATTCTGTTTGTCTACTTTTGATTTTGTTGCCTGTGCTCTTGGGCTCATATCTAAAAAACCATTTTTCAGACCAATGTCATGGAGCTTTCCCCCTGTGTTTTCTTCTGGTAGTTTTACTGTTTCCGGTCTTATATATACGTCTTTTCCCCATTTTGAGTTGATATTTATATATGGTATGAAATAAGGGTCTACTTTCATTTCCTTTATTTAATTCTTAAGAACATGCAGGCCAGGTGCGGTGGCTCACACCTGTAATCCCAGCACTTTGGGAGGCTGAGGTGGGAGGATCATCTGAGGTCAGGAGTTAGAGACCAGCCTGGACAATATGGTGAAACCCCATCTCTACTAAAAAAAATTAGCTGGGCATGGTGGCGGGTGCCTGTAATCCCAGCCACTGGGGAGACTAAGGCAGGAGAATCACTTGAACCGGGGAGGTGGAGGTTGCAGTGAGCTGAGATCACGCCATTGCACTCCAGCCTGGGCAACAAGAGCGAAACTCCATCTCCAAAAAAAAAAACAACACCACATATTTATATCTCTTTTAATGTCCTGTCTACTAATCCCACCATTTCTGACATTTCTGGGACTGTTTCTTTTGGTTCTGGGTAATGTTTTCTTATCTCTTTTTATAATCATTTTTTAAAGAGATGGGGTCTTACTGTGTTGCCCAGGCTAAAGTGCAGTGGCTCTTCTTGGGTGTGATCATACTGTATTACAGCCTCAATCTCCTGGCCTCAAGTGATCCTCCTGCCTCAGCCTCCTGAGTAGCTGGGACTACAGGTACATGCCACCACATCCAGTACAATAATATTAAATTGAATGTCAAACCTTGGGAATTTTATTTTGTTCAGTGATAGGTTTTGTTGCATTTCTCTAATGAGTGTTGGACTTGGTTCTGGCATGCTTGGTATCAGTTCGATCATCAGTGCTTGTTTTCAAGCTTTGCATGGTGGCTCCAGAGTAGCCTTTATTCTAGTGTCCACTACTGAGTCCTTTTAAAGTCTCTATATAATGCCCCATGTATTATAGGATCTATTCATATAGGCTGTGAGGAACACAAACAAAATATTCCCAATCCTGTGTAAGTTCTGAGAATTGTTTGGCCTTTCATTTTCTGTTGTTGTTGTTGTTGATTTTAACCCCCTGCCTTGTGGAATTTTGCCTCATTAATGTACATATCAGTATTCAGCCAAAGTTTTAAGGTCTGGGACCTCTTGGCAGATCTCCAAAGCGCTCGGTGTCATTCCCTCATCTCCAGTGTTTTCCCTTTTTTCCTTTCCTTTCCTTTTTCTTTTTCTTTTTCTTTTCTTTTTTTTTTTTTTTTTGAGATGGAGTTTCGCTCTTGTTGCCCAGGCTGGAGTGCAATGGCTCAATCTCGGGTGACCGCAACCTCTGCCTCCTGGGTTCAAGCAATTCTCCTGCCTCTACCTCCCAAGTAGCTGAGATTACAGGCATGCGCCACCATACCCAGCTAATTTTGTATTTTTAGTAGAGATGGGGTTTCTCCATGTTGGTCAGGCCAGTCTCGAACTCTCTTCCTCAGGTGATCTGCCTGCCTTGGCCTCCCAAAGTGCTGGGATTACAGACGTGAGCCACAATGCCCAGCCTTCCCTCTTAATTTCTAGCCAACACATTCTCCACCAACCCTAATCTCTGTTTTCTCCACTCAATGAGACTGCTGACTCTATTGCGGCTCCCCTCTCTGCAGTGCAGGAAACTGCCTCTAGGCAGTAAGCTGAGGCAATTCTGCACTACTGGCTTTCCATTGTCTATAAATATTTCTTTCATAATTTTATCTGGTTTCATAGTTGTATAGTGGGAAGGCAATTTCTGTAGCTGTACTTCCTTCTTGGGAGAAGTGGAAGTCTTCTTGGGCCAATTTTTCAGCTGGAAACAACTTGTTAAAGAGGCTACGTCTCTAGCAGAAAGGACCCTGAGACACCATGACAAGTATATAAGGTAGTAATTTTCCCAATCCTAACCCACAGGGACTTATGACCTTTTATTTTCATAAGACACAGGAGAGAAAGAGGACTATGCAAACATTTAAAGCACTGTTGGATAGAGTCCATTGACATTGACACCCTAGGATTGGAAGCTCCATTATGGACCTCTGTTAGAGTTGCAGGGTGTGGAGGCTAGGTAATAATTGTATTCCAGCTCCAGCTCTGACTCTCAGTAGGTCTACCAGGTTTACAGACTCACCTAGTAGTTACTTCATGAGTCCTTAATGGACAGTTGGAATAGACATATTTGACAGTTGGCAGAACCACCAGGTTGGTTTTTTGGTTTGTGAGGTAGGAAATATCATAGTGAGGAAGGCCAACATGAAGTGTCTGGAACTGCCTCCACCATTCCAGACCAATATAATAAATAAAAATTACTCCATTAGTGCCCTGCTTGAAGACCTAAAGAATGCAGAGGTGGTGGTGCCCATCATATTGCCATTTAATTCACTAGTCTGGCAACTGCTAAAACCAGACAGATCTTGGAGAATGAGTATGGATTACTGCAATCTCAATCAACAAATAATGCTAATTCTATCTGCTGTTCCAAATGTGATATCTTTGCTGGAAAAGATTAACGCAGCCTACATGGTATGTATTGATCTGGACAATGCACCCTTTTTCATCCTTGTAGAAAGGAAGATCATAAAAGCTTGCTTTCACTGAGATGAGCAATAATATACATTTCCAGTTTTGCCTCTGGACCATGTAAACTCTCCTGCCTCTGTCATAATATAGTCTGAAGGGACCTGGACCATTAGGACATTCCATAGGACATCCCATTACTGCACTGATGACATCATGGTAATTGTACAGGATGAACCTGAAATGATACCTGTATCAGAGGCCTTGGTAGGATAAATCTTCTTCAAATAGTAGGGCAAGAATCCTACAAATATTCAGGATCTTGCCAGATCAGTGAAGTTTTTAAAAGTCCAGTGGTCTGAAGCATACCAGGACATTCCCTCCAAAGATGATAAGGAGAAATTTTGCATCTCGTATTTCTCACCACTAAAAAGCACAATGCCTTGCAAATGTCTTGGGGTCTATTGCTAGCATATTCCATACTTGGAAATGTTGCTTTGACACAAATATCATACGTGACACAAAAGCCTGCCAACTTTGAGTGGGTCCCAGAGCAGGTAAAAGCTCTGTAGCAGGCCAAGACTGTGGTACAAATGGCCCTGCGGCTTGGATCACAAGACACCATATTATATTAGAGGTGTCAGTGGTGAGAAAAGATCATATACTGTTCGTGATAAATCCCAATAGTAAGTCACACACAGCCCCCTATAGTGCTGGAGCAATGCCATGCCATCTGAAACAGAGCATTATATACCTTTCAAAAGATAGCTCCTGGAATGCTACCGAGTACTAGTTGAGACAATGTGCTTACCTATGGGACGTTAAGTCATGATGTATTATAACCTGGGTTCTGTCAAACCCACAAGTCATAAGGCTGGGTGGGTCGACCGGTCATCCTTCATAAAATGAAAGTGGCATATGTAGAATTGGGAACAAGCAGGGCTGGAAGGCAAAAGTGAGCTACATAAGCAGGTGCCCAGATGCCCTGTCACCCACTATTGATGCACTGGTGGTGCTTTCTCAGTTTACATCTGTAGCCACATGGATCGGAGATCCCTCATGACCTGATGACAGAAGAGGAAAAAGGCTGAGCTTGGTTAATGTACTGGTTGTCTCATTAGGTGAAAGTAGGCTGGAAATACACTGTGGCTGCACTATGGCCCCACTTAGATGGCCTGTGTACCTGCCAGAAGTAAGAATATATATAGACTCATGGGCCTGGAAGGCAAACTGGAAGATTAAAAACAAGGAAGTGTGGGGAAAAGGAACATAACATACCCGAGAATGGGTATACAGTGTGATGATTTTTGTATTGCAGGTTAATTCCCATCAGATAACATCCACCACAGAAAAGGTACCAACCAAGCAGATGGAATGACTTAGCCAAATAATGTTAACCAGGCTTTGTTGCTGGCACCCCAATGCTGGCAAAGTGATCAATGAACGGAGGAGCCATGGTGGAGCAAATGCAAGGGTTCAACGTCATGGACTCATCAAGTCTGATCTAACTACTGCATCAGTGAATGTCCAGCTTGCCAGCAACAGAGACCAACACTTAGCCTGATGTCACCATTCCTCAAGGAAACCGTCTAGCCACTTGGTGGTAAGTTGATTACACTGTATCCTTGCTACCTTGGAAGGGGAAGTGTTCTATTTTGAAGGGGCACTGATGTATATTATGGGTACTGGTTTGCCTTTCCTGCCTGCACAGCCTCGGTCAGCAACACCATCCAAAGGTTTACAAAATTTTGATCCATTGGCCTGAAATCTTGTGTAACATTGCATCAAACCAAGAGACCCACTTGATAGCAAGGAGGTACAATGCTGGGCACATGATGGTAGGATTGGCTTTAATCACATACCGTACTATGCAGAAGCTGCTCCCTGATAGAGTGCTTGTTAAAAGCACAGCTAAGGCACCGGATTGGAGATGATAACCTGTAAGGAGAAGGCATCATCCTTCATGATGCAGTACATACCTGAGACCAATAGCCATTGAATAGTGTATCCTTAAGGAAAATATATGGCTCTGGGGAACAAAGGGTGGGTGTAGGAGCAGCCCGCATTATCATCACTCCCAGTGACCCAATTGAAGAAACTGTGCCTTCTATCCCAACTCTGGTCTCTAAGGGTTTAGAAGTCCTGGTTCCCAGAAGGGGAATATTTGCACCAGTGAACACACTGAATCTCACTAAACTTTAAGCTATGGCAGGCACTAGATTACTCCAAATCACTACCAAGAAACAAGGCAAGGAAATGAGTCATTATCAGGAGGTGGGGCTGCTATTACACAGTGGGGACAGGGAAGAATATATCTGGCACCCAGATCATCCACTTGAGTATGTTTCTCCTTGCCCAATTTTGATGATAAATGAACAAGTGCAGTCATAGTCTGAGAAGGGCATGATGGCCAGGTACCTCATCTGGTAACCCACGTGAACCAGAGGTACAACCCCCTCAAGGGGGTTGGGGAAAGATCAACAATAGGTAGTAGAGAAGGGAGGTGAATGCCAGTTGCAAACTCAAGCTACAGCAGCAGAGGCTGTGGCCTGTTCCAGACCTTCCTCTTTTAAGTTTCCCCAGAAAGAGATCCATCAGAATCCTGAAGAAACCATTCCAGAACTAATGAAACAAATCAGTCTGAGCAGTGCAAAGGGTGGACTGCAGTGTTGACTGTGGTGTGCTGCCCATATTTTCCCCTTGAGGACTGAAGCTGCTAAGAATGCTGACAGCTGTCACCTGTGCCTCATCCAGGGACCGCCTTTGGCTGAAGTTAGCCACCTCACTCATGATCATACCCCTTTCCTGGTCAAGTGGGGAGATAAGGTCCAGCCCACTTACCCTACTGGGGCATCCTGCAGAGCCATCCTAGTTTGAGCTCCTGATTGACTGAGGCGTTTGTTAAGACTGCATCAGCTCAATTTCTCCCTCTACCCAATTCTACTGCCTTTACTCCCCAATAGGTGTTGATGCAGATAACTCCTCCCAATAAACTTCCTGCATGTGAATCTCCAACACAGAGTGTTTTTGCCAAGAACTCAACCTATGGCAGGTATTTAAATGCTTTTTAAGGTTAGCTGTGTGAAATGTGTGCTCGTTGCTCAATTTCAGAGAGTTTCGTGATGGTCATGTTGAGAGATGCTGTGTGTGTTTAATTAGCCTACCATTTCAAGGACAATAGGAATGGGGATCATTGAAATGGCAAATTTCAGTGGGCTTGGGGCTCATGCCGAGGCTGCAGGTCCTCCCCAAACCTCAGGAGCGTGTCCAGGATGGCAGAACTCTGTGCTTCAGTTTGGGGGTTAATTCTGGGTGTCCCCAACTCACTAGGGATTAACTGGGGTACAGAAGTGTATGCATCTACTTCAATCTAGATTAGCGCTTCCTAAATACTGGGGTCTCTGCAAGTTAATGGAGGCTCAAACCTTTCAGGAAGTTCTGTTAAATCCAAGACTGAGTGTACCTACCAAAAGCAGTCAACCATCTTTCAAAACAAGAGGGTCCTGCTGGGAGATACTGGCAATGAGAAGTTCCTATAGGACCATAAGATCAGTCTGGGGCTGGGTGCAGTGGCTCATGCCTGTAATCCTAGCACTTTGGAAGGCCGAGGCGGGTGGATCACCTGAGGTCAGGAGTTCAACACCAGCCTGGCCAACATGGTGAGACCCCGTCTCTACTAAAAATACACAAAAAATTAGCCGGGCGTGGTGGTGGGCTCCTGTAATCCCAGCTATTTGGGAGGCTGAGGCAGGAGAATCGCTTGAACCCGGGAGGTAGAGATTACAGTGAGCCAAGATCGTGCCATTGCACTCCAGCCTGGGCAACAAGAGCGAAACTCCATCTCAAAAAAAAAAAAAAAAAAAAAAAAAATCAGTTTGGGCTTCAATATGCCCAAATAGGCTATGAGGGCACCTATATTTACACTGATTGCCCTTTATTGGTAACATCTCCATCTGAGGGTGGATCCTGTCTGGCATGGTGACCAAGATAAAAGATGCAAAAGATCAACATCATCCACCAAGACTATTTCCACTACATGTGTAAGTACAGTTGCTTCAAGAAGCACAAGAACATGTTCATGCACCCATCCCCTTGCATCAGGGATGTCCAGATCAGCAACATCATCATGGTTGGGTAAGCACCAGCATGAGCAAGATGGTACACTTCAACATGCTCATGGTCCCCAATGCCACCAAGAAGCAATTCCAGTTCTGAGTCTGGATGCCTGCCTACTCCCTAATGTGAAATAATGTTATTTTCCCATTCAAAAAAAAAAAAAAAAAAGAAAAGAAAAGGGTGGGGAGGGGAGAAATGCTAAATTTCAGATAGTGCCAGTGCCACACTTGAGTTACAGAGCTCTGTCAAGTATGAAGTTGGCTATAGTTATCAGTGCAACTACTGATGACAGACTTTCTCATTAGCTGAGATGGGATGAAAGTGTTTAACTGACTCAGAGTGGTAGGTGAGCTCAAATAGGAAAGAAACCAATGTCTGGTATGGATAGCAAAGGAGTCAATGATCCCATCTTTACTACCCTAAACTGCATGACCTCACATTGTATTTGAGTGACCTTGGCACAATCCACCTGAAAATGAATGTTTTTTTCTACTAATGAAACTCTGAACTTACAGAAAACTATCTACTTTCAGGCCAGGCATGGTGGCTCATGCCTGCCTGTAATCCCAGCACTTTGGGAGGCCGAGGAGGGTGGATCATGAGGTCAGGAGTTTGAGACCATCCTGGTCAATATGGTGAAACCCCATCTCTACTAAAAATATAAAAAATTAGCCGGGTGCTGTGGCACATGCCTGTAGTCCCAGCTACTCGGGAGGCTGAGGCAGGAGAATCACTTGAACCAGGGAGGCGGAGGTGCAGTGAGCTGAGATTATGCCACTGCACTCCAGCCTGGGTGACAGAGCAAGACTCTGTCTCAAAAAAAAAAAAAAAAAAGAAAAAGAAAAAGGAAAAAACTATCTACTTTCGTTTATCTCCCATCAAGACATCCATTCATCCATTCCAGAGTTACCTTTTGACTAGCTCCCTATCTTAATCTTGGTCTAGAAAATTAAGGTAACTTCTTTTTCAGAATTTCAGGAGCTGGTTCAAGGAAAAAAGTTCCCTTTTTAAGCTTCTTTCATCCCAGCTTTCCAACAATTACCCTTAGGCCTTACTCAGGTCTTAGAGAAGCAGAATCCATTGTGCTTATTCACATTGATGACTACATCAATGTATCTAAGAAGAGTAAGTGTTAAGACCAAACACATCATCAACTTGTTCAGCACAATTTGTTCATACCACAGTAACTGTGGGATGCAGTCTAAGATATTCTCTTCTTTCCTTTTTAGCAGCAAACCTCTGTGACTCAAGGAAATCTCAGTTGGATGTCCTGTCTCATCTACTCAAGACCAGTAAGCAACACTTACTTAAAAAGAACATATTCTCTTTATTTCTGCTTGGGATACAAATGTTCAGTTTGGATGATGAGAATGAGGCAAGTACTGGAGACAATGGCTGGCTCTCCTGTTTGTCCCAATAAACTCCAATGGAGGAAGAAGCTAAACAGGTTTTGGATGGTTTCGGTCTACTGCATCTAGCTTATCAAATCTACAGCCTGGTACTTCTGGAACAGGACTTCCCTGCCCCAGTGATGACAGTTAAAGATGGCAAAAATGAAGAATTCAACATGTATACGCAGTGCAGTCTGATGTCTTCAGATGTTCTCTAAAATTCTGTATTTGGTCAGAGCTGGGAGTGAGATCAGGGTGCTTGCACATTTCTGCTCCACTGCTCCCGATTCTGCTTTGCTGCCTTGGAGGGAGAGTAGATTTAGATCTGGGGGCTGGTGGGGGCCATAGCCTTGGCAGCTTGCTGGGCTAACCAGTACTTATATCTTTTGGTCTTGGGCTTCTCAAAGTTCACGACAGACATAGGCACTCTCACAGTATCAAGCCCATTTACCTGCACACAAAACAATGGGAATTCTCAGAGATCAGTCAGGTAAGTAAGATTTAGCACCACCTAATCCCAGCTTTTCACCCTGACTTTTCTCCCAGTCAGAAAAAGGAGAGCTAGGGCTGGGCACAGTGGCTTATGCCTGTAATCCCAGCACTTTGGGAGGCTGAGGCAGGTGGATCACCTGAGGTCAGGAGTTTGAGACCAGCCTGGCCAACATGGGGAAACCCTGTCTCTACTAAAATACAAAAATTAGCCAGGCACGGTGGCGTGTGCCTGTAATCCCAGCTACTAGGGGGACTGAGGCAGAAGGATCGCTTGAACCTGGGAGGTGGAGGTTGCAGTGAGCTGAGATCGTGCCACTGCACTCCAGTCTGGGCAACAGAGTGAGACTCCAGCTCAAAAAAAAAAAAAAAAAAAAAAAAATTAGAAAAAAGGGAGAGGTAGGTGCTAGGTGCGGTGGCTAACGCCTGTAGTCCTAGCTACTTGGGAGGCTGAGGTGGGAGGATCGCTTGAACCCAGGAGTTTGAATCCAGCCTGGGCAATGAAACAAAACCCTGTCTTTAAGAGAAAGGAAAAAAAGGAAAAAGTGGGGGAAAAGGAGAAAGAAAAGAAAAAAGAAAGTATGCAAAACACTCACCGTCACCTCACACCAATACTCGCCCCACCGTGTGATAGGCTCTTCTGGTAACTTTAATGTATGTGGGGCAACCACAACACCAAGCTGCAAAAAAAAAAAAAAAAAAAAAAATCTCAGCTCAAATGAACTCTGTTTTCATGACTGCCACTCTAGGGAACCTCATAAAGAGGGTTACAGGATTCCCTGCACAGGGATGAATAAAACTGGGGTGTCTACTCTGGCTGATTCCATGGGAGAGAAGGGCATACACCTTCATAGACGGTAGTAGAGAAATTCAATTCTGATTTCTCAGAAAGGGAGGTAGATTCACAAAGAGAAACAGGGCTTGAGGCCAAAACCACTTCATCCACAAAAGTAACAATTCTCCAGTGAGTCACAAATCCCCAGCATTTCCCTAGGTAGACAGGAAATAAATGGAAACCACCACCTTTTCCTATCAGTCTTCAAATTCTATGTGACCATCCTTAGTCCTTAGCCATTTCCTTCCCATATTCCTGCAAACTAACCAAGAATACTTTCCTTAACTACAACTGGATGATCACACCCCTTCCTAACAAAGGGATCAATCCCAGGCCTCCTTTCCAGAGGCAGCTTCCACCTCAGGGGTAGAGTGGTTTTTGGGAACACTCACTCACATTCTTAAAGAAGTGGCGGGCAACTATTTCAGGGTTCAGCTCCCATTTGACATTGTTCTTCATCCCTACCTCCAGGCGACAGCTTTTTAGAAATTTCACTGTCTGAAAGGAATTATGAGTTTGAGTCAAAGGAGAGGAAACATGTCAGGGTCACAGGGTATGCAAGCCAAGCAAGATGGCTCATGCCTGTAATCCCAGCACTTTGGGAGGCCAAGGTGGGTCTCCCAAAGTGGGTCACTTCAGCCCAGGAGTTTGAAACCAGCCTGGCCAACATGGCGAAACCCTGTCTCTACCAAAAATACAACAGTTAGCCGGGCATGGTGGCGGGTGCCTGTACTGATTATCTTCTCATGTGTCCATGTTCTCTCCAACTTGTACGTAAATATCCTTGAAGGCAGAGCCCTCATCTCAGACTATTCCATGGGTTCCCTGATTCCCAGATTGGGACCTCCCTTGGTACTTTAAGGCACTTCACCCAACACATCAGGGATCTCCCAAGAGGTCTCCATACCTGTTTTGTGGGGCAGCCACAACACTTCCCCTTTCTCCCACTCTTGGGTCTGCAATCAGGAGACCTCAAGGGAATCAGGGAGACTCTCAGGGTGAGGTTGGTAAGTCTTGTGACAAATAAACACTTTTTATGTTTCTACTCACCGCCTCACCTGCCTTGGTCTGGATCTTCTCTAATTTTCCTTCTTGTCTCAGCTAGAAAAGAAAGTTAAAGATGAAAAGCAGTAAAAGAAAAATGAGCCCATGTTAAATAGCATCAAACTATTCCTATGTTGGACATTGGCTGGGCTTCTGCATTCCTGTTCTTCTAGTTCCTATTTCATTTTCAAGTTAAGTTAAATGTCAAAGGGAAGGAAGCTGCAAGAGAAAAGAAGTTTTATCTCCCCAAGTCTCTCTGTCCTTCCTTTGAGCTCACCAATTTCTCCTCTTCAAACAGCTTCTTGTTTTCAGGGGATGCATATACAGCCAGTCCCTGAGGAAGGAGTCGATTCCGGCCTAAAGATTTCTTCACTGAGACCAGGTCACCCCGGACTCCAACATCTGTCAATTAGAACAGAGACAGGGGAATTAGAACCATCTAGGAGTCCCTAAAGAAAAGATGTCAAAAAGAGAAGCACCTCTTAGTTTCTCACAGTGCTTATTTTTCCTAAAAGAAATGCTAATTCATATTCACTAGGAACAAGATTTAAGAGACTGCTAATTAGTTTCTTTAGAACTTGATGTATAAATTTAATATCCCCTGTATAGAGGGAGTTGTCGTCCCATGGAGGATTTCAGTATCTGTGGCACAAATTGTCAGGCTCCTCTCCCCACACACTGTTAATGATGTTGCTGCCTTTATGTTTTAATTTTCAATGCTGGAGGCCAGTGTCACAATCACAATAGTTTTTATGGCTTCCTCTTCTCACATATAGAGTTGGATTGTTTCCACAAAGAAAAAGCAAGGCAAATAGTTGAGGGGGACGGGCTAGAAAAAGCTGATGCCAAACCGGACCAGCCTGAGAGGAAGCGCCTCGGCCCGGGCCTTACTCTCCACCGACTGCGTCAGGATGAGCTCCAGGTTTTCTTTGGGCCGATGCTTCGTGTCCTCCACCAGCTTATAGACGCGATGTCGCCGGTGCAGGCGCGGCTTCCGGCCCTCCCCGGCCAGCGGTACCTTCCACCAGCGCTCCACGATGACCGTGCCCTGGCGGCCAGGAAAGCGACGGTAAGCTAGTCTCCACAAGGAACACCCTCTCCCTCCACCACGGCCGCCAGCCCCTCAAGGAAAGCCCGCCACCCCCACATCGGCCCCCTCCAGGTCCCAGTGCGCCTCCAGAAACAATACTCGAGCGTATCTACCCCCTACCCCAGACTCAGCCCTCACCCGATTTTGAGAAAGGCTGAAGTTGCAGGCCAGGTCAGGGGCGTTCCCTTCATGTCGCGGCCGCAGTAGCTCCTGGACGCCTCCCCGAAGCAGCCGTCCAGCGCCCGCCCGCAGCAGAGCTCTGCCCGGGGCCGTGACAACGGGCGCCGCCATGTTCACAGGCACAGAATGAGACCTGAGGGAGGACCCCGGCGTCGGCGGCAGGAAAGGCCCCCGCCAGTGCTGCCTGCGGCGCGCCGGTACGGCTGAGCGAAAGTATGGGGAGCGGGCCGGGGAACAGATGGCACCGCGGCTTGCCTATTTTTGCTTTTTGGCAGAGGTGACGGACGCCTAGAATTACTGACTGATAATGGAATGAGTGTTAGGTGGACTGACGCCGGAAAAGACGCTCTTCCTCTTGAAAGTGTGGGCTTTGCTGTAGCTCCAGTTGCTGGGCTAACTTTTAATTCTAACGTTCTGTGATGACTGGATACTGACCGGAGAATGAATGATGCTCTCACTTTTCCTTACTTCAAATCTACCTAAAAGTGGTAAAGGATGGGATCCCTTGGAAAACTCTGCCAGCTCCAGGAGGAGCCTGACCCTTAATCATTATACTGCAGTATTTAAGCTAATAAAGGAGAATTCTAAATCACAAGCTATGTAAACCGTAGAAAAAAAAGCAACTATGGTAAGGCCGCGACAGTTCCCTCTGGGGAGGGTCTCAGTACTGGACAGAAGACCATAAAAACTGGATGAAAGAAGGTCCATTTGGCAGAGATTATGGAAAGACTGGCCCTTAAACATACTGACCAGTCCTCCTTCCTCCTAAATACACTACTTGGCCTCCTGGACACCGGTCTTCTTCAGTCTCGTTTGCTGATTTCTCCTTTTCTCCCCGCTTCTTAGAATGCCCTCGGGACTCCGTTTTTGAACCTTTACTCTTCTCAGTATACACTCACTGTTGATCTCATCCAGTCTCGTGGCTTACAATACCATTTATAAGCCAATGACTCCCAAATTTCTAGTTCCATCCTAGACATCTCCCAAACTCGTCTCAAATATTCAACTGTTTATTCGTCATTTTCCTCTTACGTATCCAAAGGACACCTCAAAGTTAACTGTCCCAAACTAATTTATTTATTCCCCCCTCGCCCCCAAAACTGCCCCATCTGCAGCCTTTTTCCTCTCAGTTGACAGAAACTCCATTCTTTCCATTCTAACTCTTTTCTCTCATACTCCATCAGGAAATCCTGTGGGTTCTACCTTTAAATTACAGATAGTCCCTGACTTGGATTTACAATTTTTGAGTTTGTGATGGTGTGAAAGTGATGTGCACTCAGTAGGACATCAATAAGTTACATGAAATATTCAACACTTTATTATAAAATAGGCTTTGTGTTAGATGATTTTACCCAACTGTCGGATAAGTTGTCTGAGCATGTTTAAGATAGGCTAGGCTAAGCTATGGTGTTTGGTAGGTGTATTATATGCATTTTCAACTTATGATACTTTCAACATACGATGGGTTTATCAGGACATAACCCTATTTTAAGTCAAGGAGCACTTGTATTTCCAGAATCCAGCCACTTGTCACCACCTCCAATGCTCTACCTTGGAATAAGACACTACTTTCTCCTGGATTACTGCAATAGTCCCCTAAAAGATATCCCTTAATTCTCTACAGTTTATAATTCTATGTAGCTTATTTATAGCAGCCAGAATGATCTTTTTAAAGCATAAGTCAGATCATGTCATTCTTCCACCCAAAACTTTGTAATGACTTCCTCCTTTACTCAAGGTAAAAGAAAAAGGCCATCAGATGGTCTACAAGGCCATACATACTCTGACCCCATTAGCTCCTCTCTAATTTACACTGCTCCACCCACAGTGGCCTCCTTGTTTCTTGAAAACACCAGGCACGTTTCCTGCTCAGGGCTTTTGCACTGGCTGCTTTTGCGTTGGATGCTCTTATCCTCAGATGCTGGCTTGGTTAACAACCTCACATCCTCCAAGTGTTTAATTAAATGTCAGTTTTTTTCAGTGAGAGATCACCCTATTTCTTACTGTAACCCTGACCCATCCCCTTCACATTCCTTATCTTCCTTTATCTTGCTCTATTCCCCCCACCCCATAGCAGTTACCTTCTAACATACTAAACAATTTACTATGTTTATTTTCTAGGTTTGTCCTCTCACTTTTAGAAGATACGTTCCATAGGGCAGGGATTTGTTTTGTTCACTGATGTATCATCTCAAGCACCTAGAATAGTGCCTGGCTAATAGTAGACCCTCAATAAATATTTGTTGAATGGATAAATATGCAGAGGTCTCAAAGTGGCAGTCCCAGAACCAAATTTTGCTTACAATGTTGTTTTTTTATCAACAATTTTTTAGTAGTTGATTTTTTTTTTTTTTTGAGTTGGAGTCTCGCTATGTTGCCCAGGCTGGAGTGCAGTGGCACGATCTCAGCTCACTGCAAGCTCCGCCTCCTGGGTTCACGCCATTCTCCTGCCTCAGCCTCCCGTGTAGCTGGGAATACAGGCGCCTGCCACCACGCCCGGCTAATTTTTTGTATTTTTAGTACAGACAGAGTTTCATCGTGTTAGCCAGGATGGTCTCGATCTCCTGACCTCGTGATCCGCCCGCCTCGGCCTCCCAAAGCGCTGGGATTACAGACGTGAGCCACCGTGCCCGGCCCAGTAGTCGATATTTTTTAAAATTGGTGAGATTTACTACAAAACTGTCTTTCCAGTTTCTGTTCAAAAATCATACGATACAGCACCATCAAGTCTGCATTCTTGCATGGAACTGGATGGAATTGAGTTGTGTGGACTTCCTTTAGATAACGTGTGAGCTTTCCTATTTTGCTACAGCCCTACCCTGCCACTCCACTAATTTCCATAAGCTGTCTAGGCCCCTGAAGGGGCCTAGACAATTAGTTTGCAATTCCTACCCTACAAGGATCCTGGGTTATTAAGGGTAGGGATGATAATAAAAATACTCAACTGGTATGAACTGGGAACCAACTAATCAGGTCACCACTGGATCAGAGCCTTGGAAGAGTCAGATACCAACTCTTTACTTGCTGGATTTTGGGGGAAGGGGAGTGTCCACAGAGGAGCAGGGTGGGTGGGCACAAGTGCTCAGGCAGGGCTTTTGGCCAACCAGTACAGAAGTCTTCAAGTTCTATTTTTTAATCATTCATACAGCCATAACATGCATACTAGTCGAATATGAGCCTTGGATAAGGGATTAGGGTAGATAAGCAGCAGAGTGGAGTCCTGAGGTGACATAAGGGCTGACCCCTTATCCATGTCATAGTGCCCACTGGGTCACAATGCCACCAGGTTGCCTAAACCTCTGCCACCCACCTGTGAACTTCACTTTGCCACAGGGAGGCACTGAACTGAAAAACTGCCTTGTAAGAGGTGTCGCCCCTCTGTCTACTCCCTTTCTTATATCAAGAGGGGAAAAACACGTAACTACCTCTACCCGATCTGGTCACCATACGCCTATTACCTTTACTGTTACAAGTACCGGATCACTCTCCGGGAGAAGATGCTGCCTCGTTGTTATAAAAGGTACTTGTTTTCATCTCTATTTGTAGTTGTTTATATAAAATGTAAGGAAAAAGTAAAAGAATTTGAAAGAATTTCCCAAATGGCAAGAAATAACAACAGAATAGGGGGTGGAAAGCTGGCATGGAACTTTAGAATTTTTCCATCTGGTTGGGCCCAGGAACATAGAAACAGGCTGGACAACAGAAAATACAGAAGATCATGCCAGAGCCTGGTACTGTGTATCTTCCCACCTCAGATTCCAAGATAAACTAATTTGGGTCTCTTTCCCAACCAGCATCACTTATAAGGAAGAGGAGGACTTGACACTCCAGCCCCGTTCCTGCCTCCAGTGCTCCTGAGTCCCTAGTAGGCCTCCAGGAGGGCAAAAGCACCGAGCAGGGTAACCACGACCAGCTTAAAGAACTGTATTCGGTAAGTGGACTGTGAGCTAGTGCTGTGACAGGGCAACCCTTTTCTTGCATACCTTGCAGAGGAGGGACATTAGCAAGTTGGAAGATGAATTACAGAGGTAGATGGAATCTTGGAACGCATGTGTAAAAGCTACTTGCTATATAGACAAGCATTCTGGCCCACAGACTGTAAAATCAAGGTCATACAGATGGTAGTGAAAATCAGGATTGGGAAAAGAGGGAGTGGGGACAAAGGTAAAACAAACTCTGTAGGACTTCTGGGACATAAAGCTGTTTATGCCAAGATCCTGCTTAAAGATGCTAAGCAGGATCTGGAATCCAGAACTTGCCCACATATCATATTGCAATAACAAGCCTGGTTGTAACCATGGCATTTTAAATAGAAGAATTTAGAGAAAACCCATATAATGAAAAAAGTGGAAATTATTAGTGAGAAAGGAAGCACATTATAAAGCTTTGTTTAAATCCTAAGCTCTCTGATGTAAACATTTCTAAGTTCCTAAATGGTTATTGTACTCCTGGGTTGAAGTCAACAGGCAGTAATACTGCCTCAGCTGGATTGTTTGATATAAAGGAGAACTCCACAATAGGCATAGGCTATTAGTTCCTGGGACTAAGGGATATTATTGCATCTTTAAGATCTTGGCTCCAATTCTCCCAGGCTCTCCCCATCAATGCCCACCTTGCTTCAACGGACACACCCCCATCTGCCTGAGGTCTGATTTGAAGACTAGAGGAGCATTTTTACTCCTTTTCCAGGCTGGGAACTTGACGGTGCTGGCTACTGACCCCCTGCTCCACCAGGACCCAGTACAGTTAGACTTTCACTTCCGCCTTACCTCCCAGACCTCTGCCCATTGGCACGGCCTTCTCTGTGACCGTCGACTCTTCCTGGATATCCCATATCAGGCCTTGGATCAAGGCAACCGGGAAAGGTGACTGAGCCTGGATGGGAGAATGGGGAGGGAATAGGTAGGGGATTTCACCCTTCTATCATGTCATAGTACATAAGGCTAATTCTGGAGCTAGATATAAGCAATCCATTCACCTGGCATGCAGACAAGCCTGTGAGCTGAGCCAGGATCTGGGGTTCAAGGGATAAGAGTCCATGGGAAGCTGGACTCAGATCCAGAAATAGTTGAATAACGGGAAGTACTTTCTAGCTGTTCATCTCAGTAGTCCTTTCTCCCCAGACCCCTTCTGTGGCTTACATCCAGTGATGTGCAATCTCTTGGCTTCCAAGAAAAATCTACCAAAACTAGTTTAGCAACTTTCATTTCCTGGCTTGGGTGGGTGGAGGGCAGAAAACGACCAATAATATTTTTACTGCTCCAAGTAGGTGTCTTTCTGGATTCTGAGTTGGCCAAATTTTTTTTTCCCAGTATTTATTGATCATTCTTGGGTGTTTCTCACAGAGGGGGATTTGGCAGGGTCATAGGACAATAGTGGAGGGAAGGTCAGCAGATAAACAAGTGAACAAGGGTCTCTGGTTTTCCTAGGCAGAGGACCCTGCGGCCTTCCGCAGTGTTTGTGTCCCTGGGTACTTGAGATTAGGGAGTGGTGATGACTCTTAACGAGCATGCTGCCTTCAAGCATCTGTTTAACAAAGCACATCTTGCACCGCCCTTAATCCATTTAACCCTGAGTGGACACAGCACGTTTCAGAGAGCATGGGGTTGGGGGTAAGGTTATAGATTAACAGCATCCCAAGGCAGAAGAATTTTTCTTAGTACAGAACAAAATGGAGTCTCCTATGTCTACTTCTTTCTACACAGACACAGCAACAATCTGATTTCTCTATCTTTTCCCCACATTTCCCCCTTTTCTATTCGACAAAACCGCCATCGTCATCATGGCCCATTCTCAATGAGCTCTTGGGTACACCTCCCAGACGGTGTGGCGGCCGGGCAGAGGGGCTCACTTCCCAAAAGGGGCGGCCGGGCAGACGCACCCCCCACCTCCCGGAGGGGGCGGTGGCCGGGTGGGGACTGCCCCCCACCTCCCTCCCAGACGGGGCGGCTGACCGGGCGGGGGCTGCCCCCCACCTCCCGGACGGGGCAGCTGCCGGGCGGAGACGCCCCTCACTTCCCAGACGAGGCGGCTGCCGGGCGGAGGGGCTCCTCACTTCTCAGACAGGGCGGACGGGCAGAGATGCTCCTCACCTCCCAGATGGGGTCGCGGCTGGGCAGAGACACTCCTCAGTTCCCAGACAGGGTCGTGGCCGGGTAGAGGCGCTCCCCACATCCCAGACGATGGGCGGCTGGGCGGAGACGCTCCTCACTTCCTAGACGGGATGACGGCCGGGCAGAGGCGCTCCTCACATCCCAGACGATGGGCGGCCAGGCAGAGACGCTCCTCACTTCCCAGACGGGGTGGTGGCCGGGCAGAGGCTGCAATCTCGGCACTTTGGGAGGCCAAGGCAGGCGGCTGGGAGGTGGAGGTTGTAGCGAGCCGAGATCACGCCACTGCACTCCAGCCTGGGCAACACTGAGCACTGAGTGAACGAGGCTCCGTCTGCAATCCCGGCACCTCAGGAGGCCGAGGCTGGCAGATCACTCGTGGTTAGGAGCTGGAGACCAGCCCGGCCAACACAGCGAAACCCCGTCTCCACCAAAATACGAAAACCAGTCAGGCATGGCGGCACGCGCCTGCAATCCCAGGCACTCAGCAGGCTGAGGCAGGAGAATCAGGCAGGGAGGTTGCAGTGAGCCGAGATGGCAGCAGTACAGTCCAGCTTCGGCTTTCACAACTTTGGTGGCATCAGAGGGAGACCGTGGAGAGAGAGGGAGAGGGAGACCATGGGGAGACGGAGACGGAGAGGGAGAGGGAGAGGGAGCGGCCAAACATTTTAACTGTTTTTCTGTGGCTCCTAGTTTGACTGCAACCCTGGAGTACGTGGAAGAGAAGACAAATGTGGACTCTGTGTTTGTGAACTTCCAGAATGATCGGAACGACAGAGGTGGGGATCTGCTGTTCTTCCTTGCTTTTCGCGCTGAGGCAGCTGGATAACTCCTTTTCCTTTATAGGAGACCCTCTTCCCCTGTCTTTAAAAATGCACCCTCAGGCATTTCAGGGATTCTTTTCTTCCCACCTACCACGAAGGTGGGAAGTTGTAACTTGTTCCATCAAGTTACAACTGGACTCTGAGGAAGCCCCTGCAGGTGGTGTTAGGGGCCAGACTGAAGGAGCACTGGTGAAATTACACAGAATCCATTCAAGGGATGTGGCCAGCAGGACAAAATGGATCTCAAACATATGGAGCACCTACAATGTGAAAGGGTCAGACATAAGGCCAAGGGAACGGGGACATATTTAACCGGATGCCTGGAGCATATGTTACAGAAACTATAGCCTCTTGCCTCAAGGAGCTCAAACTCTGTTGGATATAAGGGATGGTGAATAACCATTCATAAGTGATAGATACTATTTCAGAGCTTACTATGTCATCATTGTATTAGTATATAGGTAGACCTCACTAATCTCTAGTGTTAAGCACTTCATGAACATCTCATTTCATCTTAAATTCTGTGAGGAGGAAGGTTCTATGATTTATAAATGGAAAATTCTATAGATGGAAACTGAAGTTCTGCAGGACTAACTCACAGAACAAGTGTTAAAACCAGAGTTAGAGCCTAGGTCTGTTGGACTAAAGCACATCCTATATGCCTGCACTACACTGCTTCCCAGGGCCACTCCCTAGTGGAAGAAATCAAATCTGGGGGCATACATGTATTGAGTTTTAAAGCATGTTCTAATCATTTGTTCTATCCTTTCACAGGTGCCCTGCTGCGGGCCTTCAGCTACATGGGCTTTGAGGTGGTCAGACCAGATCACCCTGCCCTCCCTCCCTTGGACAATGTCATCTTTATGGTGTATCCCCTTGAAAGGGATGTTGGCCACCTGCCCAGTGAGCCTCCTTGAACATGCTTATTCCAACGCTTTGAGGGGCTGGAAGCCTTGACACATGGAATCAGGGGCCCGGGATGTGATTCAGGACACTTTCCATCCTAGGAATAAAGGGTAGTGCAATCATCAAGTGTTCACGGTTTCTTGGGGGGGTGGGTAATAGGGTTGACTGGAGTGGGATATACACCTTAACAGAGCTAAATTCACTGAAAAGATCACAGGGACCTGAACTACGGAGGAAAGTACCTAAGGATTTTTGGTTCCCTTTGCCTTCCTCCATGCCCCAAACTATTTCCCCATTTATTCTAACCATTTACTGAGCACTAATCAGTGAACTTCCTAGTTCAGAAAGACTGAGCTTTGTTAGGCTGTTTTTATCCATATATTTCAGTTGAGGTGCTATAGATGTGGAGAAAACCAGAGAAGGCACATAGATCTCTTGGCTTTGGCCCAAGTTGGGGGATCTCAACGGACAGAATAGGTAACATAGAAGAGGGCATTCCAGGCAGCAGGAAAAGTACTGGGTTATACTAACAGAATGACAAAGAACCCATCAGAATGGGCTGTAAACAGGTAAGACTTAAAGGCATATTAAAGAAAAAGACTTTTATACATAGTAACAAACTGCAGGTAAGAATGAGACATTACTCATTTTCCAGGGTAGGAAGTCTTATGAATGATTTATATCAGGGAACCTCTAAAGAGTAAAGGTTCCCTACGGAACTCTGGTAGCACCAGTTCCAGGGCTGAGCATGCTTCAGCGAGTTCATTGCAGGCAACATCTGAAACATCAAATAAATGGAAGCTCCTTAAAGATTCCTCCAAGAGTACCTGAACTACTCACCAGAACTGTTCCTTCACTAGAGCCTTTCTGCTAATTGGGACTGAGATTTTTCTTTTCTTTTTTTGGAGACAGCATCTTGCTGTGTCACACAGGCTGGAGTGGAGTGGTGCAATCTTGGCTCACTCACTGCACCCTCTGCTTCCCTGGGCTCAAGCGATCCTCCCACCTCAGCCTCTCAAGTAGCTAGGACCACAGGCACACACCACCATGCCTGGCTAATTTTTTTGTATTTACGGGTTTCAGCATGGTGCCAGGCTGGTCTCGAACTCCTGAGCTCAAGCAATCTGCCCGCCTCGGCCTCCCAAAGTGTTGGGATTATAGGTGTGAGCCACCGGTGCCTGGCTAATACTGAGATTTTTCTGAGAAAATAAATTTTGAGAATTGTGGTTGTGAGAAAATATAGTTGCCATGTAGTATAGAGGTAGACGTTACTAATCCCTAAATTTAAAAAAAAGACCTGTGTAAGGCATCCTTATGTGCTAGTTTTAAATTTTCTAGTTTATCTTGCTTTATCCTTAAAAAAAATTCACTTGCCATTTTTCTACCATCCACATTACTATACATTTATATTTACTTTCAAGCACCTCAAGTACTTCAAGCCTCGCATTTGAGCCTCACAGTACTGTCAGAAAGATGCTATAAGGAAACACGTTAAAATTTTGCAAAAAGTTTACAGTGGAGATCTACTCCTTAAAGATTCCTCCAAGACTACATGAGCTACTTACCAGAGCTGCTCCTAGAATCCAGGTTTCTAGAATCTTAATCTGGGCCTTTTCTTTTGAATAGTATAGGTGGGGTCTTACTCACACAGCCTAAACCTAAATTGGTTCTGGTTCCTAGTGAATTTTTTTTTATGAGACAAGGTTGTGTGGTGGTGCAATCTGGGTTCACTGCAACCTCCGCTTCCCAGGTTCAAGTGATTCTTGTGCCTCAGCCTCCCAAATAGCTGGGATTACAGGTGCCTGCCACCACGCCCAGCTAATTTTTGTATTTTGTATTTTTGTATTTTTTTGAGACAGAGTCTCTCTCTGTCACCCAGGCTGGAGTGCAGTGGCATGATCTCAGCTCACTGCAACCTCCACCTCCCAGGTTCAAGCAATTCTCCTGCCTCAGCCTCCCACGCAGCTGGGACAACAGGTGCATGCCACCATGCCTGGCTAATTTTTTGTATTTTTAGTAGAGACAGGGTTTCACCATGTTGGCCTCAAGTAATCTGCCTGCCTTAGCCTCCCAAAGCGCTGGGATTACAGGTGTGAGCTACCGTGCCCAGCCAGTGAATGGTTATTTCTGAAGTGACTTTAGAGAAAGAATATGAATGTGTATATGGGAGGGACACTTGTTTCATAGATGTGATCCTTTCTGTGAGGCAGTTGGCAGTTTTCACCAGATTTAGGCTCACAGCCTGCTTCCACCTTGTGATTCAATCAGAATTTGGTTTTAGAAAATTTTCTTGAGAACTTTATTCAGCAAAAAAATCCTCCAAATGATTCAAACAGGACTGTATACTCTTCCTCTCTCTCCACGGGTGTATATGTGTGTATACATATAGATATTATACTAGCAATTTAGAAAATTTCCTGAGCCTCCTGTCTCCTTTCTACTTATATTTTAACTAAAGGTTACAGAGAAATAGCTGGAGCAGTTTCAAAAGCCTGTCTCCAATAACATATCAGCAATTGAGGCTGGGAGGCAGTATTCTCTTCCCACTTCCTGAGGCTTTTAAATATAATTATGCTAATTTTTGCCTTTGCCTCCTGATTCAACTGGAGTCTTTGAGTTCACCACTCAAAAGCTTTCCTTAACCAGAGTCACCTGATAAGGTGAGTCAGAAGTCTGCAGAATCACTTCCAATGACGAAAGCCTGACTGTTTCCCAGCCTCAAAAAGGATACAGCCTAGTAGTAATGTGAATCATGACTGGTAGAGGGGACTGAGCCTGACGTTGAACGGCCTGGAAGTAACACAGCAGTATTCAAACACTGGAGGGTTGGGGAGGGATCCGGAGGTGGAATGGGGGAGACACACTTGTAGCGTGGTAGTCCAATTTTTTTGTAGTCTGATGGGAGGAGAATATTAATTTGGTCCACAGCAAGCCAGACTATATGTGTAATAAAGGAAGGACTGCATGGATCCTTTATCATACACTCCTCTCCTCCATGCACCAATTCCTATGCCAAATCCTGCCAAAGACAGAAATACACAAAAAGCTTGAAAGTGCTCAATCTGAGAGCAAGTTAAGCTGCAGGAAAGCAGCTGCAGAGAAGTATATTAAGACAGGGCATGGGAAAGAGGGAATCAAAGCAAGTGCCCCACTGTCGCCCTCATTACTTTCCTGTTGCTACAGATAGATGATAGCTGCACTCACACAGCAAAGCAGATGGCTGAGCAAACTGAAGCCCAGACTTCAGAGTAAGTAGTCATCTTCAAGGTTATCATCACCAGACATGGAAGCAGCTTCTATTGAAGATAAATAAGAAGGAGAAAGTTAGACACTGCCCTATTCTAGCAGGCAATGCCAGCGAGGCTCAAAAGAAAAATGGACCTCTTGGTACTCAATGACCTGACTAGGAACCAAGCCTTCAATTAACCTCCCTACTCTGGAAAGACTGAATGAGAAAAGTTAATCTCCAAAGATGCTCTAGGGAGGAAATACTGCTTGTACCTGATAAGCTGAGGCAGGACAGGGTATGTGTTATCTCTCCAGAGCTCTTTTTGGTCTCAGTGAGCAACGTGCTGAGAGAGGCATCTGTTTCTGTGGCCTGAGTGGATGAAAACAGGAAAAAAGGAGGAACATGTTGGCTTTTAGGAAAAAAGAGGCCACCCTTTCATTCTTCTCATAGGACCTGGTTAAGGCAGTTGCATTTGGCTACCAAGAGGGACAAAATGCTCCTTTGGTCAACTACTGGAGGAGCTCAAAGTCCTTAGGAAAGCTAACACAGTATCAGGACTAGAAGCCCTTAGTGTCTATGTGCTAGATTTGCCTGGAAGCAGCACCCTATATAACTACAATAGCTCACCATGTCCTTCAACATGTCTGGGACAGCTCTGTTTTCTTCTATGTCTTCAGGAAGCTCAATTGCGTATCCTTTGTGTACTAATTCTAGCCCAATATCAAGTTTCTGAGAAGAAAAATGAAAAGGGAATGATGTTCTCTCAGTAAGCAAGGGCAAATTTGAGGAAACAAGGCAGAAGGACTGATACTTTAAAGACATTCCTTTGGTGAGATGGTGAGAAGGATCTTACAGTAAGAGTAATATCAGATAAGGGTTTCTGAGGAAGAAAAAGTAAATTAGGCTATAAATATACTGAAGATATGGCAAGCAGTGAGTGAATGCCAGTCTTACCTTCCCATTGCTAGTATCATATAAGTAGATCTTTGGCCAAGTTGAGATCCCAGTCTGGACATAGCTAGAGATCTTGGCTACCAGAGGCTTCCAGTCAGCACAATGAGTGAGTCTATCAAACTCATCCAAAGCTTCCTCTTCCCACTGGTCACCTGGCAAAAGATTGTAGGGGTTACTGCTGATAGGGGTGGGGCTTATACCCTGGAGGGAAGTTGGAACTACCCTTTTCTACTCAGGAAGGCACCTGTGTCTTCTCTGGTTGGGTTGGGTCTGCCAGGCAAGTTTCTGGCTGCTGCTAGTGCTGGTGAGGAAAAGGCACCTGAGTCCCCAGAATTCAAAAAGCCTGGGAATGTGAGAATTCCTTCCAATGAACTGTATGAAGTTATTCTATTTGGAGGTAAGCTCAATAGATGGCATGACCAATTTACCTGAGGGAGCAATCCGTGCCAGACTACATTCTATTGCTTGAAATGGAAGGCTTAGGAAGTCACTCCTGAAGTAAAAGAAACTAAAATTAGAATCCTGGGGCCAAAAACATCTTCTTACATTGCTGCTTTCAGAAAGAACCAACTAACATGAGACGATAACCATCTGCTCTCTGTAAACAGGTTCCCTTCCAAATCCCCCTGACAACTGCCAACAGCTCACCACCCTATGGCCAGAACTGAGTCAGCAGTTGGGATTGAGCTGACCTCAGCACTGACCTGAGAGCCCTGAGGTCCTTCAGTGGGCAATCTCCATTATCTCCAAAGTCAACAAAATAGAGGTCCAAGTTCCCATTCTCCAAGGTGCCGAGGACCCGGGCTCGATACCAGGAACCATTTGTAGGTAAAGGTGCTGCTACAATGTCTCCTACATGCACAGTCAAGTCTTCAGGCTGTATGTGGGGAGGAGGAGAAAGGCAGAGAGTTACAAAGTGGTAGGCTCATAAACAGAATTGCAGGAGGAAGAAAGAAAAGTAGTTGCTCCACAGGGAAAGGAAGAGTACAATGAAAAAGATATGCCTTCTTTTCATTAAACCCCAGCCCTGTCCCTATGGCAACTCACCACACTATTCTCATAGTGCTGGGTCATCTCATTGACAAGCTTATCCAATTGCAGGCTGCGGGAGCCAACGATCTGGATCCAGAAGTGGTTAGGGTGCTCAGAAGCAGAAACGTAGACTTCTAGGTACTCATCAGCATGAAAACTGAAGTCAGGACTGGGGACTGAACACAGAGATAAGGATGGTGGCCACATCAGACCCATCTCTGGTTGGAATGAAGAGACTAACCAGGGTAGTGAGAGGTACAAATACCAATGGCTGTTACCATTTTAAAATGGCAGGAGAGGCAACTGGATGAATCAAACAAGAATATCCTAAAGAAAGATACTAAGCTATCCTTTGTACCTTTCCATGTAACTGAGTAATAACAGCTTACATTCTTTGTCATGTGCTACATAGTCAAATCGGTCACCAATTATACAGAAGGTAAACCTCCATATGCTAGCTACAGCATGGATCAGTAAAAAGGTATATGGACAGCAATCTTTACATGGACAGTGACGGACATGGACCTGTTCCAGATCCCATTCTACCACTGACTCTTTACATGACCCTGGACAAGTCTGTGAGCTTCTTGGGAATCCAGGTCCTCTTTGCCCACGCCAAAACCTATGTACAGAAGAGAAAGCTCACAGCCTTTTCAATAGTGATGATTTTTAAAAACAGTAATGAAAAAGGCAATATAAAATCTGGCTGAGAATTTTACTTGTTGATAAAGTATGTCTAGGCTGGGCATGGTGGCTCATGCCTGTAATCCCAGCACTTTGGGAGGCCAAGGTGGGTGGATCATTTGAGGCCAGGAGTTCGAGTCCAGCCTGTCCAACATGGTGAAACCCCATCTCTACTAAAAAATACAAAAATCAGTCGGATGTGGTGGTGTGCACCTGTGGTCTCATCTACTCGGGAGGCTGAGGCATGAGAATCACTCGAACCTGGGAGGCGGAGGTTGCAGTGAGCCGAGAATGCACCATTGCACTCCAGCCTGGGAGACAGAGGAAGACTCTGTCTCAAAAAAAAAAGTATGTCTAGAGGAACAATATCATGTAAATCCAATTATTTGATGTATTACTCATTTGTTTCCTGTGTCAGCATTATTTTGCCATTTCCATCAGCTGTTTTATATTTAGAAAAATATTTATGTTTAGTATTAATTCAAGTAAAATATTATTACCAGTAAGGAATATCTGTGATGATAGACATAAGTGTATTCATGAAAAAAGACTTTTTATTGCTTCCTATTTTGGGTAATCTAAGCCAGTATTTCTTTTTAAAAAAATAGTTAATTTTTTTTTTTTTTTTTTGAGACAGGATCTCACTGTCACCCAGGCTGGAGTGCAACGGTGCAATCCCAGCTCACTGTAGCCTCGACTTCCTGGGCTCATGTGATTCTCCCATTTCAGCCTCCCAAGTAGTTGGAACCACAGGTTGCGCCACCATGCCCTAAGCCAGTATTTCTTTTTTTTTTAAACAGAAAACCTAGGTTATTTGTTAAGCCGTTACAAAAACAAAACAATTACCATTTGAAGTACTTTGAGGACTTTATCCCAGACTCATTTGTTCTGTTACAGAAACTAACCTAAAAGGTTGGAAATTAAAGAATATAACCTAAGAGGTTATAACAGAGCGGGCTGGTAAAACATGGCGAAAGGAGCTCTCTCTTTCCCACCCTGTCTATTTATACCTCCAAGCTCCTGTGCATTCTCACCACATAGGTCTGCTAGCTTACATAAAATGCATACAGTGAAGGCAGGAATTATAGGCCTACTCAGAGGGTACCCAGACACAGAAAGTTTGGGGTAAATAATAAACTACAAATATCCTCTTGGTTAATTCATTTTTGTTAATAAAGGTCATGTATCTATCTTTTGCTGGTAACAACTTGTCTCAATATAGTCTGTCTCAAGAAAGAAGTAGTTCAGGTTGGGTTTTGGAAAAGGAAGAAGACTTTCATCAACTTTGCTTCAGAGTGGAAGAGGCACCAAGTTCTCTCCTACAATTAGGAGCAGAATCTTATACCTGCATAAATCATTTTCAGTGATCAACATCTGCACCCTCAAACTGTCCAGCAACTGTTGGTGTGGATTCTACCTCCATCCCATCTTCAAAATATCTTACCGAATCTTCTGTCCTGACCCCAGCCATATTATACTGGCTGCTCAGACTGAGAAGGCATTCCTTCTAATCTCTCCAATATCTAAGCCAGTATTTCTATCTTCAATGATTAATGGGCTCCCTCTTTGTTACATACTTTCAAACATGGGCATCTCTGGGATGGCCTGGGCTTCAGACTTCTGAAAGCTGTCATCACTAGGTTTCTCCCAGGAACCTTCCTTTGACACTACCACAGCCATGTCGCCTCCTCCTTTGGGTGGAGGAGTCACCAGGGGTGCAGTCGGCTCCATGCTAGAACTGGTGTTTTTCCATAATGCTGGCTCTCCAGCTCCACCTGGCTCTGTCATGTCTTCTCTTCTCACACTGATTGGCTGTTTGCGTGGGACCCTGGTTTCTGCAGAATGAGCAATTCTCTTCCGAAGTTCTTCATCTTCTGAAACTTTCTCCAGTATCAAATGCTGTGGAAAACAAGAGAAAGGATGATATTCTGACCTGGGATAGAGTAAAAGGATCTTCTCATGCTCAGGTATAATTCAAGTCTATTAGCTACTTGCCTTGGCTGCTGCCACTTCCTTCTGTGTTCCTGAGATTTTTATAAGTCTTGATAGTAGTAATGTCCCTTCTGATTCTTTGTCACAGGTAATTTTGGCTCCAGATGCCTTACAGATAGAACGAATTGTCTCGCCGCCTCTCCCTACATTAAACAATATATAAAAACCTGCCCTTCCCTCCTGGCCAACCTTAGCTACTGGAGAAATCACTGTTTTGTATATACTAGGAGAAGAGAATCAGTTCTCATTTCTAAAGTGAACAAAATACAAGATGTTGAATGGAAATCAGGAGCTACTGAAATCATTACTGTGAAAAGGAGAATACCATATTCTTTCCTTTTTCCATTTTATTTAAACTCTACACTTTGGCTAACTTCATGTCATTTTCATTTTGACCACTCAGCATGGCCATATCAGGTCACAAGAAGATATGCTACATAGTGTGTCAGAACACCGGATCAAGGACAGGACATTTCTCTGCCTCTAACAGCAGCACTAAGCAATGCTCTAGGGGAAAGCATAAAAGGTACCCTCTAGAGCACTGTCTTGAAAGACTTGAGATAACATGAGCATCCCAAGCTTCCCTTTAAAAATCAATTATAAGGTAAATATAATACATCTACTAGAACCCTTAAAGAATCAATTTGTAAGGTTCAGATCATACAACTTCTTGAGGAAACAGGTTTGGTTTTACCACCAGTTCTACAAACAGTAAACCTCTGGTCTCAATGTCCCTTTTTTTCCCCTCACATGGTGAAGGGGAACTAGGCCAGAAAAAACCCTGGGAAGGTGTGAAAGAGGGGCAAAGGTAAAGAATAAAGGAAACAATAGAGGAAGCCATCCAGTGGTACCTATGATTCTGCCCACAGATCTCTGGGGAACTGAAAGCTGCTCAGACACTGGGGTATTCTCTGTCAGGATCTGATGGATTGCTGCTTTGGCCTTGCACACCTGAACAGGAAAACCACTGATAAGCAGCACTCGCTCATCGCCTACATCCTCTGTGTCCACATCAATCCGAGCACCTGTCTGTTTCCGCAGCTGCAAAGAAAAGGACATTTGGCAGTACATTCTGGAAGAGCTCCCATTTGAGCCCAGCTACAGACACTCTAAAACAAACCCTGGAGGTAGATAGAATTAGCCAAAGGAATTAGCTAATACTATCTATACAACCAGTCCTCAATTACTTTATATACAACCTCAGTTACTATCTATACAACCAGTCCTCACTTTATGGAAGGAGATTAGTAACAAATGTAACCCCAAATAGCAGTAAATTCAAACCCATTTATCTTTGTGTTTAGAATCCTTTCCCCTTACTAATTTTATTTGGATTAGAGAATCAAATATTTTGTTTTCTTGACATTCCAGCTGAACAATGGAAGATGGTAAGAAGAACCAGGTAGCCATTCAATATTTACTGTCAATTAATGAGAGTTCATTAATTCCATAGTAGAAAAGGATAATTTGACCAGGCGCGGTGGCTCACGCCTCTAATCCCAGCACTTTGGGAAGCCAAGGCGGCTGGATCACGAGGTCAGGAGATCGAGACCATCCTGGCTAACATGGTGAAACCCTGTCTCTACAAAAAATACAAAAAATTAGCTGGGAGTGGTGGCGGGCACCTGTAGTCCCAGCTACTTGGGAGGCTGAGGCAGGAGAATGATGTGAACATGGGAGGCGGAGCTTGCAGTGAGCCAAGATCATGCCACTGCATTCCAGCCTGGGTGACAGAGCCAGACTCTGTCTCAAAAAAAAAAAAAAAAAGGATAATTCAAGTTATACCATGCTGACAATCACCCAGTCAAAAACCCGTATTTCAAGCTAAGTCATCCTTTCTCTAGGGAGAAGTACTCTTCTCTAGAAGGGAAGTAGCTAAAAAGTTTAGTTAGCTAAAAAGTTCCTCTATTTGTTCTTTTAAAAATATACATAGTGGTTGGGCCCAGTGGCTCACACCTGTAATCCCAGCACTCTGGGAGGCCGAGGCAGGCGGATCACCTGAGGTCAGGAGTTCGAGATCAGCCTGGCCAACATGACGAAACCTCGTCTCCACTAAAAATACCAAAAATTCGCTGGGCGTGGTGGCGGGTGCCTGTAATCCCAGCTACTCGGGAGGCTGAGGCAGGAGAATCACTTGAACCCAGGAGGCGGATGTTGCAGTGAGCCGAGATCGTGCCATTGCACTCCAGCCTGGACAACAAGAGCGAAACTCCATCTCAAAAAAAAAAAATATATATATATATATTTTATATATACACACACACATACACACACACACAGAGCATGTGAATGTTTTGTGATATGGGGTCAGTGGAAGGAAACAAGAAATCAATAAACAGAATCAATCCTTGGGAAAGCAGACTGCCTACTCACACACTTACCTGTTTAATATTGGCTCCTTGCCGGCCAATGATGAGTTTCACAGCCTCCTGGGGAACCCGCATCTCTATCTCAATGTCATCTTCCCCAACAAATGTCAGCCGCTCTTCTGCACAGATCATTGTTCATCAGATCAGACTTAGATAACACCCAAAGCTAGTATAACTACCAGTCCTCCCCAGAATCTGGCTGTCAAAGAGACACTGATCCAAGAGATAAAGTGAGGATCTCAACCATAACAACAAGGAAAAGTGGCATCTGAATGGGAATTAGAAGGTCCCAAAGGATCAGAGATGGGCATTTTCTCTGGGACACTGTTTCAGATGCTAAAATGGGAAAAGCAGATTCTGCAATAAACAGGTGCTGGGGTTTGGGCAAACTACTTCTCCCAAGACATGACTACTGGAGAAGAATGAAGGCCAAAAGTTACCTGAGGGGTCCATTAGGCTCAGAACTTCTCCTGACTGATAGGTACATAAGTCATTTCTCTAGGTCCTATTCTCTAGATCCAGCCTTTGAGGTAAGTGCCTTCTACTAACAACTAATTAGAGAAAAGGAATATATAAAAAAGATGAGTATAGAAATTAAAAAAGAACTCTTTGCTGTGTTGATGTTGCTGAAGAAAGCACATCAATGGAGTTATAAAATGAGTTCATTTCATAGACTAGCTTACTTTGCTATGTAAGAACATAGCAAAGACTAGGCCAGGTGCAGTGGCTCATGCCTGTAATCTCAGCACTTTGGGAGGCCGAGGCAGGTGGATCACTTGAGGTCAGCCACCCTGGTGGTGAAACCCCGTCTCTACTAAAAATACAAACATTAGCCAGGAGTGGTGGCACACGCCTGTAATCCCAGCTACTAGGGTGGCTGAGGCAGGAGAACTGCTTGAACTCGGGAGGCAGAGGTTGCAGTGAGCCGAGATTGCTCCACTGCACTCCAGTGTGGGCGACAGAGTGAGACTCTGTCTCAAAGAAAAAAAAAAGACTAAATAATTTTAGTCAAAGATTCCTCACAGAAAGTCAATTAAAATACCTGGGTCAGGCATGGAGGCACATGCCTGTAATCCTAGCACTTTGGGAGGCCGAGGCAGGTGGGTTGCTTGAGCTCAGGAGTTCAAGACCAGCCTGGGCAACATGGGAAAACCCCATCTCTACAAAAAATACAGGCCTGTGGTCCCAGCTACTTGGAGGCTGAGGTGGGAGGATTGCTTGAGCCCAGGAGGTCGACACTACAGTGAGCCAAGATTGTGCCACTGTACGCCAGGCTAGGTGACAGAGTGAGACCCTGTCTCAAAAAAACCCCACAAAAAACCCCAAAACAAAACACACACAATACCTGGCAAGGAAAGAGTTTTTTTCAATTTAACAAGGCAGGAGCATGTCTGAACATTTTCACACACACAGTCATAGGGTTCACGTACCTCTGCTTTCCCTATACCTGCGGTATAGGATATAGGCAACTGTTGCACTGGCTGGGATCCCAAGGCCCAGGGCTATTTTCTGAATGGTGGACAGGCTTGTCCAAGAAGTCCGTTCAGTAGACATTTTCTGCTGTACTCTTTGACTTATATCCTGAAACAAGCAAAGCAGGGAAAAGAGGGAGGTTTCATCCAATCCTTTTATGAATAGCAGAGAGGCATGGGAGCACATTATTACTGAAAAGACTACTACTGCCTACCTTCCAATTTCAAGAGCTTCAGCAATTTCAAAATTTATTTCATATAAAAAGGGCTCAGGGTATTTTTTAAAAGTTAGCTAAGGTACACATAGAATTAAATAGAAGCATACTTCACTTTCCCCACCCAAGTCAGTTTTAAAAGACAAAAAAAATTAAATGAATCAAATATTTGAAATATATATACTTAGATTTCATATTAAATTATTTAAAATTACTTATCTAAGTCCTTTTATGCCTCCAGGGCTTTCCAGAAGCTGCTGCCTCTGCAAGAAATGCCATTCCAGGCTTAGTAAAGGCCTTACTATTTATCTTTGTTGGAAGTACAGTCTTCATTTACTGTCTCTACTTTTGGTTTCTATTTATTTACTCCTTAACGAACAGTGAAATGGGGTTCTTCCCTGCTCCATCGCCAAAACTGTAACTTCCCAGATAATCAACCTACAGGTCATGCATGGAGCCTTATCTCACCCATCTCTCTGCGGTAGCAGGAAGGTGGCCACTCCCTCCACAAAACTCTTTCCTTGGTTTCTGTGCCCTCTTTCTCTTGGTTTCCTCTTATTTCCCTGGAGGGTCCTTCCAAGTTTGGGCTTCTCATCCTGTGCCATCAATTGTTAATGTCACTCTGCTCTCTTTAGACCATTTCATCCACATATGTGGGTTCAATTACTACCTATATGCTAATGACATCAACAATGCTGCATCTGGCCTGATTCAGAAGCTCAAATCTTATTTAGACCACAGCAGTGGACTTCTTACAGGCTTTTGTGCTGAGTTTCTCTTTGACACTGTATCTTCATTTTGCTGCCAAGCAAATTTTAACATGTTCCTCATTATATTTCCTTATTCCACATAGTTTCTCAGCCTCCCTCTCCACTCAAACGTCTCGTGCTGCCTCCTCCAACCTCTCTCAACTGAGGTCCTTGCTATTTCACTAAAAAAGGAGAGCATTCAGAGAAAATATCCACAAGCTTCTACACATTTGCCCACCTTCCTCCACCTGTGCCTAAATGCTTGCTGTTCTCTCCTGTGACCACAGATGAACTGTCTCTGCTCCTAGCACTGAAGTCTTTCATAAAAGCACTGCTCCACAAGTTCTCCTTGCTTCTACTACATGATTAACGTTTTCTTTCCTCTCTACTGGATAGTCCCATCAGCAGACAAACATTCTCTGTTCTTAAAGAAAACCCTTCCTGGATTTCACTTCAACTACTTCCCATTTCTTTTCTTCCTTTTAAAGGAAAACTCGAGTGTCAATATATCTGTCCTCAAGTTCTCTTCTTAAATCCACTCTAACTGCTCACATCAGAGTCACCAATGATTTCATACTGCTCAATCCAAAGATCGATTCTCAGTTTTCATCTTACCAGATGTCCCCACAGTATTTGGCACAGCTGATGATTCCCTCTTCTCTGAAACACATTCTCCATAGCACACCCTCCTGGTTTTCCTCTTTCCTTTCTGGCTATTCCATCAGTCTCCCAGTTGCTGGTTTCTTCACATTTTTCTAACCTCTAAACACTGGAGTGCCTCAGGGATCTGTCCTTCGCCCTCTTCTCTGTTCTACCTCACTTTCTTGGTGATCTCAAGTCTCATTCACGGACTGGCTTTAACTCCTATCTAGATGCTGATAACTTCCAAATTAATAGATCCATTTAGGACCTTTCTCAACTGCCTACATGGATCTCCATTTGATGTCTAATAGACATCTCAAACTTAACACTGAGCTCCTGATTCACCCCCTTCCCATAATCTTTGCCATCTCAGCAAATGGCAATTCGTTTTTTTTTTTTTTTTTGAGACAAGGTCTTTCTCTGTTGCCAGGCTGGAGTGCAGTGGCGCAACCATGGCTCACTGCAGCCACAACCTCTGGACTCAAGCAATCCTCCCATCTCTCAGCCTCCCAGTAGCTGAGACTACAGGTGCATGCCACCATGCCCGGCTAATTTTTGTATTTTTTGTAGAGAAAGGGTTTCACCATGTTGCCCAGGCTGGTCTCAAACTCCTGGGCTCAAGTGATCCACCAACCTCAGCCTTCCAAAGTGCTGAGATTACAGGTGTGAACCACTGTGCTCTGCCTCGACTGCATTCTCTTACTCCCTTAGTCATCCTCTCTCTCACACTGCACACCTAGCCTGTCAACAAATCTTATTTGCTCTACCTTCAAATCATCCAGAATCTGACCACTTTTTCTCTTTGCAGTTCTATGACCCTGCTCTAAAACACCATTATCTTTTCCCTAGATTACTGCATTGCTTAATTACGTTCCTGCCTTTGCCATTGTCCATTCAGTTTATTCTCAACACAAGAGCTGGAGTAAGTACTATGTGCTAGATGCTACTGTGGCACTAAAGACACAAAAATGAAGAGATAATGTGTTGAGTAGCTACTATGCCAGGCAAATTACATAATTTTATTTTACAGTCATATAACCCTGTAAGGCAGGAAATATTAATCCCATAGAAGAGTACCCATGCTTGAAGAGGTTATCTAATCTCTAACCCAGAGTCTGGGTTATTCTTGCTTGTAAAAAACCTTGTAAAGTGATTTTAGAAATCCTTCCCCACTCTTCCTTTTACCTAAGCTCTTAGGGTAACAGCACCTGTATTTTTATTCTTTATTTTGATCAACATATTCAATTCAAAATTAATACTGGTAGAAAGTACTGTAGGTGGTTAAAAAAACACTGAAGACTAAAAAACTAAAGATAGGTGATAAAAAACTGAAAACTAAATATCTGTATTTCCAGATATTACAATCTAGTAGAACAAAGCAAGCTGGCTTTAAATAAGATTTGCTTAAAAATGAGTAAATGTAACTTATGCCATAATTTACCTCCAGGTACAAAAATTCAACCCAAATAATTATAATAAACAAAAATGTATTTCACCCTGGGGGGAAAAACTGGCTATATCCTGGTAAGGCTAAAAACATACTCATTAATACAAAACCTACTGTGGAATAAAACTTAGGCTTTCAGGGAAAGCACAGTCAATCTGGAAGAGTAAAGAGAGAAAGGAGAACATCTAGCACCGAAATCTCACTGAGGAGCAGATATAGTCAGGTAAGGGAGGCTGGAGGTAGATTTCTTACAACAGTCATCCTCTCTTATCCTCGAGGAATATGTTCCAAGAACCCCAGTGGATGCCTTGGAGTACTGAAAACTATAGGTTTTTTCAATCTGATAACCAAGATGGCTACTAAGTGACTAAGAGGCGGGTAGCATATACAGCATGGATATGCTGGACAAAGGCAGGATTCTCGTCTGGGCCAGGATGGAGATTTCACCATGCTAGTCAGAATGGTGCACAATTTAAAACTTAAGAATTGTTTACGTATGGAACTTCCCATTTAATCTTTTTGGACCAGGATTGACTATGGGTAAGTGAAAGCAAAACCACGGAGAAGGGTAGACTACTACACTGTCATACAGATGACCAGAATTTGCATCTGGCCTCACAGCTTTACTGATCAACAGAACTGAATAAAGTTCTTCAGAGAACTACCAGAAGTTTGCCAAATCTATTTTTTCTATATCCTGGTTTTAAACAAATTTAATCCACCTTCTTGCCCGGACTCAAAAGCCTGAGCAAATAATAAAACGGCCTTTTACTACCCGAGGTGGGGGATGGGTACCTCTTTTCAAGGGTGTCGTCTATTTTGGGTCATTAGTTACTCAGTGAATTCAGTATATCATTTTTAGAGACTATCAATCTGAGGGAATACTGTTCTCTCCCGACCTTTTTAGAATGTAGGACAGAAAGGGTTGAGGTTAATGTAGGCTGTTTGTTTTCATTTATGAGGTTCTTTTCCCAAGTCATTGGATAAGCTTCTCTTTTTTTAAATACACTGCAAATAAAAGCTTTCACCATCCTGAAAGTTTGGATGGTATTATATAAGCATCGTTGTATATACCAAAGGAAAGGAAACAAGTTGTTTCATAAAGGAGATTTTTGACTTAAATAATTCTTGAATACACACCTCCCAAACTGCTACTTTCCTACATTGAGATGGTTTATTCTTGGTGTCTAGAAAGAATTTGACTTCTTTTGTCCCCTGATTACTTTAGATATATATATTTTTTGAGACGGAGTCTCACTCTGTTGCCCAGGCTGGAGTGCAGTGGCACGATCTCAGCTCACTGCAACCTCTGCCTCCCGGGTTCAAGCGATTCTTCTGCCTCAGCCTAATGAGTAGCTGGGACGACAGGCACCTGCCACCATGCCCAGCTAATTTATGTATTTTTAGTAGAGACAGGGTTTCACCATATTGGCCAGGATGGTCTCGAACTGCTGACCTCATGATCCGCCCACCTCGGCCTCCCAAAGTGCTGGGATTACAGGCGTGAGCCACTGCGCCTGGCTTAGGTATTTTCTTATATGACCACTAAAGTGCAAAGCTTGTTTCCATTATTAATGCATCTTGGTTAAATAGTGCTAGCTCTTTCTTGTGTGCTGAGCACGTTGGGGACAGAAGGAGGAAGAAGAATTTCTACTTGGAAATATTCATAGTCTAGGAAACATAAACACCAAAACAGGCTGGGCACAGTGGCTCATGCCTGTTAATCCCAGCACTTTGAGAGGCTAAGGTAGGAGGACTGCTTGAGACCAAGTATTCAAGACTAGCCTGGGCAACATAGTGAGACTCTGTTTCTACAAAAAAAAAAAAAAAAAAAAAAAAAAAAAAATTAGCTAGGCGTGGTGTTGCACACCTGTAGTTCCAGCTACTCAGGAGGCCGAGGTGGGAGATGGCTTGAGCCCAGGAGGTGGAAGCTGCAGTAAACTGATGACACCACTGCACTCCACCCTGGGCAACAGAGCGAGAATTTGTCTCAAGGGGTTTAAAAAAAAAAAGTATAGGGCAAGATGTGTGTAGGTTATATACAAATAATATGCATCTTATACAAGGGACATGAGCATCTATGGATTTGGGTTCTGCAGGGTTCCTGGAACCAATCCCCTGCAAATAACGAAGGGAGGGACAACTGTATAAATTCTTGGTCAATGCGACAGTTGAAAGTAGCTAGAACCTTAAGGTTTATTTCTTAGATGGTGTATAGTTGAAAATCATCTCATTAAAATACAACTCACTTTTCTTCCGCAAACCTATACTACATGAATGAACTGCACTAAATGGACATTTATTCAAGCCAATAAATATCGAATTCTGATGTGTGCTTGACCCTCGGGACACAACAGTCAAGATAGATTTGGCAGCTGCCTTCATGGAGTTTCCTGTCTGGCAAGGAAGATCTTGACAGGCAGGAGTCTTTAGGTCTTAAGGGCTTTGGGAAACTGAAATCTAGCCCTGTGAACAAGAATAAACTGGATCTGTATTTTCATGCTGTCTGCTTTTAAAAACTGGCCATAATTGATGCTTATGGGGCATAGAAATCACAAGATTTTATAACTAGAAGGGACTACAGAACTTATTTGATTCCATTAATAACGTTGCAATTTGGGAAACTGCGGCTAAGGGATAGAAAAGGATTGATCTAAGATCACACAGCTCATTAGTCATTTCTACACAATACAGTGTGCAATAGAAATAAGTCTGTTTTGATGGCCAGTCATAATCACACCTCTTTACAGAGGCCCAAAGGACTAGCAGCACTTTTGTTTTCCAGTTCTGACACTATCAAGATCAAGTGCAGAGGGGTCTCTGCAGCCAAGGCCCCTCAATCTCGACCCCCTACACTGGGTTGAATTACATTGCTATGGGTTTCCACAGAATCCCCAATATCCCTTGATAACACATGCCATGCTTGTCATTCTTGATTAACATCTGTGTCCGTGGTGAGGAGAATGAATTGAAGGCAGCAACCGTGGCTGCAGGAGACCAATCAGGGCCTAGTCCAGGTGTCAATGATGGAGATGGAGAACAGATGAATTGGAGAGTTTGTTGTTGTTTATTTAGAGACAGAGCCTTGGTCTGTCACCCAGGATGGAATGCAGTGAATGATAATAGCTCACTGCAGCCTTGAACTCCCGCAGTCGTCCGGCGTAGCTGAGATTATAGGTGCGGTTTTGGCCGACTTCTATTTGAAGCAAAAGGTAAATTTCACTAACTCCTCTTCAAACATTACAAATGAATTTGTGCTAATTGAGTTATCAGCTGATGTCTCAAAAAATGAGACTCTACTTGATCTGTCACTATGGTTTTGTTCACAATTTTCATATCCTTTCAGCTATAAGTTTCTCTTAAAGAGAAATGGAAAATAATATAATGTAAACGGGGATAACTGCATAGTACTGACTGCTAGCTTGTGTTTGATTTTATTACTTAAAAATTGAATGGGAAGGAGGAAAATACTAGAACTTAAGACCACAGTTTCTAGGGGAAGCTAAGAAGAGAAGATGAGGATCATTGTTCAGTGAGGAATGTGGTTAGATAATGGTTTTCAGTGAAAGCTAACTTTGAAATTTCCTGACATTTGTATTGAACAATTGCCAAAAACTATCTGATATGCATCGCTAAGGCTTACTTTATCATTTAAAATGACAGGAGTCAAATAGGATGTGATGAGAAGTCAAATCACATTGTTAGCTCCATGAAAGCATAGATAACTCATTCCAGTATCTCCTAATAACCAGAACCTACAAAGAACCTACAACATGGTGACATGCTTGAATCGAAGCAGCTCAATGTTCTCATCCTTGGTACGTTTATTTTAAATTCACGAGAAAAAAAAAAGTGTCAACCCCTTTCTCTCAAAACAAGGAAAGGGTCTAAAAGTCAGTCTTTGAAATAGGGGTCTCCAGCCAACCCCCACGATGATACCTGGATTAAGGAATGAGGGATACTGGAAAAACAAAAACCCCAATGTATTATTCTGACGACTGTAAACAGCCATCCTATTAGCGATAACTAAAGAAAAAGCTGGGGAAAGTTAAAGGCAAAGTGATATACGGATGGCAGCTCTCAGTCTCAAAAAGGCCCAGTGGAAGAGTCTGAACTGACTCAGGGCAAACACAAACGCTCCCGCACCGGGTCCGTTGTGGCGTAAGCGGGTGACTGGAGCATCTTCCTCAGATACAGTTACGAGTTCCCAGTGGGTCAAGTTGCCCCCGAGCGGCGTCTCACAGCCCAGGGCTCTGACTCCCCCGCTGCGCCCCACATCCTTCCCTCGCCCCGGGGCACGCCAGACCCCTCCCTTCCCTCGCTCCCGCATTTCCGTCTCCTAGTGGCCAGGGCTGCCCATGACCCTGTCTTTCCCACTCCCCAAACCTTCGGTCTCCATCCTCGCCTTTACCGCTGCTCCAGTCAGCCGTCGAGTGCGCCGCCTCGCGCCTCACCCCAGCTGCAGCCACCAGCGCCGCCGCCTCCCACTCACACCACCACAGTGAGCCCCGCCGGCGGCGCTTCAGCCGCCACTTCCCCGCCCCCGCAGCCCGACAGCACCAATCAACACCCTGCTCGCAGTCCGACCAATCGCCTTCTCCCGTCACAACCAATCCTTCCGCGGGCTGCCCCTGAGCGACGTGGCTGCTGCTAGCCGCTGCCCAATTACCCGGATGGAATCCAAAGCAGGCCCACCCTGTCAGCCAATAAGATCCAGGAAAAGCAGATGTTGTTAACTGAGACCGCACCTGCTGAGAATTAAACAGCCAATTACAAGCTTCCCGGCGTCCTCGCAGACCACCTCTAGGCCAATTACCGAGGAGTTTTCTATCTTCTAACCCTTGGAGGAAAATCTGCGCTCCAGCAGCTGGGACCGAGGCATGAGAGCGTTGAATCATGAGTGGCACCGTTCGCAAAAATTGGTGTCTTTGTACAAAGACAGTGCCACAACACAACTCAGTGACCATCGGGAGAGCAGCCTCATGATGGGCGATGCTCCATCAGTTTTCTCTTGCGATCTTTTGCATAGATCGGTCCCGCCCCGCATATGGCGATGAGGACTCAAGAGACACGGAAAACGTTTTCTTTCTGGAAAACATGAAATAGGCTTTGTAGATGGACAGGAAGTCAAGGGACAAGCGGTGCGCCGCAGAGAGCGAGGACCCACTCTTCTATTCCTTTGCGGAGGCACGGACACACGGTGTGGCCCGAAACAGCGGCAGGAGAGTGAGACCCGGGCTCCGACCGCGGTGGTAAGGGGGCGGCGGGCCATAGGGGCGCCAGGGGCCCACCCTTCCCTGGGGATTCGAGGAAACGGGTCGAGGCGACAGCGTGAAGGCCTACGCCGGGGGAGGGGGTGGTGGCGGGGGGCGTTTCTGTGGGGGCGAGGAAGGGAGCGGGTCTCCGCAGGCGGAAGTTTGCTTTGGAAGATTTTATTCCAGACGCTGTCCTGGTCCCTGGACGGTTAGGAACGGTTGGGTCCTGCTACTGCCTCCGTGGGGCAGGGAGCCTCGCGAGACCAGCACTGCGCCCTACTCGGTCCACCCTGTCCCCGCTCCGCGCTAGGGGCTCACCCTGGGAACAGGGGTCGGGCGATCCTGGTCATTGGGGGATCTTCCGCACTAGCTTCCATCACAATACCTGGCAGGTGATGAGCAATAAATATTTGCTGAAAGAACGCAAGGTTGTATCTTTTGTCAATTAGGCAGATGCCTTTGGGCCTCAGGTTTTGCTTTCTATTAATATAAAAATGTGTATGCGTTTTGAATAAGTAATACATTTACATTCTACAAAATTCAGAAGAAACAAGGTTATTATAGTGAATAAATTTTCCTTCCTTCAAGGCAACTAGGGTTACCAGTTTCTTGTGAAAAATTTCACAAGATATTCTATAGTTAACGTGTGTATATGTGTAATATATAAAGTGTATATATATATACACACACATATATTTTTTTAACCCAGTTGATAACATACATACTATTTTGCAACTTTCTTTGATACAGTCTGGAAATGTTTCCGTAGCAGCATATACGTATCTGCCTCATAGTGATAGTTTCATAGTATGCCTGAGGGATATATGAAGATATATTTAACCAGTCCTTTAACATTTGATTGATATGCAAGGATACTTCATTTCCCTCTTGCATATGTGTATGATAAATACTTAGAAATGCAAGTGCCAAGTTAAAGAAATGTGTGCATTGTTTTTTCATTTGGATAGATAAAATTTTGTAAATTCCCTTCCTCCCACAAAGATTTTTATAATTTTAATCCCACCAGCAATTTTTGAAAATGATTTTAGTTAGTATTACCAAATTGCCTTCCCTGGAAATTTTACCAATTTTGTCTCCTGTCAGCAATGTATGAAAAGAACCTGTTTGATAGCACACTGGTGCTGTTAAACTTCCTGATTTTTGACAATCTGATAGTGTAAATGCTATCTCATTGCAAGATAAAATTTCATTGCTCTTATAAGTAAAGTTGAGCATCTTTTAATATATTTAAATGGCAATTTTTTTGTAAATTCTCTGTTTTTATATTCTGTTCATATTTTTATTGGTTATAGGGTCATTTCTTAATACTTGCTGTTTGTATATAAGTTAAAAGTATTTTCCCCGGCCAGGTGTGGTGGGTCACGCCTGTAATCCCAGCACTTTGGGAGGCTGAGGCAGGCTAATCACCTGAGGTCAGGAGTTCAAGACCAGCCTGGCCAACATGCTGAAACCCCGTCTTTATTAAAAATACAAAAATTAGCCGGTTATGGTGGCAAGCGCTTGTAATCCCAGCTACTTGGGAGACTGAGGCAGGAGAATCACTTGAACTGGGGAAGCGGTGGTTGCAGTGAGCCGAGATTGCCACTGCACTCCAGCCTGGGCAACAGAGCGAGACCCCATCTCCAAAAAAAAAAAAAAAAAGTATGTCCCTTTTCCCAGTTTGTTCTATGTATATTGTTTATACATATAACAAGTATTTTCCCTTTTCCAAGTTTGTTCTATGTATATTGCATATTTTGAGGCTGGTCTCCAACTCCTGACCTCAGGTGATCAGCCTGCCTCAGCCTCCCAAAGTGCTAGGATTACAGGCCTGAGCCATTGCCCTCAGCCTGTTTATGGTTATTCTTTGCAAATGTTAAAAATTTTTATGTAATTGAATTTATCAATATTTTCTTTGATAATTTCTGGGTTTCTTTCTTTCTTTTTTTGAGGCAGAGTCTCATTCTGTCGCCCAGGCTGGAGTGCAGTGGCATGATCTTGGCCCACTGTAACCTCTGCTTCCCAGGTTGAAGAGATTCTCGTGCCTCAGCCTCCTGAGTAGTTGGGATTACAGGCATGTACCACCATACCTGGGTAATTTTTGTATTTTTTAGTAGACTCGGAGTAGTTTTGCCATGTTGGCCAGACTGGTCTCAAACTCCTGGCCTCAAGTGATCCACCCGCCTTAGCCTCCCAAAGTATTGGTATTACAGGCGTGAGCCACTGTGCCTGGCCAACTTCTGTGTTTCATATAATTTTTAGTAAAGTCTCCCACTATTTAAGATTATTCTTAAAGCTCCTATGTTTTTTTAAAAAGTACTTTGATAGTGTCTTTGTATATGTAAATATTTGATTCATCTGGAATTTATTTTGGTGTAAAGGTGTGAGATAGAGATCCAATTTTGTTTTGTTTTATTCAAATCCTTCTTATTGAATAACCCATGTTTTCTCCATTGTTTTTGAATGCTACCTTTATAATACCAAATTGCCATATGTATTTGGGTCTATTTCTGGATTTTTTTCATTTTGTTCCATTGATCATTAATTTTTTTTTTTTTTTTTTTAGACGGAGTCTCACTCTGTCACCCAGGCTGGAGTGCAGTGGCACGATCTCGGCTCACTGGAACCTCCAACTCCCTGGTTCAAGCGATTCTCCTGCCTCAGCCTCCCGAATAGCTGGGACTACAGGTGCCCACCACCACACCTGGCTAATTTTTTGTATTTTTAGTAGAGACGGGGTTTCACCGTGTTAGCCAGGATGGTCTCGGTCTCCTGACCTGGTGATCCGCCCGCCTCGGCCTCCCAAAGTGCTGGGATTACAGGCATGAGCCACTGCGCCCGGCCTAAAAATTTTTTAAATTGTATACATTATGGTTTTTTTTTTTACCACAATTTAAAAAATTAATTTATAATATACATGCAGAAAAATGCACAAATGACAAGTATATATCTTGATGAATTTTCACAAATGGAATACATTTGTGTAACCAGCAGCAGATCAAGAAACAGAACATTGCTAGTGCCCCAGAAGCCACTTGTGTGTTCCCTCTCAGTCACTGCTCTTCTCAAGGACAACCACTCTTCTGACTCCTGATACCATAAACTAATTTTGCCTGTTCTTGCTTTTTATATAAAGAGAATCACAGAGTATGTACTCTTTTGTGTCTGGCTTCCTTTGTTCAAATTATTTCTGTGAGATTCAGCCATATTGTGTATAGTTTTAGTCCCTTCATTCTGACTACTGTGTGGTATAATATTGTGAGGCTATATTGAACCATAATTTACTCTTCTATTCTGTTACTGTTATTTTGGCTGGAATCACATATTTTTAGATTATCTAAAGGAGAATGTATGATAAGAATCTTCCTATCTTCCTATACATTCAAGTCATTGGTACCCCATCAGTAGAATTTTAGTTTTCATTATGTAGAATTTACATACTTCTTATTAAAATTATTCCTAGGTATTGAGTGCCTTGATTGCTATAGCTATTTTTACTTTAAAAAAAGTAAAATGGTAGTTCAAATCCAAGGAAGAATGTGTCCAGTGTTGCTATAAAAATACAGACCTACTTTATGGGTCCATCTTCTTCTAGCTCCAGTGAAGGTGGGATGGGCAAAAAAGAGGAAATGAAGTCCAAAAAGGGGGTTACACTTTATAGTTAAACCACAAGAGGAATTTATTTCTTTTTTAAGACAGAGTCTTGCTCTGTTGCCCAGGCTTGGGGCAATGGCATGATCTCTACTCACTGCAACCTCCACCTCCCGGGCTCAAGCGATCCTCCTGCCTCAGCCTCCCAAGTAGCTGAGACTACAGACATGCACCACCACACCCGGCTAATTTTTGTCTTTTTAGCAGAGATGGGGTTTCACCATGTTGCCCAGGCTGGTCTCCAGCTCCTGGGCTCAAGGCATCCACCTGCCTTAGCCTCCCAAAGTGCTGGGATTACAGGAGTGAGTCAGTGTGCTCAGCCTCACAGGAGGAATTTCTTAATCAGAGCAGTGAAAAGCCAGGTGGCATCACTTTTCCCGGATTTTTTTTTTTTTTTTTTGAGATGGAGTCTCACTCTATCATCCAGGCTGGAGTGCAGTGGCACGATCTTGGCTCACTGCAACCTCTGCCTCCCGGGTTCAAATGATCTTCCTGCCTCAGCCTCCCGAATAGCTGGGATTATAGGTGCACACCACCACACCCGGCTAATTTTTGTATTTTTAGTAGAGATGGGGTCTCACCATGTTGCCCAGGCTGATCTTGAACTCCTGATCTCAGGTGATCCACCTGCCTCAGCATCCCAAAGTGCTGGGATTACAGGTGTGAGCCACTATGATCTTATTTTAAAATGAGATTTATTTGATCTTATTTTAAAATCAGATTGAATTCTAACTTGCTGGGTAGGGAGGTTGGGGAGCAGAAGAAATAACTTCGAGTGAGCTGATGCCAAACTCACCCTCAAGTCACTGTACATTTGGGATTTGTCATCTCATTTCTCCTCTCAGATCCCAAATCAGGATTGAAAGATTGAATTGTGAGATGCTGGGATTGAGTGAATTGTAATTTCTTTATTCTCATCTCCAGTCCTAAGAGTCTATTCTCTTTCCCTGAAGGGTGTTCTGAACAGGCTGTGGGAGGCATTAGGTGGAGTGAGTTAAGATAAGTTCTGGGTTTCCCAGAGGGTTCAGTGAGCAGGTGTTCCCTTTAGTAAACTGAAGCAGGAAAGAAGATCTTAGCTAGGGATCTGGGCAGTGAGGGGCTCTGAAATACAAGGAGCCTGGCTCCGGAGCCTTGGCTGCCCACAGAGTTCCTTCCCTGTACAACATACGAATGATTCATTCAAGTGCTGTTCAGCTGTCTGAGTCTGAAAAACAGCACTCATCTCTCCTGTTGCCCATCGTAGGAGTCACCCCCTCCTCCCCACTTAAGCCTCTTCACCAGAAACCAGCGACTGGGAGCAGAGCCTTAGTGTCCTCACTTATGCTGGTGCTACTATTCAATCTTTAGGCCAGATTTAATTGTGGCAGATGCCCTAGGAAAGAATTCTCCTCAGCCTCTCTGACCACCACCACCCAGCTCTATCTTCCTACTTAATTCCCCTTACGAAGCAATTTGGAGGAACAGGACCCAGGAGTCCCTGTTTTCAGATACTCTCCAGCCTGAGTCACCACCGTACTGACTTCTTACAGCAAGAGTTCCACCCAAAGTCTCTTGCCTCTCCCTCAGATGGGTGCTGGTGGGAGAAGGGGACAGGGGAGGAGAGAATGATGGAGCATTTTTGTGTGTTTTCTTGCTGGGCCCATTGTAATACCTGCTCTTACCTGTGCTAACATCCACTTTGAACGGTAGTCCTTCTCAGCCTTTTCTCTTTGCCTCTAATGGACCCTGGGGAGCAAAGGTGGCCTGAGGCCTCAGTTTCTGCTGCAACCTGTGGCTTCTTATAGCAGAATTTTTAACCTATATTCTATGGAGTCTGTGATGGCTTCAGAATAACTGGATAATTTACAAACATTTTTGTTCACAGCTTGCATCAGGGATTCTCAGAGGGATCTGTGACTCAAAAAAAGTTGAGGATCATTGCTTAGCCGGGCTCTCATCTCCTGAATCAGGGATCCAGCACAGCACAGGAAATAGAAGTCAGAAATAGAGAAAGATTGTATGGGGGAAGGAAATGTGAAGTGCTGAGATGGTGCCACAGCATCTTTGGGTCCAGAGTTCTCTCTCAGCTTAGGTAAGACCATGTCTGAGATGGAAGAGAGAGGGGTAGAAGGAGAGCAGGATGGAATGTCCTCAGAAAGGTTCTGTCAAGCAGGGGTAGGCAGAAGGTAGGCAGAGTCAAATTCTTCTCCAATCTGAAGTAGCTCACAGATTGTTCCACCAATCTGTGCAACCTCTCTCTAACCTAGGAGGTTGTTGAGGTTAGAACCCAGAAAAGAACTAGGAAATGTGAAGCCTCCATTTCAGAGAATCCTTTGCTGGAAGCCAGGCATTTCACTGAAGTCCATTTACTCCCTGGAATTTCTGCTCCTTTCTATCAGTCCCTGAGGCAGAGGCTGTAAGGACATTGGGAGAGGGGACTGAGAAGAAAGAGTAAAAACAAAGAAAAACCCCAACATCCTGAATCAGGTGCATTAGAGTTAATGAAGAATGTAAGGACCAATAACTTAGCCCAGTCCCCACTGAAAGTTCAGAGTGGATGCATTGGAAGATTTCTCCTTTCTTACAGGTCGTGTCCTGCAACTGAAAGGCCCTGGGAGAGAGAGCCGTGAGGGCATGGCAGTGAGGATGGCAGTGTGGTGGAAAGGGGGAGTTTTCAATCAGACAGCCATGAGCTCAAATAGCTAGTTACTATTTACTAACTAGCTCTGTGCACTTGAGCACTTACTCTCTTTGACCTTTAGTTTCACCAGCTAAGATGCCTCTCTACTTTATAGGGTTGATGTAAGGATTAAATAAGAAAATATATATAAAGCCACTGACATAGAATAGGCCCTCAATAAATGTTATTTTCTTCTCTTTGAACTGCTGTCCCACCCTGGGCAGAGCCTCCATTAGATTGTCCCCATGATGTGGTACCATACATCCCTGCACATGGGCCACAAAACTTCTGCATACACACCACCCACTCATGTCCTTGGCTGCATTTGCACACTCATCAGCACACACACAGCAGCCTGTGCCATCACAGCTGAGCTGAGGGCAGTCTTCCCGACAGGTAAGATGAGGGACTGGCATGCTAACGCTTGGACAAGCTGTGGAAGTGCTCATCATAGTAAGCTTGTTTCCTGAATGGGCTTCACCCCTCAAAAGTGTTCTGGTAAAGCTGTGAAAGGAGACTAAGGGGCTGTGGTGGGACTAACTCCATAGGCATTTCCTTGAGATTAAATGTGTTTCTTGAGGGATACTTTGTCCACCCACCACTGCCAAGGAGACCTTAGTCTATACGCCAGGTTGCAATGTCTGAAGCTTTGCTGTCCAATATGGTAGCCATTGGCCACATGTGGCTATTGAATGCTTGTAAAGGTAGGTGGTACAGCTGAGGAATGGAATTTTAAATTTGTTTAATTTAAAATTTAAGACAGAGATTCGATTCAGTTATTGGAAAATGTTTTATGTTTGAAAAAACTTAGATGTGTGAATCCACTTTCTCAACAGTGACCTGTATGAAATATAGATTTTTCTGGTGAAAATTTAGTAACTGAATTGCGATGTTGAGATGTACTGTAAGTGTAAAATATACACTGGATTTTAAAGACCTAATATGAAAAAATGTTAAATATTTTATGATTGATTTTTATATTGATAATATATTGAAATGATAATAGTTTGGGTATATTGGGTTAAATAAAGTAAGTATTTAAATGTATCCGTTTCATTTTGATTTTTTAATTTAGTAGCTACTAGAAAATTTGAAATTACATGTGTGACTTAGATTCTGTGTCTGTTGGGTAGCTCTGCTCTGGAGACTTTGAGACTTCAGAGACCTTGGGCAGCAGCATGTCCCAGCACCAGACAGTCATCTGTTCCCCAGAGCGTCAGGGGCTTCCCAGAGAAGATTTCTCTGAACAGCATTGCTGCTTCCGCATTGCAGAGAGGGCAACTAGAGTGAGAACCTTCAGCGTCTGACTCCCAAGTCCCAACCTAATAAGCTGCTGGTGGAAGGTTATGGAAAGGAGCGGGAGGGCTGTGCCCCAGGAAATCTGTCTGGTACATTATACACTAAAGAAGGGGAAGTTGCTGGGATGCTGATTGAGTTGTGTGTGCATGGTGGGTGGGGAGGTTGCAGGCTCAGGGAAACTCGTTTCTCAAGCAGGTCAGTTTCTCCAGCCCCACTCTCCTGTCTGCCTGGTTCTCACATTCACCTCTGGTACTACCCCCATATTCCTATCTCTGCCCCACTAAAGAGCGGCCTGCCTGTGAAGTCCAGCTTCACCTCCTCAGTGGCTCTGAGTGTCTCATCTGTCGGGCAGTTTGAGCTGGGAATCTTCTAATGAGTGGAGTCTCCTCAGAGCAAGGACAACAGCAGCAGGAATCAACTAGAAAGCTCACAATGCTTGCATCTGGTTTGGTGTAGGGGTGGGTGGGAGGAAACTAAGGACGCTGGGTAGATGCTACTGCGCAGAAAGGCTCCCTAGGGCCACGTGATTCTTCCCTTCTCAGTCCCTCCTCCGACTCCTCTCCTCTCCCTGTCACTCCTCCCTTCCAGTGATGCTGAGGCTGTTGCTCTGTTCCTTGAGCTTCCAGCATCTCTACTTCTTTTTGGGCTCTGCTTTGCCCTCTATTTGAAGCACAGTCAGTGGTACTCAGCAGTTTCACCTCCTACTCCACCTCCCCATCTGGGGGTCTCTGTAAATCAGTGACCTCTACCCGGAGACAGCTTCCCACTGGGGCTGCACTAAGCACAGAACCAGAGGAAGCTGCAGAAGGATGGTGGAAATTAACTAGGCAGGCAGTTACTGCTGTTCCCCCTTCCCTCCACTTCTCACTACAGCCTGCTGTGCCCTCCTCCCTGTTCCTCCAAGCCTAGTCTCTGCAGTGTCCTGGGTCTCTCTCCTTTGACAACTGCGGATTCTTGTGTTTGTTAGTCATTATCTTGGAGTTCTGAGTTTTCCCCAAGGGCACTAGGGATCTGTGACGCAAAAATGATGAGGAGCTCCCATGGAGAAATGGGAAAGAGAGGCAGCAACTGGGTGTCCCAGGTGGAATTTCTATGTAGGGGTCCCCTGGAAGGTAGAGGATCGCTCCTTCTCCAGTTCCAGAGATGGGGAGTGAAAGGGAAAGGATTGAGGCTGAAACCGGGGCTAGGAGTGCTGATCCCTCCGGGCATGGAGGTGGGGGTGCAGGGCGGTGAGGAAAGTGAAGGTGGGAGGGGCACTCCTTACCCTGTTTGTCAGGCAGGTTAGATGGAGGCAATGCCATTGGGACACATAATCAATGGGCAAGCAGAAAGAGAAGGAGCTGGGGAGATATAACAGAAATGAGGGTAGGAAATAGACTGAAGTAAAGAAAACTCCAGAGATGACATTTAGTTTTGGCTGCTACTGTTGTGGCCCTTTGACAGCAGGTTTAATGATCTGGTAGATAGAGGAAGGTGGTAGAGGCTCATGCAAACACAGTGCAGTATATGGTCTGTCCTCTCCATCCCACACTCTGTCCCCATCCTCTTCTCTGTAGCCTGTGGGTCCTTTGCTCTTATTCCTGTACATAGGGGCAGGGTTGGGGTGGGGAGCAGAAAAGAAAGGGACTCTGCCTGGTTGACAAACAGACTCTAAGGAGCAAGTGGCACTTCCCAGCCCCACCTCTGAAATAATCTTATAGCCGTGGTTGGCAATTGGTTATTAAAGGATATAAGCATGTGTGAAGAAAGCCTAGTGGTTAGACTAGCTGACTAGCGCTTTGATTATGTTTCCTGTTTTGTGTGTGGAGGGGGTGAAGCAGGGGCTGGACTAACGACGGGGTCTGCATCTGCAGCTCCCTGGGACCCTCAGAGAAGAAATGACAATGCTATCCTCAGACCGGAAAAGCTCAGGAAGCAGACTCTCCGGCAGGAGGCACAACGCAGGCGGGAGGTGCAGGAGAGCGGTGCTGCTCGGGACTAGGTTCTGGTTCAAGCAGCCTTGGTTCTGTCTTCCCCTTTGGTATCTGAAGCGGACTTGGTGGGTTCCCCACTGGGGAAGGAAAGGTCAGAAGAGCTTGGCAGTGACCCGGTTACCCCCAGAGTTTTTATCCCCAGAGGGCCGAGGTGCCACAAAGTCAAAGGTCATGTGATGTTTGACCCGACCTTTGCCCTTGCTCCAAAGGGCAATCAGGCCAAAGCAGAGGGTCACTGAGGTGAGGAAGGGGAGGAAGCCGACTGCCAGCACCATGGCCACACCTCTGCTATCCAGAAAAAAAGGCCCTGGGATCCCTGGCACGGTGATGTTGGGGTCAGAAAGTGTGCCGTTTGGTGGTTCCACCTGGATGACTTCCAGCCAGGTCCTCAGGGAGTCATTCCCAGCGACATTGCTAACCACACAGACATAGGCCCCTCTGTCCCGTAGCTGCACTGAGCGGATCTCCAGTGTCCCATCCTCTAGGACCCTTACTCTCCCAGCCCTGCCCAGCCAAGCCCCATGAGGCCTCATCCAGGAGACAGTGGGGGCTGGGTCTCCATCTCCAGAGCAGGAGAAAACCGCATGCCCGCCCTCCTCTGCAATGACCCATCGAGGCCCCGACTTTCGGATCAGGGCTGGTTTGCAGGTGAAGTGCCCTGGAGGCAGGATGTCTGAAAACTCCTTCAGGCTCTTCCCCTGGACATGATGGGGGCCAGCACAGGCAGGGGGGGACATGCCAAAGTCCAGGTGGCGGCGGAGCCGGAGCAGCCAGAGGAGGCGGCAGTCACAGGTTAGGGGGTTGCCAGACAGCCTCAAGGTGACCAGTTTGTCTGGAGAAGGGAAAGCTGTTTCCTCTAGTGTCTGAAGGGCGTTATCTGCCACATCCAGGAGGTGGAAGGCAGTCAAGCCATGGAAGGCATGGGCAGCAATGGAGGTGAGGCATGCCCCTGACAGGCGTAGCTCCTGGAGCCGCACCAGGGGGCTGAGCCTTCGGGCTGGGATGGCTGAGATGGGATTCTGGGACAGATCCAGGACCCTGAGGAAGCTGAGGTGGTACAGTGCTTGGAAGGGCACCGAGCTCAGATTGCAGCGAGTGATGGCCAGGCTGCTGAGATTGAGCCCAACCAGGCTCCCAGGGTCCAGAGCCTCCAGAGATGGCCAGAGGTGGATCTCCAGCTCCTTGAGCTGCCCCAGCCCCCGCAGGGCCCCAGCTGGCAGCCTCCCAATATCCAGTTCTCTAAGCCTTAGGGCCACTAGTGCCGGGAGACGGGCAAGGGCTAGGCCAGGCACTGTGCTGAGGTTGCAGCGCTCCAGGGTGAGGGTGCTCAACTTGGCTAGCCCTGCAAAGGCCCCCGGAGCCACAAATACCAGGTGGTTGTCCCCAACCTCCAGCTTCTGGAGGCTGCCTAGCTCCCCAAAAGCTCCATCTAGGAAGAGAACAATCTGGTTGAGGCGGAGGTCCAGCAGGGTCAGAGCAGAGAGGCCTGAGAAGACCCCAGGCCCCATGATTCTGAGCCGATTGCCCTGCAGCCTCAGGGTGAGTAGGCTTTGTAGGCCATGGAAGGCCCCAGGCTCAAGGGTTGAGAGCTGGTTGTAGCTGAGGTCCAATTCCTGGAGCAGGCTCAGGCGGGAGAGCATTCCCTGCTGGAGCCCCCACAGGCGGTTCCCACTCAGGTCCAGGAGCTCAGTGTCCAGTGGGAGTCCTCCAGGTACAGCCTCCAGTTGCCTGTGGCCACAGAGCACAGCCTGGGGCTGGGAGGTGCAGTCACACACAGCAGGGCAGCTGCCACCGCTCCCTCCAGGTAGGAGGAGGAGGAAAAGGAGCGGGGGCCATGGGGGCCAGGCTTGCTTTGGAGCTGTGGCTGCATCCATTCCCTCTTCAGTCCTGGAATAGATGATGACATGGCCCTTTTTGGAAAGTGGCTTCAGATGACGGTGACCCTGGACTTCCTGGCCCTTCTTAGAGAGGAGAGAAATTGGTCTATCTGTCTCAGCATTGCCAATAAGTAGGGCACAGAACCAGGAAGAATTCTTGTGTGCCACCTCCCTGGGGCTTCCTGGAGCTTCTCTTTGGGGAATCTCTGCTTTCCTCCCTCTTCCAGCCCTGGATAACCAGCCAAGTGCTTACTGGCTCATGGAACCCTAGCCAAGCCTGATTTCTGTGGGGAAAAAGCTTATGGGAATGGGGCAGGGAACAGCAGGGAGGTACTGAGTCTTTCTGTATGGGGTTTCCTGATGTCTGTGAGATCCAGGAGGATCTCAGGTCCCTTCTCCCTGATACCTGCTCTTCCCAAGCTCTGCTCTGTCCCTCTCTGCTCACGCTTATTCTTTCACATTATGTACCCATAGTTTTGCTTAAGGCTCAGGGAGATCATGTCCTTGGCCCAGAGTTCCCTGTCCTGACTGGAGAGGTCCTCACCTTGACTAGCTCACCCAAGGCTGGGAAACATGCAGGCCTCAGCTCCACCCCCATGCTGAGCCCTCTTCCAGCCTGGCCCAGGGCCTGAGCCCTGGACTAACAAGATCCAATCTCCCCAAAATGCCTGTGTGGACAACTGCCAAGCTGTACATTAGCTGTGGCATAGGATGCAGGAGGCACTTGACTGGGAAGCTGGGAATCCCCTGCAAGAGCCCAGGGGCAACTGCTTCTCTACTGCAATTGAAGTTGGGGTGTGTGAGAGACCCAAAGGATGCCCAGGTTTTGAGTTCTGTTGCTTGGTCTTCAGTCTTGGGCTTCCCTCATATCCCTCCTTAATGGTGTTTGGATTCTGGTCCAGTGTGTGGATCTGAGGGAGAGCTCTTGTCCCTTTTGGCCTGAGCTGCCTGAGAAATTCCCAAGAGACAGATTGTGGACCAGGGAGCATAGATAAGTGAGGAGAGACAGCATCTGACCAAGTGCTGTAGGATGGGGAGGAAGGGAGCCGTTGGCTGGCACAGCAGGTATCTGGGCACAGACAGTGTGCAGAGCCTGTAGACTTATAGTCAGTTTCTGGGTACCAGGTTCCGGGAACCCTCAGGAAGATGGTGACTACAATGGCTGAGGTGACAGAGGAGAAGGGGCCCTCTAGGTGATGAGGGCCCCTGACTCATCCTGTTAGATGTCAACAGGGACCCCAAGGCAGAGGAAGTACTGGAATTGGCAAGGGATGGCTACAGAGATAGGAGCAAAAGCCCATGGATGCTCTCTGGGATACAGCGCGTCTGAGTCTCTGCTGAGCGGCAATCCTGATCACCTTTGGGCTTGTGGGCTTCAGGCTCTCTGGGCTCTACAGGGTCAGCTTTCTACTACATGCCCTGTTTTTTCTCATGTGGAACTTAGGAGAGGCAGTTTAAGAGATGGTCATTTCTTCCCCTTTCCTTCCCACTCTCCACCTCCTAGAAGGATCATTCTAGTGGCTATCCTACAGCCACTTGAGAGGATTGTCCTAGTTGGGAAACTAAAGAAAGAGGCCAAAAGAGCAGAGGGATGCAGAAAACTGGTGTGAGGCTTGGGGATGAAAAAGAATAACGTGGGGCAAAGACTGCAGAGCAGACTCTTCTCGCCCCAAACTGACCTAACAGGTCTCTGTGGCATGCCCAGAGCTCTCCCGGGAAAGATGGCCCAGCCTCCCTTGTTCTCCCTAGGCTTGTTCTGGGAAGTCCACCTGACAGCTAGCTCTTCATCACTACTGCTGCAGTTCCTGCCCATCCTCGCTCTGCATTCAGCAAAAGTGCAGTGAAGCATGTAACCCAGCTTTCTTCCTTCCTGCTCCTGTGAGTTTCCCCTGAGTCCGCTGGGCCAGGGGCTGAGGGAGCTGGAGCAACCTATTTTATTTCTAAGGTGGCTAATTTAATCACAAATTTCCCTTGCCAACCTCCATGGCTGCAGGACCGGCTTCCGGCCACTTTGCAGGAAGCGAGATGTCAGAACCACTTTTTTGTCCCTTCAGTGGGGTGGGGACATCACCAAGACATGACCCTTGAAGGCATCACCCCTCAAGGGTAGGGAGCCTTTTTCTTGTCTTTATGTGGCAGTCCAGAGACACTTTTGAACCTGGGTATCCTGTATCCTCTTTAAAGCACACCTGACTGACAAATGGGAACTGTGTGGGGAGAGGGTTCCTGGGGGAAAGATTTCTGGAAGATCCACACCGATTGTGGAGAAAAACCCTTCCAGAGGAAGGGGAAGCACTGGGGAGATGGAAGGGAGGTCTCCTTGGAGCCCTTCCACCCAGGGGTACTTGGGATATTTGAGTTTCCCCCTCAAAGTCCCATGGGGCCAGGATTAATTGTTAGCAGTGTGGGGGCCCAAACCCTCTTGCCTTGAGGGGCCTGTCTGGCCCCTAGTCTGGCCTGTCTCGGAGAATGTTATGGAAAAGGGCGGCTGCATCTTTGGGACAGAGAGTGGGGGCACTTACCGGAGAAGCTGGAAGGTGGCATCAAGTTTGGCACTGCATCTGTCCAGCGCTGGGGGCCCTGTCCCATTCGAGCTGCACCTCAGGCCCCTGCACCTTCCCTGTGTGCCTCAACCCCCGCTGCCTGGCTGCCCGGCTGCTGCCTGCCGCTGCTGCTGCTGCTGTTGCTGCTGCGGCCGCTGCTGCCAAGACTGAGGTGGAGAAAAGAGCCAGAAAGCATTTCTCCTTTTTTTTTTTCCTCTCTCTCTCTCTCTCTTTTTAAACCAGGCAAGAATGAGTCTGCAGCAACCCTGTTGGTGCAAAATAAATAAATAAAGCAACCAGGGAGGGCTGCAGCAAGCACCACTACAGGCTGGCAAGTGACAGGGGAGGGAGCCAGGAGGGAGGCTCTGGTGCCAGGGAGGGGTCATGCAATAGCAAGAACAGCAGGTTCTAGAGGATCTCTCTGACATCCTGATTCCCCCACTGGGGAGCTTGGGCCAGCCACCTTCCAGAGGACTGTCTTTTGGTCTCCCAGATGTGGAGCAATTCTGTGCAACCTCTAAATCTAAACGTTCCCCGTGGGTATCATTTATGGGAAGTTCTCAGTCTAGAGCATCTCCCGTGGGGCTCAGTTTGAGGCTCCTACAGTGGGGGTTCCTGAAGATTCGTTCACAGTCCTCACTGAGGGACTGCTCCACCTGGGGAGAAACTGCAGGGGTCGGGTGAGGGTGGGTTGGATCTGTATAATGCTGATGGATTGCTGAGCTGGAAACCTGAGTCTTGACCCAGGAATGAGACTGGAGAGCAGGCATGCAGGTAATCTAATTTAAGAATCTCCCCCACCCTCTGACACACACACTTCTTGCCTTTAAAATCATTTTATAAAGAATGGCACAAGTTGGGGTTTATGTTTACTCAGATGAACCCGTCCCCTTAGAGGACACAATCCCACCCCCAACCCCCCCAACTCCACGACTGCCCATCATTGCTGTTAATCCCTCAGGGGAGGGTTCACAGCTGTTTATGAAGCCAAGAGAGGTTCTGGGCAAGATCACAGCTGGGGAAACAGGCCCAGGCCCTGCTCCCTGGTGTCCTCCATGCTGGAGTCAGCGGTGCCCAATGACGGGGTGATGTGATCACATCTGCTTCCTTCTCCACAACAAGAGCAGGGCTGGCGGGCAGGCCAGGAAAGTCCTCCAGGATCTGATCTTGCCTTCCGACTGACCAGTGCGAGCGACTTCTGCTTCTCTTGGGTCTTCTAGTGGTAGAAGACAGCTGGAGCTGGGGTGGTATTTGGATCACCCCAGACCCAAGATCAGTGGACTGGAGCACCATGGAAATGTTTGGGAGGGTCCCTCAGGATTGGGACTTTCCCCTGAGGCCTCTAGGCTCCTCCAAGCTGTGGCCTCAAGGATAAGAGAGATTGTGTCAGGTTCATGTGTCTCTGGAACTGCATGATTGCTGTTGAGTCTGTATGTGTTTCACCTGTGTATGGATATGTGTCTCTGATCAGATTTGTGCCAGCCCCTAAAGTCTATCTTTAAAGTGCACATAAGAGGTTTGAGTTTTAACTCTATGTCTGAGATGCTCTTGGCCTTCATTGTACCCTAGTCCCACACCCAAATCCCATAAAACAATTATCTCCAGCCTCTCATCCTCATCCCATCCATTTTTGGTTAGACCCCAGGTAAAGGGTAGGGTGCCCAAATACTTCCTTGCTGAGCTGGGAGGAAGGCAGAGGCAGAAAATGTAAAGCTCCAGATTCATTTTATACAGGTCCTTCTGGGCTCTCACTGCCAGTCTCTGAGCTTGATCCATCTCCCCAAGCCGAAGCCCAAAGGGAAATGCAATGAGGTATTTCAAAGGCTTATTCTTAGCTTCTGAGCTTCTGAATGAATTGCATTCTATTCATCCAGGGAGCCCTGGATGCCCCTGTTTTCTTGAGGATGTCTTGGTCCCCCAGAAGTCCTTAAATCCCAGCCACCCCATGCCTTCCAGAAGCTGGGTGTGAAGGAATATGGGAAATGAGACAGGTCAAAGCTGAGGCTGGAGATGGTGTTCTGCCAGCCCCACCCTCTGGCGATTGTCCCACTGCCAGGCCGGCCTGCTGACAGAAAGCCAGCCGCAGCATCTGCTCACTTCCAAAGAGCTGGTGGGGACCACCCTCCAGGGTTCATGGGAAAGGAAAAGGGTGAGGGTGGAACGGGGTCCAGGGAGGTGGGCCAGCAGGCCATAGGGAGAGGCAAGGAGTCCCTCTTCCAGGTCACTTGGACAGCCCCACAGGTGACTCGGTTTCAGTGCTGAAGAGCTCCTTGTAGAGTGGAGGGAAAGCGGCTTGGACCACGATGGGGTGGAGGTGCTGGAAGATCTGCAGCCTTTCCACATGCTGGCTACACAGGCTCCGAAGCTTCCCCTTGGGTGGCAGCTGGATATGGGTTAATGGGGAAGGGAGGGTCAATACTTCAGCTCTCCTCAGAGCAAAGAAGTCCGCTCATTCTTCCTGGGCTAGGACAAACCCTCCTTGCCTTCCCCTTATGTACTTGGCACTTTGGCACCAGCCAAATCCCACTGGTAGAAGTACGTGTGTGTTCAGGACACTGGAGGGAAGTGAGAGTGGGTGGGGCACAGGTGAATGTTTTCTGGGTGAAGCCCTCAATTTATGTTCCCAATACTTCTAGAATGAACCTTGTCAAAGACTCTAATGTGCACTTCCTGCTTTTATAAGAGTGATTGTCTGTGACTCTTGTTGTATGCTGTCACATGCCTCTGCCTTTGTGCATGTTGTTCCCCTCTTCCCATTACTAATCCTTACCCTCTAGTGTCACCTCTCCTAAGACTATTTCCCTAACTGCCTCCCATCTGGATTAAGGGCCCTTCTTTTGGGCTTTCCTCTGTGTAGCACTTACTACATTGCAGGAAAATGGTCCAATTTGTCTGCCTTCCCACCCTAGATTTCAGCTCCTTGGCTGAGGTCTCTCTTTCCCTGTCTCCTCTGTACCTATCATAATGCTTAGCACATGGCACATGCTTAATAACTCTTTGAACTAAACAGACTTTCTAAGCAGGCACCTAACACTGCAAGTAGCAAACCAATGCTGCCAGCACTCAGCCAAAGGGGAGATGAAAAAGGCACAGAAACCAGTGAGCAGACGGAGGCAGGGAGACCTCACTGGAGCAAGGCTGAAAGAACAATTTATCTCTTGCAGTCTCCTCTACAACCAAGAGGCTTAAAAATGTCTCTTGCCTGCCATTGCCTCCCTCCCCCAGCTTAGTTTCCTTGGAAAGAGGCAGTCAGAGAAAAGCAGGCAGCAGGGTGTGATCCCTTCATATCTCCTAGATTCTCTCTCTTCCTCACCACTGCTTTATTCTGAGCTTTTTTGGGCTATGGCAATAGCTTCCTTCATTCATTCAACAAATATTTGTTGAGAACACATCTGGATCTGAGCTAGGCACTGTGATGGCCTCTAGTGATATATCAGATATATCAGTCAATAAAGTATAATCTGTACCTTGATTAAATTTACATTCTGGTGAGGGGCCCAGAAAATAAATATGTAGTGTATCAGATAATAAGTTCTTTAAAGAAAACTAAAGCTTTTTGTATGGGGTTACTGGTCAGGAAAAACCTCTCCCGAATGAAGAGATGGGGTAAGCCATTTGGAAAACTGGGGGAAGAACCCTCCAGGTGACTACAATAGCAGGTACAAAAGCCCTGCGACTGGGTTTGATGTGTTCGAGGAATAGCAAGGAAGCAAGTGTGGCTGCAATGGGTGTTTGAAGGGGCAGTGGAAGATCAAGTGAGAAAAGAAGGCAGGGATCATGTTATGAGCCACTTGACCATGACGCAGACTCTAGATTTGATTCTCGGCATCACAGGCAGCTACAGGAGGGCTGAGAACAGGAGTCAAGGCCAGGTGTGGTGGTTCACGCCTGTAATCCCAACACTTTGGGAGGCCAAGGTGGGCAGATCACCTGAGGTCAGGAGTTCGAGACCAGCCTGGCCAACATGGTGAAACCCTGTCTCTACTAAAAATACAAAAATTAGCCGGGCGTGTAATCCCTGTAATCCAAGCTACTCAGGAGGCTGAGGCAGGACAATCGCTTGAACCTGGGAGGTGGAGGTTGCAGTGAGCCGAGATCACACCACTGCACTCCAGCCTGGGCGACAGAGCAAGTCTGCCTCAAAACAAACAAACAGAACAAACAAACAACAACAACAAAAACAAGAAAAAAACCACAGGAGTAGGGCATGATGAGATTGCATTTTTAAAAGGGCTACCGTGGGTGCGGAGTAGGTGTGGTTGCTACAGGGCAGATGAGGGTGGAACAGGGGCTCAGTTAGGAGGCCTCTCTTAAAGTCCAAGTGAAAGCTGAGAGCTGGTAGGGGCCAGGGTGGTGGTAATAGTAGGGAAGGTGATGTATTTTGAAAGCAGATCCAACCGGATGTGCTTTCCAATTGCTCTCCCAGATTCCTGTCTCTCCTCCTTCAAATCCATCCTGTAGCAGATTAAAGTTCAAGTTCTTGAGAGCACAGACCGTGTAAGTCATTGCTGTATCCTTAACACCCAGCCCTGTGCCTGGCACATAGCAAAGGCCTGCTTGAATAATTACATAAATGGTTCCTTTATACTGGTTCCAAAGTAAATTGCCTAAATGACAGCTCTGATTGTGTCATTTTTCTAGCCTTTGGAGCTCCCTGTGGCCTAGAAATAAAGCTTTAACGCTTATATGGCATTGAAAGTCCTCTCTGATTTGCCCCTGACCTAATTTTCAGGCTGATCATCTGGTGCTCTTCTGCCCCACCAGTCTATCCCAGCTCCTGATTTTACACTTTAGTGAGGATGTACCATGAGTGATTCTCCACATACACACTATTTTGCCTCCTTATTTTTCTCCTGTTGTTCTTGGTCTTCATTGTACCCTAGTCCCACACCCAAATCCCATAAAACAATTATCCCCAGCCTCTCATACTCATCTCATCCATTTTTTTGGTTAAACCTCAGGAAAAGGATTTTTTTTCATTTTTTTTGTTTTGCTCCTATTGTTCCCTAAGCCTGGAATGCCTGCCCCACCCCCATGAATGCCTGTTAAAATCTTACATCATTCATGGCCTAGTATAAATGTCATCTTCCCTGGGAAGTATTTATGACCCACTCCTTTTACCCCCAAATTATTTTTAATCCCTGTTTTATACTCTCATAACATTTTCCTGGTGTCACTTATTATAGTTATACATAGGGGACACAGGGATAGAAAGAGCGCAAAGAGCACTGGGATTCAATCTTGCATTTAAGTCACTGAAGTCTCCTGATAGCTACAAGGAGATTTTTTTTTTTTTTTTGAGACAGAGTTTGCTCTTGTTGCCCAGGCTGGAGTGCAATGGCACAATCTTGGCTCACTGCAACATCTGCCTCCCGGTTTCAAGCGATTATCCTGCCTCAGCCTCCCAAGTAGCTGGGTCTACAGGCGCCTGCCACCATGCCTGGCTAATTTTTTTTATTTTTAGTAGAGATGGGGTTTCACCATGTTAGTCAGGCTGGTCTCGAACTCCTGACCTCAGGTGATCCACCCGCCTTGGCCTCCCAAAGTGTTGGGATTACAGGCGTGAGCCACTGTGCCCGGCTGCTACACAGGGAGATTTGAACACCTGTCCTATTGACTGGGTTGCCATGAGGATGAGAAAGCATGTCAGCAAAAGCACTCTGTTAATTGCATTATTATTATATCACATACCACATTCTACTCTATGTTAGAGTTAGTGATACACAGATCTCTTCTTCATACCAGATTAAAATCTCTTGGTGGGGGCAGCGACCAAATCTCTGTGTCTTTCCACAGTGCCTTGTACAAGCAGGTGCTGGGTAAGTGCTGGCTATATTAAACTGAATTGTTCCCTGGAGGTCCCTCCCAATCCCAGGCCCTCTAACTTTCCAGTCTTTATGCACGTGGAAGTAGCTGTTCATTCCCTTAGTTCCCACTGCTGATGCAAGCTCTCTAACAGAGAGTGGTACTCCCGCACTCCCTCCTCTGTACCCACAGACCCCGGCCCTCGCAAACTCTGATGTTACAGAGCTAGCGATGGGCCTGGCCTCTTCTACCCCAGGGACTGCTCCTACCTTTGCCAGGATGCTTTGGCGATGAGTCTTGCAGAGATGATGATGAAAGGCCAGCTCCAGATTGTACTGCAGCTGTTCTACTTTCCTTTTCTCTTGGAGCCCTGGCCGATCTGGAGGAGGGGGTGGGACCGTAATGAGAACAAGAAAGAACATGGACATTAACTCCCAACAAAAGGGTGTATCTTTGTGGACATCTGTGCTGGATAGAGGTCTTCTAAGCTGAGCGCGTGCATGTGTGTGCCTTGGTTTGATAATGGTAAGCTCTGGACGTTGGGCTTGGCTAGCTGTCTACAAGGAAAACTGGGAAGAGATGAAAGGTATGAGAATTTCTGATCTCCTGACTCCAAGCTACCTTCTCCCTGGTAACCTGATATTCCACATAGCTCATTCAATGCTAGGCACTAGGATTCTGTCATAGGGGTAACAAGAGTTGGAAAAGAGCTCCCCCATGTACGAAAAGGGCTCCTGATAGGAGGTGGCCTTCCTGAAGGTGCCCAGGCCTGCACCAGGGGGCTTGCAGCAATCTGTGACTAACTTTTGCCCTGATTCTATAAAATATCCAGAAGTCATCTTTAAAGTTTTTATCTTCTAGTTTGAAGGGCATATTTAGGTGTCCACTCACTGGCAGAGCCAGAAGACTGATAGTCTCGATCTGCAAACTCAGGTTAGCAGCTTGACCCACTTCCCTAGGTTCTCTGAATATTTAGTATTCATCTGGCTCAGCCCAGCTACTCCATGCCAGGGGAGTGGATAGGATATCCAGAGTCTTCCTATTATAGGCATACAGCCTTAAAATTAGTTCACACAGAGCAGTGATTCTTAATCTTGGTGGCCTGGGGGTGGCTGTTAAAATTCAGTGCACCCCTTATCAATTACAGATGGTCCCAGTCTTATGATGAGTTGACTTACTATTTTTTGATTTTATGTTGGTGAGAAAGCCACTTGCATTCAGTAGAAACCATACTTTGAATACCCATGCAACCATCCTGCTGTTCACTTTTAGAACCATATTCAATAAATTACATGAGCTATTCAACACTTTATTATAAAATAGGCTTTGTGTTATATGCTTTTGCCAGACTGTAGGCTAATGTAAGCATTCTGAGCACATTTAAGGTAGGCTAGGCTAAGCTATGGTGTTCAGTAAGTTAGGCGTGTTAAATGCAATTTCAACTTACCATATTTTCAACTTACGATAGGTTTATTGGGACATAACCCCATCATAAGTCATGGAGCACATGTACACTGGAATCTCTGGAAGTGGGACCCAGGCAGCAATAGTTTTTAAAGCTCCCCAGGTGATTCTGATGTGTGCTACAATGAAATCACTGCCATAGACTAACAATCAGACACATTTCTGTCAGGAAAGTGGCTCATTTCCTCTCAACCTCATTTCTCCCCACTTCCCACAACCCCACCTTATGCTGCTCTTGTCCCTCTCTGAGAGTCCTCTGAATCTTTATTTTAACTCATTTTATTTTATAGCAATACTGAGTAGGGCTCATTCTGCTATTTAAAGCAATTTCCCAGATTTAACTACATCTGAAGGTCTAGACTCTTCTTCAATATCTGCCATGCCCCTGCCACCTGAATGTCCTTCACCCAAGCCCAGCAACACTCACGGGCATTGATGAGAACAAGGGCTGTGTAGAGGGCAATCTCATCCTCGGAAAAGTGCAAGGCACTTAGGGAGTGGGAGAAGTCAAAGATGGAGCTGATGAGCTCGCTGCAGCCTGATGGAGTGGAAATGAGAAAAGTGAGAGAGTGGCTGGAGCGATGGTGCCCGAGGACACCGCCCTTATTGTGTTTAGAGCAGAGGGGGCAATTCGCCCTGAAAAGAGGGTGCCCTGGGTCACAAAGCTTTGCCTGGGGTTGGCATCAGAATCTTCCCTCTCATTTCTCCCTGCCCCTCACCCAAGGCTCGGAACAGCTCCATGCCACCGTATTTGCCTTCAAAAAAGACCGTGCGGTTGTCAGCATTGTAGGCCCGGCACATCCTAACCAGCACCACTTCCATTGCTCCTGGGCAGTGGGGAGAGAAGATGCAGGGACAGTGTCAAGCAAAGCCAGGATCTGACTCTGTCCCCCTGATTTCCTTAAGCCACCTCCCTCCACTTGGCTCTGTCCCCTTGTCCCCAGGCCTGCCCACCCATCCCTGGGCACCTGCTTTGAGAAGCACAATCTGGTCATTCTGGCAGAGCTCCATAAAGCCTGAGAGCCTCTTGGCGAACTCCACCACGTACTGAATGGCCTCGGTGAGGTGGTGGGCACACCGTTCCCACATCTCCCACATGGACTGCAGGGAGGGAGGAGGGTCCCGCTGTAGCGCTCTGTGTGGCCCTGTGATCCTCCTGAGCCCTGGAGCCCCACCTAATAAACTGCAAGGGGTAGGCTCTGAACTCCTATGTTCTCAACTAGCATTTTCAAAAGCCTGGTCTTAGCACAAATGCACAGATTCCTGCCAGTGAGTCCCACACACTGAGCACCTACCGGCTGCTGACACCGAGTTAGCTGTTGTGAGGGAATCCAAAAAGTATGAGATACAGCTTTGCCCTCCAACAAGGTATATCTCGTTGAGGTGAACAGGACATACAGCTGCCCCTTCCCCCACAAAGGTTATGCCCAAGGTCTCAATAACCTGGAGAAGCAAATGTGAAGTGCCAAACGAGTGTGTTTAGAGCAGGTGGTATGAGAGTGTGATCGAAAAGGCAGCATAAACTTTGGAGCCTGATGAATCTGAATTTGACTTTGGTTCCACCACTTTGTGACTTTGAGGAAACCTATTAACCCCTCTAGGCTCAGTTTCTGTCTGTTAAAAGTAGGAATAAATGCCACCCTCATAGGTTGGTTGTGGTAGGGGCTGAGGATAATTTACATAAAGCGTTTAGCACAATGCCTGGCAGAGAAGGGGTGTTTAACAAATGGTAATCAGGGTTCTGATTATTGTTATTGTTGATGGAAGAGGAGGAAGGAGGGTGCACCAAGGTCTGCATGGTAGAGGAGGTAGGATGAAGGCCAGGTACAATTTTAATAGGCAAGAACTAAGGAAAAGCGCTCATCCATCTGCTGGGGTGTAGACAGATACACACATTCGCAACTGTACATAAAAGGTGTGCACATGCTTGTTGGCCAGCCTGTGTCTGTGATGTCCCGCCCTGCCCCAGGACCCAGTCGTGCGCAGGTAGCCATCTCTGAACTCTCCCGGTGGGGGTGGGATACGTTCCCTTCCTGCAGGTCTCCTGGCCTCACCTTCCTCTGGTAGCCAGTCACTTCCTCCCGGGAGAAGATGTTGGAGCGCTGCCGCAGCAGGTCCTCCAGCCGCAGCTGGCATGTCTCCCTGTAGGACTTGCAGACGCTCTGCACCAGGTGCTCTGGGGCCGGAGAAGGAAGGCATGGCTTGATCTCAGCCAGCTCCTACGCCTACCCATGCAAGGGCACTTCTCAGCCTGGCCTATCCTGCTCCGCCTCCTCCCTCCGCCCCTCGTCTGGACCCCTCAATTCCCTCAGGCGCATGTTTGATTGATACGGGGTACTGGTGGAAACCCCTCCCTCATCTCTACCACCCTCTCCACCTCCCCAGCTGCTCACCTATCTCTGTCAGGGAGGCATAGGGTGCCTCCGGTGTGCTGCGGAAACTGGGGCTGCCGTAGCTGTCTGGGCCCTGTCCCAGTTCCCCAAGCCCAGGATGCCTGTGTTCCTCAAAACGAAGTCCACATCGGTCAGGGGTCAGCTGGCTGCCTGTGCTATAGAAGCTCTCTCTGCCCTCAGCCTTGCCCCGCTCAGGGCTGTATTCAAGGTGGCATGAGGCCCCATTGAGCCCTGCCTTGGCCAAGTTGTTGGAATATGAGGGCCCAGAGCCTGAGGCTTTCAGGAGGCCAGGGGGACAGGCAGAAGCCTCAGGCAGGTCAGGCGAGGAGCCCAGGGGCAGCTGCCCGTCTGGGAGCCCCAAGGTGTAGGTGAGGGTATCTGCTCCTTGGGCCCCTGCTGGAGGGGTCTTGACCACTGGTTCCTGTTGCTGCTGTTGCCGCTGCTGCAGCTGTTTCTGCACTTCTGCATGCAGGCTGTCCCTCTGCTTCTTGGACATGCGGCCGAACTTGACAGCTGAAAGAGGTCCAGGGACCAGGGGTTTATGAGGCAGGAGAACATGGCACAGGGCAGGGTCAGGAGGCATTTGGTCATTAAAGGATTAACTTGCTGCTCTCTGAATGGCTGACTCCAAGCACAGCTTCTCTAGCCTTTAGGGAACTTATGCTCAAGACCCCGTCCACCTCTCACTCTTGTTTGCTTCTGGGGTCTGTCCAGTCTGCCATTTCAATCTGCTAAGCAAAATCTTCTAAGTTCTAAATCAGATTTGAATCATGGCAGAATTCAAGCAATGAGTCTAGGCTGGGGATTCTGGCCTCCAGATCTTGGGGCTGGGGGTGGTCGAGCAGAGGGCCTCAAGCTGTATTGGGGTCACCTCGCCTCTTTGGGAGGGTCGGAGGAAGAGGAGAGCTGAGAACACAGGTCTCCCTGTGGTCAGGCCTGCAGGCTCCCTGGTGACCTAGATACTCACCACAGCCCAACCCGGGCTCCGCGGCTTGTTTCTGAACATCCTCTTCTGCTCTCTCTTTCCTGCCTTTTTACTCCCCCCGCCACCCCTCCCAGGTGTAGGGGCACAGCCCCTCGCCCCGCCTGCCCCTTTGCACCCCTGCGTGCTTCCTTTTGCTTTGTTATTTTGGGCACTGAAAAGTGCTGACGGGCTCCTTCTGGCTCCTCATCACCTCATGCCCCCCCAGCTCCACCCTAGGCTCCTTCTGTGGTGGTGGAGGTGTGCAGGGAGACTGGTGAGGAGGTGGTGGGTGAGGAGGGTGGATAAGGCACCAGGAACACCAGCCCTCCCCCACGACCACCCTCTGGTTGTTCTCAGGCCAATTCTGTTTCCATTCCTGGCTATAGTCCTGTGTCCAAGTATGGGAATGGGGGATTAGAAAAGGAGATAGAGCTAGAACTACAACAACAGGGTAGCAGGGGAAGGTGCCAGAGCTGCATGGGAGCTGGGCCAGAGGGCAGCAGAGTGAGGAGAATTCGTTCCAAGTAAGAAGAGATGAAGAGGTATGGGACCTTGGAAAGAGGATGTTTGTTCTAGCAAAGCCTAAAGTTGGGGACTCCAAAGAACTTTGATGGGGGTGACCCATCCATCCCTGGAGGGGAGGAGACAAGGGGTTGTAACGGGGAGGAATGGAGAGGAGACCAGAGGATGGGCCGTCTTGCAGGTTAAGCCTTGTCTAGCTCAGCAGGCCAGGCTGCCCCTCTGGAGACACCAGGAAAACCCCAGGGGGCTGTCGACTTGGCCTCACCATCTCGGGACATGCCCAGCGCCAGGCATTTCTGCAGGCGGCAGTGCTGGCATCGGTTTCGGCTGGTGCGGTCGATGGGGCAGTTCTGCTGACGGGTGCAGGAGTAGGCCGCGTTACAGCGCTGGCTCCGGCGGAAGAAGCCCTGGGGAAAGCAGGTGGAGGGCAAGACTGCTTATCCTGGTCAGGCCCAGCTCACTCACAAAGGCCTCCAGCCCACAAGCTCTGGCAGCTTTTCTACATCCCACGACCTGTCAGTTTTCTCTCTCCTCCATCTATTTGTGTAATTGCAATTTATCCTGTAGTCATTTCCCCAGCTTAAGACAGGGCCCTGCCAGTGTTGAGGGCCCTGCAGGAAGGCGCTACTCAGGCATTTTCCTGGCTGCCCAGGAGATCATCCCTGGAGTCAGAACAAAGGCCATTAACCCCCTTGTTTATCTCTAAGGAGACACTGTGTGTGTGTGTGTGTGTGCGCGCGCGCGCGCTTGTGTATGCACACGCACACATGCATGCATACACATGCCTATGACTCACCTTGCACCCCTCACAGGTGATAACCCCGTAGTGGATCCCAGACGACTTGTCCCCACAGATTTTGCAAGGGATCACTTCAATTTGTGCTGGAAGAGAGAAAGAGAAGTAGGTCAGCCCAGGAGGCTTTTCTGCATTCAACCACCATGTACCTGGGCTGCAGATACAGGTACCTGGTGCTTCCACTACTTCTCCAACCAGCTCCAGCTTGCTGTTTCCCTCTTGCAAAATGGAAGGGGAAGTGAAATGCCAAATGCTTCTCAGCAAAGGGTGTGAGGAAGCTGTGTTTGTTTCACAGAGGAGGGGAGTGTGGAGGGGTGGCCGGGAGTTGTATCAGTGCTATGGAGGCAGAGAAAGCAGCTGCAGAGGGGCCACCTGCTCAGCCCTTCGAGTTGAAAAGCTCCAGTTGCCTCCCTCCCGCCTTGGGACATAGGACTCCTCACGGCCTCACAACACCTGCTTCCCGCCGAAGGGGCTTCCTCTGTGCCTCCCTCCCTCGCTGGGGCTCAGCTCCCATGGGCAAAGTGTAGGGTATAGCAGGAAGATGTGGTACACAAGGGGTGGGGGATAGGCAGAGATGCCAGTCCTTCCCAGCCAGACAGTGAAGGCTCAGGGAGGTGCTATACAGAGACAGGGTGAGGGGGTGGCAGGGAGGAACCCAGGAAACGGGGGCTCAACACCCCAGCTCTGCTGGATGCCTGAGAGCCTAGGGAAAGAATTAGCCAGGGCTCTTAGGCTCTTGGCCCCAGAGCAGAGAGAGGGTGGCTTTGTGTACATCCGTGTGTCTGAGTGTGAACACTTATGTTTGTACAAAGGCATCTGTATCCATTTGTGTGAACATGAATCATCAATGTTAAAAATGGCTGAGACTAGAGACCATCTCATTCAACCTCTTCATTTACCGATGAAGGACTAAGCCAGATGAGGCAAAGCGGTTGGGCCAGGGTCATAGGCTAGTTTGCCTGAGAGCTGGATCTACATCCCAGTTCCCCTGAGCTTTCCATTATGCTGTTCTGTGTACCTGTCTTTTCGGGTACACATTTCAGTGGGCATGTTTGAAGGTGTGCTTGTGGGTGTGCATATGCAAGAAAAGTATGTGTCATTTGTGAGCCTACGACATATCTGGTTGCTCCTGCGTCCACACGTGCATATTTGTATGTTAGTGTCTGCTCATGGGGCACTAGGACCCCGGGTTCTCTCTCCCACTGAACTCACTGTAACCTGTACCTGCTTCCCTACCCCTGTGGTTTGCTGCTGGCCCTAAGCTCATCTCTGCTTTGCCCTGTTCCTGTCAATGCCCACGACTCTCTGCTGAGCTTCATGGGACCACAGGAGGCCTTCTCCCAGCTCTTCCTTGAAAGGTAGCTGGGCAAAGCTTGGGATCCCTGGTTACTGTAGGTGTTTTTAGCATTTCCCAGAGCACATGGGTCTCTTTTCCACCATCACTGACCTGCTGCCTCCCCTCTGAGTGGGGAGCCCTGGGGCGGGACAGGCCAGAAAAGTGAAGAGAAGGGCCAAAGCCCCTTTTAATCTATGACGTGTCTCCCACCAAAGGGGCAAAAGAAGTGGCAGCCTCTCTGGAGGGCGAATGCACATTGCTGTGATCTCACCTCCAGTCCCTGGCCTGGACACTGGTCACATGTAGGGCCTGTTGATGTGAAGTGGGCAGGGAGACCATGGCTTGCCCGCCATTCCCCAAAATATTATTTCCATCATTCTTAAACCATCATCCCTCAGGCCAGACTTGAGGTGAGTCAGAGGCAGTAGCTGACCCTGACGGGGACAGGGCACATGGGTATCTGAAATCCCTTCATTAGCACTCAATTCCTCACCCAACCCCCAGCCACACGTGCCTGCCCAGCAGCAAGCTTCCAGTGCTCACACTGTAAGCTGTGGTCCCCCCAGGACCAGGCGGTAAGTGAGTTTTCCAGGTTCTTTCCAGTAAATTAAGAGCAGATTTTAATACATGGAGGGGAAGAGAGAATAAGAGGGCACTGGGTGTCTGGAACAGGGGCAGAAAACGTTGGGGCCCCCATACTTCTAGTCACTTAGATTCTCCCTCTAGACCTACGTTTTCTTGTCAGCAAGATCAGGATAAAAGTATTATTGCCTGTCCATGGGGTGATTGTAGGTAACAGAGAGTAATGAAATGATATCACCAATGGAAAGCACTGTGTATTCAAGTTACTCCTGAGCAGAGGTCAGGCTGAGAAGACCAGTGGGCCTGGCAAGGCTGAGAGGAGCACTCGGGCCCTGTGGACTCTGTTCTTGCCCAACACCTCCCCCTCCAACACTGTGGCATCTCTCTTTTCAGTGGCCTAAGACCAGAGATGGGAGAAACCAACGTGGGCCACCCAAAAAAGTAAGCGGGAGGGAGATTAGGCCAAGCCGCAGTGGGAACTCGGGCTCTGGCCCAGCAGTCAACCACAGGCCTCCCTGCCTCTTCCCTTCTCCAAGAGCCACATCCGCGTGCGTGTGTGTGCTGACCACATGGTGACCCCAGACACATCTCCCTGCCCCATGCTTGACCCACTGCTTCTCCTGGCCCTAGGAACCTCACAACAGTGTCACCAAGACCTTGACCTTCTCATAGGAAGATGCGGCCAGTCAAGGACCCCCTTCGCAAATACCCATGTTTGGGCGACACCAAAGCCTTGGACTCCAGCCACCTGGTCAGCCCATCCTCCATCCTCCCAGTCCAAGACAGAAGTACCCAGTGAGACAGACACACAAGGCCAAAGACTCTGAGCTAGAATGTCAGACCCCCTAGCCTCACTGAGCTGGAGAGACCAAGAGGTTTGGGTCCAGGAAAAACAGAGACATAGATCTAGGGATGGAGAGACGGCTGCGGAAACACTGAAACACAGAAAATCCACGCTTGTATCCTGGCCTTTGCCCAACCCATGGCCCCCTCAGCACTTCAGGCCCTCTAGTCCTGCTCCCCCCTCCTTCCCCTGCCACCTGCACTCCCTTCAATGCCATCCACCCAAACCTCAGAAAGAAAGTACCAGTGCTGTGTACATGAGGGTGTGTGTTACTTGTAGAGAAGGGGTGGGGGAGAACGGGAAGGGGGCTGGTAGACTTGGGGGTTGGTGAGAGGAGCTGAAAACACCTCTGATGATAACTCACCTTCAAAAGCTACCCCTGGGAGACACGTCCCTGAAGCAGCAGGTGGTGGGAACTCAGATTGGGGAGAAGGAGCTGAGTAATCACAGGATTACTCAAACTGTTGCCCTGGAGCCAGGCCTGCCAGGAACTTACCATCTAAGGGCCTGCCAGTGCCAGGAACTAGAGCCAAGCAAAGGTCAGGAACCTCGAACCAGCCCCTGCACCACTGCTCCCATGGCAGCCCTAACTCTACCCTCGCCTGCTGTCTTGGAAAGATCTTTGCATCTCACCTGCAGCTCTCTCACTGTAGCTCTCTCCTGAGAGAGAGCTTTCTCCAAAAGAAAACTCCAATTCCACATCTTCCAAAAGGAGAGACAAATGCCCAAATGCACCCGCCAGCTCCTTAAGTCATCTAATGACTGAATGACTATGGCTTTCTGCATCTCAAACAAGATTACCTGGGGATCTGAGGTGGGACTCAAGATTCTGCACTTTGGTCAGCTCTTAGTTGGTGCCTAAGCTTACTGGTCTTCAGCTTATACTTTGAGTAGCAAGAACTTAGTCCCTATTCCTGCCTTTTTGCCAGGCTGCTCCTTCCAGGGAGTGGGGCTGGGGTTGGCGATCTTTTCCTGAGCTCATTCTTGCATCTTTTCTGCCATCCAGTGTGACCTCTAAGACTTCATTCTGAGACAATACTAGAAAAAGAAACTGAATCTCCTCTGAATTGCTTTAGAGACTGAAGTACCCCCAGGAGCATCCTAGTAGCTCCTCCTATGAGGGGAAATACGGTAGAGGCAAAGTCCTCCATCCTCCTCTAATCGAGCCTCTCACAGCTGTGAGATTCAATGATAGTGCTTTGAGTACTTCCAGAGCCTGGCCCTGTGCCAGCTTAGGAAGCCAACCCTGGGCCCTGTCCAGGTGCCCTATGCCACAGAGAGGAAGTGGTAGGAGCAGGGGAGGGGCTGCAACCCAGGGGGATCTCTCCTCTCAAACCCCAGAACCACCACCCCCCCACCATCATGGTAGAGAATGGGTTCACACAGAGAAACCCCGGGGTCCTCATCTCCTCCTGGTGCCTCGTCAATCTAGAGCTGGGCCTTTTCCTCTCCTCTTTCTCTCTCCTTTTTCTCCAGTGGATACTGATTAAGGAGAAAGGATAATGATAGACATAAGCATTGGCTGAATTCTTACTCTGTGCCAGGCTTTACATGCATTTTCATTCAATGATCACAACCACCCTGTGAAATAGGCCCTGCTAGTATCATCCTCATCTTACAGATGAGAAAACTGAGGCCTAGAGAGAATAAACAGCTTGACTAAGGTCACACAGCCAGAAGTGGCAGATCTGGCATTTGAACCTAGATCTCTGTAATTCTGCAGCCAGTGCCCTCAAGCCTTAAGCTATATACTTTATGAGGATAAGACGCCCAAATGCACACCGGAGACCTGGGTAGAGGACATGGTTATTTGGCTGTAGGGGTAAAAGTGTGAGGTGATTGTGGTGGTCTAGGAACAGAATTCACAGAGGAAACCCACAGAACTAAAGCCAGGACTCCTGTTTGTATAAAGATCCCAAGAGATATTATTCCCTCTGTCCCAACTCTTCCTCTGAGGTCCCAGCCTCCTCCTGCCCTTACCCCTTTCTCTAAGGCCAAGTGGGATGACTTATATATCAACAACAGGGTTCCCGGGGACTCCTCAGGAACACCACAGCCCCTTTAGGGTATAGACTAGGTTTCCATACATCTTGGTATGCCTCCCTTTGCAGAATGAATGAATGAGTGAGAAAGAGGAATGCATCTCTTTCCTTAGCTTGAGCTCCTCCTCTCCCCACAGCCAGAACTCTCTGTCTCGATCCCCACCGAGACCACAGCTCCGGTCAGGGGTCACTTGCACACCCCAACCTGTCACCAGCCTCCCTCCTTTCTCAGCTCTCAGTTCCCCCAGCTTCTGCAAAGCTGGAAACCAAGGTGGTGGGTGCCACCACAGGGGAGCAGGAGCGGGAGGGCTGGGTGGGGGCTGGGGGAGAAGTGGTTCTACCTGGCGAACACTACCCCCAGCCCAGGCCAGGGCCCTCACCGCAGCTCCTGGTGAGAATTTTCTGCTGAAACACCCAGATCCTGGGGCTGAGAAAATAGTGAAGCTAAAACTCAGGTGGGCGAGGGAGAGTCTGGGGTTTTGAAAAGCCATGAATGACAGCCAGCCAGCCACCCGAAACCCCCTCCTGGTGCCTCCGCCACCCCCACAGTCTGGGACTGGAGAAAGGCGAGTGAAAACAACCAGTGAATGGGGGAGGGGATGAATCACTAGGAGGAAGCTCTGGCGAGTGGGAGCCCAGACGTCACCATCAGCACCTTCCCTGCCTTCAGGGCCATCTGTCCCTCATCCCAGAGCACCTTCACTGCTCCAGGAGGGTAGTGGACCCAGAAAGACCTTGGCTCTGGCCCTGAGGCCCTGCCTTGTTACTGTCCCTCCCCCGAAATAGACATCTCCATCCTTTTTGAGCCTCAGAGCCCCAGGGAAGGGGCTGCACTGCAGCAGCAGGCGTGGAGGTGAGACTTCAGAAAGGACTAGCTATATGGGAACAGGAGCGCGGGCCTTGGGCTGCCCGCCTGGGAGAGACCTTAGCCCTTGGAAAGTCCTGTTCCCTGTTAGTTTGAGTCAGCAGCACAGCGGCAGGGGATGGGGAGGAGCCCTTGGTAGGGACCGAATATTTTCATTGTGCTGGGACAAGCTGAGTCTTTTCAGAGTCTAGCACCTTGGGCTCGGTGGTTTGGTATTTCTGTTAGGAATGGGAAGACGGGGAAAGAGAAGGGTGCTGGAGTGATGAAAGGAAGGAAGAAGCCCTTCACGGAGTCCTAAGATGGCCCTGGGCTCTCAGGGTGATATCTGTGTACCCTGGGGACTTGGAGTCCTTTCTGGCCCACTGTTCCTCATGATCATGACCAAACCTAAGAAAGATCAGCTCATAGACAGTGACCTCACACCCCTCGGCCTCCCACCTCCCCATCCAGACCAAATGCCAGGGCCTGAGTGCCTATTGGCGCCACGCTGGCCATGCCCTTAGGGGAAGATGTCTGGGCTACCCTCCGTCTGGCTGGCTGGGAGTCTCTTTGGCGTACAGACACATTATCTCCACTTGACAGCAGCAGGTCGGATGGCAGGGTGCTGGTGCCATCCTTGTCAGAGCCACCCTACTTCCCTCTTACCGCTTGCCTAGACCCTGTGTCTCCCTGTCTTCCCTTTACTGCCAGTTATCTTTTCTCTCCGCCTCTCCCTGTGTCTATGTGCCTTGTGATCTTCTGCATTCCAGCTCTGTTTCTGGGCTTCACACCTTCATGTTTGTTTGTTTGTTTAAGAGACAGGGTCTCGCTCTGTCACCTAAGCTAGGGTGCTGTGACATTGATCATAGCTCACTGCAGCCTTGAACTCCTGGGCTCAAACGATCCTCCTGCCTCAGTCTCCTGAGTAGCTGGGACTACAGGTACACGCCACCATGCCCAGCGAATTAAAAAAAACTTTTTTTGTAGGGACAGCGGCTCACTTTGTTGCCCAGGCTGGTCTCAAACTCCTGGCCTCAAGCCTCAGCCTCCTGAAGTGGGATTATAGGCATGAGCCACCACGCCCGGCTGCACCTCCATGCGTTTGGCTCTATTGGTGTTTCTCCAACCACACCTCCAGCTGGACATTACTCTCTCCCTAGGTGTTCCAGAAACTCGCCCTCTGAGTTGGGCCTCTGCATCTCTCCTTATTTCTTGATTTGTTTCTGCTCCTTTTGTCGGGCCCTTGGTCTCTGGGTGTGTCACAGTCCCAAGCCCCATGTGCTTTGACTTTTGCCATCGGCGGTTGGAGGGGCTGGTGGTGGTTGGCACTCATTGGGGTCAGATAACTTGGGGCTATGAGATACCTGTAAATGTCCAAGTGAGAAGGACCAGTGGCACTGACCCCCTCGTTGGAGGAGGCCCTCTCTCCTACTTCCCCGCCTGGGTGGGGCTGTGTGTGTGTGGTGGGGGTGGGAATAATGGAGAGCTGGCCAAGTGTCTCCCTCAGCCCCTCCTGGGGACTCCTGCCCCGCTGCTGGGCTAGAAGCACACCTAGTCATTTCATCCCAGGGTTGATTTGCTCATTAGGGGCCATCTCTGGGAAGACCAGTCTGCCAGCGTTTGCTGCTAATAGAGAGAAGCTAGAAGGGAAACGGAAGCTCCAAGGGGCCCTTTCCTCTGTGTAGAAGCTGTTGGCTCTTCTCTCCAGCCCTCCTTATCCACCCCAGCTCATATGCCTGCACTGTGGCCTCAGTCCCTGTCACAGAAGTGGAATTCTTTTCTTTCCTTGGTTTCCCTTCCTTCTAACCTCTGGGAGAGCTGAGTCTCCATCATCACCCTTGGGGATGCCTGCCTTAGGGCACTGGGCTCTCTCTTGGCCCTGGGCCTTTGGAATGGGAGACTCTCCATAGTTGGTTTTGTTGTTCTATCTTAAAATTCAGCTCCCTTGTTTTGCGGATGGTAGACCAGGGCCCAGTGACTTGGCTTGTCTAAGTCTATATGGCTAGCCAGTGATAGGCGGCACAAGTGCCTGGTCTTACACTGTCAGTCCAGGGGTCTTTCCAGGACTCAATACGGCCTCCCTTCTGTGGCTTGTGGGAAGACCCCAGGTTGAAGCTGGGGCTGCTTCAGGCCTCAGCCACAGGGGCATGGGGCTTCCCTTTTCCTCCTTCACCTTGTGCTCTGAGAGCTTCTCTGGCTTCCCTGGCTTCCCTTCACAACAAATACAGGGGACTTCCTGAGGTTGCCCACCCTTGCTCTGCTGGAAGGCACAGGAACCCCAGACATCTGCCCACCAACTGTTGGCCCAGGGCTCCAAGCCAGGAAAAGGGTGAGGCCGAGGTCTTTCCAATCCCATCTCCATTGCCTTGCTTCCCCGGTCAAATGGGTGACTGACCCTGGAGAACCACACACACACATACACACACACCCCACACACACACGCACACACACACATGCACACACACGCAGGCATGTGCCCGGGTGCACCCTGACTGGATTCCACATAGTCCTCATGTCCCTGGATTGGGCAGAAAGCCTGGTGGCTTTGAGGCCTGGACGCGGGGATTCTGTGCCCTGCTGCCTGCCAACCTCAGTTGACTCTCGCTGTCCTGTTGCTTCAGAGCACAGCAACTGCTCTGGCCTCCTTTTACTCACAAGCAGGCTGGAGGCACAGAGGGAAACACCGTAACAAGGGAAACACTGTAACAGGAGAGTGCGTTCAGGGCCCCTAGTAATTACCAGCCCCCATCAGATACCAGCTGTGTAACATTGGGCCAAGTACGCGGCCTCCTTGGCTCTCAGTCTTTTTGTAAAATTAAGGGCCTGGATACCTCAGATACTTTTGGAGGTTCTTTTTGGAACTCAGGAATTCCTCAACAGTCCTCTTACCATTGCTGCTGTCAGGGAGCCGCCTGGCCAGCAGGACTCCCCAGCTGCTCCACCCATCTCCCAACAGATCTTGACCTTGACCAGGACGCACCCTGCTTTGCTCAGATTTGCTCACACTGTTCCCAAGACATCCTCCTTTCCAGAGGGGTGACGACAGGGTCCAGGCTCCCCCGCCCCCAGGTGGCCCCATTCACTTACTTCTCATGACTGAGCCTTGGCTCTGCCGGCCTTGGCTCCCTGTCCTTCTCAGCAGGGGGTGGTCCAGGAGTGGGGTGCAGCTGGCGGCAGAGGCGGGGCGAGGCCCTCTCAGCAGCGCCTCAGCCTGAAGCTCTGCACCTAGCTCTCTCCCCCAGTGCTTCTGGACTGGGGGGTTTAAGCTCTGCACCACACAGGTGGCCAAGTGACAACCCCCCACCCCACCCCCAAGGGGTGCAGTGAGTAGGATGACAGGCGCCCCACGTGGCCAATCTGGGCCTGGGGCAGGGTGTGAGGGGAGGGGCAGCCAATCGTAGGGGGCGTTGGAAAATTCCAAAACCACATGCGACAGCCACACGCGGTAAAAGCTGTTTCCACCCGCCAGGGTAGTTCTGGCTGGGGAGCCAGAATGGAGCTCACACGAGCCTGAAGCCAAATTTCTACTCCTCCTACCCCCGAGGACCTTCCAAGCCTGACCCTCTTTGCCAGGTGACTTCAGGGACAGGGATGTTTTCAGAGGTAAGTCACAGGATGTCTGCCTGGGGTGGTGGCATGTGCCACCTGACACCCTGTGGACTGCCAACAGCCATACCCAGTGTGGTGCAGCCTGGGGGGCTGTCCCACCACTCCCATGCCCACGCTCCTCCCTGCAGACACCACATATATCTTGCGCTAGGGAATACATGGAAATGATAGAAGCAGTAATAATCACCAGGCAAATACCCACAATCCACAGAAGGAAACCAGAAATTTCCTTAGGAGCCAAACTGCTGAAATTGGAGTGTAGATAATGATCATCATCACCATCATCATACTCATAATCATAATAATAGTGCTTACTATTATGTGTCAGAAATGGTTCTCGATGTTTTATGTGGATAATCTAATCCTCACAAAATACTTTATGTGGGCCGGGGGCAGTGGCTCACGCCTGTAATCCCAGCACTTTGGGAGCCCAAGGTGGGTGGATCACCTGAGGTTAGGAGTTCGAGACCGGCCTGGCCAACATGGTGAAACCCCATCTCTACTAAAAATACAAAAATTAGCCAGGCATGGTGGCGAGCACCTGTAGTCCCAGCTACTCAGGGGGCTGAGGCAGGAGAATCGCTTGAACCCGGGAGGCGGAGTTTGCAGTGAGCTGAGATAATGCCACTGCACTACAGCCTGAGCAACTGAGTAAGACTCTGTCTCAAAAAGAAAAAATAAAAAAACTTTATGAAGTAGCTACCATTATCCTCATTTCGAGGAGGAAAGTGAGACACAGAGAGGTTAAGTAACTTGCCCAAGGTTACACAGCTAGTAAGTGGCAGAGTCAGGATTCAAGCCCAGGCAGACTGGCTTCGGATCCCACTTGAAGGATGGGAGGGTTTCTCTGGTTCAAGTCTGCTTTTGAGGGTGTCTCAGCCTGGGAGGTCCCTCGGTATGTGAGTCTCTCTGGAGTGTTTTTTGGCCTGGGGGAGGGGGGTCCTTCTCAGGGGCCAAACAATTCCAGAGACCTTCTCAGCCTCTTAGGTGCTTTGTGGGGTACATTGGCTTTGAGAGTCCCTCTTCAGGGCCCCTCAGTATTCAGGCTCCCTCTTGGTCTGGGGAGTTCCCCCGGGTTCCCCATCTTGGACCCCCATCTTGGGGTTGTCTCAATTCAGGAGCCAATTTTCAGAGTCTCTCGGCCTGGGGGAGGCCTTAATGTCTCCTGGATTCTGTGGGGCAAACTCCTGAGAGGTGTCTGATCTTGCTGGGACTCCAGACCCTCTCATCCAGGCACAGGCCTTTCCTTGCCTTCCTGGGCCTTCCTGGGGCTTCAGGAGCTGGGCCGTGGAGTGGGGGAGAGGCTGTCAGCCTGGATCCTCAGGACAACACTCTTGGGGTGGGGACACGAGGACTGGTGGGATGGGAAAGGGATAAGGAGGTATAGTCCTGGCTGAGGTTTCTGAGGTCAGGGGTTAAGGGTAGGAATAGGGTTTGACCTCTCCCAGTTCCTGCTGCTCCGAAAGTCCCCCTACTCCCCCCACCCACATAAGGTCCGTGACCCCCCTCCCCCAGCTCACCCGCGTCACTCCCTGACCCGCTTTCCTCCCGGGGCCCTGCTCAGCATTTCCGTGGGGCCCTGTGGCTAGGGGCAGGCGAGACACTGATCAGGATTATGCTGAGCAAAGCAACCCCCACCCAGGAGGAGGTAGCATCCTGGATGGCCCTCAGCCCTGGGCTGCCCAGCTCATGGAGAAGGGCAATGCTTTGCTCTCTGAGATGTCTCTACTTGGAACAGGGAGGCTCTAGACAATTTTGGCATTGGGCGAGATGGCAGTGAGCTCTCAGGAGGAACTGGCAAGGCAGTCAAGGGACGGCTATGGAGAAATGGTGTGGCCACTCCTACCCTGGAGGGATCCTCTCGATTCAGGGACCCATGCTCACAGAAGGGCACGCATGGCCCTGATGGGCATAGCTTTGGGACTGTGTGCATTCTCTGGGGGACTAGCCTTTGCCACAAACTAGGAGAGGAGAGCTGATGTGCTGAGTGGTCCCTAGAGAGGATTCTTATTCACTAGCGTCCACTGGGAAGTCCTCTCTGAGCTCTAGTGCCCTTCTTACCTGCTGTAGTCTGGCTTTCAGGGCCCCAGGACACAGAGTGCCCCTGTCCATTCTGTTTCCTACAGAGATAAAGCTCTCCTGCTCTCTAGTCCTGCACAGGCTGGCTCCAGGCTTGTTCACACCTCAGGATGTGTTAACCACAGAGATGAACACCAAACCTGGCTCAGGACCACAGAGCTTGGTGCAGGCTGGGCACAGTGGCCCATGCCTGTAATCTCAGCACTTTGGGAGGCCGAGAGGGGTGGATCACAAGGTCAAGAGTCTGAGACCAGCCTGACCAACATGGTGAAACCCCGTCTCTACTAAAAATACAAAAATTAGCCAGGCGTGGTGGTGGGTGCCTGTAGTCCCAGCTACTCGAGAGGCTGAGGCAGGAGAATCGCTTGAACCTGGGAGGTGGAGGTTGCAGTGAGCCGAGATTGTGCCATCGTACTCCCGCCCAGGCGACAGTGTGAGACTCTGTCTCAAAAAAAAAAAAAAAAAGCCTGGTGCAGGCTCCCTGTCTCCCTTGGCAGCAGCGCTGAGTTCCTGAGTTCCTGAGGCCACCCCGCCTCCGCACACCCCCCTACCTCTATCTCCTTCCTTCCCCGGCCTGGCAGTCGGCCCCACCCCCTCCCATCTCCCTGCCTCTGTCCAGCATTTCTCCTCGCCTTTTTTCACAAGGCGGTTCCCTTTTCCTTTGTTCTCTCCTGGTTTCTTTACAGTGTTTCCTTTCATGCTTCAGGCTTCTTCCTCATCTCCTCCCACTGCCCTGATCTGTGGTTTCCTCGCACCTCCCCTTGCTTTCCTGTTGCCTGCCATCTCTTCCTGACTCCTCCACCTCTGTCCAACCTCAGTCCCCCCACAGATCACTTGCTGAATTATTCTCCATCTCATTATGCCCCAGCCATTTTCTTGCCCCGGACCCCCTACTCACAGGTGTGGGTCTTCTTTGCAGCCAGCAGCTCTGTAAAGACAAGAGAGGGGGTTGACGTCAAAGGTTGAAGATCATGAGGGGCTGAGACACTTTCCCCACTCCTAGGATCCCACTGCCGCACTCCTTCCCTCAGAGCCTGGCGTCTGAAGGGCAGGCAGGCCACCCCCTGCAGTGCCCCTCTCTCCTCCTCTGCCCTTGGGCCACACTGGCCCTCTTCCAGGTACCCAGAAGTGTCAGGCTCCTCACTGCCTCTGGGACTCCCCCAAGCTGCTCCTTTGCCTAGAATGCCTGTCCCTCCTGTACCCCTTAATCTAGCCAACTTCTCTTTCTCCCTCAGGTCTCTGATTATGTTTCTTCCTTGGAGAAGCCACACACACCCCCTTCCCCTGCCCTTGTGCTGACACATTTAGCTCCTTGCATTTTATTTCCTGGCACTCACCATGTCACCAACTGTCACCTAACTGCTGTAATTGTGTCATTGTCTATGAAATGGGTCTTTCCTGCCAAATTGTAAAGCCCTGTGAAGGCAGGGACTGTGTTGGTCTTATTTACTTTGTAATTTCATTGGAGGTGCACAAGAAATATCCTACAGCCAGAGTTAAATCTCTGTGGGACTGAAATCTCTTGGTTGCTTATCTATGCCTGAAAACACCAGGGCTTCAGAGATGTGGGGGTTGGGAGTAGGGGGAGAGGATGTTTGGAGGAAGAGGAGGGGAGAGTTGCAAATACAGACCCCTCTCTGGCTTCCACGGGCCAGGCTTCCCTGGCCTACCAGCCTGAAGAGGAAGGCCTCCCTTCTCTGCTGCTGCTGCGTGGCCGGGTCTGGGTGGAGATTGGGCAGTAGGGAGCATGAGTGGGTCGATGGGGGTCACATGGATACTCGGACCTCCAGGGGGAGCAGCCGTTGAGGGGAGGGCCTTAGCTGGAGCATGGTTGGTGGGTGGGGGGGTGTCACCCATTCATGCAGTTAACATCTATGAAACACCTAGCCAGGGAGCCCCTGGAAAGAGGATTCCCCTGCCAGACCTTGGCCCATTTCCTACATCCACATAGCAGCTCATCACAGAACACATGGCCAGTCTTTTGTCTCAGAAAGCCCTTCAACCATGCCCTATACCCCCTATAGCTTCCCTAACCTCTGACTCTATTCTGTTATTTTTTTCCTTCTGCTGTTCAGTCTTGACACCTGACATACACACACACACACACACACACACACACACACACACACACAGTGCCCTTCTGCCCGGGAGATGCTCCCCACTGGCAGGCCGTGGTCACTAGGCTGTGTGGAGGCGAGTGGCCTGATGGCCTGGGCTCTGCTGGGGTGAGGGAGGAGAAAAGACTGCCCCGAGGTGGCAAGGCCCCACCCAGCCCCGCCCACCTCCCCTTGCTCCTGCCTGGCCCCACCCAGCTTCCTCCCTGACGTGGCACCGGCTCCTGGCCTCTAGCCTTGCACCTCAGAGCAGTCCTGTGGTGGGGGTGCTCCCCTTGCTCACCCAGGCAGCCAGTTCTTCCTCCACCAGGTGGCCCTGGAGCTTGGTGGCTCTGGCCCTCAAACTTTCCTCCTCCATGCTCACAGCTGACCAAGCCTGTGGCCCTGCGATCCTGCTCTGAGGGGGTTCCTGACTTGGACCATGGGTGGGGCCAAGGACGGCCTGACATTCTGTCCTTCCCTGCTGATGGCCCAGTGCCCCACATTCTCTGCAGAGATGAAATCCCACATCCCTGGGTGAGTGGCGAGGAAAGGACCAGGCTACGTGGTCATGGGCAGCTGACAGGGTGTGGTTCCCCCTGCCACACTCCCCAAGTCTGTCACTCCTTAAAGGACAGGTTTCTCCACTGGTGAATGAACAGAAGGTGGAGCAGCCAGCCTCCCGGCCACTGCTGTCTGGGGTCCTGGCCAGATCAAGGAAGCAGTGTCCCTGTGCCTCCTGGGGGGTAAGCCCACACCTGGGAGGGCCTGTCCACATTCTGACCCCTCGCTGGGTCTAGATCTGGCTCCCCTGACTTGGCTCTTCCCTCCCCATCTACCCTCCAACCTGTTTCTTCCTTCTCCCGCTTCTCCCTTTCTTTCCTGTTTCTCTCCTTTTGCGATTTCTTCTCCTCTGTCATCTCCCCAGCCCCTCCTCCTGTTTCTCCTCCAGTTTCACTCCCTGCCAACCCAGGGCTTTCTCCTCTGCACTCTTGTCCCTCCCTCCCCTCCTCACTTCTTGCCCAGTCTCTTGCCATTTCTGCCCTCCTCTGAACCTCCAGCAGTCTCTTCCACCTGCAGGCAGGGCCATGGGCCTCTTACCCCGTGAGGCTCGGTGCTGTCTCTGTGGGGCCCTGTCCATGGGGCAGCTCCCTTGGTGCCGTCCTGGCTGCCCTGGCTGCCCAGGAGGGCAGGGAGCAGGGCCCAGGGGAGGGAGGAGGGCGGAGGGTGGAAGGCGGGAGCACCTGGCCCTCCAGCAGGCAGGGAAAAGGAGTGGCTGGCAGAGTGTCCTGGCACCAGGAGGGGACATGAGGAGAGACCAGTGGACCAGTGCATGGAGCCTTGAGGAGAAACAGGACAGGAGAAAGGAAGGGAACTAGCATTTATTAATCACTTACTGTGTGCTGGGCCCTTTGCAGGACACTTTATGTAAATCCATGCTTTTACTTTGTGTAAATATTCACAGCACCCACCACAGGGAAACATTATTATTCCAGATTGATCAGTGAGTGGAGGGATTCTCAGAGATATTAATGATTTTGCCCAAGGACTCACACAAGAACAATAAATGGGTGAGCTATGATTTGGACCCAAGTCTTTGTGACTTTAGAATCCTGTGATTTCTACCTAAGACAGGTGACAGGCATAGGGGAGATGGAGAGGGCAGGTTTGGGGGACTGTGTCTCTTCTCTAGGATGCAGTCAGACTCCTCCCAGTGACTGTTCAGTTCCCTGAGGCCTCTGCCTGCTCGGCCCCTGCCCCTAACCCTTGCTGCTCTTGCCAGGACTCCCTGACCCCCTGATGCTTCTACGTGCTCCTCATCTGTTGGGGCAAGGGGCAGGCCTGGAGGAGTGCCTGGAGGCAGAGAAGCCATGGTGGGGAAGAGGAGAGGAGAGATGCTGCACTGGACTCATTGGGAGAAGGAGAGGCTCCCAGACCTAGTGGCCCACACTGAGGCCTGCAGTGAAGGCTCTGAAGGGGGCCAAGAGGACGAGGCTTCTGGGGATCCTGGTGCTGCTTTTCTCCTGCATGGCCTGGGCCCAGAGTTTGATTAGCTGGGCCTGACTCTCCTGGTTACCCAACAAGCAACTGGCCAGGGGCCAGGCTGCAGCAAGAGGCTCCCTGGCACCTCCTCCTGCTCTCGTTCCCAGCTGGTAAACAGCAGAGCAGGAGTCAGCCATGCCACAGCCTCGTGACTCGCCCACTCCCCCCCACCTGGTGCACGTGGCACCTGGCATGGAGAGGGCAAGCAGCTGTCCCTTCCCTCTTCTGCCGTCTCGTCTCGCCATCCTCCACTCCTGCCCAACCCTGGAGCTTCACACTCTGCTACCATCAGCACCTCTGTTCTTAGGTAGCTCCCAGAGTCTCCCCATGGCTGCAGATTGAGAGATAAAGGTAGAAGTGGAGAAGGACTTTTCAACTCCTAGGGTCATTGACAGTGGATGAGTAGTGAGAAAGAGGAGGGGAAGTTTTGGGGACCTTCTGCACTGAGTCTAAGGGTATGTGCCTATGCCTCTGAGGCTCTGATTATCCCCCGTGTTCTTTTGGTAAATGTGGGCCCACGCATCCATGTATGCATCTCTGCACAGAACAGGATGTTGGTCTGTTTGGGGGCTCTGCACCTTGGGCAGGTTTGGAGTGAGAGGTAAAGTGCTTTGCAGCTCCCTTCCCCCCCGCCCCCCCAGCACCCTCCAGCTGACAGGAGGAGCCAGCAACATGCCGGGCGTGGGAGTGCAGGGGAGATGCCGTTCTGCTCCCCTCCTCCCCAGAACTCCTCAGTTATCCCCCATCTCTCTGTCTCTCTTTGCTGGCTCCTGCCTGTCTGTGGCTCTTCTCCAGCTGTCCCCTCTCTATCTTTTCTCCTTTTTAGGCCTCTCTTCCTCTTGACTCTGGGTCTCCCAGGGGCCCTTCGTGACTACCTCTTCTACAACCCACCAATTGCAGGCACAGAGTGGAGGTCACGTAGAATGCTTGCGGATGGACACAGAGCATCCCCAGACACTGCAGGCACAGCTGACTCCCCAGTTGTGCCACTTTGTGCTACTATGTAGGGTGGGGAGGAAGTGACTGGAGATTTAGAAGACAGTATCCTGACCTCTAGGCCTAGGAGTGTCACATGCTTCCTAGGCATTCTCTACCTCTCCCCTGCCCTAAGCATGGATAGTTTGAGTTTTTTTTCTCCCCAGGGCAAGAAGATCCCTTGGTTATCCTTATGGGAAGTTCCCCCTCTTGTCTAAACTTTCTCCCTCTTGCTGCAATCACAGCCCCTTATCTGGAAGAATCGTCCTTTCAAAGCAGGGCGGTGGTTATTTCCTCTTCAAATACAATCTTATATAAGGAAGGGGCTGATAGGGATCAGAGAATCATTTCATCCCCACGTGCCCAGTCCCCTTATTGGGGAAATCTCCATGCTGGGGGCAAACACTCTGGAAGGGATGGGAGGTGGTGGTGGTGGCTTGGAACTGGGGAGCAGTCCCCAGCATCTCTTTCCTTCCTTCCCCAACCCTAAACCACAGAAACCACTTAAAGCTCAGCACAAATCTGCCCTTTCAGGGAGGGCCTGGGGGTCAAGGTGGAAAATATGTGGAGCCTGGGTAGTCTGCGGTGGCACACACTTCCCCAGCCCCATCCTTGGAGGGCCCTCTCCTTGGGATGCCTGATCCAGTGATTAGGGACCACTTTTCTTTGGGTTCTAGGGGGTTCCATGCCTGGGGACGCCTCAACCCACTGGAGTGACTCAGGGATGGGTTGTGCCTCAACCGTTGAAAAAGGACAGCCCAGGCTCTGTAACCTTCGGTAGCCTCCAGATCTCACAGTCCCCACCCCTCCCCCTTCTTGTCACAAAGGCCACTGTGGGTGGAGGAACAGTGGGAGTTTGACCCTAGCTCCTGGCCTTGAACTTTCCACAGTGACCCTGCTTGTACCTCTCCTCTACCAATTAACATTTATAGTCACACAGGCTTGGAGGTGGCAAGAAGGGTTTAAATGCTGGGGCAGAATCACTTATAAGAATGTGGTCTGCCATTTACTAGCTGTAGGCCCTGAGGGAAATCTCAGCCCTCAGCTACCACATCAGTAAAAATGGGGCAATAATACCTGTCCTAACTAGTGGATTTTTTTGTTTTGTTTTGTTTTTGAGACAAGGTCTCACTTTGTCACCCAGGCTGGAGTGCAGTGGCGTGATCTCAGCTTACTGCAGGCTTGACCTCCTGGGTTCAAGAGGTCCTCCTGCTTCAGCCCCCCAAGTAGTTGGGACTACAAGTGCATGCCACCACATGCAACTAATTTTTGCATTTTTTGTAGAGATGGGGTTTCACCATGTTGCCCAGGCTGGTCTCAAACTCCTGAGCTCAGGTAATCTGCCCGCCTCAGCCTCCCACATTTATCCACTTATCAAAGTGTTAGGATTACAGTCATGAGCCACCACACCTGGCCTCTGACTAGTGTTTATAGAAGTGCTTTGGGGCCAGAGCAATCTGCACACTGGAGGGTTTCTTAGGACCTCCTCACTCCCATGTTTCTGTACTTTAGCTACCCAGGATGTTCCTCCAGCAATGCTAGGGCCCCCATCACAGAGCCTCAGGGCTGTGAATGCTGAGTGAACTGCTCCTGGGAGGAGTGGCCTTGGATTTCCTCACAGCTTCCCCTAAGCAGTTGGGGTGGCAGTGGGGGTGTCTGGGTGGAGTCAGGTCAGAACCTTTCCCTCCAGCCAGGGCTGTTCCCCAGGCAAGCTTACTTAACCTATCTATCTGATCCATTTCTTTCTTTGTAAAGTGGGAATAATAATACCTACTCTCCTGAGTGGTTGTGACGCGGTGGCTTACGCCTGTAATCCCAGCACTTTGGGAGGCCGAGGTGGGTGGATCATGAGACCGAGACCGAGATCATGAGACCAAATCAGGAGATCGAGACCATCCTGGCTAACACGGTGAAACCCCGTCTCTACTAAAAATACAAAAAACCAGCGGGTGTGGTGGCACGCGCCTGTAGTGGCAGCTACTCGGGAGGCTGAGGCAGGAGAATCACTTGAACCTGGGAGGTGGAGATTGCAGTGAGACGAGATCGCACCACCGCACTCCAGCCTGGGCAACAGAGTGAGACTCCGTCCCCCCACCCCAAAAAAGAGGAATACTAATATCTACTCTACTGAGTGGTTGTGATGATCAACTGAGATAACACAGATAAAGTTCAGGACCTGGTCCAAAGTACTATGGTTAAAAAAAAAAAGTTTCCTCTCCTCCCTCCCTCTTTCTGTCCCTATAATCTTCCCTTCTCTTTATCTGACCCCTCTTTTCTATTCCCTTTCTTGCTTTATTTTTCTCTGTAACATATCACCAAGTAGCATTCTTTACATTTTAATGGCTTATTTTATCACTTTTCTGATCCCCATGTCTGTTTAATCACTGCTGTATCCAATGCCTGCCACCTGATGGACCTTCCCGAAGTATTTGTTGAAGGAATGCATGAATGAAGGTTCTACGGCCTCTAACTTTCTTTCCAGATACTTTCAAATGGGCATCAAATCCAGTTTCTCACCAAGGGTTGTTATGGGAGAATTTGGGGGCTGAAATAGAAATCCAGTACTAGGGGTAGACCTAAATCTATAGGTAGACTTCCCAGAATTCAAACATGGGATTTTAAACTGGCAGGGTACGAAACCTTTGCAGAGCTACCATCTTAGGGAAGGAGGCCCCTTTTAGAGTGACTTGATTGGGAGGCAGCAGCTGGCAGTGGGGGGTATTATCTTGAAGTGATTAAGAGTCCACACTCTGGAGCCAGACTCCCTGAATTCTTCCCTTTACTAGCTATGTGAGTCCTAGTTCTTCCCTTTACTAGCTATGCGAGGCCCAAGATCCCATTGGATAATAATAGTATTTACACCCTAATAGAAGGTGCTGGGAGGAATAAATGGCTTGACTAATTGTTGGAACAGTTCCTCATGTGGTTATAATCCATGTGTAGTAGTTAGCACTTAGGATTGTTTGGTCAATGCCACCACCTGGTGGACACCTGGAGCAAGAGTTCTCTGGCCTAGGGCTGGGTGGTGCGGACCCAATCAGGGAAGGGAGAAGGAACTGGAGAGCTGTCTGAATGAAGCCGTGTGTGTGTGTGTGTGTGTGTGTGTGTGTGTGTGTGTGTCTCTGTGTGTGTGTCTCTGTGTGTGTGTGTGTGTGTGTGTGTGTGTGTGTGTGTTGGAATTTAACGTGTCCAGGTGCTGAGGCTTTTGAGGTTTTGTCAGATCCCGCAAGCTTAGCCCTGGTGCAGGCCACAGCTGGCACCATGAAAAATGAGAAAGGGCCCAAGGGAGAGGGAGAAAGAAGTTGGGTTAGCCTAGTGCCTACCTCACTTCCTCCCTCCCTCCTCCAAGCCTGGCCTGAGTCCAGAGGAACCGGCTCCTGGGAAGGTGGAGGGAGAGAGAAGAAGGTCACTGCTGACGTCAGGGACATTCAGGTAGAGGTAAACACAATGTGACCTACAATTATCCACCTCCCCCCACCCCCACCTCCTTCTGGCTGGAGGAGGCTCTTCTGGCATTCCTGAGAACAGTTCTCACACTTTGGTAGTACCCCACCTCCCCCCTTTCAATCCCTGGGACATTATATCTCATTCATTTGGTACCCAAGCACCTCTCTGGTTCTTGGCTCCAGACTTGCCCCACCCCTCAAGGGACGCACAGGTGTGGAAGAGGCAAGAGGGAAGAAGGAAGACTAAAGGGCACTCTGTGTTCATCTGACATCCCCTGACTCACTCTCAAGAGCCAGAAATTTCATCTGTCTTCAGGACAGATGTGGGTTTTAGAGGGGCACAGGAAGGGAGTGTTAATTTCCTCTGTGCAGCCTCAAGTGGAAGGTGGCTTGTGTTGGTTTCTGTCAGAGTGACTCAGTGATTGCAGGGCTCCCTGATTGTTCGGGGGCCTTGTTGGCCGGGGACCTTAGGACCTACTTGGCCCAGATCTACTGAAGGAGCATCTCATAGGGATGGAGCCCAGGACCCTGCATATTTAAAAAGCTCTTCCAGGATTTCTGATGTCTGGTTATTCTGATGCTCCTTCAAGCTTGAGAACCACTGCTTAAGGTCTGCTCTACTCAGACCGTCTGAATGAGCATCTTCCCCCCGCGTATGGCCGGGATAGAGGGAAGATCGGTAGGCTCTATGCCCGAGCGTGTAAGGTGCCAGTAAGGGGAAATATCTGGCTAAGGACAAGGGGACATTTTATTAGCAAAAATAAATACAAGCCGGGCAGGGTGGAAAGAATGTGGACTGCAGACACAGTGGAGACGTCCTGAGGAAGCCAGGGGCTCAGGCTACAGGCTGAGATGGGTGGGCGCCAGGGATGACCCGGGACCTAGTCCCCCACCCAGCGGGGGCAGCAGCGCAATGAGGGGCGTCTCGCACTCCCCCAGCAGCACATCCCTGCGAAGTCCCGCGCCCCTGTCTAGCACCTTGGCTCTCAGGCTGCGGGCGGCCAGGTCCGGGGGGCCGAGCCCGTCGAAAAAGAAATCCTCGTTGAAGATGGGGTTGGCGCTGCACTTGACCACGCGGCTCTGCTGCTCCCGCGGCCGGACGCGGGGCCGCAGCCTCAGCACCACACAGCAGCCGCCGCCGCCGCTCCCGGGGCGGGACCGCGGCCGGGGCAGGCCCTCGGCGCTCACTAGGCGCAGCCGCAGCCGCCCGGGCCCGGCCTGATATTCGGTGGAGAGCCGCAGCTGCCCGCCGCGGGGCCCCAGGCGCAGCACGCTCTCGCGCGTGGGCCGCAGCTGGCAGCACAGGAAGTCCAGGTGGAAGAGCGGCGGCGTGGGCGGCCCGGCGCGGCGCGGCGAGTGCGGGCTGGTATCGGCCGAGCTCGCTTTTTCTGGGGACAGAGAGTGAGGCCTGGACACCCGGCGCCGGCCCAGGCCTGGCCGCGGGGAGCCGAAGGGCGACGAGTCCGGCGACGAGGCCGTGTCGCTGTCGGGGGCCCGGCAGAGGCGCAGGTCCGGGGCGGAGACGTGCAGCCGGGACTGCGCCGCGGGGAGTCCCCCGGCCGGGGCAGGTGGCGGCCCGTGGAACAGGGATTCCCGCCGGCGCGTGTGCGGGCTCTCGGGCAGGAAGGCCCAGCCTTCGCGGCCCGCCAGGTGAGGCAGCGAGCAGGTCGCGGGGAGGCCGCGCCCCGCCACGTGCCGCCGGGCCGCGGGCACTGCGCCGCCCGGGTCCGGGAGCCGAGGCGGGATGAAGAACTGCGGGATGCGATCCGGGGTGAGGACGTTGGGGCAGGCGCTTGTGGGCGGGCCCGGGGCGCGACGCTTGGAGAACAGGCCGGAAGGCGCCCAACGGGCCGCAGGCTCCGCGGCCCCCACCTTATAGCCAGCTTTTTCCAAGAGCCACATGCGGTGGGTGGGGTAATGGAATTCCGAATTCCGCAGGGCCGAGAGGGTCCAAATCCCGTCTCAGATGGGAGTGCTCGGCGGAGCGGGGCTGGGCGAGGAGCGCAGAGGAGTCAGAGGTGAGTGATGCTGGCGTACACCGGGCGGTCAGCCACCGCGCCCCGGTCTCCGGACCCACTGGGAGCGCGGACCCCTATTTGAGCAGAAAAAGAAAGGGCGGCGCAGTCTGGGGGGCTGGGGAGAAATGGAGGGAGCAAAGGGCCAGTCAGTCACATTTTCATATACGGGCCTCCGTCACCAAGTACACAGATTCTCCCACTGGTACTAAAGATGCCCCATTCACCTTACAGTTAGAGGGCCCATATAGTATCCACCAGAACCCTAGGGTACTATTAGGACAAATAGGATAATAACCGCATTATAGCAAAAGGACTCAGATCCCAACCCCCCTGGGACACTGCGCCCTAGGCGGGCTCACGCCCTCCTCCCCCGCCCATTTCGAAGACTTGGGTTTTCCTCTGGGATCCAGTCTGGCGCCCCTTGGGACTTCCTCCCTTTGCCAGGCTGCCCCGGCTCAAGCTTCTCTGGCCTGAGCCATCCCTCAGTCCTAGCCCCACCTGCCTCCTCTGGCTCCTCCTTCCCCTCCTCGAGTCGCTCCAAGCCAGAAGAGGACTCACTTCTGCTCCTGGCAGCCAGGGGACACACCTGGCTGCTGACCTCAGGACACCCTGGGCTGGTCCAAGGAGACGCACCTCCCGGGGACACAGAATCCCACCCCCAGTAGCCCTGACCGTCCAGCTCCCGCGCCTCCCAGCCCTACCGCATCCCGCGTCTGCAGGGCGGGGCCGGGCCGTTGGGTCGCCCCTCCTACTCTCCACTCCTTTTCTCCCTCGGAAACCACCGAGCACAAAGGCAGCATTGATTCTCCGCCACCCTCAGAGCGGTCTCCGGAAGGCTCCGCCACCACGCGCTCGCCTCACCCCTGCGCGGAGCCACCAAGAGCACCGTGTTCCGACCCTCTGCCCTGGGATCCGAGCTAGCGACCCTCTCCGTCGCGCGCCCGGAGTGCTGGCCTCACCTGTGGGTCGCTTTTGGGTTCTGGCCTCAGGCCCTGAAACTTTCAGAGCCAGAGGGGAGCAGCTTTCTCTGCAGCTTGCTCCCCCAGCGCAGTCCTTATGGGAGGAGCTGGCAGGGGCCTCCGCTGCCTACGTCCTACCTCTTTTCCTGGATAAACACAGCTCTGTCTGCGCGGCCATCAGCCCGGTCTTCTGACTTCCTCCAGCTGAAGCCAGGTTTCTAGCAACAATCCATTCCTGTGCCCAGGCCTCCTCTGCTGAAGCTGGGCTGCTTAGGGGTGGGGGAGGGCTACAGAGAAGAGGGAGACGGCCATCAGTGGACAGTGGCCACTTCTTTGGTGCTCGGTTCCAACCCCAGCCCTCACAGGTGAAGTCCATCTTCTGTAAAACCCTCCTGGTTGAAATCCTGCCTTGGCCCCCAGTGCCCTGTTCTGGAGCCATTCCAATAGCTCCAAGGCAGAGTGACTTGCAGTGATCAGTTGTCTGCATTATTCTGGCTAATAGTTCTCTGAATTATTGTGGCTAAAGGAAAAGTGGCCAGACTCAGGATTTCTGGACTTAGAAACACTGAAGATAAAGCTGGATCCAACAGTCAGGATCAAGCTGGCCTATGTCCTCCATCCCTGACAGATCTTAGGAAGCACAGGCCACCACAGACAAGATGAGACCATCAGTTGCAGTCTAGACACACCTACCATCCTTCAGTCTCTGAAAGGAAGCAAGGCTAGTTCCTCCCCTAGGACCACTCTTCTCCTTCATGCTTCAGCTCTGGAGGCCCTCACTGACACCCTCCCATCTAAATTAGGGGCACCTGCTGTACACTTTCATAGTACCTCATACTTTTCCTTTATAGCATTGATTACAGTTTTTCCCCCTCTATTTATGTGGTTATTTGTTTAATGTCCACCTCTCTTACTAGACTAAGAATCTTAAAAACAGTGCTTGGTGCAAAGCAGGTACTCAGTCAGGATGTATTTGATGAGTGAAGTAGTAAGCAAAATTATACTTGAATCAATTTGTTCATCCATTCATTGAAGTGCCTAAAATGCACCAGGCACTGTGCTAGGGGGATACATAGAATAGAGAGCTGTCTAAGGGGAGAGACAGACAATAAACATGCAAACAACAATAAGACAAATCCTGAAATGCAGGAAAAAAGATGAAACAAACCAGTGAATGCAATGATTATTGTGTCATCTAATACTTGAAGATTTTAACAAAGCAAGTGTTTCTTCTGTGGCGATCCCTGGTGGCCTCCAGACCTTCCATTCATGTGGCTTCTGACTCAGCTCAGCCCTGGTGTTGTTTCTGGGGAGGGTCCATGTTCTTGGAGTGCTGCAGTATTCATTGCTTTGTCATCAGTCAGATGGGCTGGGAATCTGGATTCTGCGACTGACTAGCTGTGTGACCTCTAGCATGTAACTTAATCTCTTTGGGGCTTACCTTTTCCATCTGGAAAACAGAAAGAATAAAACTCTCAGAGTTGGTATGAGGATTAAAGATAACACGTGGGCATCATTTAGGCTGACATCCGCTAAAAGTGTGAGAAAACAGAAAACCCAACTCAGTCTGACTTAACAATATGGACACTTGACTTCCATAATAAGAAGTCCAGAAGTAGGTAGGACCCAGGGAACACAACTGTTTTATTTTTCTTCCTCTTCTTTTTTCTCTTTAGGCTAGTCAAGTGAAGCAATGGGAGTGGAGATGGAACAAAGAAATCTGCAATTGGTTGTGATCAATTAGTTGTAAACACTACTGCACTTGGACCAACCTCTTCCTTTTCCTGACTGCTTAGGAAGGATGGAATGTATTTCCTTCCTTCTGGGAGTGTTTGAATGAAGATTAGACTCTCCTTGACCATGAATGAAGAGCAACCAGTTTTTTAGTATACAGTGATTTAGACTCTGGGTCTAGAGTGTAGATATCATGGGCACTGTGAAAGCACAGAAGGAGAAAAGGTTTTTATGTGAGTATATGGGAGAGGAAATAGTTTATTGTCATAAGCTTTTTGGCTATGGCCTCCATTACATCTCTAGCTTTTGGAAGGCACTAAATTGAGGCCATTCAAATCCATGTCCACCTATCCTTTGCCCGTCACGAGACTGATGGCTTAGGAAGCATGTGGTCTAGGTACTAGAGAGGGAGCCTGACCCACCTACCTCACCGCTGCTGCTGAATTTGTGCACAACTCTCTGACCTGGTTCCATGTCACAAAGGGTTTCATTCTCTCTGATTCCCTGAATCCCCAGCTCTAGCCGCAGATCCTGGAACCCTAGCATATGCCTGAAGCTGAATATTTTACTTGCCAGAGTAAGAGTTTTTACATAGACTCTGTCATCTTCTACTGGCCCTCCTCTTAAACTGAGGCAGCGGCTGCTAGCTACTCACCAAACCTATTTTACTTTCTTTTTCTTTTTTTTTTTTTTTTTTTGAGACAGAGTCTTGCTCTGTCGCCCAGACTGGAGTGCAGTGGTATGATCTCGGCTCACTGCAACCTCCGCCTCTCAGGTTCAAGCGATTCTCCCACCGTAGCCTCCTGAGTCGATGGGATTACAGGTGTGTGCCACCACACCCAGCTAATTTTTGTATTTTTTGGTAGAGATGGAGGTTTCACTATGTTGGCCAGGCTAGTCTCTAACTCCTGACCTCAAATGATCCACCCACCTCAGCCTCCCAAAGTGCTGGGATTACAGGCATAAGCCACCGTGCCTGGCCCCCCATTTTACTTTCTTCTTTAACATATAGTTAGAATGAAAACATGTTGAAGGGATGATGGCATTAGAAAATTACCACTGGCCACTATCACAGTAATAATTGCTTTAGGCAAGAATGATCGATAAAAGCTAAAATTAATGGGCAAAAGTATGATGAGAAACAGGATATTTATACAATCGCAAAGTGCCTCCCAATAAGATACTTATTAAAAAGGTAAAAATGGTAATTTTCAGTGGAGAAATATGGCAGACACCATAGTAACCAACTGATCAAAGGGAACATTGGCATTAATGGGACAAATCAGCATCACGTTTCTCTTGTCATGAAGCACTGAGAAGGCCACAGCATTGCTTCTGAAATATTGCAACAAAAATGAATAACTTGAATCTAATGATGAGGAAACATTGGAGAAATCCAAACCTTGGAACACGCTACAAAACAACTAACTCGTACTCTGAGAAACATATCAGTGGACTGGATTCCAAACAGTGGCTCATGCCTGTAATTTTAACACTTTGGGAGGCCAAGGTAGGCAAATCACTTGAGGCCAGCAGTTTGAGGCCAGCCTAGGCAACATAGGGAGACCCCATCTATACAAAAAATTAAATAAAATTTATCTGAGCTTGGTGGCATGTGCCTGTAGTCCCATTTACTTGGGAGGCTGAAGCAGGAGGCTCCCTTGAGCCCAGAAATTTGAGGCTGCAGTGATCTATGATCACGTCATTACACTCCACCCTGGGCAGCAGAGCAAGGCCCTGTCTCTAAAAAAGGAAATTAAAAAAAAAAAAAAAAACATGTCAAGGTAATGAAAGACAAAGAAAGAGGAACTGCTTCAAATTAAAGGGGATTAAAGAAACGTGACAGCTAAATGTGACATATGATTCTGAATTGGATCCTGAACCACAGAAAGGATATTAGTGGGCAACTGGCAAAATCTGAATAAAGTTTATAGTTTATAAAAAAAAAACAGACAAAAAACATGTAGTTAGACCATATTTTCTTTCTTTTTTTTTTTTTTTTGAGATGGAGTCTCGCTCTGTCACCCAGGGTGGAGTGCAGTGGCGCCATCTCGGCTCACTGCAACCTCCGCTTCCCGGGTTCAAGTGATTCTCCTGCCTCAGCCTCACAAGTAGCTGGGACTACAGGCGAGCACCACCATGCCCTGTTAATTTTTGTATTTTTAAAAATTTTTAGTAGAGATGGGGTTTCACCATATTGGCCAGGCTGGGGTTAGACCATATTTTCTAACCAGCTTTCTTTGCAGTTTGGTGGGGCTTTGTGTCTGAATTCTGGCCAATGGAACCACGTGGAGGCCTGGCCCAGAACATCTCCCTGTGGATTCTCTCATCTGGCAACTGGATGCCTACACGAAGGGTGATTTTGGAGTCATGTGTTGGAGATCACAAAGCTTTTGTCAGCCAGGTTCCTGAATGACTGCTAGACACCATGGGCTGAACTTTATGTGAGTGAGAAATACATTCTATTTGAAGATATGGGTTAAGCTACAGAGATTTAAAGGCTTATCTGTTTCAACATTTGGCTTTACCATACCTAATAACAAAGTCCTTCATGATACGGCCCGGGAAGCTCTAATTCTTTGGTAAACCTTCCCTAATCTTGACCTCTTCCTGAACATCCCCTCCACCTACTAGCCTCAGTAGAATTCTGGCTGTCTCAAGACAGGACACTTCTTACAGCTGTCCCTGTGGAAGCTGGTGCCACCCTTCTCCTCCCCAGGCTCAGAGGAGCTACAGACTTCTTCTGGATAGCCATTGCCTCCTCCATTGTTCTTCTCCCTCACAGCAAATCTTTTCTTCTTAGAAATGTGTACCAGCCATGTTGCTGTCTTCCCTCCCCTTCCACTGTTCTCACCTGACTCATCCACCATTGCCCCTGGGTTTTGCCAGCTGGTTCCCACCTTCCTTTCTCCTAAGATTGGTGCCACTCCAGATACCTGTTTTCTACCAGCAGCTGGGCGCTCAGGATGTCTTGGTCACACATGTACCTGGTACCTGTTTTCCTGATCCCTACAGCGGTTTTTCCAAACCATCCCCCTTCCTCCAGACCTCTTTCCCCACTAATGGCCTTGCCTTCCATTTCATTGAGAAAGTTGAAGCACTCTGGGTTGAATCCCCTCAACTTCCTGCCATGCTCTGCACTCTACCTCCTTCCTTTCAGTCTCAGAGTCATGCTGACGCTCTCCCATGGCTTCCAAGACAGCTCTAAGAGAGCTGTTCTGTTGGATGACACCTCTGTCCCTCTTTCTTCTAAAAGTTTCAGCCTCTTTCCACTAGCAATTAAAATACAGTCAAATATCTTTCCTTGAATAACAACAACATTCCCAGAAAGAAGCATCTACATTCATTTCCTCATTCCCTGTTCATATTTTCATCCACTGTAATCTGGATTTTTCTCCCACCTCCTAAGATTGCTCTGGCAAAGGAAACCACATTTTCTTCATGACCAAATCCAAAGGTCTCTTTTTAATTTTATTATGCACTTATTTATTTTAGTTTCTTACCTTTTTTGTTTTTGTAGAGATGAGTGTCTCACTTTGTTGCCCAGGCTGGTCTCAAACTCCTGGCCTCAAGCAGTCCTCCCACCTCGGCCTCCCAAAGTGTTGGGATTACAGGCATGAGCCACCACTCCTGGCTCAAAAGCTTCTTTTTAATTCGCATCTTCCTTGCCTTCTCTTCAGCATTTGATACTGCTGACCTCTTCCTCTTAAGGATGGTCACTCCTGTTCTGTTCTCAGCCTCTTTAGTGGATCCTTGGTTTTCTATCCCAACTTTGAGCCTTAGTGTGACATAAGGTTCTGGTTCTATTTTTGACCTCTTTCCTTCTCCTTCCCTCCCTCCCCTTTCCCCCTCCCTCCTCACCTCTGTCTTTCCCCTTGCCTCCTTCTCACTTCCACTCTGTGTAAGGCATTCCCAGGGGTTTCATGTCACATTTTTTTTTCTTTTGGGACGGAGTTTTGCTCTTGTTGCCCAGGCTGGAGTGCAATGGTGTGATCTCGGCTCACTGCAACCTCCGCCTCTCGGGTTCAAGTGATTCTCCTGCCTCAGCCTCCTGAGTAGCTGGGATTACAGGCATGCGCCACCACACCCGGCTAATTTTTTGTGTTTTTAGTAGAGATAGGGTTTCTCCATGTTGGTCAGGCTGGTCTCGAACTCCCGACCAGCCTCTCGACTCTCGAATCACTCAAGTGATCAGCCCGCATCGGCCTCCCAAAGTGCTGGGATTACAGGCATGAGCCACCGTGTCCGGCCTCATGTCACATTTTATATTGGCTCACGATTTGAGTCAGTAGCTTATCTCTCCAAGCTCCATATCACAATATCCACGTTCCTGCTGGCACTTGCCACATGGTACAAGTTCCATGGGCACTTCAAGCTCGATGCATGTAAAACTGAGCTCATTGTTTACCCCCACCTCTTTCTGTATTTCCAGTGATAACCACCTGGAAACTCATAAGCCAGAAACTTGGAGCTCGTCTTCACAGATCCACATTGTATAACTAGTGGCACAGTCCTGCACTTCCTGTATTTGTAACATTTTCTCATATCTCTCAGCTTCGCAGCTCTGACCCCTGCAGGCCCTTACTGTCTCTAGTGTAAAGCCTGTGGGGATCTCCTAACTAGTACTCCTGCCTTCAGTCTTGCTGACGCCTTACTGCCACTGAGTCATCTTTCTAAATAACAAAGCTCTGTCACTCCCCAGCCCAAGCCCTTTGGAGGCTCCCTGTTGCCTGCAAGACAAAGTTCCAGCTCTCCATCAGGGATTATGAAGCCTTCCTGTGGTTTGCTCCTGCCCACCTTCTCTTTCCCTAAACGCCTGCCCTCCTCAACACCTTGCTCTTCTCCAAAGTCCCTGTACACTTTCACACCTCTGCACCTTTGTCTTACTTCTTACTTCCCTTCTGCCTGGGATATCCTCCTCTCCCCTGCCTGCCTAATGAACACCACTTAACTTTTGAGACAGTTCAGGAAGAGCTTCTTCTAGAAGATGTTTTCTGATTGCTTTTGTAGAGTAAAATTAGCCCTTCCTCCCGCTGAGATGACACTGCACTCATGATGGAAGCCAGGGTGGGTGTGGGAGGAGCGTGATAGGGCACTCTGACTTGGCACCTGGCTCCCGCATTGTGCATCTTGAGACCGGGGCCCTGTCTTTCACTTCTGGGTGCCTGGTGCCTCACACAGTGCCTGACACCTGGCGGGTACTCAGTAAATCTTTTCAGTCGGTGCTGAATGGGAAGGTGGGTATGTGAGATGCCCTGGAAGGATTTTGATTTCCAACCACAGAAAGGCCCTGGGCCGAGAATGGGACTGTGAGACTTTATTTACTCAGAGAAAAGGGTCCTTTCCCTCGCCTCACCAATTGCTGCTTGAGGACCCCTCCCTGCTCTTTGATGGGTCCCAGGCAGGCAGGGGAGGCAGGAGGCAGGAGGCAGGCAGGGGAGGCAGGAGGCAGGAGGCAGGCAGGGGAGGCAGGAGGCAGGCAGGGGAGGCAGGAGGCAGGAGGCAGGCAGGGGAGGCAGGAGGCAGGAGGCAGGCAGGGGAGGCAGTGGCTCTCCTGCAGGCACAGTGACTGTTACTGGGGAGACTCTTCTTCCAACTGCAGCTGAAGGAAAACACCTGCAAGAGAAGGGTGAGTTGAGCTGCAAGAGCTGCACTGAGATGGCTGGAGCTTGATGGACACTCTGAGCATTTGGCTGCAAATTACCCATTACCTGGGTCCTGTCCTTTCGTTACAGGTTGGATAACTCATATATAGAAAAAAAAATCCTAGTTCTGCTCTCCCTTGCTTCATCTGTGTCCCTAGTAGGTGCCCTATCCCACCCCTAAAGAAGCTGGACCGCAGCTTGGGATGAATCATTGGCATCTTTTCTTCCTCCTGTTTGTTCTGGGGGTGGGTGGTGGTGGGACGGGGCCTGGGGCTGGGCTGGGGGCTCCTTTACCTGAGGACTTGGCATAAACTGTCTGCTGGTCTCTGCTGTGGGCGATGCAGGACATGTAAAGCTTCTGGTCCTCAATCTTGTCCAGTTCTACGTCCATTACAACCAGAGAGTCCACGGGGATCAAGCTGGGAGACGAGGCAGCTTAGCCCATCTCTCATGTGAACCCGGTTCCCCATCCCTTCACTCTCTGTGTCCTCTTCCCTCTCTTCATCCCTCCCGGCCTCGAGGACTCAGAAGTGGCCCTGGGCTCAGGGCCTTTTTGTCAGCTCCCAAAGTTGGACAGCAGAGGCTGTGTCCTGGCCAGGGACTAGAGGAATTGCTTGGGAGTGGGCTGGGGAAGGAGAGTGGCAGGCAGGGCTCCTACACCCCAGCTGCCGAGGATGGCCACTTCCAGGGATGAAAAGGTCTGTGACTTTGGCCAATGCCCCAGGGGCCCATACTTACTTTTTGAACCTGATGTTGAGACTTAGTGTGAACAGCCCCTCTCCAGCCAGGAAGGCAGTTTTAGAAAAGGTCTCGTCCATCATGGCTGCCAGGGACCCGCCGTGAGCAAACCTGGGGGTGGGGTAAGGTGAGGAGCAAGGCCTGGGCTGGGGCTGCTGGGCAGACCCCCTCAATGGGCCTTCCCTCCCTCCTGTGGTGATCCTACCTTTCCCTTTCCCTAGACCCTTCCAAACACAGACGTTCAGCCTCAGGGCAGCCAAATAGGAAAGAAGGAAACAGCTGCATCCCATCTGATCAAACCCGTCAAAATCAACTGAGCTTTTCTGTTTTGCTTCAGCATGCGTTTGCAGCCAATGATACAACATTTTATTTCATCAGGGAAATTGTTTTTTTCTGATAAAGTTAATAGAAAACATTTTTCTGGTTCATTACCTAATTGCTGGCAATAATTGCCATAATTTGGAAGGATGGGCATATACAGGAAATGAAAAAGTCCCTGAACTTTTTGACTCAGTCTTTGAGGCACAACCCTGGGCTGTTTCTCACCTTACCAGTCACTACAGCCAGTGCGGGGCCCACATCTCAAGATAAGTAAATGTGAAACATAACTTATGACCTATCAAGGGCTGGCATGACACACTTCTGAGCAGCGTTGCCACAGAAAGCAGAGCGCCTGCTTCAGCAGGCTCAATGCTGAAATTGAGCTGAAATGCTCAAATGCCGCAGACATTTGCTTTATTTAGAATGCATAGAATGGCCAGTCGCAGTGGCTCACGCCTGTAATCCCAGCACTTTGGGAGGCTGAGGTGGGCAGATCACTTGATGTCAGGAGTTCGAGACCAGCTTGGCCAGTATGGTGAAACTCCGTCTCTACTAAAAAATATAAAAATTAGACGGGTGTGGTGGCAAGCGCCTGTAACTCAGCTACTCGAGAGGCTGAGACATGAGAATCGATTGAACCCGGTGGGTGGAGGTTGCAGTGAGCTGAGATTGTGCCACTGCATTCCAGCCTGGGCAACAGATCAAGACTGTCTCAAAATTAAAAAAAAAAAAAAAAGCGTAAAATGTTCATTCTTGCTTTTGCAAGCTTTATGTCAGCTACTTCATGGTTGGCTAATTTGGGAAAATAGGCACCCATTTTAGAATTCAAATAACACCAAGCAGATTTGAGTTCCTGATTTTCAAAAGCACAGCCCATTCTCCACAGAGCCAGATCAGCTGTCCACACTGTACTGCCATGGGTTACCCTCCTGCTGCTGTGACCAGTGGCTTTTCCAGACCCTTCCCTCCCTGCTTCTTTAGTCTCTATCCACCCAGTTGGACTCCTTGTCCCACAGCTCACTACATGTTTGATCTTGAGCAAATTGCTAAACCTTTCTGAGCCTTAGTTTTTCCACCATGAATTTCACAATTCTGATCTCAGCAGATTAAATAAACAAATGTTTGCAAACATAATTTACACACTTCTTAGGCACTTCCCTGTCTGCCTCCCAAATTGCTTGAAAGAGAGTGAAAAGAGTTGGTGTCAAAGAACTCGAAACCAACTCTCTCCTCCTTGTCCTCACTGGCCAGCCTGGGGACCCATTGGCCAGTATGTGGATCTACAGAGTAGCTCTTGGCCAACGAGTAACTCCTCCTTCCCACTCCCCATGGTCTAGGGGCCTGGTGGATACTAATCTCTTCTCTAGACCCCCAACCCCTCAATCCACTGACTGGCCTTAGTGTTGGATGGTCCTCCTCTGCCTCTTTGGCCTCACTTCCATCAGCCCCTAAATAAAAGTCAGCCATGCTTCAGAAAGGAGGGAGTCCATGGCCTGGGCAGGGCTCTGAGCAATTCACTAGTATCTGCACAGCCTAGTGTGTGGAGCAGTGTCCCTGTGGAGGACTCCTTTGGGATGGCCAAGGTGACTGAGGGCTGCAGTTGGCATCCACAGCCTCTGGAGGCCCTGACATCTATTTAGCACTCTGGATTCTATTTAACCCCAGTTAAGCCCCTCTCAGGCTTCAGGACCCTAAAGCCACTCCTGCCCTCTCTTGTCTCTCCCTTGCAGGAGCTCCAGCACCACCTCCAGCCTTCAGTGACTGTCTGGAGCAGGCATCCGGATGGAAGAGAAGGGGGACAACCATGAACTTGGTGACCCACGGTCAGCCTGATTTCCCTTGTGGACACATTTATGCCCAGTGTGCATTCCTCCTGAGGTCTGTTCCAAGTCTGGAGGCAGCAGAGTAGAGTGGAGAGAACAGTGGACTTGGAATCTCACCTCCCAGATTAGAGTCCTGGATCTGACTTTGATTGCTGGTGCTGCCTCGGGCAAGTTACTTTAGCTGTGTGCATCTCCATTTCCCCATGGATAGAACATGGGTTTTGGGTAGAAGTGTCTGATAGCTGTACTGTGCTTTACGGTTCATGAGCACGCACACATAGGCCCATAATATCATATCTCTGGTCACCCTGGCAGGTAGATATTATTGCCCCAGGTTTCAGGTAAGAAGACTAAAGACCAGGGGTCAATTGCTTGCTCAGAGTCCCACAGCCAGCAGCAGCCAGGCAGGACACCAAGTCAGAGTCTAGATTCCGGATCTTGCCCTCTTCCAAGTGTACCACATTCTTCTCAAAGTGGCCTCTCAGGTCTTTTGTCCAGAAAATTTTGAGACTTTGATGAGAAGCCCATATCTGCACACTGGGGATTAGGCCAGATAACCCTGTGTGTCCTTCCAGGCCTGGTATTGTGAGGCTGAAGCCTAGTGCCCCACACTCCCTTCCTCACCCCTTAGAGAAAGATAGAGACTCCAGGGCCAGCCTGGTGGGTGCTGAACCTGCCCTGCTGAGCCAAGCCCAGGAGGCAGCCAAGGTCCTACCAGTGACCTTACCCTGGGGGCCCCTCCAGGTAGGAGCCTGGTTGGAAAAGACAGACCGACTTCTTCTGGGTTGGCTGGAAAAAGATGACATACTCAAAGCCTTGTCCTTCCACTTGGATGCACCTGGTGAAGATGCGACAGTCACCTTTGTCTGGGGAGAGATAGGCAGTGTTGCAGCCGGAGAAGGGAGGGTATGGTCAGGATGCAGCACCATTTGGTTGAGTCTTGCCTCTGGTACAAGATTAAGGAGAGAAAACCAGAGGACACCAGGTCCACCCCCAGGGAGCCTTCCCTCTGGGAGCAGAGGCACAGTTGCTGTCCTCACAGAGCCTTTCTGTCTAGGGCAGAAACATGCAGGAAGTGCCCTGGCTGAGAATGGAGATAGGATCAGGGCCAGGGCAAGACTTTAAGAGACCATAAGCATTGAAAATTGAAAATGTAATTACTCATGTAACTCACATATAATTCAAAAGAATAATAGTAAACAGTAAAATAAGAGCAGAAAAGTCCATCAAAGTTCTGATTTTTTTTTTCCAAGACAGCTACCACTACTACATCCTTTTTTGGAAGTATCAAATTCTTTGAAAAAAAATTATGTTGGTATTCCTGCTTTGTTTGTGCCATAAACCCAAGGGTAGTCTGTCCCCTGTACCACTCCTTCATCACTAGGCAGGAAGACAACATATATGAGTGAGAGAGACAGGGAGATACACATGCGTGCACACACGAGTGCACACACACACACAAGAAGGTGGAAGCTCTATCATTAGGATCCATTAGGATCATTAGGTGTTTCAGGAGTGCTGCTCCAGACCCCGCACAGCAGGGATGATGTGCAGGGCCTCAGTGGAAGGGGTGTGGGGTCCAAGGGCTTTCATGGGGTTGGGGCGGAAGGCTTGGGATGAGGCTTGATAGTTAGGGAGGGGCAGTCAGTGAGAAGTCGGGGCAGGAGCTGGGCTGGCTGTCCTCCAGTGGGGACATGCTTGGCTGGGAGCGAAGGTGGGCCCACCAGGGTGTGCTGCTTCAGATGGGAGGAGGGGAGCTGGAGACCTGAGAGGACACCCGCCGCCTGTTGCCTGGGGCTGCAGCATCAGGGGTGGAGTTGGACAGCAGGAAGAACTCGCTGAGAACTGGAAGGCGGTCTGTGAAGTTGCTTCTCAGTCTTAGAACACAGGGAAGGGCGGCTGGGGTGTGTGTACTCATGGTCCTGTCCTTACCTGAGGAAACTGCCAGTCCAGATGGGAGCTTGAGTCCCCGGATGTGGTCTCTGTTGGACTTGAAGGAGGGCAGCTTGATCCAGCCGCTAGACTTAGTCTTCTCCAGAAATTCTTGGTACAGGCTCAGCATGTCCGAACACCAGCTGGCATTGGGAAGAGCATAATCCTTCAAGTCTGTCTTCTCTGGCAAGAATCTTGAGAACTGGGCAGGAAAAATCAGAATGACTAGACAGCATCCTGGAGGGGGGCTGCTGCCTGGGCTCGGGACCTCTAAACAGCTGTTCCTGGGTGCTGGGGCTTCTCAATCCCTTCTGCCAGAGTATCGATCCAAGGGAAAGGGCCCATATTCCTTGCAGGGGGGCTGCGGACCCCTATGGGTGACGGGGCATAAGGATGCTAAAGAGCAAGGGAAGGGCGGGCAGGGAGTGGGGCCAGAGATGATGGGCATGCTGCTCGATGTGGTGCCTTACCCTTGTTCTGCTTAAAACATGTGAGCAGTTCTTTAAAGTTGACAACTGCTCATATTAGCCTCACTGTACAGATGGGGAAACTGAGGGAATACGGCCAAGGTTGCCAAGCATGTGACTGTGAGAGCTGGTGGTCGCACTAGATGCTGTCTCCTCTGCAGGGCAGGGTCACAGTTGTTGAGGACCATTCTAGCAACCCCCACCTCAGGGGCTACTCCAGCTCTGCCCACTGCTGTGGGCCTGCCTGGGCAGGGTGGCTCCTTTGAAACACATTTGGGCCCCCACAGAGGTGTGGTGCCATGGCTGGGGCACAGACTATGTGCCCATCTGTGTGACGTAAGGAAGTCCTCTGTAGCGTCACCTGCTCATACACCAGTCACAACTGTAGACAGCATGTGAGCTGCTTGCCAATGCCACAGATGGGGTCCTCTGTCTGGGGATACCCCAGCTTTGCTGCAGTAGTCTGAGTCCCACAGGAGGAAAGTCATTTGTTGGTGGCCACACAAGACACAGAGCCAGATGCAGGTCTCCTGGTAGTTTTAGTTTTGAATGGGGGCAACTTGGTATCCCAGAGCACTTTCTCTTTGCCAAATCAAATAGCTCCTCCGAACACTGCCCACCTGCCCTGGCCATGGGCTGGGAAGAGGAGATTTGGGGTGCTCCTTAAGCCCTAGGCTCCTGGGAAAACACTGCCCATCTGGCTGAGCTGGGAACTCACCATGGAGTCTGTGGAGGATCCAAATGCTGAGGCAGGGTTGAGTCTGGGCAGGATACGGGGGGCCTCAAGAAGGCCTCTGTGGTGGCCAAGTCTTGCTGCCACCTGGAAGCATCTCCTTATCATGGCCAAGTGCAAGGATCCAGCCCTGCTTGGATGGAGGGTCTTGGCTGACTCCCAAGGAGTGCTTTCAGCTGCACTTGGGGCCGCTTCTCTCCCTTCTGTTGCAGGCTTTCTTTCAGAGAGCTAGGCGAGGCTGGGCTGGTGTGCTGCAACACCCACAGATGCTCGGCGCCTTTAGCTGGTCTAGGAGCCCCACCCAGTGCTTGGGGAGGGACAGATGCTGCTTGGGCATGAAAAGGCAGCAGGACTGGCTTGAGTTGCAAAAGGAGTAAACAAGTACATAAACAAATAGTATGGGGTATATAGAGCCTTGGAGAGCTGCCTGGGGGTTCTGAGGGAGAATCCAAGAATATTTCCAGAAGGATAAGGGAAGCCTGTCCCTTGATTGGAGGGTGCTGGTGGAGTGTTCTTGGTATGTGCTCTGCAGTGTATACCGGACTCTGAAAACTCTGGTATGATTTTGTGACTCAGAAAACCAACTCACAGGCCGGGTGCGGTGGCTCACGCCTGTAATCCCAGCACTTTGGGAGGCCGAGGCGGCGGATTACGAGGTTAGGAGATCGAGACCATCCTGGCTAACACGGTGAAACCCCGTCTCTACTAAAAAAAATACAAAAAATTAGCCGGGCGTGGTGGCGGGTGCCGGTAGTCCCAGCTACGCAGGGGGCTGAGGCAGGAGAATGGCGTGAACCTGGGAGGTGGAGCTTGCAGTGAGCTGAGATCTAGCCACCGCACTCCAGCCTGGGCGACTGAGCGAGACTCCGTCTCAAAAAAATAAAAATAAAAAAATAAAAAAAAAGAAAACCAACTCACAGCCTTAGACACCTCTTTTTTTTTTTTTTTTTTTTTTTTGGTGAGACGGAGTTTCAATCTTGTCGCCCAGGCTGGTGTGCAATGGCGTGATCTCGGCTCACTGCAACCTCCGCCTCCTGGGTTCAAGTGATTCTCCTGCCTCAGCCTCCTGAGTAGCTGGGATTACAGACACACACCACCACACCCAGCTAAATTTTGTATATTTTTTTTAGTAGAGATGGGGTTTTGCCATGTTAGCCAGGCTGGTCTTGAACTCCTGACCTCAGGTGACCTCCCAAAGTGCTGGGATTACAGGCGTGAGCCACCGCACCCGGCCAACACCTCTTCTTATATCCCGGACAAGGGTTAGCACAGGAGAGTTTCACCTGCTGGTCTCTGGCTGGGGATAGGAGTTGGAGGTGGGGGAGGGCTTGACAGGGAGGGCAGAAAATAATTTGGGAGGAAACAGCTTGGCAGGGATACTCTCATGTTTTGGGAACCCCGTGCCCAGGGAGTGGCTCATGTCAGCAGGCAGTGCTGGGAGTGAGGTGGGCGCGGCAGTGAGGCTTTGTTGAGTGGGAAGGGACACTCAGCCAACATCTGCAAGGCAGTGGGATTTGGTGGTGGTGTGTCTTCTATTGAATTTAAACTGCCAATTTTCAATTAAAAGTCTCAGTTTTAAATTGACTAAAATAAAAGCATGTTCTAAAGATCAGTCCTCGCGCAGTGGCTCAAGGCTGTAATCTCAGCATTTTGGGAGGCCGAGTGAGACCTTGTCTTAAAAAAAAAAAAATCAGAACTGTGCAAAGGTGGAATCATAACAGTGATGATGACGATAATAATAGTTGTGATGATTATGACATTTTGGCAGGTTCCAAAAGATGAAACTGATTTAATGCGGAAATTTAAAAGATTTGGTTCACCCTCTGTATTTGGTTGCCCTAGAAGAAGACTAGAATATAAATATTTCCCCTCACCTCCTGCAAAGGTTTGAATTAAACTTCCTCAAGGACTGGGGGAACCATTTTTTTTTGTTGTTGTTATTTTGTCAGAGTCTCACTCTTATTGCCCAGGAGTGCAGTGGCACCATCTCGGCTCACTGCAACCTCTGCCTCCCAGGCTCAAGCAATTCTCCTGCCTCAGCCTCCCAAGTAGCTGGGATTACAGGCGCTTGCTACTACGCCCGGCTAGTTTTTATATTTTTAGTAGAGACGGGGTTTCATCATGTTGGCCAGGCTGGTCTCAAACTCCTGGCCTTGGCTGATCTGCCTGCCTCAGCGTCCCAAAGTGCTGGGATTACAGGCATGAGGCACCACGCCCAGCTGGAAGTTTTTTTGGTTGATTCAGCCTCTGGGTCTAAGCAAAGATATTTGAGTTGGTTGCCATCCCCAGATAAGTGAGAATATCTGGCAGCACTCATTTTCAGCCCTGGGCCGCAGCCGTTGCTGTGAGGCAGAAATTAAAAAAAGATAGTAAGTACTACATTCATTCACTCCAAGAAAAGTAACAGACAAGGCTATAAGAAGGTCATAGTGACCTAGTCTGAGAAGTAAAAGCCAAGGCCCAGAATGTGGCAAGGCAAAGGTTAAAAAGAAAGGAAGAGCAAGTTTTTCTCTGCCTAGCAAGCTCACTTCAAAGACAATTATAAGATAATGCTCTTCGAGAAGTCGAAACCAAAGGAATAGGCTCCAGACATCCCCCGTCTGGAGCAAGGGTGAAGGAAAAAAAAAAAAGGACAAATGTCTGTCTGTATTTAGCCAGTTCTTGTTTTTTCTTTCCACGCAGCTACAAGGCCACCAGCTATGCAAAGCCACAAGTTATGCCAAGTCATCAGTTATGCTATAGATTATGTGACCTGTCATTATATGATTAACTGCCTGTTTTGCTTCTGTAAGCCTGCTTATAAAAATCCTGCTCAGTCTTTGTTCAATGCTCAGCTTTTTGGATGTGAATCCACTGAGCCAATGCCTACCTTAAAATAAACATCGTCCTGTTTTTCCATATCTGTCTCTCTGGTCCTGAGTTTACCACAATAGCTGTAGCTGGTACCCTGTGCCTGTGGCTTGCCCAGGCGTCCCCTGGCACTTGGCATCCCTTCATTCCCTGGGTCCATCCTTGATCTGGAAGGATGGACTTGAGAAGACAGGATAGAAAAGAAAAATCCTAGGAAGGATAGGTGAACTGGAGAGAAGTCAGAGGAAAGGTGAGTGGGGAGCAAGAGGGGATCCTCAGGCGGCCCTGACAGCTGGAAGCTGGTTCCAGCAAGGTGGCCCCAGGAGGAAAGAGCTGTCCTCCTAAGAAGAGTCAGTAGGGCCAGGCGCGGTGGCTCACGCCTATAATCCCAGCACTTTGGGAGGCCAAGGCGGGTGGATCACCTGAGGTTGGGAGATCAAGACTAGCCTGACCAACATGGAGAAACCTCATCTCTACTAAAAATACAGAATTAGCCGGGCATGGTGGCGCATGCCTGTAATCCTAGCTACTTGGGAGGCTGAGGCAGGAGAATCGTTTGAAGCCAGGAGGCGGATATTGTGGTGAGCTGAGATTGCGCCATTGCACTCCAGCCTGGGCAGCAAGAGTGAAACTCTGTCTCAGAAAATATAAAGAGTCAGTAGGTGGCTGGGTGCAGTGGCTCATGCCTGTAAGTCCAGCACTTTGGGAGGCTGAGGTGGGAGGATCGCTTGAGCCCAGGAGTTCGAGACCAGCCTGGACAACATAGTGAGACCCCGACTCTACAAAAAAGAAAAAAAATTAGCTGGGTGTGGTGGTGTGTGCCTGCGGTCCCAGCTACTCAGGAGGCTGAGGCAGGAGGATCGCTTTAGCCCAGGAGTTTGAGGCTATAGTGAGCCCAGATTGTGCCACTGCACTGCAGCCTAGGTGACAGAGTGAGACCCTGTCTCAATTAAAAGAAGAAAAAAAGTTGGTAGGTGCACCTGAGAAAGGAAATTGCTGTTTCATGGGCTGAGTGCCACTTGGGAGCTGGGTTGTCACCCAGCGATTTTCCCATGGTGATCCCAGTGGGGTCTGAATCTCTTGTTGCCTCCTATGTTGGTTGTTTGACGATTTTTGGTTAAATCAACTTTCAAATATTTACATAATTATGATTATGTAACTTTTGCTCTCAGCCTTGCCACATACTACAGTTACATTTGTTTCCTGTATCACTTTATTTTCTTGAGTGGATAATTACCAAGGTTCAGCTGGATGATGTGGTCCAGAGGAAAACAGGGGAAGGGAAGGAGCTGACAACTGGTCGAGGTCAACTTTCACTTCTCTGCTAGGAGGGAAGAGCATCCAGGAGGGAGAAAATAAGAGAGACGAGGCTCTGGCGCTGTCTGTGATACTGCAGAGCAGCTCTAGTTGGATCAAGGGCATGACAGATGGAAAGAATTAGGATATCTGAGAAGAACATCCATAACTGATGGTACAACCATGGATGTGGCCCCCAATTAGGCTGGCTGGAGGAGAGTGAAGGAGGTTTCCAAGGCCATCTAGGAAAAGAAAGATTAGGATTATTGAGAAAGTGCTCCTTTCTCCCTTTCCAACTCCTCCTCCCACCATTCCACATATCTTGTGGATGCTTTCTGCAATGCAGAGCCCTTTCTGGATGTGGGTCAAGTGGTCCACTCTCCAGGGAGGTGGAAAGGTGCTCAGCTAATACTTTGAATGGGTTTTGTGACAACATGAACTTTAGCCCCAACCCTTCTCCTTCTGTATGAATTTAGCTCAGAGGAAAAAAAGAAAATTCACCTCAGAGACAAGAAAGCCCTCCTCAGGCCTGGAGTCTCTGGAGAAACAATCAGAAAAAAGAGGAAGCCAGTGCCAATTAAGCACAACTGAGAATTCCTACTGAGTTTTGGTTTAGCTTACTGCTGGCCTGGTTCCTTTCCAGTTTGGGACATGTGGGTGCATGTTGAGTTTGAAAGCTTCTCTTCCTGGGGTGTGACCTGTGCCCAGAAGCACGTTTTGGGCCTGATCTGCTTGTGGTCCACAGCAGAGCCAGCAGTGGTGTAAAGGCAAACATGTAACAGTCTGCCCTGGGGCTGGGGATAAGGTGGGGGGAGCTCTGATTTGTAGCATTTGCCCATTTCTGCATTGTAAATATTCCCATGGTGGCTGATTTCTAGCTATCCATATGAAGTCACTGTGCAGTTGGAAGGAGGTGAGCCCAATCAGCTTTTGCAAACCAGTAGGACCCGGCTCCAGCATACCACTGCATGAGCAAACTCTTTGGCTCACAGTGAAAGAGCAGGAGTGACCAAGGCCTTGGTAGGTTCAGCAGATCAGCTCTTGTTTCCAGATCTAAACTCACTCGCACTTCTCTATCTTTTGAAGTTGGAGTTTCCTTCCCTTGTAAGGCTGACTATGGAGTACTCAGTCTCCCCACCTTGTCCTCTTTGTTGCCCCACAAACAAATTCACAGGACATGTTTTGTTCAAAGACATTTACTGTTAACCACTAAGAGGAAACAGGAAGATGATTAACATTCCCAGAAATCTCCCAAATCCCTCCTTGTCTTGGGTGGCCCTGGGAGCCCTTCTCAGATCACCTTGGACATGTGCTGAGCTCCCCTGATGTGGACTGGCTGGCTCCCCATGGGATCGTGGTACTCCCAGCACGTTGGAGTGGTGCCGTCCAGGCTGATTCTCATCTGGCCATTCTGGATGAGGAAGGACCTTCTTCAGCCCCGCAGGCTTACCACAGGCAACTTCTGGAGGGCTCCCTGTCAAACTCCCACCAAGGCTGCCCTGCCCTCAGGAAAGCTGGGTTCCTTGATCTGCAGAGCTAAGGGTCAGAGGCAAGCTGGGCGGGTTCCTTGACCTGCAGAGCTAAGGGTCGGAGGCAACCTGGGCAGGAGCAGCTGTGCATAATAGGGGTGGTGGGCAGACCCAAGGGGACTTGGGGGCAAACCTGGCCTCACTCCATGTGGGAGTTACCATGATACAGGCCCAGCTGCCAGCACCTCTGCTTTTTCAAGAAAAGCTGGCACAAATCTAGACTTTTATGTGAAAACTTCTAACTTTTAGATGCTGCAGTAGTAATTTATAAAAATACTGCCTGAGCCAAACCAAATGCTTCTGACTGGATCCTGTCCTGTGGGCTGCCAGTCCTGCCCCCTGGTTGTCAGCTCATTCCCAGGCCCTCCAGGAGTCTGCTGCCTGTCTAGATCTGCTGCCCCAGATCTAGTCTCTGACTCTTCCCAGATTAGCCATTTTTTTCCTGGTTCCCTCTGGGAGGGATCCTCTTGAGATTTGTTTTACACCTGGACACCCATAGGGGACTCTTTGAAAAGGAAAGTAACTGTTACATGTTGAAACGAATGAATCAGCTGGCTTTATGGGGCCTCAGGGTTTGTGCTTCATCTGGGTTCTAAGGTTTTTGGTCTTTGCTATAGGAGAAAGGTGCCCATGGGCAGCTTTTGGGAAAGGCACAAACCCACCCTCAGACAGTCCAGGGCTGGTGAGGACTCACCACGACCAGGGAAAAGGCTGTCTTGACAAAACATGGGGCACAGGATGGGAGCTAAAATAAATGGTTGCTGAGCACTCTGCCCAGAGGAACCCTGGGAGGCTGGGCTTGAAAGGCCCCCTGGGCCATGGCACAGGGACCTTTTGCCTAGGGGAGCCACACAGCTGGTAGGCAGGTGTTGGCTGTGTGGGCAGCTGCCGGTGTGATCACAGGGCTGATGAGGGGGTCTCGGCAGGGAACAGAAACAGGAACTGTGTTGGGACTGAGGGGAAACCCGAGGCCATTCCACAAATGGAGCCCTGACCACTGCTCAACTAGAACTGAGTTCCTATTTGTGAAATGCTAAGGGGCAGTGAGGCAGGACCTCCAAGCTCAGAAAGCTGTGGTGACATCCTGAAGGGGTGTGTGTGTGTGCGCGCACACACACGTGCTGAGGTGGGGCTTAGAGGCCCTGGCCAGCCCTGTACTGCAATCCTCTCCACTTCAAATCCAGATCACAGCTTGAGAGGGGATACTTTCAAACCAGTGGGACAGCCACACAATGCCACTGGCATATCTGCTTTACCATCTTGGGGTACAAAGTAAGGCCACTTTCCTGTTAAGAAGCATATTAAATGACTGACACCCCTGACATCCTGAGCCCCTTTCTCCTCTGAGAACTCTGAAGCAGGGGTGTTTAGGTGCTTGAGTCAGCTCAATGGCCAAGCTCCTGAGGCTTCCAAGTACAGGTGATGTGGACTTCACCAGCCGCTGAGGATGCCTAGGAACCAGCCCCCTCCCTCAAGGTCAGGGACATCCCAGGGGTGGAGTGTGTTCCACACAGTATAACAGATGGCTACGGAGCAAGTCTCGTGGCCCCAGTAAGGCATTGTCCTTGCTGATAGTCACAGCAGTGGCCGGGATGAGGGTGGGGTGCAGGCAAGTCCTCCTCAGGCCCCAGGAGGCTCCTGAGGGGCTCTTGAGCACTGTCCCTGCAGGGGAGCCTCCCAAGGATCTCCCCCAGCCACCCCTACCTCTGTGCTCCCCAGACAAGGAGCCCTTTCCCTCTTTGGGCACCTTTCCCTGCCAGATCCCCCGTAGCCACGGTTCTCTACCTCCCCTCTCCCCAGTCAGTCCTCAGGCCTCTGTTCAGTCAGCGTTGGGGAGACTCCCTTTCTTCTCAGAATTCTTCCCATTTGAGCCCAGGCAGGAATAATTAGCAACTGAAAAACAGGTTCTTTTTCCCCTGGGGGCTGGTAGGGCTCTATCTTTGGGCTTCTGGAGGATGAGGGAAAACAATGACACTCCATTCTTTGAGTGCCCTGAAAAGATTGGGTCATACTAAACCAGCCTGACCATGGCCTTCCCTCATGGAAGCTGGGCTGTCTGCAAGTGTCTGGTTCTGAGGCTGTCTTCGGTTCTGTCTATGAAAACATACAAAGAATTCATCGGGAAGTCCTTTCCTTCCTATGGCTGTGGCTCCTGGCCTTCAGCAGCGCAGGGAAACTCTGGAGGTGTGGCCTTCTTGGAGGGGCACTTCTGCTGTCCACAGCTGGGCACTGGGCACATGGCATGGGCACTGGGCACATGGCATGGCCACTGTGCCTTGGTGGCTCCATCAGCTATAACCGCTCCAGTGTAGAGTTTATTGGTGCCAGGGTGAGAGAGAAAGCCTTGTGCGCTCCCCAGCACCCTCTGTTAGCCTGAGCTGGCCTGACTCCTTGGCACTGTGGGCTTTCCTCTCTGCCCCCACCTTCAGCAACTGCAGCTCCAGAGTTAACTGGCTCTTTTAGTACATGCACAGGCACATGCAGTCACCTACACTCGCATAGATACACTCACACATCCACAGATGTGGATATACATGCTCACGCACATACATGCATGCATGCATACTCACACACGTCTACACAATATACACACAAGTGCGTGCACACACTCACATACACACAAATACATGCACACTCACACACATACATAAACTTACACACATAAACACAAATGCACATACATGCACATACACACATTCACATATATATATGCTCACTCACACATTGACTCCATAATACCACACACAAGCACACACAAACCTTCCAAAGGCTGTGAAGGGAAGGAAGACTGTGTGTACGTTTCTATGTGGGGGAACCTTGGAGTGAGTTTAATAAATAGTGATGTTGATAGTTATTGCATCATGCATTGTTCATCATAAAGTTTTGCTTCTCTTTTAAAATGTAGATATTCTAGCTGGGTTGCGTGGCTCATGCCTGTAATCCCAGCACTTTGGGAGGCTGAGGCAGGAGAATTGCTTGAGCCCAGGAGTTCAAGGATCAGCCTGGGCAACATAGTGAGACCCCCATCTCTGTTACAATAAATAAATAAAATAAAGTATAAATATTCTTGTGAAGGGTCATAGTGTAAGAGTATATTACATTATTTTATTATATTACATAATAAAATCAAATTAGTTATTGTATTTTACTTCTTAGTTTAAATGGGAACCTAAAAGTAGATTTTGATAAGGAGAAGGGTGAAATGATGGCAAAGGGGACAACCCTGTATCTGAGCTTATGAAAGAGAGATTTTCCCTGGATGCATAATTTTGCCAGGTATCTCGGCCCTGAAAGGGCATGGCTGGAGCAGACAGACTGACCTCATCATAGGTGAAGCCCCACAGAACCCTCAGACTGAATCTGGAGGTGCCTCCAAGAGTCTTTGGTTCAAGTCTCTCGTAAAGAGAAGAAAACTCAAGTTCATTGAGGTTACGTGACTTGTCCATCCACACATCAAGCCTCATGGATGGCATTTCCAAAATTCATCTCAATCTGTTTTCTCCTTCACCTATCATCCACATATGAAATCCCAGGGAAGACTCTAATGTTAGGTTATGTGCCTCCTCCTTGGACTAATGTCTGTGGTCAAGGGGGTGGGGAGCTATGATGATCAAAGCTTGTCAAGTGGCCAGGTTTGATTGGCAGTCCTCTCACCCAGCTTGACTCTAAGGGCTTTCTGCCAAGTCAGCATGGTTCTGTTTTCAGAAGACTGGGAGGAAGGGATAGAAGATGACAGACAAGAAAACAACTGGTGTCCATGATTGTATCTTAGCAATAGCCTAGACATTTCTGACCCAGAGATGGATAGGGTGGGGGTGATGGAGGAGGAATGTCCCCATTGTGAAGACTGTGTTTTGGGAGAGAAGGGATGAAACAGAGACAAAATAAGAGACAGGAGGGGTGAAGGTGGTGTTTCTGGCTGAGGCTCATTTCCAAGTGCTACAGTTCAGTGTTTCAATCCTAGAGTTCTTTAGAAAATTGCTAAAGTTTGCAGGGGGGGGGGTGTTTTATAAATGAACTGAGGACTGGGGTGACTTTATGAAAACACTTTTCCTATATTTTAGATTTGGGTGTGGTAGATATTATTCCTGAATCTTGTTTCTAGTATGTTTTCCTTTTGTCACCTTTATCTACACCTGCTGTGATGAGTTTTTTTGTTTTCTGAAGAATAAGGTTTTTCAGAGGCAATCAACAGCCCAAGTGTTGTCTCCTAAATTAGAACACTTATTTCATTTTTATTCCTGACTCAGCTAATGTATATTAGGCTAATGTATAATTAGCGACCACTCTGTAACATCCACCCCAGTCCTTTACACTTGTATTTACTCATTACCTTATTATTCTAGAGGAGTTTTATTCTGATCCTAAAATGACACTAATGATATACCACTATCAAAACTTTCCTTATTATTAAAACTTTATCAATTTCTTTTTTTTTCTCCTAGAAACAGAGTCTCGCTCTGTCACCAAGGCTAGAGTGCAATGGTGTGATCACAGCTCACTGCAGCCTTGACCTCCTGGACTTAACTGATTCTCCCGCCTCAGCCTCCTGAGTAGCTGGGACCACAGGTGCATGCCACCATGCTCAGCTAATTTTAAAAATTATTTGTAGAGATGAGATCTTGCTGTGTTGCCCAGGCTGGTCTCGAACTCCTGGGCTCAAGCATTCCTCCCACCTTGGCCTCCTGGCCTAAAACTTTATCAATTTCTTGATCGGGTATTATTCTTTATAAAATATAACGTTTTCAAAATTGCAAATTGGAAACTCTGGCCTTAAGTGCAGTGATAAGGGAAATGTCCCTTCCTCCTCTGCCTTCTCCAGGATCTGTCTCCACTTACACCATCACACCTTTACGCACTTCTGTGTTGGTCATCACAGAGGGGTAGTGAATCCTGATGCTGGAAGTTTGGGATCTGAAGCCAGGAGGACCCAGATACAAATCCCAGGTTTGCTTCAACTTCTGCATCTGTAAAATGGGAATAATAAGAGCACCTACTTAATGGAGTAGCTGTGTGATTTTGGGAATTTACTTAAGCCTCACAAAGTTTGCTCACATGTAAATTGAGGCCATCAATAGTATCTAAGGAGTAAAGAAAGTGACACACATAATGTGCTTACACAATGCCTAGCAAACTGTAACTGAGTAATAGCTATCACTTTTTTTTCACAATTAATTACTTGTATTGCAGTAGGTTTGAACAACTCAAGAGAAGCGTTATGGGCCAATTCATCTTTTTTTTTCACTTGCAGATGGATACTGCCTCTTCATAAACAGCCTCTGTATGTCTTCTTTAACACTGCTTCTCTCAAGTAGGGTAAAAGCCTTGCATTAAATCTATTGCACATATGCTCATGAAAAGGTTCTTTAAGGTCAGCTGCCCCTGGAAGTTGACATTCCTCAGTTTTTGTCCCTCCCTGTCTGCACTTGGCCAGACTGCTGTGCTCTGGAAGCACAAGTGTGAGGACTGGGGAGGGTTGGCAGGAGGCGAGTGAACTGCCACAGTTCAAGGTTGGGCACATGCTCCCAGGGCAGCCAGCAGGGACCTTCATTTTCATTAAAGTCATTCATAATTGTGCATACACTATTTGGGGTGTGAATACTGGTCTAACAGAGGGTGCCCCAAGTTTAGTGCATGAGCTGCAAAGCCACCTCCAACCTGTGCAGGCAGGCAACGTGTCATTTCTTACCCTGCTTCAGGGTTGCTCCTCCTGGCTTCCTGTAGGCAGCCCAAGAAGCCAGGAGCCACTAGGGCCAAGGGGGCAGCCCCAGCTCCTCACATGGAAAACAGGGTGGGAGGCTGCTGAGGGGCCCATTGTGGATGCTGGTGCTGCTGTCACCTCTGCCATGTCTCCAACAGTTCCCTGTGGTGACTGAGGCACGTCCTCCACTGAGCCTGTCTTTCTTCCATGGTGATGGCCACCCAAGCACACCCTTGCTTCCATGATGACAGGCACCACTGCTTTCTCAGGATGGGGTGAAGAAGAAGTTCCTCTCCCAAGAGTGAGGCTCACCTCTGGGTGCTCTCACCAGGTGGGCCTGGGTTCCCATTGCTATGATGCTTAACACACAGACACAGTTCTTCAGTTGTGGTCACACACGGCCGCTTCTTCCAGTTCAGATTCCACCACCCAAAGGGGCTGAATGGGGCCCATGTTGGAGGTGAGCCACTTCATGGCCCTGACTCTACAAAACCCCTTCCCCTTCCAATTCTTGTCCCCTGCTCCTGCCTCTTTCTGCCCTCCTTCCTCCTGCTGCAACTCCCTCACGCCACCTAGGTGCTTCTAGACACGTTCCAAAAACTTTGAATCGCTTCTGTTTGCCATCTTTTCTCCTCCTGTGGAGCCGCCACTACGTTGCCCAGGCTAGTCTCGAAATCCTGAGCTCAAGCTATCTGCCTGTAGTTCCACCTACTCAGGAGGCTGAGGTAGGAGGATCACTTGAGCCCGAGAGGTTGAAGCTGCAGTGAGCTGTGATTGTGCCACGGCACTCCAGCCTGGGCAACACAGTGTGACCCTGTCTCAAAAAGATACATACATACGTACATACATACATACAGAGGAGCTTTTTGGTTTATTAGCTTGTTAAAAAATTAGAGAATTAAGTAAGATTCAGGTCATAGTACTGTAAGATTTTACAGAGTTAAAGATAAGTGGGATGAATTTGAAAAAGTTCTGCTGGTGAAGGGAATGTTTAGGAAGGACCTGAGAAGGCAGAAATGGAAAAAAAAATGAAATCTTTTCAAGGTCCCTTGGCTGGGCAATCTTAATTTCTCCTAAGCAATAAACAAGATCTACAAAACACTTTACACACACACGAGATTGATAGTTTCCGGACCACTTAATTTTAACAATTAAAAGTTGTATTTAGTATCAATACAAATAATATTTTTGCATTTTTTTTTTTTTTTTTTTTTGAGACGGAGTCTCTGGCTCTGTCGCCCAGGCTGGAGCGCAGTGGCGCGATCTCGGCTCACTGCAAGCTCCGCCTCCCAGGTTCTATCCATTCTCCTGCCTCAGCCTCCTGAGTAGCTGGGACTACAGGCGCCTGCCACCACGTCCGGCTAATTTTTTGTATTTTTAGTAGAGATGGGGTTTCACCGTGTTAGCCAGGATGGTCTTGATCTCCTGACCTTGTGATCTGCCTGCCTCGGCCTCCCAAAAGTGCTGGGATTACAGGCGTGAGCCACCGCGCCCAGCTTATTTTTGCTTTCAATAGAAAAATCTTACAGTAGTATTTAAAGTGAGATCAGTGAAACTGAGCATGTCAGTCGCTGTTTTATCTTTGTAACGTGGCTGGCAAAGGGCTCCTGGTAGTACAAGTGTCAGCTCTGCCATCTTCTTATTGTTTGCTTGTATTTGCATTTTTTTTTTTTGAGATAGGTCTCACTCTGTCACCCAGGCTGGGGTGCAGTGGCGTGATCTCGGCTTACTGTAACCTCCATCTCCTGGGTTCAAGTGATTCTCCTGCCTCAGCCTCCCGAGTAGCTGAGACCACAGGAGCCCGTCACCATGCCCGGCTAATTTTTGTAGTTTTAGTAGAGACAGGGTTTCACCATGTTGGCCAGGCTGGTCTCAAACTCCTGGCCTCAAGTGATCCACCTGCCTCGGCCTCCCAGAGTGCTAGGATTACAGGTGTGAGCCACTGTGCCCGGCCTGTACTTGCAGTTTTAGTATTATCTTTTTTGTTTTTTTAAACAGCTTTGTTTAGATAAAATTCATATAATACACAATTCACACATTTAAAATGTACAATTCAATGGTTTTTGGTATATTACAATAGCCTTCTGAAGTTGTGGTAAAATATATGTAACATAAAATTTGCCATTTTAACCACTTTTAAGTGTACAATTCAGTGGCAGGAATTGCATTCACAGTATTGTACAACCATCACCACTATCTATTTCCAAAACGTAATCATCCCAACTTTGTACCTATTAAAAAATAACTCCCCATTCCTGCCTCTCCCTTGCCCTGGTAACCTCTAATATATTTTCTGTCTACAATTTTGCTTATTCTAGATATTTCATATAAATTGAATCATACAATATTTGTCCTTTTAACATCTTATTTCACTTAGCATAATGTGTTCAAGGTTAATCCATGTTGTGGCATGTATCAGAACTTCATTCCTCTTTATGGCTGAATCATATTCTATTGTATGTATATATCACATGATGTTTATCTGCTCATCTGTAGATAGACATTTGGGTTGTTTCTACCTTTTGGCTATTATGAATAATTCTGCAATGAACACTGAAGTACAACGATCTGTTTGAATCCCTCTTTTCAATTCCTTTGGGTATACGCCTACCACTAGAATTGCTGGGTAATTCTGTTTAGCTTTTGGAGGAACTGCCAGAATGGTTGCATCATTTTGCATTCCAACCAGCAATGTATGAGGGTTCCAATTTCTTCTTCTTCTTCTTTCTTTTCTTCCTCTTCCTCTTCCTCTTCCTCTTCTTCTTCTTCTTCTTCATTTTTGAGACAGGGTCTTGCTCTGTTGCCCAGGTTGGAGTGCAGTGGCATGTTCATAGCTCACTGCAACCATGAACTCCTGGGCTCAAGCAATCCTTCCACTTCAGCCTCCCAAGTAGCTGGAACTACAGGCGCATGTCACCATGCCTGGCTAATTTTCAAAATTCTTCTTTTGTAGAAATGGGGTCTTGCCATGTTGACCGGGCTGGTCTTGAACTCCTGGTTTCAAGGGATCCTTCCGCCTTGGCCTCCCAAAGCGTTAAGATTACAGGCATGAGTCACCACCCTCAGCTGAATCATTTAAAAATGTACAACTCATTGGCATTTAGTACATTCACAATGTTGTGCAACTACCACCTTTCTCTAGTTTTAAAACTTTTTTACCACCCTAGAAAAACAGTATTGTAAGTAATCACTTAAATCACTTCCTGTTCTCTCCTCCATGCGCACCACCCTCATTCCCCTAGCAAGCACTGTATTAGTCCATTCTCACACTGCTATGAACTGCCCGAGACTGGGTAAATTTCTAAAGGAAAGAAGTTTAATTGACTCGCAGTCCTGCATGGCTGGGGAGGACACAGGAAACTTACAATCATGGCAAAAAGGAAAGAAAACACATCCTTCCTGACATAGCAGGAGAGAGAAGTGCTGAGTGAAGTGGGGAAAAGCCCTTTATAAAACCATCAGATCTCATGAGAATGCACTCACTACCACGAGAACAGCATGGGGGAACTGCCCCCATGATCTAATCACCTTCCACAAGGTCCTGTCCCCAACACATGGGGATTACAATTTGGATTACAATTCAAGATGAGATTTTGGGTGGGGACACAGCCAAACCATATCAATCACTAATCTATTTTCTGTCTCTATGGAGTTGCCTATTCTAAATATAGTATTGTTTTCTTTCACTTAATGTGATGCTTTTGAGGTTTATCCAAGCTGCAGCATGTTTCAGTATTTCATTCCTTTGTATGGCTGAATAATAGTCTATTATGTGTGTGTGTGTGTGTACTACAATTTGTTTATCTATTCATTCATTAATGGCCATTTGGGTTGTTTCCACATTTTGGCTATTACGAATAATGCTATTATAAACACTAGTGTACAAGCTTCTGTGTGGATGCGTGTTTTCATTTCTCTTTTATTTATACCTAGCAGTGGAATTGCTGGGTCATATAGTAATTGTATGTCTTTTTGGGGAACTGCCAAATTTTCCGTAGCAGCTGCATTATTTTATATTCACCCAGCAATGTATGAAGTTTCTATTTTTTTTTTTTACATCCTCCTTGACACTGTTTTTAAAAACGAAAAATTATAGACCAGCCTGGCCAAGATGGTGAAACCCCATCTCTACTAAAAATACACAAAAAAATTAGCCAGGTGTGGTGGTGGGTGCCTGTAATCTCAGTTACTTGGGAGGCTGAGGCAGGAGAATCACTTGAACCTGGGAGGCGGAGGTTGCAGTGACCCCAGGTCGCGCCATTGCATTCCAACCTAGACAACAAGGGCGAAACTCCATCTCAAAAAAAAAAAATAAAATAAAATAAAAAAATTATAGGCATTTTAGTAGGTGTGGTCATTGTGGTTTTGATTTGCATTTTTCTAATGATTAGTGATGTTGAGGCTCTTTTCATATACTTGTTAGCCATTTCCATTTCCATATCTTCTTTGGAGAAATGTCCATTCAAGTTCTTCCCCCATTTTTAAACTGGGTTCTTTGTTGTTGAGTTGTAAGAATTCCTTATATATTCTGAATGCGAACACCTTTTTGGATATATAATTTGCAAATATTTTTCCCATTCTGTAGGGATTTTTTTTCACTTCACTGATATTATTCTTTAATGCACAAAAGATGAATTTTTTTTTTTTTTTTTTGAGATGGAGTCTTGCTCTGTCGCCCAGGCTAGAGTGCAGTGGCGCAATCTCGGCTCACTGCAAGCTCCGCCTCCCGGGTTCATGCCATTCTCCTGCCTCAGCCTCCTGAGTAGCTGGGACTACAGGCACCCGCCACCATGCCTGGCTAATTTTTTGTATTTTTAGTAAAGATGGGGTTTCACCATGTCAGCCAGGATGGTCTCGATCTCCTGACCTTGTGATCCGCCTGCCTCGGCCTCCCAAAGTGCTGGGATTACAGGCTTGAGCCACCGCACCCAGCCAATGAAGTTTTGTACCCTGCAATTTTGCTGAATTTATTTATTAGTGCTAGTTTTGTTTTTTTGGTGAATTCTTTGGGATTTTCTATATGTAGACATGTCATCTGCAAATAGAGATAATTTTACATCTTCCTTTCTAATTTGCAAGCTGTTTTTGTTTTTCTTGCTTAATTCCTCTGGGTAAGACTTCCAGTACTATATTGAATAGCAGTAGTGAAGGTGGAAATCCTTACCTTTTTCCTAACGTTAGGGGAAAGCTTTCTGTCTTTTATCACTGAGTGTGATACCAGCTGTGCATTTTTCTAGATTATGTTCAGGTAGTCTTTTTCTATTCCTAGTTTTCTGAGTGCTTTTTGTCATGAAAGGGTGTTGGATTTTGTCAAATGCCATTCCTTGCACCAATTGAGATGATCATGTGGTTTTACTCTCTTGAAGTATAAATGTGGTGTATTACATTGATTTATTTTCTTATGTTGAACCACCTCTGCCTTTCTGGGATAAATCTCACTTGGTCATAGCATATAATCTTTTTAATGTGCTATTGGATTTGCTTGTTATCTTGTTGAGTATTTTTGCATCTATACTCGTAAGGGATATTGATCTGTAGTTTTGACTTTTTTTTTCCTCTTATGGTATCTTTGTCTGCAGTCCACTTAATTTTAAATCTATAATTGAGAAGGAATAAACCAATTCTGTAATTCTAAACTGGCCAGAGTAGTGCCAGACCAAGAATACTATCAAGTGAAATTTCAAACTTTTCTGAGACATAAAATTCATGACTTTAGTGACTTAAATTTGAAAGATTGCCTCATTGTCTCCATCACAGAGGATGTTGTATACTTGGTCCTGAAAAATATGTTTGACTAGGGTCCCATGATGGTCATCCATTAGGTAAGACAATAATTTGGCTTCATAAGTCCCCAGAAGAGGTTAAGCGTCCTGAGAAGGTAATGGGATAGGGAACATAGGAACATGTAGGATATGAGCTTCCTTAATACAGAAGAAAAGGTTTTTCTTAACTTATATATTTCATTCCATCTTCCCATTAGAGAAAAAACTTAATCTTATTTTGCTTTTTGAAAAAATTCTTCCAACAATATATTTCTGTACATGACTCTCATTTTATTGTTTCTTAGACATTTAGAAACCTGGGAGTAAGAGCAAAAACTCACGGCCTAATTATGTTTACACTGATAGTTTAAAGATATTTTAGCACTAACCAGCATCAATTCCTAATATTCATTCAAAATGTTAGCACTTGGTATAAAGAAGGAAACAGGTTGAGCAAGGTGGCTCATGCCTGTAATCCCAGTACTTTGGCAGGCTGAGGTGGGCAGATCACTTGAGCCCAGGAGTTTGAGACCAGACTGGGCAACATGGCAAAACCCTGTCTCTACAAACAATACAAAAATTAGCTGGGTTTGGTGGTGTATGCCTATAGTCCCAGCTACTTGGGAGGCTGAGGCAGGAGAATCGCTTGAACCTGGGAGGTGGAGGTTGCATTGAGCTGAGATTGTGTCTCTGCATTCCAGCCCAGGCGACAGAGCCAGACCCTGTCTTGAAAAAAAAAAAAAAAAAAGAAAAAGAAAAAAGAAAGGAAAAAGAAGGAAACAGGAAATGAGGAATAGTTCCATTAGGTCACACAGCAAGCCAGTGATGGAGTGGAGCTGGCAATTCTGATAGCATCTCTCTCCTTCTTTCTACCTGTTCTGCCACCTTTTGTTATCTTACATACTTGTCAAAATACAACCTGAGGAAAGCAAGAGTGCCAGGGCATGGTGAAGGCTAGGAATAGTCTGCTGCAAAGCAGGGAAGCCATTTTTCCCTCACTGGCTATGGGGAACCCTATGTTAACAGTGACTGAGCTTTTTCCTTAGTTGATCTTGTGCAGCATCTAACCTGGATGTGAGCAAACCAGTGTAAGAAATGAAACTGTAAAGGGAAAAAAGTGGATACGAAGGGAGGCAGGCATACTTAACATGAAGAAAACCTGGTCATTTGGCACTCTTTCAGTTAGGTTCTTTCACTTGGCTGGAGGTCTGGTGTGCCATAGCAGTTCTGCAAGCCTGCCAGAGAAATCTAACGATGAGAGTACAGTACCTTCATTGTCTAAACTTCCTCCCAACTAGTTAAGTGAAACTAGCTAAATGAGCAGCGCTGGCTTATTCCTTCGGAGTCATATTTTTTAACATGTGAAATATAATTATTGTAAGAGTCCACTCTCTTAAGTTTCAGGATTTGTTGGAAGACTGGGAATAGAGGGTGGCCATTGCCAGACCTGTAACTTGTAGAGCTGTGAGCCCAGCCATCTCCTGGGGCACTTTCCCAGGCTCTCTCAGAATTTCTGGGAGAAGGAACTGCCAGCTTCACCCCTGCAGTGCCCCCATGTCTGCTGGGCCCTTGCAACTTGAGAACTGGAGTTGGGCACTAGAGACAGGGCTTCCAGGATGTGGGTCTTCCTCTGGCTTGGCCATCCCAGGTCAGTCAGCTCTGGCAATGGAGGGCTCCAGCTGATCTTTTGGCTGTGGAAGGATGACTGGGTAGGGTACCACAAGGCTGTCCCTAAGTTATTAGGTTGAACCATAGGAAATTGTCAATATTTGACCATTCTGTTCTTCGAAATAGTGATTTCATATGGTTCAGCTTAAATTTCTAATATGGGGAAAGAAAGGAAAGAAATGGAAGCCCAAATAATCTATTGCCTGCACTAGGAAGCAGAATATATTTTCCAGAACATTAGTCTCTGTAGGGAAAAGAGAGATCAGACTGTTACTGTGTCTATGTAGAAAGGAAGACATGAGAAATTCCATTTTGATCTGTTCTAAGAAAATTGCTTTGCCTTGAGATGCTGTTAATCTGTAACTTTAGCCCCAACCCTGTGCTTACAGAAACATGTGCTGTATGGAATCAAGGTTTAAGGGATCTAGGACTGTGCAGGACGTGCCTCATTAACAGTATGTTTACAGGCAGTATGCTTGGTAAAAGTCATCGCCATTCTCCATTCTCAATTAACCAGGGGCAAAATGCACTGTGGAAAGCCGCAGGGACCTCTGCCCAAGAAAGCCTGGGTATTGTCCAAGGTTTCCCCCCACTGAGACAGCCTGAGATATGGCCTCCCGGGAAGGGAAAGACCTGACCATCCCCCAGCCCGACACCCGCAAAGGGTCTGTGCTGAGGGGGATTAGTAAAAGAGGAAGGCCTCTTGTGGTTGAGATGAGGAAGGCCTCTGTCTCCTGCATGCCCCTGGGAACAGCATGTCTTGGTGTAAAACCCGATCCTATGTTCGTTCCATTCTGAGATAGGAGAAAACCACCCTGTGGCTGGAGCCAAGATACGCTGGCGGCAATGCTGCTGTTACTCTTTGCTACACTGAGATGTTTGGGTGGAGAGAAGCATAAATCTGGCCTACGTACACATCTGGGCATAGTACCTTCCCTTGAACTTATTTGTAACACAGATTCCTTTGCTCACAGATTTTCCTGCTGACCTTCTCCCCACTATCACCCTGTTCTCCTGCTGCATTCCCCTTGCCGAGATAGTGAAAACAGTAATCAATAAATACTGAGAGAGCTGAGACTGGGGCCGGTGCGGGTCCTCTGTATGCTGAGCACCGGTCCCCTGGGCCCAGGGTTCTTTCTTTATACTTTGTCTCTGTGCCTTATTTCTTTTCTCAGTCTCTCATCCCACCTGATGAGAAACACCCACAGGTGTGGAGGGGCTGGCCCCCTTCAACTCTCCGTTCATTTTTTAGTTTTGTTGAGGCTCTTTTACAGGTTGAATTGTGTCCTCCCAAAAAAGGTATGTTGTGGTCCTAATCTCCAATACCTCATAAGGTCACTTTATTTGGAAATACATTTTTTACAGAGGTAATCAAGTTAAAATGAGGTCATTCAGGTGGGTCCATTATGACTGGTTTCCTTATAAAAAGAGGAGACTTGGACACAGAGATAGATCTGCACAGAGGGAAGACACTGTGGAGACACACAGAGGGAATGCCATGTGAAGATGGAGGACTGGAATGATGCATCTAGAAGCCAAGGAACACCTGAGGCTCCCAGAAGCCAGGAGGGAGGCGTGGACAGCTCCTTCCCTAGCACTTTCAGGAGAATGGCCTTGGTCAACACCTTGATTTTGAACTTCTGGCCTCCAGAACTGAGAGACAATGAGTTTTTGTTGGTTTAAACAATCCAGTTTGTACTACTTTGCTACAGCAGCCCTAGGAAATGAACACAGGCTCCTTCCAGTGATGAAAACCTATGCTGTTGGTAAGAAACAACAGTACAGCCTGGGTTAAAAATGGCACAGTGGTTTAATCTCTAGAATCTCAGACAACAGATTTGAGGTATTCATTCCTATAGGATCTGGCTGTGCTTCCTACACTGACCAAAAAAGATTCATGTGTTCAGATACAACAAAGCTAGCTTTCTAACTTACTAACTTACAATGTATATGCATATGCACATGCCTGTGTGTTTCCCACCATGTATTTATTCTTCATGCTTGGTTTTCTAGCATTTTCAAGTTTGCAGTAAAAGGTTCAATACACATTTATTTCTCTAGTCTGCAGTGGAGCAGGTAACATATCCTAAGGAGACAAGAGTTTTTTTTTTTTGTTTGTTTGTTTGTTTGAGATGGGTTCTTGTTCTGTTGCCCAGGTTGGAGTGATGTGGCATGATCTTGGCTCACTGCAACCTCTTCCTCCTGGGTTCAAGCAATTCTCCTGCCTCAGCCTCCTGAGTAGCTGGGACTACAGGCGTACGCCACCATGCCTGGATAATTTTTTGTATTTTAGTAGAGACGGAGTTTCATCGTGTTGCCCAGACTGATCTTGAACTCCTGAGCTCAGGCAATCCGCCTGCCTCGGCCTCCTAAAGTGCTGGGATTATAGGTGTGAGCCACAGCGCCTGGCCCGAGAGTTGTCGATATGCTCGCAGGAAGTATTTCTGTGTTAAAAAGTTGAGAAGATGGAAACTGAATCCTCTTTGTATTCAGAAGGCTGTTTCGGAAGGTCACTGTTGGCAGGCTTCTCCCTACAGGGATTCAGCAGTGAGGGAGCAGAGTATTTGGGGGACAACTGCTTCTTCTGGAGGGGCGAGAATGAGATGGAGTTCACCAGCAGCTCTTTATGTCAGACTTTTAGCAGGATTCAGCTTTATAAATAAGCCTAAACAAACAAAATAACAGCAGATGATTATATGTCAACTGACTTCAATTTGATGGACTACTCTAAATAGAAAGACATATACAAAAGAAGGATTTGATTCACATTTGTAGCTTCAGTCTATCTGTCCACTCTCATTTTTCAGCCAAATTAAGAATCAGCTTTTGACTATCACAATACTGTATTACTTCTCCCTGGGTAACCAGGTCCTCACCACTTGGCCATTTCATGGTTCCTCACTACTTCCATTAGAAATGAAAAGAACTAAAATTACAAGTGAGCCATCTGGCACCTTTATGATATTGAAAGGTTTAGTGAGACAGGAAGTACAAACCACAGCCTGGAATGGAGTTCTTAAATTGACTGTGGATTTAAGTTATTATCTTCCACCTGCTCCTTAAATCCATCATTCCTGCAAATGCTTCATACTTAAGAGGAAAAATAAATTTCTTAAACAAGATACAAAAAAATTAGCCATAAAGGGAAAAATGTAATAAATGCAACTAAATTGACATTAAAAATTTCTGTTCATAAAGAAGATACCTTAAAGCAAATAAAAGACAACTTACACACTGTAAGGAGGTATGTGCAACTTATATATCCAACAAAAAATTGTTCTAATAGAAAATATATAAAGAACATCTATAAATCAGTAAGAAAATGAGAACAAATGGAAAAAAAGCTGAACAAACAAAAATTTCACAGAATGGGAAAAAATATGGTCAATAAACATATGAAGAGACACTCAACCACACAGGTAATCAGAGAAATGCAAATCAAGATCACACCGAGAAGTCATTTTATAGTCATTTGACTGGCAAAAATCATGAAGTCTGACTTCACTAATTGCTAGAGAAGATGGGAATCTAAAGAATCTCATATATTGCTGGTGGGAGTTTAATTTGGTACAGGCTTAGAAAACAATTTTGCATTCCTCTGTAAAGCTGAATACTCACAATACTCTACCACCCAGAAATTCTGTTCCTAAGTATATGCCAAGCTCTTGCCCATGCACACCACCAGGAGACATGAACAAGAATGTTTATAGCAGCCCCATTTGTAATAGTCAGAGGCCTGTCACTGGAAGAGAGACATTCATTGTGGGACAGTCACATATGGAGTATTACACAGTGGTACAAACAAGTGAACACAGCCAACAACATGGATGAACCTCAGTACTCCAGGGAAGTAACAGGTCATGTGTGTGACTTTCCTGAGACAGTCTACACACACATAAATATAGACATATTTTTCTTATTTATGGTATCACAATATTTCACCATTTTTTAATGGCACACACATACAATATAGTTCATAGGTGAGCTGTAGTTCTTTAACCAGTCTCCTATTGATGGATAGCTATGTTTGCTACGTTTTGCCATTTTTCTTGCTATTGCAAATAATGTTGCATGAGTGACACAATCACTGGAACCCGATAGCAATCTAACACATTATAATTTTGCAGTTATTATACCTGTGAGATAAAGTCCTGGAGGTGGGTCAAAGGGCATATCACTTTGTAAATTTTTTTTTTTTTTTTGAGACAGGGTCTGGCTCTGTCACCCAGGCTGGAGTGCAGAGGTGCGATCTCAGCTCACTGCAACCTCTGTCTCCTGGGTTCAAGGGAGCCTCCCATCTCAGCCTCCCAAGTAGCTGGGACTACAGGCGCACACTACCATGCCCCGCTAATTTTTTGTATTTTTTGTAGAGATGGGGTCTTGCCATGTTGCCAAGGCTGGTCTCGAACTCCTGGGCTCAAGTGATCCTCCCACCTTAGCCTACCAAAGTGCGGGGACTACAGGCATGAGCTTATGCATTGGGCTGTAATTTTGATAGCTGTTGGCAACTTGCCCTTTACTAGCAATGTATAAGAATATCTTTAACTTGTTCTTTGTATGACAGGGAATTAAGAATTTTTTGGCATGTATGGGTTATAATACCAGGGCAAAAAACCAAACCAAACCAAAACACCCCCCTGACCCCCACAAAACCCAAATCAACCAACCAACCAACCAACCAAAACTCCCAACCCAACCCAACTAAACCCCAAGAAAGAGATAAGACCAGCTTCTTACTTGTCGCCTCTGAGTATAGGGTCTTCTCATCAACACTCTGAACATTACAGGAAACAAAAAATTTCCTTCCTTCAACTTTATCAAGTTGGCTATTTATCATAACAACAGAACAAAGAGGGATAGGTCTGCAGAATAAAATGAAAAAGGAAAAAAATCAGTTTTTATCTGACTTATATAACATTAAAAGATGATCAAGTACATGACAAGGGATAGAAATTTATGACACCTGACAACAATGAGCACTGACTGCCTTAGACAATACATTCCTCAAGGACTCTGACACCAACAGCCTCTCAAGCTCCCCCTCTCCCAAGCACCACTGCTCTCAGGTGGCTCCTGGGCTACAGTCCCTGGATGTCTCTCTGGGCTTGTTTCAAAGGGATCATCAGGAATTCCAGCTCTGTGATGGCAGAGACTATCCCATCTGGAGATCCACTGCAAAGTCCTAAGGGAGCTGAAATGCTTTAAAGAAGTGAAAATAGGGCCAACAGATGGTCCCAGGCAGCTTCTCTCATTTCTTCTGTCATAATCAACATTTCTCATTCAATTCTGAGTAATGGTCACTAGAAAGACACCTAATAACAACAAATTGCTGATAACAGCTTACTGCTCTAAGTCAGTACTGTCCAATAGAACTTTCTGTGATGATACAAATGTTCCATATCTGAGCTGTCCAACCTGGTAGCCACATGTGCCTAATGAGCACTTGAAATGTGGCTAGCATAACTGAGAAGTTGAGTCCTTAAATTTATTTAATTTGAATTAATTTATACTTAACTTTAAATAGCTACATGTGACTAGTGGCTACAGACGTTTCTGGGAATCCTGGAGAAACATATCACAATGAAAGGATATCTCTTTAAAAGTGAAATTTCAGTTGGTTGAAACAGAAGGTAGAGCACGGAAACGTGTTTCGTGCTCCTATGGTACTACCAAGCAGATGATGGAACTACCCCAGGTAGAAAGGAAGTTATCACTGTGATGATCTCTCTGCCCAGTTTTCCTTTCAATGAACTTTTAATACTTCCACTCCCATTAGCTTTTCCTTTGCTCTTTTGTTGAGTCAATTCAACATTTACTAAGACCCAGGGGACATTAGGTGTTCTCGCCTGCCCAGCAACTCCCTTTTCTACTAACATGACTCTCTTCATTTATCCATCCCCTACCCTCCCTTCATTCTCTTCATATCTCTCTCTTTGATATACTCATGTACCCCTTTTGTCAGGGAACCACCTCTCCCTCATTCTTAGCCCATGTAGGTTGACTGGCATTGAATAATGATCCCTCCACTCCACACACACATAGTGACCAGTTGTGGGGGTGGGCACAGGCTGAAATAGTCAATCCTGGAACTTGTGCTGTAGCCCTTGGGGCTGGGTTCTTTTTCTCTGAGGCGCTAGGCTTACAAGACATAAGCCTGGCTGGCCTGGCTGGTGGCCATTGTGCCACTACACTGGGAAAGGCTACGTAAGGATGAAGCAGATCTAGAAGAAAATGTGGCTGAGATTCCTAATGACATCACTGAATATCTGCACTCAGCCACACCTGACTTCTCAACCATACAAGCCAATATATTCCCTTTTTTGCTTAAGCTAGTGAGAGTTAAGAGTTGCCCTTGTAACAGAAAGTCCTAGATTAGTAAAGAGACTAACAGAAAATGTTTCAGAAAATACAAAATAATGCAACAACTATACAGTGTAATTTTCTAAATGTAACTAATATTTAGGCACAGATCAGTTTGGTTGGCACAGGAAACTGGCTTTAGCTTGTTTTCCTTCGTTTAGCTAGAACACTTAATTAGATTTGTATTAGAGGCAGAAAAGTGATAACAAAGATAAAAGCAGCATTTAAAAATAAAAAAATTTGTTTTATTATATTTGTATATGTCTATACACACACACACACACACACACACACACACACACACACTGGAAAGGCATAACAAAGCCAAAAGATAACTCTTTGAAAAGACTAATAATTTCTGGCAAGACAGATCAAGACAATGAGAGAGAGCATACATAAATACTATTGGGGCCAAAAAGGATATAGATTTAGCTGAAATTTTTTAAAAATTGAGAATATTGTGAATATTATGAATAACTTTATGTCAATACATTTGAAAATGCAGATGAAATAGAAAAAAATTTCAAAAATTTATTAAAACTAAGAAAATGATTAGAAAGCCTGAATAGTTGAATAAAGAAGACACTGAGGCACTAAGCGGAAGGAGGAGTCTCACTCTGAAACGAGACTGGGTCTCTCAATCACTTCATGGGGTTACCCTCACTGACCAGGATAACCACATGAGACTATTAGGTAAACCAAAAAAGCCTATAGGTTTAAAGTAGTGAAATGTAGGAGTTACACTAGCTAATGTTACTCTAATTTACTATAGATTTTTTTTAAAAAGTTCTTTTTTTTTTTTTAACCTCAAATTCAATGTGGCCAGAACATTGGCTTGTAAGGTTCTGGTTCTGTAAAATCTATTAAGACTTAATTTATAAGCCAATACATGATCAATTTTTGCAAATGTGTGCTGGGAAAAAGAAAGTGTGCTGTTTTCTAATTATTGGATGCAGAGTTCTATGTTTGTCTAATAAACCATACTTGTTATCTTGTGATGTTTAAATTCTCCATTTTCTTTCTTTCTTTTCTTTTCTTTTTTTTTTTTTTTGAGATGGAGTCTTGTTCTGTCACCCAGGTTGGAGTGCAGTGGCGCGATCTTGGTTCACTGCAACCTCCGCCTCCTGGGTTCAAGCGATTCTCCTGCCTCGGCCTCCCAAGTAGCTGGGATTACAGGCACATGCCACCATGCCCAGCTAAGTTTTTGTATTTTTAGTAGAGATGGGGTTTCACCATGTTAGCCAGGATGGTCTCAATCTCCTGACCTCATGATCCACCCACCTTGGCCTCCCAAGGTGCTGAGATTACAGGCTTGAGCCACCGTGCCTGGCCTAAATCCTCCATTTTCTAATTGTTTTTTCTTTTTTTTGGAGACAGGGTCTCAGTATGTTGCTCAGGCTGCAGTTCAGTGGCTATTCACAGGAGTTATCATAGTGCATTGCAGCCTTGAACCCCTGGACTAAAGCAATCCTCCTGCCTCAGCCTCCCAAATAGCTGGGACTATAGATGTGCACCACCTCACTTGGCTCTGATTTTTTTTTTTTGTCTGCTTGACCTATCAATAATTGAGAACAGGCTGGGTGCTGTGTCACACCTGTAATCCTAGCACTTTGGGAGTCCGAGGTGGGCGGATCACGAGGTCAGGAATTCGAGAGCAGCCTGGTCAGCATGGTGAAACCCTGTCTCTACTAAAAATAGAAAAAAATTAGCCAGGCATGGTGGTGGGTGCCTGTAGTCCCAGCTACTTGGGAGGCTGAGACAGGAGAATTGCTTGAATCCAGCAGGCGGAGGTTGCCATAAGCTGAGCTCGCGCCACTGCACTCCAGCCTGGGTGACAGAGCGAGACTCTGTCTTGAAAAAAAAAAATTGAGAACAATGTGTTGGAATCTCCCACTATATAAAGGTGGGCTAGTCAACTTCTCCCTATGATTATATCAATTTAATTTATACTCTTTATTAGACGCATATTGATTTAGTTATTATTACCTACTATTGAACTGAATCTTTTATTACTATGAAGTAGCCTTCTCTATCCCCAATATTACTTTTTTGACAGTTCATTATTTTTTCTGATCCCAGTTTTCTTCTGGTTAACTTTTGTGTAGCATATTTTCTCTTCCTTTTAAACTTTTTGGTGTCATTTCAAAAATATGTCTCATATAGTTTCTAGTTTTTTACTTTTAAAAATTCAATATTATAATCTGTCTTTGAACTGATGGTTTGGTCTATTTATAGAGAGTCATTACTGATTTATTTAGACTTATTTCTATCATCTTATTTTGGCTTATTATTTGACTCGCTTTTTCTAACCCTCTTTTTTTCCTTGCCTTTTTAAAAATTGAGTTTTACTACTTGTTTGATCTTGTATTGTTTTAGATATTAGTTATACACTCATTTTCTCTTATTTTAATCATTCTCTCCACTGAAAAATATGAGGATGTATCAACATTAACTCTGTTCATCTCCTCCCAAACTACATGCTATTGTTATCCAGTATTTTAGCTGTCCTTTTGTTAATCACTATAATTTATTTATTGTAAATTTTTATTTTTATTATTTTTAGAGATGGGTTCTCAGTCTGTCCCCCAGGCTGGAGTGCAGTGGCGCAATCATAGCTTACTGCAACCTTGAACTCTTGGGCTCTAGCGATCTTCTTGCATCAACCTCCCAAGTAGCTAGGACCACAGGCATGAGCCACTGCAACACACCAATCCTCAGAATTTAGACATCAATATTACTTATAGACTCTATTTAGATTTTAGTTATCTACATGTTTACCAATTAATTTGCTCATGATTCCTCCTTTCATCCTCCCACCTGTTGGGATTGCTTTCCTTCTTTCTAAAGTCCACCATTTAGGAGCTCCCTGGGTGTTGTCCTGCTGTTCCATAAATTCTCTCCATTTGTTTGAATGACAGCACCTTCATTTTGCGCTCATTTTTGAACTTTAGCTTTGCTGAGAGCATGATTTTAGATCGACATTTTCTTTTGGCAGATGTTTTATTGTCTTCTGGCTTCTACTGTTGCTATTGAGAGGTTTACTGCCAGTGTAATGGTGCCCTCTTGCTTCTAAAAAGCAAGACTGCTTTGTAATGGCTGCTCTATCTTAGCTCTGCTTTTAAGATCTCTTTGTCTTAAGTATTCTCCAATTTCTCTATAATGTCTCTAGATATACTTTTAAAACCTAGCTTGATATAGATTGCTTTCTATATTGTCAATTCATGATTTTCTTTAGCTCTTGAATATGCTGACCCATTATTTCCTTAAATACTGGATCTCTTCAATTCTCTTTATTCTATTTTTCTAGGACTCTAATTAGAGCATGTTAGATCTTTTTATTTGTCCACTATAGCTTATGCTCTCTATATTTCCCATTTCCTTTTTTCTCTGTGCTGGATTCAGGGTAATTTTTTTTTTCTCTCTCTCTCTGCTAAACATAGATCTGAAAATAATAATTAAAAAGCTTCATTTAGGCCGGGCATGGTGGCTCACGCCTGTAATCCCAGCACTTTGGGAGGCCGAGGCGGATGGATCATGAGGCCAGGAGTTCAAGACCAGCATGACCAACATGGCAAAAACCCATGTTTACTAAAAATACAGAAATTAGCCGGGCATGGTGGCATGTGCCTGTAATGTCAGCGACTCAGGAGGCTGAGGCAGGAGAATCGCTTGAACGCAGGAGGCGGAGGTTGGAATGAGCCAAGATTGCACCACTGACTCCAGCCTGGGTGACAGAGAGACTCCATCTCAAAAAAAAAAAAAAAAAAGCTTCATTTAACATATTAAGCTGCTAGCTCTGAATACATTAACTGTGATCCTCAAAATATCTCTTTAAGAAAAGTATTATTGTCTTTGGTTAATGGATGAGGAAACTGAGGCCCAGAGAGGTTAGGTAATTTGCTAAAGCTGTATGGCTATTTGGTGGCACACATGGGATTCAAATCCCCAACAGTCTGATTCAAAGTTCTACTTCCCATTTTGCATTTGAGCTTGTTTTATCTGCCAAATGACTTAGTTGAGGTGGGCATGTTGATGTATTTATGGGATATATCTCAACACCGCACTAGAACAATGGAGCTGGTGACTAATTTAGTGTTTTTAGTAATACAACCACCACCACCATCACCGAGCATATGGATCTGACAAATGAACTCTTGATTAAATTTCAATGGAAGGGGAAAATAACTTGTAGGGAGAAATGATTTGAAGGTTTACTGGGCTGTGAGATTATAAAAATCATGAGAGTTTGCATTAGTTTATTTTCATGCTACTATAAAGAACTACCTGAGACTGGGTAATTTATAAAGAAAAGAGGTTTAATTGACTCACAGTTCTGCATGGCTGGGGAGGCTTCAAGAGACTTACAATCACGGCAAAGGTGAAGGGAAAGGGGAAGGGGAAGCAAGGCACGTCTTACATGGTGGCAGGAGAGAGAGAGAGAGAGAGTGCAAGGGGGGATCTGTCAAATGCTTTTATTTATTTATTTATTTATTTATTTATTTATTTATTTTCGAGATGGAGTCTTGCTCTGTTGCCCAGGCTGGAGTGCACTGGCGCAATCTCGGCTCACTGCAACTCTCAGGTTCAAGCAATTCTCCTGCCTCAGCCTCCTGAGTAGCTGGGATTATAGGCATACACCACCATGCCCAGCTAATTTTTTTTTGCATTTTCAGTAGAGATGGGGTTTCACCATGTTGGTCAGGCTGGCCTTGAACTCCTGATCTCAGGTGATCCACTCACCTTGGCCTCCCAAAATGCTGGGATTACAGGCGTGAGCCACGGTGCCCAGCCTGCCAAACACTTTTAAACCATCAGATTTCATAAGAACTCACTATCACTAGAACAGCATGGGGGAAACTGCCCCCATGATCCAGTCACCTCTCACCAGGTCCCTCCCTTGACACATGGGGATTACAATTCTAGATGAGATTTGGGTGGCGACACAAAGCCAAACCATATCAGAATTATAAAATGTCTAACTAAATTGTTAGTGAAAATAAAGGATTTAATTGTGCATTTTTTTTTTTTTGAGATGGAGTCTCACTCTGTTGCCCAGGCTGGAGTGCAGTGGCATGATCTCGGCTCATTGCAACCTCCCAGGTTCAAGCGATTCTCCTGCCTCAGCCTCCCAAGTAGCCTGGCCTTAACTGTGCATTTTAAAGGAACAAGCACTGGGCACGATGGCTCACACCTGTAATCTCAGCACTTTGGGAGGCTGAGGTGGGTGGATCACCTGAGGTCAGGAGTTTGAGACCAGCCTGGCCAACATGGTGAAACCTCGTCTCTACTAAAAATACAAAAATTAGCCGGGTATGGTGGCCTATGCCTGTAATCCCAGCTACTTGGGAGGCTAAAGCAGGAGAATCACTTGAACCCAGGAGGTAGAGGTTGCAGTGAGCTGAGATTGCGCCACTGCACTCCAGCCTGGGTGGCAGAGTGAGACTCTGTCTCAAAATAATAAATAAATAAATAAATAAATAAATAAATAAAGGAAGGAAGGAAGAAGCTTCCAGAATGTGTTGGCTACAAATTAGAAACACAGTGCCACAAGATTATTAAAGTGATGTGAGCTTCTGATTAAAAAAAATACAGAATGAAAAGCAATCGAAACTCTAAAAAGCAAACAAAACCCAGAAGCCTAGGGATTGTCATTTTCCCTTTTCAAGAAAACTATTGAGTGTATTTTTAAAGCTTTCTTTTAAATTCTTGCAGTGGAGTGATATTTAGAAGTAACTCCTGTGTTATCTATCCATAAGAATTCACATTTACCCCTCTTGTTCTTACATCAGTCAGGTATCAAAGAAACCTTTCTATATAGACTGCCCACAAGGCGGGGTAGTTATAATAGGAAAATGGAGAGAAAGAAATGACATTCCACAGCTTTTGAGTTTCTAGCAAATTCAGAGGAAATGTTCTGACCTTTACCAGCATACCATCTTATCAGGGTAATTTCTTCAGTTCTATATTTCTGTTCACTTTCAGCTGTGTTTAAATAGTCCTTTAACCTATTCACTGAGGTATTTTTTTGTTTTTAAACAATTACACTTTCATTTCCTTTTTTTTGTTTTTTTTTTGTTTTTTTTGAGATGGAGTCTCACTCTGTCGCCCAGGCTGGGGTACAATGGTGCAATCTCTGCTCACTGCAACCTCTGCCTCCTGGGTTCAAGTGATTCTCCTGCCTCAGCCTCCCAAGTAGCTGAGATTACAGGTGCGCACCACCACACCCAGCTAATTTTTGTATTTTTAGTAGAGACGGGGTTTCACCATGTTGGTCAGGCTAGTCTCAAACTCCTGACCTTGTAATCTGCCCATCTCAGCCTCCCAAAATGTTGGGATTACAGGCGTGAGCCACCATGCCCGGCCTACAATCTCATTTCTCAAAGTTTTATTAGGTTCTGTGGCAAACCTGCCTAATAATTTTTATAGTTTATCATTGTTTTCTCTTTTTGTGATTTCATCTTTTATTTATTTATTTATTTATTTATTTATTTATTTATTTATTTATTTATTTTTCTGATGGAGTATCGCTCTGTTGCCCAGGCTGGAGTGCAGTGGCACAATCTTGGCTCACTGCAGCCTCCATCTCCCAGGTTCAAGCGATTCTTCTGCCTCAGCCCCCCAAATAGCTGGGATTACAGGCACGTGCCACCACACCTGGGTAATTTCTGTATTTTTAGTAAAGTCAGGGTTTTGCCATGTTGACCAGGGTGGTCTTGAACTCCTGACCTCAGGTGATCCACCCGCCTTGGCCTCCCAAAGTGCTGGGATTACAGGCGTGAGCCACTGTGCCCAGCCTCATCTTTTATTTCTTTAAACATCTCATACTTTATTCATTTATATTGTGTATTTGATTATCATCATATCTTAGATCCCTGAGGTCTAAATCTTATTTATTGTTTCTGTTGATAGTCACCCTTGGTAGTTTCTTTCCTTGTGTATTTGGTACAGGATCTACTTGTTTTGAAGGAGGAATGTCCTTTAGCATTTCTTGTTTGCCATGTTGCATGAAGAAATCGAATCAGGAGCTTCTCAACTCATGTGTCATGAATGGGTCATTGGCATGCTGAGATATTTACCCTTTCAGCTGGCTTGTCATCACTAGTTTGACCTGCTTTGTCTATTTATCTTAATGTGCTAGGCACAAGGAAATAAATCAAGTGGGATATTTGGATCAGAGGGCTGGAAATTATTTGAAATCATTAAGGAATAATCTTGCTTCTTAAAGGAAGTAAGGTAGATTAAGGCATCTGATGATTAATTGACACTGCAAATTATTTTCAATTAAAATATAATCCCAGGTTGTTACCTGTAGCATCTTGAAGGACTGTCAAGTAATCATATTAAATTTAATATTATTACTATTATTATGAACCTAAATAACTGTATACAAAAAAACAGAGAGTGATAAATATTAAATTCTAAACTACTTATAAAATCCAATACTTTATTCTGGTCTTTAGTCATCAACTAACAGAAGACAATGGAGGCTGTGTGTTGTAGTGAAGAGCATCAGATTTGGTGTCATAAGATGTGAGTTCTAATTCTGACTAAATTGCTCTCTATCCATATGACTTCAGGTAAAACTTCTTTTCAGTATGTTTTCCAATTGTGGGGAACAAATGAACAGCAATGCAACTGATTTTTGTGGATGGTTTATTGGGTGGGACAAACACTAAGCATAGAGTTTGGCAGGTTCTGTTTCCCATTTTGCATTTGAGTATGTGCTTAAGACACAAACACTTTTTGAGATAAACAGCAATCTAAATACTTTGTTTCAGCTTGTTTTCAAAGTAACCGTTTACATTTATTTTTTTAGGAACGATGTTATACTTCATTATTCAACTTTATTTGAACATGGAAAAATATTTTTAAAAACATGGGACATGGAAAAATATAAAAAATTTAATTTTTAATATATTCTTTAACATGTTAAGAAAACCCAGATTTCTAGAATCTAATTTATAGTTATAACTAATATGAAATATTGACCATCTGTAAATATGTCAACTTTCCCCAAATTAATCTCTAGAATCAATGTAATTGCTATTAAAATTGTTAAAAGGAGGTACAATGACAATCTGGGTTTAAAGGTTAAAAATCTAAGGCACAACTAGGAATAGAAAGAAACTCTCTCAACATAATAAAGGCTATTTATGAAAACCCTACAACTAACATCATGCTGAATGGTAAAAGACTAAAACCTTTTCATTTAAGATCAGAAACAAGACAAGGATGCCCACTTTTGCCACTTCTATTCTACATGGTACTAGAAGTCCTAGCCAGAGCAATTAGGCAAGAAAAAGAAATCAAAGGTATTCAAATTGGAAAGGAAGAAGTACAAAGATCTGTTTACAAATGACATGACTTTGTATATAGAAAATCCTAAAGATTCCACAAAAACCTGTTAGAATGAATAAACAAATTCAGCAAAGCTGCAAGATGTAAAATCAACACAGAAAAAGCAGTTGCATTTCTATACACAAACAATGACTAATCCAAAAAGGAAATTAAGAAAACAATTAAGGCCAGGTGCAGTGACTCACATCTGTAATCCCAGCACTTTGGCAGGCCAAGGCAGGCGGATCACTTGAGGCCAGGAGTTTGAGATCAGCCTGGCCAACAAAGTGAAACACTGTCTCTACTGAAAATACAAAAAATTAGCCAGCTGTGGTGGTGCATGCCTGTAATACCAGCTACTTGGCAGGCTGAGGCATGAGAATAGCTTGAACCTGGGAAGTGGATGTTGCAATGAGCTGAGATCATGCCACCACACTCCAGCCTGAGCAATAAAGTGAGACTTTGTCTCAAAATAATAATAATAATAATAAAAAAATTAAAAATAAAAAAATCAAAAAGAATAAAATACATAGGAATAAACTTAACCAAAGAGCAAAAGTCTTATACACTGAAAACTACAAAACATTGATGAAAAAAATTAAAGACACAAATAAATGGAAAGACATCTGTGCCTGTGGACTGAAAAGACTCGGTGTTTTGTGTGTGTGTGTGTGTTTTTGTTGTTGTTGTTTTTTTTACAGTTGGGGTCTTGTTGCCCACCCTGGAGTGCAGTGGCATGATCCTAGCTCACTGTAGCCTTGAACTCCTGGGCTCAAGCAATCCTCTCAAGAAGCTAGGACTACAGACGTGCACTGCTGGGCCCAGCTAAATTTTTAAAAAATTAATTTTGTTATGTAGTAGATGTTGGTGCTCCACCCAGAGCCCCTTGGATCCTTTCTTCACTTGTTTTGGTTATTTTCTCTAGAGTCTGCTTTGCTCAAACACAGAGACCCTTAGAAGTACTTGGAAATTTATGGTCCCTGGGATGGCCCTGATCCTATGACCAATACATGCGAGAGTATAAAGACTCTAGCTCCCTCATCTGAGATGGAGACAATTCTGAGGCATAAATTTCATTCTAGAGCTCTCTTGTATGATCTGGCTAAAGCTATGCTTTGCTGGACTTTTGAGAGTTCAGCCTTGGTTGACACTTCTTCATCTTCCCCGTCCTGCTTCTCCCACTCCCTTGCTAGTCTCCTCTGGGAGCACTTCCTTAATAATCACTTGAACACAAATTATGGTGTCAAGATCTGCAACTGGGAACCTGACTTAACAACACCTAAGGATAAATAGAGAATTACTGTGAATTTACCTTTTATAATTGATGTTGAGATTGGCAGTCATGACGATTCCCCCAGCCATCATTGCACACATACCAACAGTAGCATCAATCATGGTTGCAATGGCACCTCCATGAATGAATCTAGTTACAACAGGAGTGGAGGAGAAATGTTTTCAGAAGTTCTGAAGATAGAGAGCCTCTTGAAAGAGAAAAATTATCCAAGCATCTTCACACTATTTACTTATGAAAGGTCCACTTAGCCCATGTTCAGTGTACTGAATGCCAAATACTATCTATGTCCCCAACTTTGTTTTGTTCACAGCATAATAATATAGTCTTAAGTATTTGTAATAAAACCAGAACTTAATAGTAACCAGATCGCAAGCAAGCAAAAAGCTAAAATGTAATTTAGAAAATTTATATTATGTTTTTATTATTAGTCAAGTGTGGTGTCATGTGCCTGTAGTTCTGGCTACTCGGGAGACTGAGGTGAGAGGATTGCTTGAGCCCAGGAGTTCGAGGCTGCAGTGAGCTATGATTATGCCACTGCACTTCAGCCTGGGCAAAGGAGCAAGGCCTTGTCTCACAAAACAAAACAAACTATACATATTCATTGTTTAGAAATGTAGGTAATGCAAATATGAAAAAAAAGAAAAAAATTTAGGACCCATAATACTACCCACCTAGTCAGTGACAAGCCACTGTTAACACATTAATGATATGCTCTCAAATTATACTCTATTGCCCTATGCCCTATAATATTATAATGCTCATATATAAAAATATTTAATCAATATTAATAATATAGATAAGATGTCCTTTAATAATGTATTATAAACATCTTTCCATGTCAATAAATATACATCTATGTGACCATTTGAAAATCTTTATTGTAGTCCATGTACAGGACACATGGGGGCAGTGTAAGATAAAAATCTTTTAGATCCACACTTTCAGGCTATCATTCTTACCCAGGTGGTCCTTCCAGGTAAGGGCCTCCTTGAAATAAGCAAACCATCCTTTTCTCAATGTCATTGTAGAACATCACGTATTCAAAGCCCAGGCCATCATCAAAGCTTCTGGTGAAGAGCTGGGCCTGTGACATTTGTTCTTCTTTCATAAGCTTTGGGTCTATAGAAAATGAGGTGGATGGCAAATGAGAAACAAGGGTGAGAGAAATGCCATGGCAGAGCCAAGCACCTGTACCCTGCTAGAATCACATGTCAATAGATGATTGATTCAAATGTCCACAGGGTGCAAAATTGAAAGGAATGGGAGCGTCTCAATGAAACAGAAGATAGGATCTTTGCCCTTGTGGAATTAACAGTCCAACTGGGGACAGAGTAAACAGACATGAAATCAAAATGAAGTACCCACACATGGCAATCAGGAATATAGTATATAAACGCTAACAATATACTGAATAAAATGGTACGGTAAAGACGGAAATCCTTCTTGGAAGAACTGTGGTTTAAATGCAATTTACAGAAAATAAAAAATGTAACAGAAAGGAGGTTTCCCTGGCAGACATGAGTTGAGTCTGAATCAGCAACAGGGTCAGTTCAGCCCAACACTCAAGTGATTGTGACTCTAAGCCCCCAAAACTGGCAGTGAGAACCATTAGGGTTCATGAAATCAGATTGTGGGTTGTAACCAGGCTTCTTTTTTTTTTTTTTTTTTTTTGACAGAGTTTCACTCTTATTGCCCAGGCTGTAGTGCAATGGCGTGATCTCAGCTCACCGCAACCTCCGCCTCCCGGGTTCAAGCGATTCTCCTGCCTCAGCCTCCTGAGTAGCTGGGATTACAGGCGCCCACCACCACGCCTGACTAATTCTGTATTTTTAGTAGAGACGGGGTTTCTCCGTGTTGGTCAGGCTGGTCTTGAACTCCCGAACTCAGGGATCCGCCTGCCTTGGCCTCCCAAAGTGCTGGGATTATAGGCGTGAGCCACAGCGCCCGGCCATTAACCAGGCTTTAAAAAGAAACAGAACACTTAGTTAACAGAACCATATACTCTGGGTAAGTAATAGTGCACTTGTTTAGACACAGTTTTTTTTCACTTACACAATTGTGAGCAAGTTGGGGGAACTGGATTGAATCAAAATATAGGTCACTTCAAAATAAAGATTGAAAGCCATTGCTCTCAAGAAATAGTGCATTTATCCTTTTGTATCTATTTTAAAATTTAATCCCCCTACTCACCTTTCTTTCATAGCTCATCATGATTTGCCATATATAAAACTGTTTATTTCTATTGAATTTATATTTACAAACGTGGAAAAAGATACAGATGAGAAGATCCAGGAGAAGTGGGGAGAGGGACAGGAAGGATGCATTTGAATTAGGTCATGAGCATCTCAGGGCAGGCACCCTGTCTTTTAGACTTTGCATACCCAACAAATGGCACAGATGTGCACATACTATATACACTTAAGCAGTTGTTGAGTGAATTGATGGTTTAGAAGGACAGACAAGGAACCTTAAAATTGGGGATCAGTATTATGGTGCAGTGGAAAGAACCTTGGCCCGTGAGTTGGGAAAATTAAATTATTGGCCTACCTCTGGCCTAGAACTCACTCTTTTGCACTACACTTTATCCATACAATGAGGAGATAAAACAAAATGAGCTCTAAGATCTCTTCCAACTCTGACATTCCAGGACTTCAGGATAAGATAGGTGTTAAGTGCTTATAATTGTTTTACTTAGGAGTTTGAGATTTCTGGTCTAGATTGGCAAACCTTGAGCTTATTTCATAAAAATGAGAAAAATAAGGTCTGGGTTGAGTTAAAATGTAGGTCATTTCAAAATAAAGACCAAAAGCTACTACTCTCAAGAGGATGTGTTTGTCCTTTGTGATGGTGAAAGAAGTTTGTTGGAAATGCAGAATCTCAGGTTCTACTTCTGACCTTCTGAAGCAGAACTTGCATTTTAACAAGATTCCTAGGTGCTTCATATTCATTTTTAAGTCTGAAAGGCAAGAGTATTTTAAGAAATGGGATAGCACTGAAAATAGCATTGGAATAACATGATGAGATTTGCATTTTGAATCATTCTGACAGTTGAGTGGAAGAAGGGCTTTGAGGAGGATAAGAATGGAGACAGGAGATGAAACTACAAAAATCACAATCACCAAACTTATCTGCTAGATGGGGTGATTTTCTCTAGCAATGCTTAACTATGTGAAAGCCAGTTCAAAGTAAAGATGGCAGATGGTTGGATTCATCCAGGGCTGGGGTTTTCCTAGGTTAGGTGGGCTACAAAAGTTCAGATAGATGAGGGCTATTGGACCATGAGAAAGTAAAGGATTCAATGAACTCAGAAGGTCTTAATGAAATAACAATTGTTTCTGAGGGGCCTTTGAACAAGTAAGCTGCTGAAAGGAAAAATGCTGTCATCAGAAAACAGGATGTTTAAATGTATGCATTTGGAGGCTGTGTACTGTCTGAAGATAAGGCTCGAGATGTTCATGGCAGTGTGTGGCTGGGGCTGGGGGATAAGAAAAGTTCATAGGTGATGAGGAAGCACATAAACTGAGGAGCCACTGTGTAGATGCTCGAGTTGCTGAGGATGCTGAATGGAGTTGGGTAGATAGCGGACCAGCTGCTGAAATACTCAACACTGAGGGAGAGGTTGACAGATGACAGCAACAAGGAGGAGAAGAAGAGGAGGGTGACAAAGTTAGATGGTATAAACTCAAAGAAACAGAGGTTTTTTGTTTTTGTTTTTTTTTGAGACAGAATCTTGCTCTGTCACCCAGGCTTGTCTCAAACTCCTGGCCTCAAGTGATCTGCCACTTTGGCCTCCCAAAGTGTTGAGCCACTGTGCCCAGCCCAGAGGGCTTTTTAAGATGAGGGGAAGTAATGGTTTGAAAACAAGTGTGGGTAGCAAAGAGGATCTCAAACTCCTCTTGATTCTGAGAGGGTCAAATTTTAGTCAAGAGCGAATGAGGGTTGGATGAAGAAATGAGCAAAATGTAGGAATGGAACCCTGGAAAACATTGACATTTAAGGAGCAAGTAGAAGGAGGAGGGAAGATTGGTCTGAAAGGTTTATGAAAGCCAAAAGAAAATGTTTCAATGAGAATGAGACAGGGAGGTCTAGTACAGTAAGTGCTGAAGAATGCACACTGAATTTGGCACTTCCGTCACTAGTGGCTTCAATGAAGACATTTCAGTAGAGCTGTGAGGGTAGAAGCCAGATTGTGCTGGGATAAGGACAGTCAGTTGTGTGATGTGCTAACAGTTGGAAGAGAATAAGTAATACAAACTACACATTTTTCCTCTTCATTTATAAAACAGAATAATTCTTCCCTCGAGATATATCAGAGATTCTGCAAAGAAACTTAAGAACTCTATAATTTTTCTTGATTAGTTTTATTTTTGTTTTATTCATTCCTTCAGCAAATACTAAAGTATCTACCATGAGGAAACTGAGGCACAGAAAGGTAAAGTGCCTTGCTCAAAGTTGCACAGCTTTAAATTGTGGAACCAGAATTTGAACCCAGGCACTAAATTTCAACCATTTAATTAAGAAGTTGTCAACTTCTGGATGGTCTCTAAAGCTGAGAGACTGCATGAGATTACCAATGGAGTGTGGAGAAGAGAGGAGTACTAAGGACTGAGACTTGAGGGCACCCCAACATGAAGGGTTTGAGGATGGGGAAGAGCCAGCCCAAGAAACTGAAAAGGAGGCACCAGTGAAGTGGAGAATGTGGTGTCCTAGAAGTTATGTTCAAACAGAAAGGAGTCAACAGCTGTGCCAAAAGCTGAGAGGTTAGCGGACTCAGCAACATGAAGGTCACTGGTACCTTTGGCAAGAGCTGTTTTGAGGGAGTGGGTTCAAGATAGGCTGGGCACAGTGGCTCATGCCTGTAATCCCCGCACTTTGGGAGGCCAAGGTGGGGCAGATCACTTGAATTTAGGAGTTCGAGACCAGCCCGGCCAACATTGTGAAACCCTGTCTCTATTAAAAATATAAAAATAAGCTGGGTGTGGTGGCATGCACCTGTAATCCCAGCTACTTGAGAGGTTGAGGTGGGAGAATCACTTGAACCCGGGAGGAGGAGGTTGCAGTGAGCCGAGGTCACGCCACTGCATTCCAGCCTGAGTGACTCAGTGAGACTCATTCTCAAAACCAAAAACAAAAAAAACAAAAAAACAACAAAACAAAAAAACCCAAAACAAAAGAGAGAGAGAGAGAGAGACTGGGAAGAGAGAAATGCAGTTGTGGCATGTTTATATGCTGATACGAAACATCTAGCAGAGATGGATGTCCTTCAGTAGGCCAAAGAAAATGGAATGCAGCGCACAAATGGAAGGCTTGGTCTCCCTAAGAGTGTGGATGGTTCACTCACAGCAGGAAGAAGCAGAACATCAGGCACAGATGCAGGGGGGAGGATATGTGAGGCAATGGGAGACTGGGAGTTCTCTTCTGACTGCTTTTATTTTCTCTTAGTGAGATAGGAAGCGAGACCAACTGAGGGTGAGAAGGGAAAGTATTAGAGGCATAAGAAGAAAGAAAAAGGCAGAAAATACTCATCCAGTAAGGGAGGAGAGTGAATAAACTAGGGAAACATGAAGTATGGTTGTTGGGCAATATTGAGAGCCTTCTTTTTCTCTTTTTTTTTTTGTAGGGGGGGAGACAGTCTCACTCTGTTGCCCAGGATGGAGTGCAGTGGCGCGATCTCAGCTCACTGCAACCTCTGCCTCCTGGATTCAAATAATTCTTCTGCCTCAGCCTCCCAAGTAGCTGGAATTACAGGTCCCCGCCACGAGGCCCAACTAATTTTTTTTGTATTTTTAGTAGAGACGAGGTTTCACCATGTTGGCCAGGCTGGTCTTAAACCCCTGACCTCAAGTGATCCGCCCGCTTCAGTCTCCCAAAGTGCTGGGATTATAGGCATGAGCCACGGTGCCTGGCCCAAGGGCCTTCTTAAAAGTCAGTTAAAAAAAACCAACCACCACCTAAAGATGTGTTTGGATGATTAAAAGATAATGAGTAACTCAGAAATATCTGTGAATGATTCAAATATACTATAATGATGGATATCTGTCATTACACAGTTGTTAAAACCCACGGAAAACATAATACGAAGAGTGAACCCTAAAACAAACTATGGACCTTAATTAAGAATAATATATTAATATTGGCTCATCAATTGTAACAAATACACCACAGTAATGTGAGATGTTAATAATAGGAGAAATTAGGGGTGGGGAGGGGATAAAGGGTATATGGGAACTCTCTGTACTTTAGGCTAATTTTTCTATAAAATTATAATGCTAAAAAAGTATATTAGTAAAAAAACACAGAAGGATAGGAATTGCTATGTGTGTGTTTTGGGTGTTGGGTGGGTTGCCCTGGGGATTTAGATACTGGGAGATGTGGGTATAACCTGAGTGTTCTAAGCTTCTTAGGGTGATATAACCAGATATGGGATAAAGGGTGAAATGAGATTAGATGACAGCCTCAAGACGGAGAGGTGATGAGGTTGTAGGAGGGTGGAAGCTCTCTGGGGCCCTTTCTTCACTCTTGCTAATGGTGATAAGAATGCCAGGGTGGGAGCAGTCTTATTCTTGACAATAGGCTTTATGCTCTCCAATCTGCAAAATTTATTGTGATTTCTGGTCTATAAAATTGGTGACTATAGAACCATAATCCTGCATTATATTCTTTCTTTTTTTCAGGTAGTAACTAGTACTTCAATCTGTTCTTAGCTTTATATTTGATGCTCAGATATATTAATGGGAAAGTGGCTGTTTCTACCAAGAAAATGGGTTTTGAAGTCTTGAATCCATTCAGTAGGTGTACGTTTATATGAAGGCAAACGTTTCCAGGAGCCGTCTTCACATTTCTTCATAAACTGGTCAAAGAGCAGTCTTAGGTCCTTGTTCCAGCTGGGGTTGGGGACAGAACAGTCCTTAAGAATGACTTCCTCAGAAGAAAATGACCTCTAAAAGACAGAAGAAAAAGAAAAGTAAGTAATGGGAGGTGCATTCTATTTCATAACATATTCTCCCAATTTCTAAGATTATCTTGCTGCTTTTCTTCTCCCCATAAGCTTGTCACTTCAAAATGGAAGGGAATTTCAGGGATCATCTGGTCCAACCTCCTTGGGAAAATGAGAGACTGAGAGAGGGAAAATGATTTGCTCAACATCACCCAGCGAGCTATTGACAGAGCCAGGATTATGCTCAGGTCTGCTGATTCCATTCTTTTTTTCCAGACTTTAATCAAGCACAGGTAAGCCCAGCACACTGGAGATGGAGGTTAAGAACAGGCATTATCTTCCATGTTGAAAGTGCTTCCAGTGGCTATGCACAGGAAGTTAGGGGATAAGGGAGAAGTACTCATCTAGGATTAGGGGTTCAGGAAGGGGTTCTTTGACTTGAATATTGATTAGATAAGCAGAAATTAGCCAGCTGGAAAAAGTATTACAGGAAAAAAAAAAAAAACACTGGAATATAGTTTGGATGTGTGTTCCCGCTCAAATCTCATATTGAAATGTAATCCCCAAAGTTGGAGGTGGGCCCTGGTGGGAGGTGAATGGATCATGGGGGTGAATTTCTCATGGACGGTTTAGCACCATCCTCCTCGGTACTGTCCTCATGATAGTGAGTTCTCATGAGATCTGGTTGTTTAAAAGTGTATAGTACCTTGTGCCTTGCACTCTTGCTCTTGCTGTGTCCATGTGAAGTGCCTGCTCCTGCTTTGCCTTCTGCCATGACTGTAAGTTTTCTTGCTTCCTTTTTTTTTTTTTTTTTTTTTTGAGACAGAGTCCCACTCTGTTGTCCAGGCTGGAGTGCAGTGGCGCAATCTTGGCTCACTGCAACCTCCACCTCCTGGGTTCAAGTGATTCTCCTGCCTCAGCCTTCTGAGTAGCTGGAGTTACAGGTGCCGCCCCACCACACCCGGCTAATTTTTGTATTTTTAGTAGGGATGAGGTTTCACCATGTTGGACAGGCTGGTCTCGAACTTCTGACCTTAGGTGATCTGCCCACCTCGGCCTCCCCAAGTGCTGGGATTACAGGAGTGAGCCACTGTGCCCGGCTGACTGTAAGTTTTCTGAGCCCTCCCCAGCAGCCAAGCAGATGCCACCATCATGCTTCCTGTATAGCCTGTAGAAATGTGAGTCAATTAAACTTCTTTTCTTTATAAATTACGCAGCCTCAGGCATTTCTTTATAGCAATGTGAGAACAGCCTAATGCAGTGGGCAAAAGAGGCATGAAACAGTTTTGAGGGGCCTTATTACAATCATATGAAGTAGGTACTATTTATTATCCTCATTTTGCAGATGATGAAATTAAGGCCTAAAAGAAGTTTGGCATTATTAGGGTGCAAGAATAGGGGCAGATGGCTGCAGAAATGCATGTAAAACCTTAACACTAAGCTAACTGGCTTGAATTGTATCTGCAGTGCTCTCTGAGGGATTTTAAATGGGGGGTAACATGATTAGATCTTTCCATAATATAAAAGATAGTGGGAGTGTCCAAGGTTGAAATCAGAGGGCCCTATTTGGAAGCTACTAGGGTAACTCAGGTGAGAAATCATGAGAGCATGAAGCAGAACTTGGTGACAATTTGGATAAGGAGGGTAAGGGAAAAAGAGAAATACAAGACCCAGTACCAGGATTCTGAATCCTGCAGTGAGGTGAATGACAGAGCCAATTACCAAAAAATATAGGAGAAAGAGGAGTAGGGAGCTCAGGGGACAAGTTTTTGGTGTCACAGTAACCACAACTTCCATCCATCTATTTCTGTAGCACCAAGCACTGCTATTACTCCAATGCCCAGGCAACAAATGGAACATTGCAGGGATCCTAGAGGACCTGGAAGACAAAGTGTGACTTACTCAGGAGCAGAACAAAGTGTATGCCCACAAACACCAGAAAGGAAACTGGCTTTTTGGACTGCTGCAGTTATCTTGGAACATGTAGGATCACAGAAGCTATTAACTCCATGGCATTCTACTTTCAGCCACCCTTATCAATTCATTCAGATTTAATGTACCTACAATACACACACTGCACCATAAAACCAAAACGGGGAGGTCACAGTATGATGGGAGAACCAGCTTTCTGCTGACAGGGGCTGGCTCCAATGCTGGCTTGGTGGGAAGAATACAGAGAACCTGTCTCAAAAACTCTATGGAAGAAGAGACAGCCTGGCCTCCCAACCTATATCTTTCTTCCATGCTGGATGCTTCCTGCCCTCGAACATCGGACTCCAGGTTCTTCAGTTTTGGGACTCTGACTGGCTCTCCTTGCTCCTCAGCTTGCAGACAGCCTATTGTGGGACCTTGTGATCGTTCTTAATTATTGTAGGAACATAATACGTGTTGGATTGGGCAGAGTGATTCCTCCAACTTTCTTCAAAATCGTATTAGCTGAGCATGTGGAGGCTTGTATTGTGAATTTTAGTTCAAGATTGACTGCAAGAACCAGCAATCCCAAGAGGACCCACAGACCCTCTGAAGGAAGCGGACTACTCCTGCAGGACCGGGAGACATCCCAAATACTGTGAGTGCCCCAACTGTGGAATTGGGAAAGAAAGACCCTCCTCTCCTGAACACACACCCCTACTGGAGAAGCTGGTCTGTCTGCAGGAGAAATTTCTGACTTTACCTGGAGCTGAGTCAAGTTAGAGAGCTAAGCTGAGCGAAATACAGGGTAAGGGAAGCAGCAGAAAGGCCCTGGGAGCTCACTGGGTCCCCAAGCAGCCCATACCTGCCTGGCACCACAGGGATTCATCAGGAGGGTGGCCAAAGGAGCAGGGGGTAAAATTCCACAGGGAGAAGAAATTCTGCGGCTGAACTTTGTAACAGTTTGAACTGGGGAGAAGCTTCCTGGCCAGAACTCGGGGAGGGCATGAACCCGGCTTGCAGACTTCACAGGTCGGGGAAGAACTAAAGCCCTTTTCTTTTGCAGCTGGGAGGTGGAAAGCCTCAGACAAGTTTTCAAGCCCGTCTTGCCCTCCACCTGGAAACAGACACGGGGATGTTGGAAGGGCATGGTGGGAGTGAGACCGGCCCTTCGGTTTGCATGGGAGCTGGGTGAGGCCTGTGACTGCCGGCTTTCCCCAACTTCCCTGACAACCTGTATGACTCAGCAGAGGCAGCCATAATTCTTCTAGGTACACAACTCCAGTGACCCGGGAATCTCACTGCCATCCCCCACAGAAGCTGCAGCAAGATCCCCCCAAGGAGAGTCTGAGCTCAGATGTGCCTAGCCCCAGCCCCAGGTGATGGTCCTTCCCTATCCACCCTGGTAGCAGAAGACAAAGGGCATATAATCTTGGGAGTTCTAGGGCCCCGCCCACCACCGGTCCCTCACCATACTGCTACAGCTGATGCTTTCTGGAAAGTGCCACCTCTTGGCAGGAGGCCAACCAGCACAAAAGTAGAGCATTAAACCAAAGCTAAGAACCCTCACAGAGTCCACTGCACCCTCTGCCACCTCCACCAGAAAAGGCACTGGTATTCATGGCTGGGAGACCCATAGACAGCTCACATCACAGGACTCTGTGCAGACAACTCCTAGTACCAACCCAGAGCTGGGCAGACTCACTGGGTGGCTAGACCCAGAAGAGAGAAAACAATCACTGTAGTTCAGCTCACAGGAAGCCACATCCACAGGAAAAGGGGGAGAGTACTACATCAGCAGAACACCCTGTGGAACACAAAAATCTGAACAACAGCCTTCAGCCCTAGACCTTCCCTTTGACAGAGTCTACCTACCCAAATGAGAAGGAACCAGAAAACCTACCCAGGTAATATGACAAAACAAGGCTTGTCGACACCCCCCAAAAATCACACTAGTTCACCAGCAATGGATTCAAACCAAGAAGAAATCCCTGATTTATCTGAAAAAGAATTCAGGAGGTTAGCTATTAAGGCAATCAGGGAGATACCAGAGAAAGGCAAAGCCCAATGCAAGGAAATCCAAAAAATGATACAAGAAGTGAAGGGAGGGCCAGGTGTGGTGACTCACGCCTGTAATCCCAGCACTTTGCGAGGCCAAGGTGGGCAGATCACAAGGTCAAGAGATTGAGACCATCCTGGCCAACATGGTGAAACCCCATCTCTACTAAAAATACAAAAATTAGCTGGGCATGGTGGCACACGCCTGTAGTTCCAGCTACTCGGGAGGCTGAGGCAGGAGAATTGCTTGAAGCTGGGAGGTGGAGGTTGCAGTGAGCCAAGATTGTGCCACTGCACTCCAGCCTGGGCGACAGAGTGAGTCAAAAAAAAAAAAAAAAGAAGGGAGAAATATTCAAGGAAATAGCTTAAAGAAAAAACAATAAAAAATTCAGGAAATTTTGGACACACTTTTAGAAATGCAAATTAACCTAATCCAACAAAGAGAAAGAAAAAGAACAAGAAAATATGAACAAAGCCTCCAAGAAGTCTGGGATTTTGTTAAACTACCAAACCTAAGAATAATTGGTCTTCCTGAGGAAGAGGACAATTCTAAAAGCTTGGAAAACATATTTGGGGGAATAATCGAGGAAAACTTCCCTGGTCTTGCTAGAGATCTAGACATGCAAATACAAGAAGCACAAAGAGCACCTGGGAAATTCATCACAAAAAGATCTGCACCCAGACACATTGTCATCAGGTTATCCAAAGCTAAGACAAAGGAAAGAATCTTAAGAGCTGTGAGAAAGAAGCACCAGGCAACCTATAAAGGAAAATCTATCAGCTTAACAGCAGATTTCTCAGCAGAAACCCTACAAGCCAGAAGGGATTGGGGCCCTATCTTCAGCCTCCTCAAACAAAACAATTATCAGCCAAGAATTCTGTATCCAGTGAAACTAAGTATCATATATGAACGAAAGATACAGTCCTTTTCAGACAAACAAATACTGAGAGAATTCGCCATTATCAAGCCACCATTACAAGAACTGCTAAAAGGAGCTCTAAATCTTGAAACAAATCCCAGAAACCCATCAAAACAGAACCTCTTTAAAGCATAAATCACACAGGACCTATAAAACAAAAATACAAGTTAAAAAGCAAAAACAAAAAATAAAAAAAACCCCACAGTACACAGGCAACAAAGAGTACAATGAACACAATGGCACCTCACATTTCAATAATAACATTGAATGTAAATGGCCTAAGTGCTCCACTTAAAAGACACAGAACCGCAGAATGGATAAGAACTCACAAACCAACTATATGCTGTCTTCAAGAGACTCACCTAGCACATAAGGACTCAAATAAACTTAAAGGGTGGAAAAAGGCATTTCATGCAAATGGACACCAAAAGCAAGCAGAGATAGGTAGCTATTCTTACATCAGACAAAACAAACTTTAAAGCAACAGCAGTCAAAAAAGACAAAGAGGGACATTATACAATGGTAAAAGGCCTTGTCCAAAAGGAAAATATCACAATCCTAAACATATATGCACCTAACACTGGAGCTCCCAAATTTATAAAACAATTACTAACAGACCTAAGAAATGAGATAGACAGCAACAAAATAATAGTGGGGGACTTCAATACTCCACTGACAGCTGCTGGGGATAGGCCCCCAAATCTGGCCATAAACTGGCCCCAAAACTGGCCATAAACAAAATCTCTGCAGCACTGTGACATATTCGTGATGGCCATGATGCCCATGCTGAAGGTTGTGGGTTTACCGGAATAAGGGCAAGGAACACCTGGCCCAACCAGGGCAGAAAACCGCTTAAAGGTGTTCCTAAGCCACAAACAATAGCATGAGCAATCTGTGCCTTAAGGACATGTTCCTGCTGCAGATAACTAGCCAGAGCCCATCCCTTTGTTTTGGCCCATCCCTTTGTTTCCCCTAAGGAATACTTTTAGTAAATCTATAATCTATAGAAACAATGTTTATCACTGGCTTGCTGTCAATAAATATGTGGGTAAATCTCTGTTAGGGGCTCTCAGCTCTGAAGGCTGTGAGACCCCTGATTTCCCACTCTACACCCTATATTTCTGTGTGTCTTTAATTTCTCTAGCACTGCTGGGTTAGGGTCTCCATAACTGAGCTGGTCTTGGCAGATAGCACTAGACAAGTCATCAAGACAGAAAGTCAACAAATAAACAATGGATTTAAACTATACCTTGGAACAAATGGACTTAACAGATACATACAGAACATTTCATCCAACAACCACAGAATACACATTCTATTCAACAGTGCATGGAACTTTCTCCAAGATAGATCATGATAGGCCATAAACAAGCCTCCATAAATTTAAGAAAATTGAAATTATATCAAGCACTCTCTCAGACCATAGTGGAATAAAACTGGAAATCAACTCCAAAAAGGAACCTTCAAAACCATGCAAATAGGCCAGGCGCTGTGGCTCATGCCTGTAATCCCAGCACTTTGGGAGGCTGAGGCGGGAGGATCACCTGAAGTCAGGAGTTCGAGATCAGCCTGACTAACACGGCAAAACCCAGTCTCTACTAAAAATACAAAAATCAGCCAGGAGTGGTGGCATGCGCCTGTAATCCCAGCTACTCAGGAGACCGAGGCAGGAGAACTGCCTGAACCCAGGAGGCAGAGGTTGCAGTGAGCTGAGATTGTGCCACTGCACTCCAGCCTGGGCAACAAGAGCGAAACTCTGTCTCAGAAAAAAACAAACAAAAAAAAAAAACAAAAAAACCATGCTCCTGAATGAGCACTGGGTCAAAAATGAAATCAAGATGGAAATTTAAAAAATTCTTCAGATTGAATGACAATAATGACACAGCCTATCAAAACCTCTGGGATACAGCTAAGGCAGTGCTAAGAGGAAAGTTCATAGCCCTAAATGCCTACCTCAAAAAGTCTGAAAGAGCACAAACAGACAAAACCACAATGCGATACCACCTTACTCCTGCAAGAATTGCCATAATAAAAAAACTCAAAAAACAGTAGATGTTGCTGTGGATGCAGTGATCAAGGAACATTTCTACACTGCTGGTGGGAATGTAAACTAGTATAGCTGCTATGGAAAACAGTGTGGAAAAGAAGTCATTATTCGAAAAAGATACTTGCACATGCATGTTTATAGCAGCATCATCCCCAATTGCAAATCATGGAACCAACCCAAATGCCCAACACAAAATCGTGGAACCAACCCAAATTCCCAGTGACCTGGATGAGACTGGAGACTATTATTCTAAGTGAAGTAACTCAGGAATGGAAAACCAAACATTGTATGTTCTCAATTATATGGGAGAGCTAAGCTATGAGGACGCAAAGGCATAAGAATGATACAATGGACTTTGGGGACTTGGGGGGAAGAATGGGAGGGGGATAAGGGATAAAAGACTATAAATATGGTGCAGTGTATAATGCTCAGGTGATGGGTGCACCAATATCTCACAAATCACTAGTGTAAAGAACTTACTCATGTAACCAAATACCACCTGTACCTGAATAACTTATGGAAAAATAAAATTAAAAAATAAAAATTAAACAAAACAGATCAAAACTAAACTCTATGGAAGCTGAGGCGTGGTGGCACACCTGCAGTCCCAGAACTTTGGGGGTGCCAAGGCGGGTGGATCACTTGAGGTCAGGAGTTTGAGACCAGCCTGGCCAACATGGTGAAACCCTATCTCTACAAAAAATACAAAAATTAGCCATGCGAGATGGTGTGTGCCTGTGGTCTCAGCTACTTGGGAGGCTGAGGAACAAGAGTTGCTTGAACCAGGGAGGTGGAGGTTGCAGTGAGCCAAGACTGCACCACTGCACTCCAGTCCGGGCAACAGAGTGAGATTCTGTCTCAAAAACAAACAAACAAAAAACTCTACAGAATAAAAACGTCCTGGCTGAAAAAAAGGAAGTCCTGACTTTGGAGTATCAGAGGGTTGGGGATACATGATCAGGGTTGAAACCACTTTGCCCTTAGCCCAGGATTTGTAATCTTTTTCCATATATATATATTTTTTAATTGGTTCATCCTTCCAGAACCCAGCTCAGAAAATTTGGGAAAGAAAGAAAAGAAAAAGTTTTAAACCCACCCATCTCTCCCTCTTAATATAATTAATGGCAAATTTTCTTTCCTCCAAATTTTTTAAATATAATTTTTCCTAATATACTTGTAATCTCAGTAAAAACAAAAACAAACAAAATTTTAAAAATCCCACAATTTTGCTTTCTACATTTACCACTTGAAATTATTTAGTGTTCACTTTCTCCGTAATATCAGTTACCACCATTTTCAATAGCAGAAAAATAGTCCATTAAACTGATATACTATATAATTAGCCATTAAGGTAGATATTTAAATTATTTCCAATCTTTTGCTGCTCTAAATGAAAATGTCCACTGGAACATTATGAATATAGCTTTTCCTCTATTTTGGATTATTTCCTTAGAATCCAGTCCTGATTATGTAACTTTTAAAGGACATGAATCTAGAAGTAACCCAACAAGACAATTCATCACAGATTACTATGTATTGACCAAAACATGTCAACTGAGAGGCAGAATAGTATGTATAAGCTTTGGAGTTATGAATTTGAACTCATCTCATTAGCCACTGGTCTCATCTTAAACAAGTAACACTAGGATCCATCAGTTCCACTGTCCTTTTATGGATACAGAGCTAATTAAATACTTTTAGGAATTAGAATGACTCCCTTAACTGTGGGTTCTCCTGATTTTAACTTTTAAAGTCTGGGATTCCGTTAAATCCAAGAAACTTTTTTTGAGTCCTACTACATGCCCTGGTTCTATGTGAGGGACAGGTAAAACAGAGAGAAGACTTAGACCCTGCCTTCAAGTGTTAGCAGCCTTGGATGTGAAAAATACTACAAGAGAAATAGATACAGGCATAGAACGGATGACTTTCAGGGAAAACTTTGAAATGATGGAGTGATTTCCTACGGATAAAAAGTTCATTAAGGAGAGAATGGGGAGGGGGCCTGCTCCAAGCGAAGGCATAGGAGATTGAAATAAACGTATCACATTGGGGAACTGCTAGGGTTTCAGCCTTCATATATGTAAGGTGGAAAGAGAAGAGCAGCAAGATGTGAAGAACTAGAGGGATCACACCATAGGGCTTAGATTTCAACTTCTAGGTCAGTATTTCCAAAGACCAGCATGAAAAATGATTTTAGGTGGCACAAGGACAAAAATATATGTATTTTAAAATATAACAAAATATATTCATATATTATAAAAGGACATAAGTAGAAAACTCACACGTGATTTCACCAATGTTATTACATAGGATTAAGTTAACTAAAGAAGTGGCGTCTTTAAAGAATCATGAAAGCACTTGAATGATACAGCACGTTTTTCCTTTATGAGGAGACTTAAGGAGTTTTAAGCAAGGGAGTAATATGAACATAGGTTTTAGAAAGCTCCATCTGGTGTAACGAATGAATTAAAATGGTGAAATGCAATGGTAGGGAAACCAGTTAAAAGACTGTTGCAAAGGCCCAGGTCAGATATGGTCAGAATCTGAACTAGGTACTGAGTAATGAAAAGTAAAGTTTTAAGATATTTAGGACATTGGGACTGAGGGATGTGGGGAGTTACTGACTGGGAAAGAGAAAGCAGAAGAGTCTTGAATGATTATCTAGAGCTGTGGCTTTGAAAACTAGGGTGAATAGAATGAAAAGAAAGGTTTTTCTTAGTGTGCACATGTGGATCAGGAGAGAGAAAACAGGAGTGTAACTATTAATTTTAGTTTGGCAGGGGTTGAATTTGTTACTCCAGATGGACACTATAATAATGTAGAAATAGAAATAATAAAGGTTTCAGTTCAAGGAGGTGAAAACTAAGAGATACCTGAAGTAAAGACAAAGCATAGATTATAAATGAAGTAGAAATGTTAGGGACAACGATTATATTTTGTTGTCCTGAACAGAGGAAAGGTCTTGCTTGAGCTTTGGTTACACATTTATAAAGTGGTAAGACAGCGAAGTAAAAAGAGCTCCCCAGAGAACCTCCCACCAGCCTTTGACTGGGAGAACAGGGTGGAGCCACAGAAGTTCATGCCATTGGCAGACGCAAGGAGCCTGGCCTCTTGAGTTCCTGTGTGGCAGGGTAGGAGCAGCTCCCTCTTCCTCTGCTGAGGTTTTTCTCTTTTTCCTTTTTTGCCCAATAAATTCCATTATTCTCACCCTTCTGTGTCCACAAGACTGATCTTTCCTGATTGTGTGACAAGAACTTAGATGAATTGAGAAGAAAGTCCTTTTTTTTTTTGAGACAGAGTCTCACTCTCACCCTAACTGTGTTTGGCGCTCAAATATGGGGCCTGAGGAAGTGAGGCAGGAAATTGAAGAAAGCAAAATAAAATTTAAAAAGTGAAAAACAAGCTTTCTATATGAGGCTGACTCATCCCAAAGGCAGTAACAGGCAAAGCCCTGACCCGGGTGTAGTCTTGATAACATTCTCAAAGAAACCAGGGCTCAAAGGATGTGCTCTGGAGACTCTTCCAGCACTCCCTCAACAAAAGGATAAGAAAAAGTAAAGTTCCCCCTTGAATCCCATCCCCTTCCGTGTGATTGTACCTTGCTCTGCAAGTTTTATGAGTTTATAGATTCCTGTTTTCTGTAACTAGTAACTTCAAGTATTCTGTTTTATCTAAACAGCACAGTGAAGGTTATAAGACATGCCTGAGTAGGCCTAGGCTGCGGCCGTCTGGGCACCATAGTGAAGATTATGAGATAAGCACTTGCAAGGCTCTTTTGAGCAAGCCTAGATAACAGCCACCTGGGCTGCATAAGCAAGGGTCATAGTGAGAGGTGACAGTGTGCTGGAAGTCCTCACAGCCCTCGCTCCCTCTCGGCGCCTCCTCTGCCTGGGCTCCCACTTTGGCGGCACTTCAGGAGCCCTTCAGCCCACTGCTGCACTGTGGGAGCGCCTTTCTGGGCTGGCCAAGGCCAGAGCCGGCTCCCTCAGCTTGCAGGAAGGTGTGGAGGGAGAGGCGCGAGCAGGAACCAGGGCTGCGCGGGGTGCTTGTGGACCAGCTGGAGTTCCAGGTGGGTGTGGGCTTGGCGGGCCCTGCACTCGGAGCAGCCAGCCGGCCCTGCCGGCCCCACGCAATGAGGGGCTTAGCACCCGGGCCAGTGGCTGCAGAGGGTGTACTGGGTCCCCCAGCAGTGCCGGCCCACTGGCGCTGCGCTCGATTTCTCACTGGGCCTTACCTGCCTTCTGGCGGGGCAGGGCTCGGGACCTGCAGCCTGCCATGCCTGAGCCTCCCACGCCCTCCGTGGGCTCCTGCACGGCCCGAGCCTCCCTGATGAGTGCTGCCCCCTGCTCCACGGCGCCCAGTCCCATCGAGCACCCAAGGGCTGAGGAGTGTGGGCACACAGCGTGGGACTGGCAGGCAGTTCCACCTGCAGCCCCAGTGCGAGATCCACTGGGTGAAGCCAGCTGGGCTCCTGAGTCTAGTGGGAACTTGGAGAACCTTTATGTCTAGCTAAAGGACTGTAAATACACCAATCGGCACTCTGTATCTAGCTCAAGGTTTATAAACACACCAATCAGCACCCTATGTCTAGCTCAGGGGTTGTGAATGCACCAATCGACACTCTGTATCTAGCTACTCTGGTGGGGACTGGGAGAACCTTTGTGTTGACACTCTGTATCTAGCTAATCTGGTGTGGACGTGGAGAACCTTTGTGTCTAGCTCAGGGATTGTAAATGCACCAATCAGGGCCCTGTCAAAACAGACCACTTGGCTCTACCAATCAGCAGGATGTGGGTGGGGCCAGATAAGAGAATAAAAGCAGGCTGCCCAAGCCAGCAGTGGCAACCCGCTCGGGTCCCCTTCCACACTGTGGAAGCTTTGTTCTTTCGCTCTTTGCAATAAATCTTGCTGCTGCTCACTCTTTGGGTCCACACTGCCTTTATGAGCTGTAACACTCACCGCGAAGGTCTGCAGCTTCACTCCTGAAGCCAACGAGACCACAAACCCACCGGGAGGAACGAACAACTCCAGACGTGCTGCCTTAAGAGCTATAACACTCACCACGAAGGTCCGCAATTTCACTCTTGAGCCAGCAAGACCATGAACCCACCAGAAGGAAGAAACTCTGAACACATCCGAACATCAGAAGGAACAAACGCCGGACATGCCGCCTTTAAGAACTATAACACTCACCACGAGGGTCCGTGGCTTCTTTCTTGAAGTCAGTGAGACCAAGAACCCATCAATTCCGACACAGTATGTAATCCTGAATTATGCACCTGTCACAATTTGATGAATTAATTGCCTTTGTGCTGCCTCTGTATCCTTGCTTTCACGCCACTATGCTTCACGCCACTGTAAGCTTGTTTCAAGCTAGCCCACCCCCTTTTAAAAGTGTGTATTAAAGTCAAGTGCTGTCTTTGTTCTGGGCCCAGCTTTTGGATGTTAGTCCGCTGGGTCTGAGTGCACTCAATAAAGTTCTCCTGTCTCACCCCATGGCCTCTCCAGTCCTCCTTCATTCCTGCAACAGAAGGATGAGTGAAATGGGGACTCAAAACCTCTCACTTTCATTTCTGAGCCTTTTGGTCTTATGGCATTCCTCTTCTTTTTGGGGGGACAGCAACGGCACCTATTTTTCTTTTTACGATACTGGAGGTGGTCCACACCCACCCCAATGGTCACCAGTGCACTCACAAGACAGTTGGGTGGGGTAGCTCCCTGGCCCCACTTCTTTACTGGCTGGGGTGCATGGTGGTGTCTGCAGCATGTGTGTGTGGTGTCCAGTAGCCACACAGGGCATAAATGAGCCACAGCCACTGCCCAGGCTCCAAGGCGCCGGCATGGCTGGCTGGCGTTCCCTACCAGGTGCCTGCAGTCTCCCCCTCCCCATTCCAGGGAGTCTAGCTCTGTCCCACAGCAATTAAGCTCCTCTCTCTGGTGGAGGAACCATTTGCATAGGAATAAGAGGTTCTTCCCCCAGGCATCCTTATCTCCTCTCCAACCCATCAGCAGTATACTTTTAAAGGAGGTTTTTCTTTTCCTTTTGGAAGACGTTTTGCTCTTTTGGGAATGATGAGGATTACCGTTTATATTTTCTGTAAAGTTTTGTGCGAAAGGATTTGTGAGGTAAGTCGTAAGCTGTAGCCAATCTGTGTGTTTTGCATGTCTTTCTGTATGCTCCACAGCAAACTTCGCTGCAGGCCTCCATCTTGTTTTACGTCCTTGGGGGCGTGGCCTGTAACCCCATTGCATAGCTTCGTTTAGCCCGGCATGGCCCAGATTCATCCTGGCTTAGGGAATGAGTCCTTTCTGGTTTGGTATCTGTATGCCCTTTCGCTATTTGTCGATTCCCCTGCCCTCCACCAACCACCTTGGATTTTCCTTTCTCTGAGCCTTTAAGTAAAGTTTGAAAGCCAGAAATATTGGCCGCTTGGTGGAGCTAAAGTTAGATAATAAGGGTGTTAAAAGAATTTTCTTAAGGAGTGCTCAGCTTAATTAAAAGTAGATATCTAAGTTGTAATTATATTTATAAGGCCTTTATGTTTTCCTTTTCTTGGACCTTATTTTGCTGGAAAAAGTGTTTCTTTGCGGTCGACTGAGTTATTTTTCTCCATTTTGCCTTGCCACTTTTAATGCCTGCATAAGAGGGGCGATCTCTGTTTTCCTCATGGAACCCCAGGAATTAAAAGCAGATAGATCCCTCTCCCTGTGATGAAAGATCTTATGGCAACTGGGTTTTCTTCTGCCTGTCTGTGTAGTTATATATGTGTTGTGTGTGATGTCTATAAAAAGATCTCTAATTAATTGACCTAAAGGAAGATAAGCGTTTGGATCAAATATTTTTTTAAAGGGAAGATAAAAGCTGTGGTATCTTTTAGTTCACGTCACTTTAATCTTTGAAAAATAAAAACAGCCTCAAATATTATTGGTAAAATACAGATGTTGTCAAAATATAAATAGACAGACTAAATTATGCAGTTCAGGTAGCGCCCTGCCGACCCTGTCTCTTAAAAAACAAAAAAACGGGGTCACCTTTCCATCCCTTTTCTAACGGTTTGAATCTCAGGACTGTATTCCTAGGCCCCTGTTGCTTATGCTGCCCTGTGGTGCCCAGGTGAGCTTTTATTCTGAGATTGGCTGGTTGGGGTATGGATAACAATCGAAGGCTCTGTTACCGCAGGCGTGTTTCTGAGTCCTGCTCCCGCCCCATGCCCGAGGGTGCCCAGACTCACCAGCTCGGGTCGCGGCTCGCTTCCCGGCAGGCGCCGGCCTACTGGCGGCAGGCACAGAGCCCCCAGCGTGCGGAGGCGCGCGGCGCAGCTCCTCAGCATGGCTCCGGGCCGCGGGGCCGCGCTTGCTCTAGCCCTGGACGGCGCACTCTACCTCCGCCACAAGAGCGCGCGTGCGAGTTAACCCCTGGGGTGGACGCAGGGCGGGGCTTGGGGAGGAGGCGGTGCGCACTACTGGCGGCTGGCTGGCCGGGGTGTGAGGCCGGCGGGGTCCGGGTAGGGCATCGCTGTTGAGTCTATCTTCTGGTTCCGGCCTTTTCTTTCCGAAGACCTCCCGCTGCGGCCAACAGCCGGGCCACTTCCGGGGCTTCTCAAAGGCAAGAGGAGCGCGGCCGGAGCGGATCCCGGTTATCGCCTTGGGCCCCTCAGCCCCTCAGCCCCGGAACCCGCGCGCCGACTGGAGGCTTTGCGGTCATCCTTCCCACATGACCCAGGGCGTACGCAGTGCTCCGTGTCCCCAAGTAGTTATCCCTCCCCCGGAAGACTGAAGTCCCTGGGGCGGGTAGGAGCGCACGCTAGGAGTAGTATGAATAAAGTGTTTTCTTGGAGGTCATGGGCAAGTCTCTGGACAGGGTTGATAGTGCTGATTTATAGAGGGCAGTCTGGGCACAAAGAGCATTTATACGATCGAAAAGCTGCTTTCCCTGCCAACAGCCCCATACCCTCCCCAGGAGCGCGCTTACGCCTTAAAAGACTCTTTTGTTATGTAAACTGACAGTTAAATTAAACGAAGGTAATGGATACTAAAGGCGTAACAGGTATTGTAACTATTTTACTGTTATCGATGCTTTTGAGGTTACTTACCTCGCTTGTATTCGTATGGTGGGAATACTAGGCGCATACCTTCTGAGCTTCGAATTCAGTAACCTCACTGGGACCTTGAAATCGGACTGGGTTGGAGTATTCCCATTACTCAGATAATGCAAATCCGGGCCATCATACCCCTTTATTTTTAAATGCTTACCAGTATGCCATAGCCCTAGTCCATCCTAAGGTGAAGACTCTAATGGGTTTTTTTTGAGACAGAGTCTCGCAGAGATACTGCTATTGCACTTCAGCCTGGGCAACATACTGATGCCCCATCTCAAAAAAGCAATAAATTAAAAAGAAAACTCGAATGACCTGAATGCATTAGATATTTTGCCTTGATTCCTTTCCCATGAACAACTCCAGCAGTTTGTCAGTAGGTAAGAACACCTAGATACATTTTAAGCCTACACTATTAACTGGGGGAAGGTGTAACATTCTGAGAGAAAGGGAATTGGGGAGAGAAGGCAATGCAGTTAGGAGGGGCCCCTTGGAATCCTAGAGCTACTGAACCGAAGATCAGGCATAAAGGATGGTTGTTGAGATTCTGTAATTCTAAGAGGTTGTATTCTGATATCTCCTAAGCACCCCCCCCAACCTCCCACATTCCCTTTATCTCAGTTGTCTTCCTTTTTAATATATTAATAGTATTGCAGTTTCCTGGTGGCAGGGATGGGGTCAGATTGCCTTATTAATTGTAACAACGTGCACGTAGTGCTTGAATACTTACTTAGCAGCAAGAATCCAAAGTATCTTTGGTGTCTGTTGTCTTCCCATGTTGTGCGTGCAGATGGAGGCACGAGCATAACGTAAATCTCTAAAATTGAGATGACTACTGTTAATGAATAGAAAAGTTTATTCAGGTAACTTAAAATTGCATCTATTTACAATTTACAGTGTAGTCAAATCAATCAATACCTATAGACTTCAACCCTGCTAAGATTGTCTATATGATTAATGTACCAATAGCTCACCTAACAGCTTCCTTTTGTTTTTTTGAGATGGAGTCTCACTCTGTTGCCCAGGCTGGAAGTGCAGTGGCATGATCTTGGCTCACTGCAACCTCTGCCTCCAGGGTTCAAGCGATTCTCCCTGCCTCAACCTCCCGAGTAGGTGGGATTACAGGCGCGTGCCACCACATCTGGCTAATTTTTATATTTTTGGTAGAGACGGGGTTTCACCCTGTTGGCCAGGCTGGTCTTGAACTCCTGACCTCAAGTGATCTGCCTGCCTCCCAAAGTGCTGGGATTACCAGCATGAGCCACTGCACTCGGCACCTATCAGCTTCTTAAAAGACCTTAGACTTAGGGCAATTAGAGGTCAGTTACACTGAGTTTAAACTTCATTAAATTTTAACTCTAAATTTTTCAAGTAGCGGCAGTGCATTTAGTTAAGTCATCCACACTCTTGCATGGCTTACTCTGGGATATTCGTGTTGACAGCACATATAAAATGTCTGGTCAGATTTGGAAGAGGAAGGGCAGGTTACAGTCTAGAAATAGGATTGATAGGCTATGGAAGTGAAGGAGTTTGAAGCTTGTATGGTTTAGGCAAGGAACAAATGTTCAATCTTGATAGAACTAGGCTTCGAATAAGCCAATGGTATGAAACTTAATAGTCTTCTCACCATTCTTTAATTTTGTAGACAGCTTTATTGAGGTGTAGTTGCCATAGGATGGGCACCGTGGCTCATACCTGTAATTCCAGCACTTTGGGAGGCTGAGGTGGGTGGATCACCTGAGGTCAGGAGTTTGAGACCAGCCAGGCCAACATGGTGAAACCCCGTCTCTGCTAAAAATACAAAAATTAAGGCCGGGCGCAGTGGCTCACTCCTATAATCCCAGCACTTTGTGAGGCTGCAGCGGGCAGATCACGAGGTCAGAAGATTGAGACCGTCCTGGCTAACACGGTGAAACCCTGTCTCTACTAAAAATACCAAAAATTAACCGGGCGTGGTGGCGGGCGCCTGTAGTCCCAGCTACTCGGGAGTCTGAGGCAGGAGAATGGCGTGAACGTGGGAGGCGGAGCTTGCAGTGAGCCAAGATCGCGCCACTGCACTCCAGCCTGGGCGACAGAGTAAGACTGAGTCTCAAAAAAAAAAAAAAAAAAAAAGTTAGCCAGGTGTGGTGGCGCATGCCTGTAATCCCAGCTACTTGAGAGGCTGAGGCAGGAGAATCGCTTGAACCTGTCAGGTGGAGGTTGCAGAGAGCCGAGATCGCGCCATTGTACTCCAGCCTGGGCAACAAGAACGAAACTCCATCTCAAAAAAAAAAAAAAAAAAAAAGCCAGAGGCAGTGGCTCATGCCTGTAATCCCAACACTTTAGGAGGCTGTGGCAGGCGGATCACAAGGTCAGGAGTTCGAGACCAGCCTGACCAACATGATGAAACCCCGTCTTTACTAAAAATACAAAAATTAGCTGGGCATGGTGGCGTGCACCTGTAATCCCGGCTACTCGGGAGGCTGAGGCAGGAGAATTGCTTGAACCCGGGAGGCGGAAGTTGCAGTGAGCCAGGATTGCACCACTGCACTCCAGCCTGGGTGACAGAATGAGACTCCGTCTCAAAAAAAAAAAAAAAAAAAAAAAAGAGATAGTTGACATAAACTGAACATATTTAAAGTATACAATTGGATGTTTTCATACAAGTTTACACTCATGCAAACATCACCATAATCAAGATAATGAGCCACAAAATATTACCCACAAATTTGCTCATGCCCTTTTGTAAATCCTCCCTTCTATCGTACAGTACTTTCTGTCACTGTAGATTAATTTCCATTTTCTAGAGTTTTATATAAATGGAATTATATAGTATGTACTTTTTGTGGTCTGGATTTTTTTAATTCACTATAACTATTTTGAGATTCATCCATGTTTTGCTTATGTCGAGAATTTATTTTTTAAAATTGCTGAGTAGTATTCCATTGTATGGATGTACCACAATTTTTCTATTCACCCATGGATGACCATTTGGCTTATTTCCAGTTTTTGTGAATTACAAATATAGCTGCTGTGAGTACAAGTCTTTGTATGGATGTATGCCTTCATTTCTCTTGGGTAAATATCTAAGAGTGGAATGGTTGGATCATGTGGTAGATGTATGTTTAACTGTTTAAGAAACTGCCAAACTTTTCCAAAGTTGTTGTATCATTTTACCAGCAGTGCATAAGGATTTCAGTTCCTCCATATCCTTGCCAGCCTTCGGTATGGTCAATCTTTTATGTTTTAGCCATTGTAACTAGATGTGTGTAAGTATTTTATTGTGGTTTTAATTGGCATTTTCCTAATGATGAATAATGTAGGACATCTATGGGCTTATTTTTCATCTGTGTATCTTCTTCATTGAAACGTCTATTCAAATATTTTGCCCATTTAAAATAATGAGATATTTGTATTCTTATTATTGCACTTATTAATGCACCTCTGATAACATTTCACATCTAAATTTTAAGTTAAATTTCAAACCTTCCATTTATAAGAAAACTGAATGTCAGCGTGATGCTAGCTGCTTTAATATTTCTTGCTGAATTTTTCTTGGATTTGTTGTCATAGGTCTCACTCTTGGAAAGGATGTATTCTTGAATTGTTATCCATGGGGCAAGGCACCAAAATGAGTCTCCGGCTGGGTGAAGGGTCCATCTTCCCTTTCAGTAGTGGAAGAAGGGTGACTGTGAAAGAGGAGGTTGAAAAGAGGAATTGCAGGCTCATTTTTAGGTAGATACAATTTATCTGCATCATTAATATTTTAATATAATGTACAGAGTTATTGTGTGGTTTTTTTTAACCATCATACAATATGTCCAAGTAATGTTGTATGGTTCTTGAAGTCATTTTAATCACATGGAGGAGAGGGAGATTTCTACTTGTGGGGTGTCAGGTAGATGGTATTGTCATTTACTACCTGTCATATGCTTTAGCTGCACAGGTCTCCTTTCAGCTCCTGGAGTGCCGCAGGCTCTTTCCTGCCCCAGGGCCTTCTTGTGTGTTGATGTTCTGCTTGTAATGCTCTTTCCCCCTACTCTTTCGTAGCTAACTCCTACTAAATTTTTGGTGTCAGCATAATTGCCACTTTCTTAGGGAGGCCTTCCCTGAACAAAGTGCTTACTAGGTTTCAGACAGTATGCTAAGTGCTTTATATACATGATTTTATTTAATCTGAATTAGGTCTTCATTAAATTCTCTCAGAGTGCTGAAACTTTTCCTTTAAAGCAATTATTATAGTTTGTAGTTAAATATATATTTGTGTGCTACCTGTCTCTCTGAGGAGACTATAGGCTTTTTCCATGTCTCTTTGGTGTACCCATGCATTCAGTGACGTGCAGATCTTAGACACTCAAAAATAATTGTTGAATGAACTAATGAGTGGGAAACATTTGGAAGGAGGGCTGGGATCTTCTTTTCTCTCTCAACTTTTTCTCTTTAGTTGTCTCATCAATTCCCATGGTTTAAATACCTTTTATTTGCTGATGAATCTTAACTTTTTATCTCTAGTTCAAAGTTCTCTTCATTTAATCATCAGGATAATCATGTGAGATTACCATTATTATCCCTATTTTACAGCTGAAACACCTGGAGAAAATTATATATTCCCATGCCATCATCAAATGTAGGGTTTCATGGATGTTATGATATATTCCCAAGAAAGTTCTGATATATCATTGTCATTACAGAGTGCTGCAGCACCATAAGACAGGGTGAACATTAAAAAAAAAAAATTAAAAAATACAGAGTGCTGGGTTGGTCTTTTTCAACATTGCCTTTGTTGAATTCAGAGTTAAGGGCATCTGTAGGATTTGTTATGTAAAGACACCTGGATTGACAGACCAACCAAGCTGTTACATGAAAATTCTGGTAATGAGTGAGGTGGGATGAACTGGATAAGCAGCAATCTTTACAGAATTCTAACTTAAGAAAGCTTATTTTTGCCTTGGTATACTGTGAATAATAAAAAAGTATCATTTATAAATACTTACAAATGCTTAATATAGATTTTGAGTCACCAACATGTGACTAAAGGAACAAATCCACTTCTGTAGTTGTGGGATCACTGCAGGCCAGACTTCCTTTAGTATTGTATGAAACCATTTAGGGTTGACACTAATTCAAATATCTTAAGAGTCTCAAAAAGAAAACCTACAATAGATGAATAGTGAAACTGTCCTTGTGCAAGTTACTAAATCCCTGAGCAGGTACAGTAGAAGCTAAGTCTTGAGGGACAAGTTGGAGTTGGCCCAGCAAATGAGGCAAAAGAGGACATTGCAGGTTCTGTGTCAAAGGACAGCATGAAGTCACCTGGCAAGTTCAGGACACTACTGAGAGTTTCCGTGGAGTTTGGGCATCCAGTAAGAGGGGGTTGTGGTGAAAGATGAGGCTGAAAAGGCTGGAGAAGCAGGCTGGGGCTTCAAGATCCCAAAGGACTCTATTCTCCTATATGTGTTTAGAGATCACTCTGGAGGAAATGGAGAGCTACAGGGAGACTGTTACTAGAGGACTGGCATTATCTGATTGATATTTTAGAAGGATCATGATAGAGGCTCCGGGGAAATTGCATTGGAATCAAGGAAACACTTGAGTGCTTTGTGGGGATTGATAGAGTGAGGGGATTTGGTAATGGATGAGGCCAAGGGCAGGGGAAAGAAGGAGGACTAAGATGTTATCCAGGTTTCCTGGACTACAAATTGTGGAGGTACCCTTTAGAAAGGGAAAAGGAGGAGTATGTTTAGGGGCACAGGGAAGAAAAGTGAGTTCTTTTCTGGATACGTTGTGTTGAAGGTACCGCAGAGATAATAGAATAGTTTGGAACTTAAGATAAAGGCCTGAAAGTGTCCTTTTTTTAGAACACAGAACATATTAGAGACATCAGTAAGAGCAGCTGAGGTGGGGAGGTGAGGCTGGAGGAATGAGTGGGAGGTAAACATACAAACAGGAGTAGACTGACTACTCTTCAGACCTCTTATAGTGAGAAGAGAGGACAGCAGCCAGAGGTGAAGAAAGGATTGTTTTTAAAGAAACATGGTGCTTTCTGTTTTTTAAATACTGAGAAGAAAGTCTAACGATCAAGTTTGATGAGACTAAATTTATGTTGCAAACATATGAGTCTTATAGTGTTTATCTTTGATAGAAATGGGGGTGACTGTAAAGAGAATAATTATGTTTCTGAGGAAAAACTATAGTACACCTGTTATTAGGTTTTACTCCTATTCATTGTTTTCAAATTTTTATTGTCTACCTGTATACCGGACTGGATCCTGTATTCTAGTTTCCTTCAGTATCTGGCTATAATTTTCCAACTAAGAACAAAAATTGCTCTGTTCCTAAAGCCCCAGAGCTGAAGCTGGACAACTCAATGTAAATTTTAAGGGACAAGCCTCATGCCCGATGTGTGGACCACACCAAGTTCACCAAACTGCCCGATGCCATAACCAGAGACATTCAAACTACAAACCCACATGAGTTGTTAACTTTATCATGGGGAGTTTTTCTCAAGACTGTCGGAACAGCTGAGTGCAATGGCTCATGCCTGTAATCCTAGTGCTTTGGGAGGCTGAGGCAGGTGAATTGCTGGGCCCAGGAGTTTGACACTAGCCTGGGCAACGTGGCGAAATCTCGTCTCTAAAAAAAATACAAAAATTAGCCAGGCACGGTGGTGCATGCCTGTAGTCCCGGCTACTCAAAAGGCTGATGTGGGAGGATGACTTGAGCCCAGGAGGTGGAGGTTGCAGTGAGCTGAGATCATGCCACTGCCACTGCACTCCAGTCTGGGTGACAGAGCTAGACCCTGTCTCCAAAAAACAAACAAACAAATAAACAAACAGACAAAACTGTCAGAACAAGACCCTGCCATAATGAGACTATTATTTCCCTTAATTTTTCCTTGTTTATGCCTATCTTTTTTGTCTGGCAGAATAATGCTATCGTTAGAATTTCACAATCAGTAGCTTCTGTGGGTGACTTGCAAATTGTCATTCCATACTTTAACTCAGTCATGAGATTTTCTATTAGCTGAACAAGAAGGAATCATTGCAGTTGCTAACACTTCTTGTTGCACAGGGATAAATACATCAGGTATCATAGAGACTGGGCTGAAAAAATAGACTGGCTACTTGGTTAAGATCGATATACTCCTCATCTGGCTCATTCTTCAATCTATTCTATTTTAGTTGGTTTGTTTCATGAGGACCCTAGCTAAGGAGCATACTCCAGACTCTTGATAATATCCTCCTGAGAGTAATAATAGTAGTCTGTCTGTTGCACTGTATGCTCTCAAAAAGTTTTAAATGTTTGTGGCCGGGTGTGGTGGCTCACACCTGTAATCACAGCACTTTGAGAGGCTGAGGTGGGCGGACCACCTGAGGTCAGGATTTCGAGACCAGCCTGGCCAACATGGTGAAACCCTGTCTGTACTAAAAATACAAAAATTAGCTGGACATGGTGGTGCGTGTCTGTAGTCTCAGCTACTCGTGAGGCTGAGGCAGGAGAATCGCTTGAACCTGGGAGGCAGAGGTTGCAGTGAACTGAGATCACACCACTGCACTCCACCAGGGTGACAGAGCGAGACTCCATCTCAAAAAAAAAAAGTTTTAAATGTTTGCATACAGCCATCTGTTGAATGTCAAATAGTCTGTCTTTGGCTGGAATAACAAAAAACTCAAAGAAATGCATGATGATGAGGACACTAACCTATGAATGATGTGTTGAGACTGGAAACCTAAAATGATGGTAACTGAGACTAGTGCCAATGCCCTTAGTTTTGGTCAGGTTCTCACTTGAGCCTTGACCAAAAGGGGAAAATTGTTAAATAAAAATTATAGGAGGCCATTGTTTTGGACTAAGCTCCTGCACTAGGCCCCAGCAGATCAGAATAAAAATCAAAATGGAGCCAGTCATACTAAAGTTTAATGTAACCAAACCAAAACTAAGTTGTTATTTGATCTTCCTAGAAATCAGGAGAGAGAGAACAGCTTAATTTCCCAAACGGGCATGATAATAAAGTTTCGTCTGCCCTAATCATTACCAAAAAATGTAACCTGATGTTAACAATTAGTTATTTCTCCATTGTTCTGTTTCCTCTTCTCACTGTACAAGGAAAGTAACTGTGAAATGAGTTATCCGCTCTTTGTTCTTTGTTTCTGCTTTCTTCAGCCCTTCTGTCTGTAAAACCAATCTCCTCTGCTCAGCTCATTGGAACACTATTCTGTTTTATAGAATGAGGTTTTGTTTTATTCTAGAATTGCAAATAAAGCCAATTGAGGTCTTCAAACTAAATATTTTGGAATTGTATCCTTTGACACCCCCATTAAGCACTTTCTATATCTAGCCTCTGCCTGTTTCAACATACTCAAACCTCTTTCACATAAAACAACAGTCATGACAGCAGAAACTCTCACACCTATACCCTTCATCCATTGCTACCCCTCTTTCCACCAAAGACAACGTTCCAAAAAAAAAAAAAAAGAAAAGAAAAACCCAAACCAACTTACATTTAAAAAACTCTTTTTGTTCTGGCCCCAGGTATTATTGAATTGTCATTCACAACTGCCAAGTTTAGTGAATATTTGTCAAGCCTTGTCTTACTTAATGTCTTCACAGCAATTAAGAGTATAAATCACCTTTCTTTAAACTTCCTTTTCCCTTGGTTTCCATACGAACTCATCTAAGTTTAATTCCTATATCTCTGGAAATTTGTTTCTTCATGGAATCACCTACTTTCTTATTAAATTTGGGAACATTTGCCCTTTGGACTCTCTTCTCACATTGTGTGGCCTTCTGGCAACATTAGCTACTCTTTGCCTAGATTCTGATAGAAAGCTTGGGTTTAAATTTGACTCTGACCCTTCCTGGCTGAGGGACTGGATTTTCCAAATAACAACCAATTCTTCAGTTCTCTGACACCAATGGGGTGTTCTACATTTGAATTAAAATCTGACACTAACTACACCGGGTTAGCACAGACCCCATGTTAACCTTGTGCTTAATCCCACAAGACTGCCCTCACTTCAGACACCACAAATGGGATTCCCAGACTACCTACACTTTTGCCTAACCAACTATTAATTCTGGGGTTCCCATGACCTCTTTCCTCTTTAGTAATTCCCTATGTGACCAGAAAGAAAAAAATAGATGCCACTTTATCAACTAATATGGACCCAAAGGTTAAGGAAACAAAATTACCTATGGGTCAAGGGTTCAGGGCCTGGCTGGCATGGCACATTTTGAAATTCCTATGACTAAACTCCCTAAAAATAGGAGCAATCAGGCCGGGTGCGGTGACTCATACCTGTAACCCCAGCACTCTGGGAGGCCGAGATGGGTGGACCACCTGAGGTCAGGAGTTCAAGATCAGTCTGGCCAATACGGTGAAACCCCATCTCTACTAAAAATACAAAAAATTAGTCAGGTGTGGTGGTGGTTGCCTGTAATTCCAGCTACTTGGGAGGCTGAGGCAGGAGAATCTCTTGAACCCGGGAGGCAGAGGTTGCAGTGAGCTGAGATCGCGCCATTGTACTCCAGCCTGGTCAACAAGAGCAAAACTTTGTCTCAAAAAAATAAAGGAGCAATCACCTCTGATTTACAACCAAGACCACTGCAACTCTGATTGGACACAGGACCAGTCTTACAAACATTCTTTCCTAATAAGCAACTACAGACCTCAAGCCAGTTTTAGCCAGCTTATAGAGGCTGCACACAAACCATCTTTGTGTCCTACAGCTCACCTTTTGACATAAAGGCCAACTTCTACTTCATTTTCATTCTAAAATTCTGCCCCAAAGTGAACATAGGATTTATGTAACTATGTTTACCCATTAAACATATATGGGGCTCCCCTCATAAATATGTATAGCCTTTCTCTCAAACTTGCTGAATATCTATCTATTATACTGGTCCTGTGAGGCATAAAATCCAACATATTCTTTCCCTTTGTTAAATGAAGTTTAGCCTAAAGCTACATATTTTAAGTTCTGCCTAAAGGTTTCTCTGTACATAGTGAACAGTAAGCTAAATGGAAGTGTAAACAGACTGCAATCTACTCTTGTGCCAGCCACTGAGTTTTGGTCAATCAAATGGGGAAGCTGTTCAAATTGTGTTCAAATAAGGCAATCGCCAAGTTATAACCAACCCACCTGTTTCTGTACCTCACTTCCGTTTTCTGTATGTCACTTTCCTTTTTCTGTTCATAAATCTTCCACCACTTGGCTGCACTGGAGTCTCTCTGAGTCTATTCCAGCTCAGGGGCTGCCTGATTAATGAATCGTTCTTTGCTCCATTAAACTCTGATAAATTTAATTTGTCTAAGGTTTTTCTTTTAACACCTTGGAAAAGAGTGTTTTCTTTTAACACCTTGGAAGAGAGAGCACCTTTGGTCCACACTGGAGCCTCTCTCCTGGCTTGCAAACTGATATCACCAATAAAATTCTCCTTTCTACTATTTAGCCATTCTCATGGTCTTTTGGATGACACCTAAAATGATTCACAGAGCTCAGGAAACACTATACTTATGGTAACAGTTTTATTATAAAGAATACAACTCCAGAACACCCAAATGGAAGAAGAGATGCATGGGGAAAGATATGGCAGGGATGGGGGTGTGGGGTACGGAGAGGGTGACATAACTTCCATGCCCTCTCTGGGCATGCCACCCTTCCAGTACATCAAGTTCACCAACTTAGAAGCTCCCCATGTTATAGAACCGAGCTGGGGTCCACTAGCCCAGTGCAGTAAGAGCAGATATCCACACCGAGGTTTTGCAGCTATGGAAAGGAAGGCATTTGTTTGCAAGGCACCAGACAGCTGGTGCTTAAATCCTGACCCCCTGATGGCTTGCAGGTAATGGTTTTTATTTTTATTTATTTATTTTTTTTTGAGACGGAGTCTCGCTCTGTCCCCCAGCTGTAGTGCAGTGGCGCGATCTCAGCTCACTTCAAGCTCCGCCTCCTGCGTTCACGCCATTCTCCTGCCTCAGCCACCCAAGTAGATGGGACTACAGGCGCCCGCATCAAGCCCGGCTAATTTTTTGTATTTTTAGTAGAGATGGGGTTTCACCGTGTTAGCCAGGATAATCTCGATCTCCTGACCTCGTGATCCGCCAGCCTCGGCCTCCCACAGGCAAGATCATAAATCAATACATGAAGGCTACACATTGGTTTTGGCCTAAAGTGGCAGGATAACTTGAAGGGGATGGCTTACAGGGTCATAGGTAGACTCAAATATTTTCTGATTTGCAATTGGTTAAGAAAGACAAGCTTTGTTTAAAATTTGGGGTCAGCAGAAAATGTTAGATTTGCTTTGTGGTTGTGACTCCATCCAGGTTCCTCAGGAAGAAATTTAGAACAAAGAATTGAGGCAGGAGCATAGCAGAGGGAACTGGAGGTTGGATAAAGGGTGGAATGAGTAGGAGCAGAAGAAAGATAAAGAGGCAGGTGAGCAAAAGCAGAAGCAAGACAAGAAGCAGAAGTTGAGCAAAACCAGAAGTAAGATACAGAAGTGAGTAAGGAGCCCCATGGTTGGCTAGATCTGGACTAAACCAGTAAGGGGCAGCTCCTAAGAGATGGGCATGCCCGCTAGAGAGAAAATATATCCTTAAAATGACCCCACAATTACCCATGGTGATTAGCTACTTAAGGCTCATGCATATGGGCTGTATATCATGCATGTACTTAAAATTATGGAATGGAAGTGTCACGCAAATGCACAGAGGCCAAGAAACTGAGCAACCCACCTGTCAATCAAAAGGCACATGCTGGCTAGAGATTAGGTAGTTTGGGGAAGAGAAGAAAAAAACAGGCTGGGCTCAGAGGCTCACACCTGTAATCCCAGCACTTTGGGAGGCCGAGGTGGGTGGATCACTTAAGGTCAGGAGTTGAAGACCAGCCTGGCCAATGTCGTGAAACCCTGTCTCTACTGAAAATACAAAAAAAAAAAAAAATTAGCTGGGCATGGCAGCGCACACCTGTAGTCCCAGCTACTCGGGAGGCTGAGGCAGGAGGATCTCTTGAACCTGGGAGGTAGAGGTTGCAGTGAGACGAGATTGTGCCACTGCACTCCAGCCTGGGCGACAGAGCAAGATTCTGTCTAAAAAAAAAAAAATGACCCAAAATACACCAAACTGATCTCATTTTTCAGAGGTCAGCCTGCTCTTCCCTCTCCGAGAGTGTGTTATTGTGCTTGATAAACTTTTTGCTGCTTTGCTGTTTGTGCGTGTCACTTCCACTTCTTTGTTCAGGACACCAACGGCCTGGAACTGTGCAGGACTATCCAGTAACAGAATGGGTGGTCAGAGTTCAGTCTTCAGTGCTCCTGTAACCACCCAGTGGGTTCTCCTTGCCTGCTGCCTAGACAGAGACAGTTTATCAAGACAGGAATTCCAATAGAGAAAGGCTTTAATTTGTGTAGAGCCTCCGTATGGTAGACTGGAGTTTTATTATTACTCAAATCAGTCTCCCCCAAAATTTGGGGATTGCATTTTTTAGGGATAATTTGGTGGGTAGAGGGTTGGGAAGCAGGAATGCTGATTGTTTGGGTGGGAGATGAAACAGGGAATTGAAGCTATCCTCTTGTGCTGAGTCAGTTTCTGGGTTGGGGCCACAAGACCAAATAAGACAGTTTATTGATCTAGGTGGTGCCAGCTGATCCATTGAGTGCAGGGTCTGCAAAATATCTCAAGCATTGGTCTTAGGTTTTATAATAGTGATGTTATCCTGAGGAGCAGTTTGGGGATATTCGGAATCTTGGCAGCCTCCAGTTGCATGACTCCTAAACCATAATTTCTAATCGTGTGGCTGATTTGGTAGTCTTACAAAGGCAGCCTAGTCCCCAGGCAGGAAGGGGATTTTTTTATGGGAAAGGGCTGTTATAATCTTTGTTTCAAAGTGTTAAACTCTAATAAGTTCCTCCCAAAGTTAGTTCAGCCTGTGCCCAGGAATGAACAAGGACAGCTTGGAGGGTAGAGGCAAGATGGAATTGGTTAGGTCAGATCTCTTTCACCATCATAATATTCTGAGTTATAATTTTTGCAAAGTCAGTTTCAGTCCCTCCCTTTGGGTTTCTAAAGGCAGGAGTAAATTTCAGGAGTAAATAAGGTTATAAAACACCTTCTTCTTAAGATGTGGGCTATGAAGATGGGAAAGGGTGATTAATGACCGCTCTAGCTTCTTCCTGCCAACATGGGGCATAATGGGAGTAGGTGTTGACCCTAAGGTAAGAGGAGTGGAACTGCTTTGCAGCTGTTTGCACATGCTCAAGTGCAATGGGGTTTCAAGGCTTGCATGATAAAGGCATTAGTATTCTCATTTATAATTTTAACACAACATTTAAGTGAACAGTGAATTAGAAGGTAAATAATGAGTCCTAGGATAAAGAGTGAAACTCCTGGCTTCAGAAGTCTTTGTATAATTGATCTTAATCTCTGAGGGATCCAGGTAAATAGCTCCAAGAAACAGTCAGACAGGGGTCACTAGCAGAAAGAGATTTAGGTCAGAGGTTGTTAGACCGATTGGGATAGATGGGAAAGAGCATATTTAAATATACCATTCCATACATTTTTAGTCAGTTTCCTAGTCCTGAGACTAGATCAGTTCAGTTAAATAGCTATTTCTCATATCAGGAGAGTGGCATTGCAGATGGGCTAGGCCTCTATATGTGATGAAGGCACACAGATTTTAAATAAGAGGCATTTCTATGGAACAGAAGAAAAATGTTAATGTTGGGCATAACTTATCCAGATGTTAGACTCAAAATACCTTTAGTTGTAGACGAGGAAGCATGGCAATCTGACACATTTTTGTCAACCGTAGGACAAGGAATGAGCTTTAGCTTGCAGGGCCTCTGGAAAAAGGTAGTAAAAATTTCATTGAGTGGAAGTCAGAAAAGTGGAAGAAAAATTTGAAAGCATTAGTTTGGGGGCTCATAGCCCACAAAGAATTCAGAATTTAGTACAAATTGTAGAAAATAATAAAAACTCAAGAACAACAGACAAGACTAGAATCTTTTTGTTGTTGTTGTTTTTTTGAGACAGAGTCTTGCTCTGTCACCAGGCTGGAGTGCAGTGGTGCAATCTCGGCTCACTGCAACCTCCACCTGCCAGGTTCAAGTGATTCTCCTGCCTCAGTCTCCTGAATAGGTGGGACTACAGGCGCCCACCAGCACGCTTGGCTAATTTTTGTATTTTTAGTAGAGACGGGGTTTCACCATGTTGGCCAGGATGGTCTTGATCTCCTGACCTCGTGATCCACCCGACTCGGCCTCCCAAAGTGCTGGGATTACAGGCGTGAGCCACTGCGCCAGGCCCAAGACTAGAATCTTAACAAGTATACTACAGTTCTTTTGAAACACAATTTTTCTCTCTCCAGCACCCCATTTTTTAAAGACAAAATATAGGACAAATTTACTTGCAAAATAAGTCTTAGTTTTAAGACTTATTATGCTTGGCCCAATTATTTGTATAAAGTAGAGCAAGAGTAACTTTTTTGCATATTAGAAATATTTATTCAGAATAATGGCATTAATTGCTTTTAATAGTTTAGAAAAGACCCATCCCCCAAAGATCCAGGGCAGCTCCTCTAAGTAAACACAATATGCTGTAGTAAACTGTATGCATATTTCCACTGAGTAAAGATTATAAGAAGCCTCAGGTCAGGTCTTACCACCAAATTCCAAAACACTTGGAATGCAGGTAGCCAGGGACATTGGCAGGTTTTGTCTTGATAAGCAGATAAGAATGGTAGGAATGCTGGTTGATTATCACCCAATCTGCTTTTTTATACCTGAAGTATTCACAGCAACTTATTTTAAAAAGCTTTAAAAAGTTATACACCTCCATCCCCTACAACCCCCAATCCAGAATGTGGGACAAGGGTGTTGAGCAGTATGATGGACTTGGTCTATTCTTAACATTTTACATTTAATACTTCTAACCGCTGTTTGAGGTGGGTACTGTTATTTCCATTTTACAGATGTTGAAACTGAGGCAGAGAAGAAATTAAGCTAGGAAGCAAGGATCTAAAAACAATGATTTCTGCCTAGGAAGGGTAGGAGGGGTGGAGCTTAGGATTTGAAAACTGAAAGCTGATCTCTTAATTTATTCTGAAACTTGAAAAGAGACTTGGCAGGCAGTGGTTTAAAAAGTTGTTTGTATCAAGATTTTTGCTATAGACAAGTTCCAGGGCTTGAAAGTAACAGTACTTGTAGGCCATGTGTTTGGTCATTGCAGGTCTTGGGATACACATTCTTAAGGTACTTTCCAGTGTCTGGGGAGTTTCTAGTCTCAGTGGATTCTTGAGAAACATGTGCATTAGTTGGGTGCTGAAGACAAACCAAAGTAGGAGACTAACAAGCACTTAAGTGGGGGTTTGACCCCAAATCTGGAACTTTATTGATCAGGGACTATGGCACTATATAAAACTGTGTGCTTTCTTCCTTAGAGGAAATAGCAAGAGACTAGGACTCCCTGGGCTGGATGATCACAAAGCACCTTGTAAAATCAGCAAAGCAGAGCAGACTGTTAGTTATTATACAACAGGTCTACGAGACCATTTACAGTCTTTATTGATTCCACTTAGGGGGCCATTTTGTTGTAGGAATATTACAGTGTAGCAAGAATAATTATTTGCCAAATAGGCTCTTTTTAAAATCGGCTTTGCTGAAACTTTGTTCTATAAGGAATCTCAGATTATACTTTTTAAAGCCTTGAGTCCAGCCTTGGATTTATCTATGCCTGAAAATATCTGTATGAGTTGGATGAATGTTCTTTCTCTTTTTATTTTTTTTTTTTTTGAGACGGAGTCTCGCTCTGTCGCCCAGGCTGGAGTGCAGTGGCGCGATCTCGGCTCACTGCAAGCTCTGCCTCCCAGGTTCACGCCATTCTCCTGCCTCAGCCTCCCGAGTAGCTGGGACTACAGGTGCCCGCCACCATGCCCAGCTAATTTTTTGTATTTTTTTTTTTTAGTAGAGACAGGGTTTCACCATGTTAGCCAGGATGGTCTCAATTTCCTGACCTTGTGATCCACCCGCCTCAGCCTTCCAAAGTGCTGGGATTACAGGCGTGAGCCACCGCGGCCGGCCATGTTCTTCCTCTTGAGGTCCCAAGATAATGTAGGGCTCCTGGGCCTGTCAGAAAGTGACATTGTTTACTTAACACAGGTCAGGAACTCTGTACAAGGACTGTGTAGACAAAGTATGAGGCCAGCTATCCTGTAAGTAAAATTTGATTCCTTAAAGCAATCTGTTTATATTTGAAAGCATGCCATTCTAGTCAAAGCCTTGGTAAAATAACCAGAATCTCTAACTGTGTTCTGTTACAAAAGAAAACAGAATCTTTTTGCACTTATGCAAATAAATATACTGCCGTAAGTTGAGAATACTCACAAAATCTTTCTAAATTCTGGAGAAATCAGGTAGGGAGAAAGCAATATGCTCCAAATTTTGTTCACAGGAGTATACTCAATTGGTAAAGTTGTAAACAGTTCAAAAGAAAAAACTTGTATTAACTGAAAAACAAAAGGATTGGCAATGTTTAACATTATCCACCTCTCCAAGAGAGTCTTAGAAGTTTGTTTTTTTTCCCTCTCTATTACAATGGTGCAATTTCTAAAGTTATCAGAGACTGGTATTCAAGAGTACCTGTCAGAGCTCTAGGTTTAATTATAAACTGCCTTGTGAAAAGGATTAAAGTAGAGAAGGCATCAGACTCCTTTTTGGGGAGAAACCTCTGTTTTCCCTTATGAAACCTCATGAGTATAAATAGCCAAGTTCCTCTCAGATCTTAAACTTCTTGATTTTGTATTGTGTTACCTGATTTTTTTTTTTCTGAGTGAAAATAGTTATTACAGCAGAAGCTACTCTTGGATGTTTAAGATAGGAAAGAGTGTAGTGTAGACACTTAGAGAAATGCCTTTGTCAAAAAAAAAAAAGGTGCACTGTAAAAGCATCACTGGGTCTAGCCTCATGAAAATTCTTTTTTTTGGAGACCCAGGATTCAGGGTGGGCTCTGCCCAGAGCTCAGAGATCCTGTTAAAAGATAGAGACTAAAATTAGAACTACCTATCTAAATGAAATTGGTCTCATTATACAACTCTATGATAGATTTCTATAATTTTATGTTTGACTTGGCATTTTTTTTTTTGAGACAGGGTCTCATTCTGTTGCCCAGGCTGGAGTGCAGTGGCACAATCTCTGCTCACTGCAACTTCTGCCTCCTGAGTTCAAGTGATTCTTGTGCCTCAGCCTCCTGAGTAGCTGGGACCACAGGTATACGCTACCACATGTATGCACTACCACACCTGGTTAATTTTTTTAGTAGAGATGAGGTTTCACCATGTTGGCCAGGCTGGTCTTGAACTCCTAACCTCAAGTGATCCACCTGCCTCGGCCTCCCAAAGTGCTGGGATTACTCGCATGAACCACCACGCCTGGCCTGGCGTCTGTTTTAATTTTCCTCTAGCACAACAGACTTTTTCTCTCTATTCTGAGATGTAAATTTTGCTGATTTTTTTCACCTAAAAGTTGTTTCCTTTAATATGCAAATTTAAGGCTATCTAGCTGACAACTGCCTATGGTAATGAAACAGGTTATTCAGATATTAGAAGTTTAAAATAAGAGGAAAAAAAGAAGTCTTATGAATCTGTAACATTTACTTCTATCTGTGTGCCTAATATGTCTATGTATTCATATGTTGTGTATATAATGTTTCACTACTACAAATATATAAAAGAGTTCTAATTAATTGGCTTAAAGAAAAAAGTGCTTAAAAAATAGAGACATTAAGTCAAATGCTCTTTCAAGTTCACATGACTTAAGTAAAATCTTAAGCTGGCTTTAAAATTATTGGTAAAATAATTATTAGAAACATCTTAAGAATTGTTAGGTTTTTTTTGCATTTATTGATCAAGAGGTTTATACTTATCGCTGCAGAACACTATAAGGTGTCAAAATTTGCCATGAGGATTATAAAACTATAAACCTAGCCCAAAACAGAATGATCTTTGCTTGTTTAATTTTTGATAAATAAGACATTTAATGTTGGTTTAATGAAAACAGCTAAATCCTGAGTTATTGGTTAAATACTCATACTTTTAACCATAAGTTCCTTAGTTAGGTAAATGGCTGAAATTAATAGGTTATAAAAATGATTAACAGGGAAATAACTTTAAATAATGACTGTCACAGTTTTCATAAATAATATAGGTAAACTATCAAATAATTTAATCAGGTAAGTGTAATGGAATAAATGCTTGTAAACAAATTTGTCATAATTTAGAATCTAAGATTATATTAAATATTAATTAAATGTATAATTTCCAATTTAAACATTATAGGAAAACATTTTAAAAAGTGTTGTTATTAAAGGTAAATATTTTTTGTCTAATTCAAAGGTTTTTTTTTTTTTTTTTTGAGGCAGAGTCTCGCTCTGTCACCCAGGCTGGAGTGCAGTGGCACAATCTCGGCTCACTGCAAGCTCTGCCTCCTGGGTTCATGCCATTCTCCCGCCTCAGCCTCCCAAGTAGCTGGGACTACAGGCGCCCGCCACCACACCCGGCTAATTTTTTGTATTTTTAGTAGAGACAGGGTTTCACCATTCACAGGATGGTCTCGATCTCCTGACCTTGTGATCCACCTGCCTTGGCCTCCCAAAGTGCTGGGATTACCGGCGTGAGCCACCGCGCCCAGCCAATTCAAAGATTATTTAAAGTTTATATATAAAACAAAGTAAAAGGAACCAGGAAGTAAGAGAAATGTAAATTTATAGATATAAGGAGGTATTTTGGCTAAGAAAGTTTAAATGAAAAGTGATTTTATATGAGAAAGTATCTTATGTGGTGAATTTTTTTGTACTAAAACAAGATAACTGGTTGCTCCAGAAAGAGAGGTGTTTAGGACAAGCCATAAAGTTGAAGCATGCTATGAATGGCCTATGTAAGTTGTAAATAAGGATAGTAAAAAAAGGAATTTATTTTTAAAAAAGGTTATATAATTCAGTTGGTGATAGTTAAATATAATAGACTTTCTAGAGATGAGATTTTGATATTAAAATACACAAATACAAAACTGAAGAATTGGTTAGAACAAGATTTTATTAAAAATATTGATTTACTCTTAATGCAAGAAGTTTTTAATTTTTAAATTCTGTAATCTGTCTCTTTGAAATTCTTCAGATTATTATATCAGAAGTTTAGCTCTTTCTCTCTTTTGAAAAGGCCTGGGAGGTAACTCTCTTCTTTACCTTTTTTTTGAGATGGACTCTCACTCTGTTGCCCAGTCAGTGGCATGATCTTGGTTCACTGAAACCTCTGCCTCCTGGGTTCAAGCAATTCTTGTGTCTCAGCCTCCCAAGTAGTTGGGATTACATGCATGTGCCACCATGCCCCACTATTTTTGTGTGTGTGTGTGTGTGTGTGTTTTTAGTAGAGATGGGGTTTTACTATGTTGGCCAGGCTGGTCTAGAACTCCTGAGCTCAAGTGATCCGCCGGCGTCGGCCTCCCAAAGTGCTAGGATTACAGGTGTGAGCCACTGTACCTGGTCTCTTCTTCACCTTTTGTTGGCCCCTGTAACTTTTCTTTTTTTAATTAGTAATCTAAAGTAAGGGACATAATTTTTTTTGGAAAACAAGCAAATGAAAAATCTTTTGGACTTGCCTTTTTTATTCTGTATGCCTGTTATATCTGTATGTTATATGGGTCATGTGGAAGTGATATTTCACTACCAAACTATGTGAAAGAGTTCTAGTTAGTTGACTTTAAAAAAGTAAGCACTTATCAGACTGCTAGAAGCTAGCTCAGATGCCTTTTAATTCACATGGCCTTGATCGTCTTTGGTAACATTAATTTGGTATTTAATCTGAAAATTCTCTCCAGTAGTTTAAAATCTCCCTAAAATGTATAAAATCAAGCTGCGCCCTGACCACCTGGGGCACATGTTCTTAGCGTCTCTTAAGGGTTGTGTCACAGGCCATGGTCGGTCACATTTTGCTCAGAATAAAACTCTTCAAATATTTTACAGAGTTTGATTTTTTGTTGACAGTAGGCTCAGAGACTCTAGCAGAGACACATGGTGAAAGATTTATAGACAGAAAAAGGAACATGATATACACAAAACAAAAGTGAGGTACAGAAATAGCTGGATTGGTTACAGCTCAGTGTTGCCTAATTTAAACACAGTTTGAACAGTTGGCCACCTTTGGCCAAAACTCTGTGATTGTCAGGAGAGTAGGTTACAATCTGTTTAACCTCCATTTAGGTTATAGTATACTGTGTACAGAGAAACTTTTAGGGAGAACTTAAAATATGGAAGGAGGCAGCTTTAGGCTAAACTTGATTTAACAGTTTCCTTATTTTGGTCATCTTCTCAATTTTGAGAAATTGACCAAAACTTTAGTCATTGTCACCATCATAAATGTACTTATTTGGTCTTCAAACCCACTGATAAATAGCAGACCAGTGGGTTTTGTAAGGTGGGAACAAGAACTTCAGATTATTTTTTTGGTAAGGGTTAGAGTAGAGGATACCTCCTCATGCTGGAATCTTCTGTTTACAGGAGAAAAATAAAACTTGGTCTGTTTTAGGATCTATCTGTTTCTTAAAGTCTTAGTTTGATGTGTCACATTTAGCATGAATTATTCCACTTTGGTTTGATCTGGTTTGTTGGGGCCTAGAGCCTGAGCTCAGTCCAAAACAATGGCCACTCATAATTTTGTTTAAAAACTCCCCGCTTTTGGTCAGGTTCTCCCTTAGGTGAGAGTATAACCAAAACTTAGAGCCTTAACGCTACTCTCAGTTACCATCATTTTGGGTTTTCATTCTCAGCATGTCATTCATAGGTTACAGTGCCCTCATGGTCACACATTTCTCTCAGCTCTTCTCATTCTAGTGGAAGAGAGACCATTTAACACTCTAGAGATGGCTGCATGCAAATATCTAAAAGTTTTGAGGGAATACGGCAGACCGGGGAGACTACTATTATGACTATCAAAAGGATAATGCCAAGAGTTTGGTGTATGCTCCTTAGCCAGGGTCCCCATGAACCAAACCAACTAAAATCAAATAGATCAAATAATGAGTTAGATTAATAGTCTACTCACTTTAACCAAGCAGCCTGTTTATTAATCCCCTATAACTGAGTCTTTATAATACTCTATGTATTTCTCCAAGGGCAACAAGAAGTGCCAGCAACTGCACAGATACTTTTCTGTTTAGCCAGTTAGTAATCTAGAGCCATTCTACTATTTGGCATAACTTTCACAAGATAATTTATTTATTTGATTTATTTTATTCTTTTTTGAGATGGAGTCTCACTCTGTCACCCAGGCTGGAGTGCAGTGGCATGATCTCGGCTCACTGCAACCTCCACCTCCTGGGTTCAAGAGATTCTCCTGCCGCAGCCTCCTGAGTAGCTGGGATTACAGGTGTGTGCCATCACGCCCACCTAATTTTTGCATTTTTGGTAGAGAAGGGGCTTCACCATGTTGGTCAGGATAGTCTTGAATGCCTAACCTCAAGTGATCCACCCACCCTCAGCCTCCCAAAGTGGTGGGATTACATGTGTGAGCCACCGCGTCTGGCGTGGAAGCTTGCTTTCTGAGATTCCAGGCTGTTCTCTTTAACTTGGATAAAGACCTTCTCTTTGGATCATCTCTCTTGTCCTTGTACTCCTCATTTTTAAAAACTGCATTCCCTGTAGTTTCTCCCTAGCATGGGTCCCTGTCTTGGAAGGGAGCCTTGGCAAATGAATTTTGAGTTCATAGGGGCCAGACTGCTCCAGCCCTCTTAAGTCCTTACTGTGGGCCTCTTGTACTTACCTCCTATTGGAGAGATCAGATCTTTCCCTTTTCAGCTGTGTCTTCCATACCTATTACTGTTGGAGAGTTCTCAGGTCCATCAGACACTGTCTCCATTTCTTCATTCTTCTTCCTCACACACTGATGCAGAAACCATGCAAGTTTTGTGACTGCTGGTTTGTCCCCACTTGTTTGTATTTTGAGGCTCGTGGGAATACTTTGTCATTTGTTTTTTTGTAAATGTCTGTAGGGTTTGGTTTTGCTATCTAGTTGAGACTTAGCCTGTTCAGGCTGCTATGACAAAATACCTTAGAGAGAGTAATTTACCAACAACAGAAATTTATTTCTCACAGTTGTGGAGGCTGAGAGGTTCAAGGTCAAGGCACTGGCAGACTCAGTGACTAGAGAGGGCCTGTTCTTCATAGGTAGTGCCTTCCATGTGTCCTCACATGGCAGAAGGGGTGAACAGGCTCTCTTGAGCTTCTTTTACAAGGGCACTAATCCTACCCACAAGGGCAGAACCCTCATGATAGAATCCTTTCCCAAAGGCCCTACCTGTTAATATCATCACCTTGGGAGTTAGTTTTCTATATGTGGATTTTGGGGGCAGGGGAGTCACTAACATTCAGACAATAGCAAGTTGCTCGTTTGTTTTTGTGTTAGGATTAGGAAAGATTGAACACCTATGCTGTTGCCCCTGCTGCTGCCATCTTCCCAGAATCTACTATGCTACAGTGTACTTTGCTTTTTGTGTGTGCATATATATATATATATATATATATATATATATATATATATATACACACACATATATATGTATATATGCTTTTGTGTATATATATACATATATATGTGTATATATATATACATATATATGTTTAAATTAATAGACTTTATTTTTTAGAGCAGTTTTAGTTTCACAGAGAAACTGAGTAGTAAGTACAGAGAATTACTATTTACCCCTACCCTCTTCAAACCCAAACAGCTTCTTCTATTATCAATGTCATGCGTTAGTGTAGTGCATTTATTACAATTGATGAGCCAGCAGTGATATTTTAACCAAAGTCCTTAACTTACATTAGGGCTCATTCTTTTTGTTGTATAGTTCCATAGCTTTTGACAGCTGTGTAGTGCCATGTGTATTATATTTCTGTGAGCGTTAAAAAGAAGAATGACCCTCTGCTTAGAAGCGGCTTACCTGTTTCTGGTACAGACACCTTAACACATGGATTTATGCAAGGGTTTTCATGGAGGGGATTCTATGTAATACAACAAATAACAACCTCAAAGAATCCTAACTGTAAAGACAACAAAAGTCTCACAGGGCTAAACCATGTAATGTCTCTTAATTAAGCTGATGGCATCAAATTTCAGTGAAAGAAATTCAAAGGGAATGGAGGCGACCCAGCAGAGGGGGCAAAACAATATAGTACAGTTATTCAGCTTTCTGGTAATCTGGCCTCAGAGAAACATGTACTGTGACTTATATATACTTCAGATAATCTTGCATAAAGTTTTTTGATAGATATTGAGAGGCAGCACCAACAATATAAATGTTTTCTTATTAGACATTCTTTCTCAAATGCAAGCCATTGTTTTGCTTGAGATTCTAAGTCTGGGTTCTCTGCAAGAGGAGAGATGGGCTTTAAACATGGGTAATAGTCCACTGACAACTGTGACATTTCACCAGCTAGTGTAGAAAGGCATTGGGAATAGCACCAGATTTCTTGTAGCCTTTTTTGTTTTTGTTTTTGTGTGGAACTGTTTGCAGCTATATGTTCCATAAAGTTTTAACCTTTCCAAGTGGTTTTAACCTTTCCAATCAGACTATATTAATAGTAACTGTTTTCCATTTATTTAAAAAACTTTTTTCTTCCATTTCTTTTGAAATTACCTTATAATACCACTGACTATACACAAGGGGGAGATCACATAATTTGTTGACAATTTTGATCAGTATGTTGTCACCAAAACTGCACATTAACCCGAAAGAGCCAAAAGAGTGTGTATAAGTTTCCTCTTGTTGCTATAACAATTATTACAAACTTAATGGCTTAAAGCAACACAAATTTATTATTTTACAGTTCTGGAGGTCAGAAATTTGAAGTGGGTCTCAGGGGGCTGAAATCTAGGTGTCAGCAGAGCTGTACTCCTAGAGGCTCTAGGGAAGAATCTGTTTTCTTCCTTTTTCCAGCCTCTAGAGGGAGCCCACATTCTTTGGCTTGGTCCCTCAGCCAGCAATTGTAAAACTACCTCTGCTTCTGTCGTCCCATTTTCTGTAACTCTTCCGCACCTTTCTTCCTTGCACCCTACACCCTTGTTATTACATTGGGCCTGCCCATGTAATCCAGGATAATCTTCCCATCTCAAGATCCTTACTTAATCACATCTGCAAATCCCTTTTGCCATGTGTGGTAACGTATTCACAGACTCCAGAGACTTACTTGGACCTTTTTGGGGGCCCATTATTCTGACCTCCACAAGTGTATTTAGATAATTATCTATTCTTCCATTTATTTTTGTCCTGAATCTTCTGGATTTTTGGTTAGTAGGTAAAATTTTTGACTATTATAAATTTCCTTTGAGTAATTAGGAAGATT